>NC_000012.12:7084650-7709650 GCF_000001405.40 Homo sapiens
GTAGTGGTGATGGTGTTGGTAATGGTGATAGTGGTGATGGTGGTGATGGAGGTTTTAGTGTGGTGGTGACGATGGTGTTGGTGGTGGTGATGGTGTTGGTAATGGTGATGGTGGTGATGGTAGTGTTGGTGTTGGTAATCATGATGGTGATAATGAGAGTGGTGATAGTGGTGTTGGTAATGGTGTTGGTAATAGTGGTGGTGATGGTGTTGGTAATGGTGGTAGTGATCATGGTAGTGGTGACAGTGGTGTTGGTAACAGTATAGTGATGATGGAAGTGGTGTTAGTGTGGTGGTGATGATGATGTTGGTAATGGTGATGGTGCTGATGATGGTGTTGGTGGTGATGGTGGTGGTGATGGTGGTGTTGGTAATGGTGGTGGTGATCATGGTATTGTTGACAGTGGTGTTGGTAATGATAGTGGTGATGGTGGTGATGGTGGTGTTAGTGTGGTGGTGATGATGATGTTAGTAATGGTGATGGTGGTGATGATGGTGTTGGTGGTGATGGTGGTGTTGGTGTCAGTAATGGTGGTGGTGATAGTGGTGTTGGTAATGCTGGTGGTGATAATGGTAGTGGTGATGGTGGTGTTGGTAATGGTGGTGGTGATCATGGTAGTGTTGACAGTGGTGTTGGTAATGATAGTGGTGATGGTGGTGATGGTGGTGTTAGTGTTGGTGGTGATGATGATGTTGGTAATGGTGATGGTGGTGATGATGGTGTTGGTGGTGGTGATGGTGGCATCGGTGTTAGTAATGGTGGTGGTGATAGTGGTGTTGGTAATGGTGGTGATAATGGTAGTGGTGATGGTGGTGTTGGTAATGGTAACAGTGTTGATTGTGGTGATGGCGGTGATGGTGGTGATTGTGCTGGCACTGATGCTATTGGTAGTGTTGCTGGTGTTGTTACTGGTAGTGGTGGTGATGGCAGTGATGGTAGCAATGGGGGTGTGGTGGAGGCAATGGTGGTAGTGGGGATGATGTGGTGACAGTGAGCTGTTTATGCGATTTGAATCTTTTCTTTGCATCAGCTCAGATGCCTCCTTCTTCAAACCTACTAGGTTCCTGTTAGCACTATAATTTAGGCCCCTGAAGCCAGTGCCCTGGCAGATACCTTAATATGCATTCCCTAGGGATTCTACTGGGAGAAATCTCAGAGGATACCCCAAGGGGATGGAAGGGAGGAAATTTCCATTCGCATTGGTCCCTACCTTGCTCAGACTCCCTGCTGCCAGCTCTGGTCTGCATCTTGTAATATGGCTCATGGCAGTAGTACTGGATACGGGCCTTGTAGGTGTTCACTCCCATTGTGGTGGTGTAACGGAAGTCACCATTAGGCAGGTTTCGGGGCTGCCCACAGTCCTTGACTTGGAGAGAACACAGGGCAGGGTGAGAGCTGAGAATGACTGTGCTGGAACTTCAGTGAGGGGAGTGTGAGTTGTCTACCTGCAGAGCAGGCTCAGAAGCTTAGAAAAGATAGTCAGTGGGGAGGGCCCTTGCAATGGACAGGAGTTGGGTGGTATGAAATTCAATTCTGGGTAGAGCCCATCCATCCCACTGAGATGAGGGCTCACTGATTCCTGAGATGGCCCATAGGCATCAAAGGACAAGTCAGGGTGAGGGTCTCTTGGAAAGAGGCTTAGTCTGGACCCCTCTTTCTTTCTTGGCCCAGGTCCTCAAGGCAGGAGGTGGGAGGTCCCCAGGGTCATATCCCTGAATTGTGACTTACTCTTGCATCTGGGCATGGCACGATGCCACGTGCCATCATCCTGGCAGACAGCTGTGAAGGAATGCAGCACCTGGTTCCCCTGTTGAGCAGAGGATAGAGGTGCCATCAGTGCCAAGAGGCAATGGAGGTCCCCTTCCTGCCCTTTCCACACAGGAGTGGGAGGCAATACCAAGACATCTCTTGGCTCCCCCATGGATGTGGCTCCCCCATGGATGTGGCTCCCCCATGGATGTGGCTCCTTCTTCCTTCTCCCCAGCCCATTACAGACAGGAGCATTGAGCCACACCACAGCAAGTCAGAGCAGAGCTAACTGATAGACCTGATCATCCTCTCTCTAGACTGTGGCCTGTTCCTACTGAGGTCCAGTTGAATCCCACAATTTGTAATTTGAAAAAATCACAAGCCACGTTTGAGTGTTTTCTGTATCAAAACAAAAGCCTGTGCTCCAGGGCAGAACTGTGTTTCTCTTGCTGGTGTCCCCTGCCTCCAGGCGTGCATCACTTTATCTCTCCTGGGTTGCAGTTTTCCTAAGGACAGAGGCCTTCCCTAAAATACTAGAGCCACCTCGCAGCTTTGAAAGGTGCTGGAGACGTTGATGTATGTGAAGTGCTGTTGCTATTGAGCAGGGACAAGACTAGGAAATGGCAGTCTTTGAAATGAAAAGTTACTGGACAAATGAATAAGTTTTACTAAGACCAAAATTCGGCCAGGTGCAGTGGCTCACGCCGGTAACCCCAGCACTTTGGGGGGCTGAGGTGGGCGGATCACTTGAGGCCAGGAGTTCGAGACCAGCCTGGGCAACATGGAGAAACCCTGTCTCTACTAAAAATACAAAAATTAGCTGGGCATGGTGGCGCACGCCTGTAATTCCAGCAACTCGGGTGGCTGAGGCACTTGAATAGCTTGAATCCAGGAGAAACACTTGAACTTGGGAGGCGGAGTTTACAGTGAGCTGAGACCATGCCACTGCCTGGGTGACAGAGCAAGACTCTCTCTCAAAAACAAAACAAGACAAAACAAAAAGACCAAAAATCATTCCATGGAGTTAGCCCTGGAAAAGGTTGTAAGAGAATGTGTATGAGAACTAGAACGTCTGAGTAAAATGTAGGTAATGTGAGAAACCGTGTGACTTGCTTTAAATTCTATGATGTGAATAACAAATGCAAAAGTAAGGGCAGTGGGTGGTGCAGGCAAGGGAGGGTTGTAATAGGAGCAAAGAGGTTGGTAGTCTCCATTCTTCTGGACCCAGGACACCCACCCAATCCTCCTGATGGAGCTGGAAGCACCTTGGAGTAAAGAACAATGCATCAGGTGAACTCGACTTGATGCAACATTCAAATGTGAGCTCCACAAAGGCTGTGTGACTATGTGGGTTTCTTTTTACTGAACCTCCCACATCTAGGACAGTGCCTGACAGTAGACACTTAAAGTGTGCATTAAATGAATTAACTGTGACTTAAGGACATATCCTAGGTCTCTTCTTTGATTCTGATTAAGTGTTCCATGTGGACCTGTTGAACAACGATGGGATGTCCAGTCTTGGGTCTCTGTCCAGAGACAGAGATTTTTAGTTTACCAGCTTTTGTGAGATTGATCAATGGATAAAACCATATTCCCTCCTGAATCTGCAGAGCCGAGGACAGGACGGTGGGCGCAGGGGGAGACCACCAACATGTGTAAAAGAGCCCCGGAGCAGGAGGCAGGAGATTGGCGTCCTAGTCCCTGCCGTACACAATCGCTACGTGATGTTGACGAGTCACTACATCTCCACCCTGCCTTTTCAGTTCCTTCAGCTCTCTTGAGTTATTGGACTAGGGCAATAGTTCTTAAACTTGGCTGTGCATTAGAATCACCTGGGTAGCTTTAAATAGTCTTGATGTTCAGGCTCTACTCTAGATCAATGGAATCAGAGTCTCTGTTGGGGGCCCTCATCTTCAGTATTTATTTGCTTATTTTTATTTTTCAGAGACAGAGTCTTGCTATATTGCTCAGGCTGGAGTGCAGTGGCTATTCACAGGGGCCTTGAATGAATGGGCTCAAGCAATCTTCCAGGATTTTAAACTCTCTGTTTTAAGTGTGCAGCAAGTTTGAGAGCTGGTGGACCAGGAGACTCTTCCAGCTGAAACGTCTACGACTCCAGCTGGGGTGAGACTAAATCCTCTGTGAACCCACCACCTGAATTCCTCCTGGGGTGCTGGGCCGGCTCTCTCCCCTCAGCCCTGGGCTCTTACCTCTATGAGCTGGTAGCCTTGCTTGCAGGTAGCAATGAAGTAGTCACGGAACTGGTACTGAGGCTGCAGGTTCTGGATGATGGTGAACTCGTCTAGGGTCTTGGGCTGGGGGCACTTGATGACTGTTGGGGAGACCAGGGGGCATATTTATTTCAGAGCCACTTGTCCTTCCTTCTTCCCCCCTTTTCCCCATTGCTGGCCATCGAGGGAGGCCTGCAGGGAGCCTTACTCTCGGTGGTGTAGCGCAGCTTCCAGCCCCGGCTGTCCCCCGACTCATCTGTGAAGAACAGCAGATCCACAGCATTGCTGCTGGTGTCGAGGTCGGGGGGCCTTTGCTTCCCACAGAACTCGCCAATGTTCTTCCCGTTGGCATAGATCTAGTAGGGGAGGAGGGTTTTTTTTTTTCAGCTTGGACGTTTTTACACAGGGCCAACTGGGTAGTAGCCTGGTGGCCAGGGTGGTGGTGGTGGTGATGAAATCCTGCCTTATGTGTGTTTTCAGGGGAAGGTGAAAAGGGATCCCCATGACCCAATTCTAGTTGTGTGGGAACTTACCCAGCCCATGGGTGATGTTGGCCGTTCCTGCCCCAGCTGGCCAGGGGATCCAGGAGGAAGTTGGGACAAGAGGAGCCAAGTGCAGACAGAAGGGGAGGAAGGGGTCTTTCAGGGGTAGGACGGCTGTACCTGTAGCTGGTCATAGGGGCAGTGTACTTGCTGGTGGTCATCAATATCAAAAGGCTCCAGGAACTTGAGGTGCAGGGTGAGGCCCCGCTCCACCCGGATGCTGTAGTTGCAGCGCAGGTCAGGGGGGTAGGACCGAGGGTACTCCAGGCTGGAGATGTAGCCTGATGCCTCCGTGTACAGCTCGCTGCTGCACTCAGCTGTGAGAGCAGAGCCACAGGGCATTACGGGGGACTCCAGCTGGCCCAGCAAGCCCTGGCTCAACCCCTTCCCCTCTGCTACACCACTCTGGCTCACCCTGGCAGGAATGCCTGTCTTCCTGAAGCTCATAGCCTGGACGGCAGGAACAGAAGTAGCCTCCAACGTAGTTGTGACACAGGTGCTGGCACTGGGGCTGGGGATCCTCCTCCCCTGATTTGCTCCGGGAAGCACATTCATCAAGGTCTGGAAGGCATTCAGGAAGGAGGGTTAAGCTTCTGCTGGGAGACCTGAGTAGTGGCTCTGATCTTAGGGAGGTCACTCACCAGAGACCTAAAGACAAAGGCATCTTTAGGCCACCTGGACCTCCAGGCCTCTCCAATGCTCTCTGGGGACTGCTCCATGGGGACAGAGCCCAGGTTGACAGGCCTCGTTAGGAAAAGCTCTCTCGAGGGGAGGAACAAGGAAAGCCAGGCTTTCGGCTTCTTTGCATTCAAGATTCCCTTTCTTGGCCCCCCATTCAATATGGCTGAGGTCAGAGAAAAGGGATCCCTGGGGGGCTACTCACCCACAGCTTGGTAGTAGGCCAGGAAGCCCTTGTAGAACATGATGGTCCCATTCTCCTCGTTGGAGAAGTCTGTGTGGAAGGTCAGCAGCATCTTGTTCCCTTGGGACATAAATTCCTTCTTTCCCGGGGGGTTGCCCAGTGGAGAACCCAGTTGCCCACAGAACCTCCCCAGGCTTTTCTTATCAGCAGAGATCTGGTGGAAGAAGGACAGGGGGTAGGAAGAAGATCTGTTGCGGAGTGGCGCACGTGGTGGCTCAGTGATGGTCCTCCTTGTCTCGCCCAGAGTGCATCATGCACCACAATGGCTCTGGCTGGTCACTACCTGCTGGGCTCAGCTGCTGCAAACTTCCCCATGTGACTTTCAGCTGTTCCCTGAGTCTCCCACTGACTCACTCTTTGCGTGTTGTCCTGGACTGGGTACCTCACCCTTTCCCTGTTTTCTGCTCCTCTGGCAGGTTTCAGGTCCTTCTCCATCCCCACCACCTCCTATGGCCTGTTCCCCTGGGGTCCTGGTTGTCTGTACCCAGCCTTTACCTGCCCCTCATTCCCAGAGCTCAGACAGCTCCGCTTTATTTTCTGTCTTCAGATTCCACCTCAGCCTAATCAAACCATTCACACCTCGAGTGCCTCCTGATGCCCTCGGCGGAACATGAGCCCTGAAGCCCACCCATCTCAGTGTCAGCAGGCACTGCCTCGTCCCTCTTCCTTCCTCCTCACAGCCTCCTCAACCTCTCCTTGACTCTGCCAGCAAACGCCCTCCCCCAACACTGCACACTCGCCAAGTCTTCTGAGCCGGTAAGACGTGCCATTGTCATGTAATTCACGCATAATCTCCAGGGGTCTCCTGGGAATGGTAGTTGTTGGACCTTCGCAGGCTCTGCTTGAGCCCTGAATCTCATTTTTACTGGATAGAGAAAGACAGGCCTGGGAAGGTACCCTTGGTTGCCACAGAGGTGAGGGTTCTGAGCACACTGTCCTTGCTGAAGGCTATTCCTGTGCTGCCAGAGCCCACATTTCTCCTCCTCATGTCCCTGTGTTCCTGTTGAAGCAGGCAGCCATGTCAATCATTTCCTTGGAGACAGGGAAGCTGAGGCACAGTGGTTTCCCAAAGACTCTCAGCTAGACAGCAGATGGGGAAGGTTTTCCTGACTCAGTGGATGTTGAATTTCCTGAGTGGGTCCTGTCCCCTTCCTTCTCTGTGCTTCTCCCCTCAGTGCTCACCGAGGGCCTCTACACCAGTGAGCGCCCATCCAGGGCATCCCCGGGCTCTCAGAGAGGCCGTTGGCCATCAGCTCTTGTGGGGCTGGGCTGTGTCTGGGGGTGTGCATGCCATACAGATCCCAGATCCCAGAGGGCCCAGTTTTGTCTCCCCTCTGCCCGCCCATCCTGCCCCTACCTTGACATAATCATAGAAGCAGCCTTCAGAAGGCTCCAGGTCAAACTGCTGGAAGACGAGCTTCACCCTGTATCCCGTGGGGACTGTGATCACAGTGGTTGTTTCAAAGTTGTTGGGGTAAGGCTTGGGGAACAGAGGGGAAGTCACCTCCCCAAATAACTTCTGAGGGATGGGAATGGAGCCTCCTGCCCTGCAGAACAGGGCCGGCACCAGGAGGTACAAGAGCCACCTGCCAAAACAAAAGAGAGTATCTGGAGCTGGAGGGGTTCAGCACTCTTGCCATGTGGGCAGTGGCTGTGGCAGGGGATGAGACGGCCATACCACTGGGCATTCTCCTCTCTGCCCACCCTGAACCTCACAGACATGTTCTCAGCAGGGGTGCGTGGGTGGGGAGGATGGCCTGTGCAGCTGCTGCATCGGGTCACTCTCCAGGGCAGTGTCCAGTCCAGAGGCCACCACACTCCCCTCACACTCCCTTTCCAGCCTCCTCCCCTGCCCGGACGCGTCCCTCCCCTCCCCTTCCAGGAATAGGACTGGCTTGGGACCAGTTAATGGAGGGTGAGGGTTTCCACCCGTGGGTCTCTGAAAGGGCTCCCACAGGTTCAGCAAGAGCGTCTGGGAGAAACCATCTGTGGAGTGGGGGACACAGGCACAGAGTGTCCCGTCCTGGGCAAGGGGTCCCCTCCTCTCGCTGCTCCCTGCCAAGAGCCCAGAGGGAAGAAAGGACCATGGCATGAGCATCTATGTATGAAGTCTCCTCTGATCCCTAGGAGGAGGGATGGGGCGTGTGTTGTGTGTGTCCACGCGTGTGCACAGTGGAACTGATGAGGTGTGTGAAGAGAGAAGGGTGTTCCTGTCTCCCTGAATTGCCTCCCATGCCCTGGCTTCTCCCCTGGCTTCTCCCTCCCACCTGGTTGCCCATCACCCTTACTCACATTTCTCAAGGCCCGTGTTGAATCCTGGGCTCTCCCGACAGCGTCTTCGTGCACTGTGTGCAGAGGGAGCCCGCGTCATGCACAGCAGGGAGGGGAGGGTTTTCTGTGGAGTGGAGGGGGGACCATTCCCGGAGGAATGTTGGAGGGAATGAACTATTTGCATAAACAAAAGATCTGAGTTTCCACTTTAATTTAGTTTTGGTTTTGAAATCCCTGTTTGTGGTGCCACCTGCTGGTCGGTGAGGGAAAGGGCTAAGGAGACGGGAGTCTGGCTTTTTAGGGCCCGGGGAGCCTTGGGTTGGAGGCCCAGATGTCTCAGTCTCTAAATCTGATCAGCTTCTCCCTTCTTCCAAGACTTTCCTGGGGGCTGCTGCTGTGTTTACAAGGTTCCTACCAAAGCAGTGGGAGACCACAGGTGGTGGTGAATTCTCTTTTCTGGGCTGTCCTTTCCCATTGACCCTGTTCTTCCTGCCCTCATTCAGCCCACAGCCCTGGTCCAAGAATGGCCCGGGTTTCAATGCCCAGGACGTAATGATAGGAACACTGGGGCAGAGGAGGGTGTGTGGGAGCGGGCAGAGGAGAGAGGAGCTTGGTTGCCTTGGGGCCCTGGCCTGCTTTAGCCATGAATGACACTTGGACATAGAATAGGGTTGGCCATGTCAGGGCAACCCTAAATCAGCCCTGGGTTTGAGACCCTCTGGGGCGGCTGCGGAGGGGGTAAAATGTCCCCATCTCCTTAGCATCTGCTCAACACAACTGCCAGGGCTGAAGCTAAGGATGC
This sequence comes from Homo sapiens, assembly GCF_000001405.40. NCBI lineage: Eukaryota > Metazoa > Chordata > Mammalia > Primates > Hominidae > Homo > Homo sapiens. The sequence goes on from NC_000012.12 coordinate 7,093,168, forward strand.
GGGTGTGGAGCAAGAGGGACTCGGTTTTTCTGAGATGAAGCCAGGCCCCTGGGAGGGAGGAGGGACCCTAGTCTCTCCTGTCCATCAGGCCATAGTGTCCTGCTTTAAAACTTTTGCTCTTGGCCACGTGTGGTGGCTCATGCCTGTGATGCCAGCACTTTTCGAGGCCAGGGTGGGAAGATCTCTTGAGCCCAGGAGTTCGAAACCAGCCTGGGCAACATAGTGAGATCTCGTCTCTAAAAGTTAAAATAAATTAAAAAACAATTTCATTGTTTTTGGAAGGCTTTCTTCATCAACTCTCCATGGCACCAAATATCTGATGGCACTTCATCCCACGGAGGGGCTTGGGCTGCAGAGCAGGACTCTGCGTTCTTAAGCCTTTGTAGGCTGTTCTGCTTGTTTCCCTTATTAGATGAATCCCTCCAACCTCCACCCTTCTGCCCCCACCCCCGTTCATCCATTTATGGGCTACCTGTTTAATGTGCAAGACACTTTCCCAGGCAATAGATTGCAAGAATTCACAGAGCTGATGCAGTTCCCCATCAGGCAGTGACCACATCATCAGTAGTTAGACAGCAGGCACACAGAAGGTGCAAGATCCACCAACGCTTGGAGGGTTTCTCCAGCAGGCCTGTGTGTCAGAGCTGAGGACTGAACCTAACGGAGGGCTGGTCTGTGATGGGATCAGCATATGATCCACAGCCTTGTTAGATCAGGAAAGACAAAAGATGGGGGAGAAGGAAAAGCACCAGATCAGAGGACGAGAAGGAAGGGGAATCTCGTCTAACAAACTGCACATTAATATCCTAGCAGCAGTTTGTGTGTGTGTGTGTGTGTGCACGCGCGCATGTGCCGTATGTTCATAATGGAGGCAGAGGGAACAGGTAAGGAGGTAAGTCTTAGCTGAAGCTCTTCCGTCCATCCTAGGGATTCTCAGTTCTGCGTTGGCATTGTGCAACACGCTTGGAGAGCGGCAAACCTGGATGTCATTAGCTCAGTCCCAGCCCTGTCTCCACTCTGCCCAACCATTCAAAATAACCTTTACTCACACATTTTTGTTATGTCCTTGACTTTGTTTTGTCCTTGACTCATACCAAGAAGGAAAAAAATGCCATATGAAATGCTGCTGCGTTTGTTTTAAAACAATTATTGAGGATATAGTCGGTTACAGTGTTTGTTCCTTTAAGGATTTGATTCTTGGGAAAAAGATTTCTCTCTTAAAGTAGTGGTAGGTTTTCCTCTGTGGATATGTCTCTATCGCTAGCTCATCTATCTCCATCATCTCTATCTCTTACCTCCCTCTCTCTCTCATTGTCGATATCTCTATCTCTAGACAGAGACAGCGATGGAGATGTAGAGATATAGATCTAGACATACACATATAAATATAGGTATATATATATTTTTTTGCCTTGGCAGGGAGAAACTCATATCATTTTTTGCAATCATAAAAATAAGCAAAATAAAATAAAAACATTTCATGCTCATTAAACAAATTTTAGCCAATAGAGAATAGTGGAAAACCAAACAGCCAAAATCTTATCAATAAAACCACCTCTGTTTAGTATTTTGAGAGAATTATTATTATATTTTTGGCGATGGGGTTTCACTATGTTGCTTAGGCTGGACTTCAACTCCTGGGCTCAAGCGATCCTCTTGCATCAGCCTCCTGAGTGGCTGGGGGTATAAGTGTGCATCATTGCACCTGCCTTTTGGGAATATTTTTAATAATCTTTTGTACTGTATGTGGGTGTAAAAAACAGAAGTAATCACATGTATGTACAACTTTGAATCCTGCCATTTTTTAGAGATAAATTTAACCTTTGACCATATAGCAACTTGACTCTTGATGCTAACAAATTACCTCTCTTCTCTCTTTTATGGTGTTTATTTTCTATTTCCATTGAACAGTTGTATTTTATTTGTGTCTTTCACTGTAAATCACCTCCAATCTTTTTTTTTTGGGGGGGATGAAGTCTTGGTCTGTCCGCAGGCTGGAGTGCAGTGGCGTGATCTTAGCTCACTGCAACCTCCGCCTCCCAGGTTCAAGTGATTCTCCTGCCTCAGCCTCCCGAGTAGCTGGGACTACAGGCACGTGTCACCACGCCCGGCTAATTTTTGTATTTTTAGTAGAGATGGGGTTTCACCATGTTGGCCAGGATGGGCTGGATCTCCTGACCTCGTGATCCACCCACCTCGGACTCCTAAGGTGTTGGGATTACAGGCGTGAGCCACTGCGCCCGGCCCATCACCTCCAGGTTTTACTAAAAATTAAAGAGTTGGTCCTCTCAGGTGGAGCAGTTCCCCTGATGATAGGGGCACAGGTGGGGTGTCTGCAAGAACTTCAGTCCAGTGCTGGGCTCACCTGGCTTCTGCAGGAGATGGGGCCATTAGGAAAGTGTGAGCTAGAGGATACCATTTTCGCAGAAGCAGGAATTCCCAGGGAGGGAAAATGGTAAGGATGTGGGGGCTGGGAGGGAAAGCGGGTGACACAGCAGGTTAGAGGAGGGTTGAGAAGTATTGCAGCACACTGGGAAGAGCACAGTCTCTGCAGTCACACACCAGCTGTGGGACTTGGGCAAGTCCCTTTATCCCCTGAGCCTCAGTTTCCTCATTTGTCACACATAGATAATAACACATCCTTTGCAAATATGGTATGAGGATTAAGTGAAATAACAGGTGAAGCACCTGGCATATAGAGGACATAAAATAAAAAAGGAGCTGTTTCTATAATTGCATCTTGGAGCTGCAGAATAGCTTGAATATTTGAAGGTCAACTAAAGGGTCTTAGGAATGTTTCAGAAATGCAATGCAATGAAAACCCCTTCCTCCATACTCTAATAGCGGGTGAGTAGCTGACTCTTCCACAGGTGAGTATAAAAGCTGTGTCAACAGATGAAGTAGGGGAAGGCGGTTCTAAGGACATTCAAGGCGAAAGTTGTTGAGATGTACAGGCTTCCCGGGGCCTAGTGCATGAGCACAGGGAGGTAGAGGGTGAGGAGGAGCGGTCTGTGGGACTCTGCTTCCTGTCTGGGATGGGGCGGGCTTGCCGGGTGGGGGTTTCTCTTGCAGTGGCTTGGTGCAACAGTGATGTGAATAGGATTTCCCTGCCTCCCCCAACCCCCCACCCCCAACCCCTACCCCAGTGTTCAGTCCTCACTCCAGGCCCTCTGTTGCCTGGGGCCTCCACTGTGCTGGTCAGTCCCTGTTCAAGCCCCCAGGGTCAATTCTTGCCATTCATCACTCCCTTGATCCAGTCCACATAGCTGAGCACCTTGGTGTAGAAGTCATACCCTTCGCCACACCCTATGCCCCAGGACACAATGCCCGTGGCCACCCAGTGATGGGCATGATTGTCCCATACCACATAGACGCTGCCACTGTCCCCCTGGCAGACACTGTGCCTTTGCGTCTCATCCCCAACACAGAACATATTGTCAGAAAACACCTCGGGTCTCTGTCTCTTTTGGAGCCAGGCGTTGCAGGCCTCCCTGGGAGCTACAGGCAGCCTCGAGTACTTCAGCTCAGTAGTTAGCCAGCCCATCTCCATGCCAAACCCACTGACGTAGCCCAACAAGCCGCTGCGGTAGAGGGTCTCATTATCGGGCAGACAGACCGGGAGGACGTTGGGGCCCAGGGGGATGCTGTGCTGCAGCTCCAGGAGGGCGATGTCCCCGCTAAAGTTATGGGACTCATTCTGACGGTAGTCGGGGTGCACAACGACACGGTGGACAGGGTGGTTCCCCAGTTTCAGCATCTCATCTATGGCTGTGTGGCCCAAGAACACATTCACACTCTGGTTCTTCCTGAGAGAAACACTGTCCTTGGGGTAGATGGTGTGGGCAGCAGTGAGGATCCATCTGTCCCCCAGCAGGGCCCCGCCCCCACGGCCGTGGATACTGGTGAAGGCTTGCCAGGGGAAGTTGCCCAGCTTGGCTCTGGAAGAACCGAGGGTCGTCTGATTCTGGGCAATGGGGGTGACTGGCCGTCCGCAGACTGGGAGAGAGGCGGGGTAGGGGTGACAGTCAGCAGCTGCATCTAGACACACTGATTAAAGACCTGCTTCTCTGAAGTGCTGTGGTAGGGGACGCGTGAAGAGACTCTGGGATCAGGACGTTTTTTTTTTTTTTTTGATATCGAGTTTCGCTCTTGTTGCCCAGACTGGAGCGTACTTGCGCGATCTCGGCTCACTGCAACCTCCGCCTCCTGCGCTCAAGCAATTCTGCCTCAGCCTCCCGAGTAGCTGGGATTACAGGCACCGACCACTACGCCCGGCTAATTTTTGTGTATTTTTTAGTAGAGACGGGGTTTCATCATGTGGGCCAGGCTGGTCTGAAACTCCTGACCTCAGTGTTCCACCCGCCTCTGCCTCCCAAAGTGCTGGGATTACAGGCGTGAGGCACCGCGCCTGGCCGGGATCAGGACTCTTATACTGATGCAGACCCACGGTGTAGACCATGTGGGCAGACAAGGACAGGTAATCAATGCCAAGTGTACGGGGCACCCATCCTGCATGGGACTCAGGACAGTGGACTGAGGGTAGGGAGCACAGATGAGCACATGTTTGGGGCTGGTTCTGCAGGGCTCTCCTTCCTGCCTCCTCAGAGGCATTAAAGCCATTCGTTTGGACCATCCTGGGCCCCCATACTACAGGCAGAGTCTGTTTCAGTGCCTCCTGCCTCAGTTTTGTGTCACTTCCTCATTTGTAACATCTCCCACTACCACCTGCCCTCCAAACCATCCCCAAAGCACTGCGAGTGTTCAGGCTACCCTTAGAGTTTTCCGTGGATCAGATTGGGTTAAGAAGGCAATGCTTTCGGCCGGGCGCGGTGGCTCACGCCTGTAATCCCAGCACTCTGGGAGGCCGAGATGGGCGGATCACGAGGTCAGGAGATCGAGACCATCCTGGCTAACCCGGTGAAACCCCGTCTCTACTAAAAAATACAAAAAAAAATTAGCCGGCCGTGGTGGCGGGCGCCTGTAGTCCCAGCTATTCGGGAGGCTGAGGCAGGAGAATGGCTTGAACCCGGGAGGCGGAGCTTGCAGTGAACCGAGATCGCGCCACTGCACTCCAGCCTGGGCGACAGAGCGAGACTCTGTCTCAAAACAAACAAACAAACAAAACAAAAGAAGGCAATGCTTTCATTCAAAAGCGTGGATCTCAAAAATGGTGGGCTTGAACCCTCATGTATTGCCGGTGAGATGTAACTTGGTGCTGCTGCTGTTGAAGACAGTTTGGTGGTTCCTCAAAAAGTTAAACAGAATTATTATACAATCCAGCAAGTCTACTGCTAGGTATATACCCAGGAGATTTAGAAACGTACGTTGATATAAAAACTTGTACACAAATGCTCATAGCAGCATCATTCATAATAGGCAAGAAATAGAGACAACCCAAATGTCCATCAGTTGAATGAATAAACAAAATGGCGTATCCATAGAAAGGAGTATTATTTAGCCATAAAAATGAAATACTGATGGATGCTATAACAGGAATGAACCTTGAAAACATTACGCTAACTGAAAGAAGCCAGACAGAAATGGCCACACATTATATGATTCCACTGATATAAAATCCATAAAGGCAAATCCATAGAGATAGAAGATTAGTGGTTGTCAGGGGAGAGTTGGAGGTACTGGGCTGTTTTGGGGAAGGTAATGGAAATGTTCTGGAATTAGTGGTAATGGTTTCACAACATTGTGAACACACTAAACATTACTGGATTGTACTGTTTAAAGTGGTTAAGGCTGGGCGCAGTGGCCCAAGCCTGTAATCCCAGCACTTTGGGAGGCTGAGGCGGGACGATCACCTGAGGTCAGGAGTTCAAGACCAGCCTGACCAACGTGGTGAAACCCTGTCTCTACTAAAAATACAAAAAAAAAAAAAAAATAAAATAAAATAAAAAAATGAGCTGGGCATAGTGGCAGGTGCCTGTAATCCCAGCTACTCAGGAGGCTGAGGCAGGAGAATCGCTTGAACCCAGGAGATGGAGGTTGCAGTGAACCAAGATTGTGCCGTTGCACTTCAGTCTGGGCGACAAGAGAGAAACTCCATCCCAAAAAAAAAAAAAAAAAAAAAAAAAAAAAGTGAGCCACTGCGCCCAGCCATGAATTTTATCTCAATAATTTTTTTTAAAATGGTTGACTGTCTGGCACTGTGTGGCATCTAGGTAGGGAGATATTTTAGGAATAGAGAGCCTGTCGGTATATCCTTAAAATGTATGGCACAAAAAGAGGGTTTTCTGTTACTTCAGCTTGTTGGTCTCTCTTCCTCCTTTTCTAGTCCATCTCATGAACGTCCTTCATGCTTTTCCTCAGATATATCTTGACCCCTGAAGAATGAGGAACAAGCTCCCTGCCTGTTCTTTTCTGGGCCTTCTTGATTGCCCTGTTCTTCCTCACCTTCTGCTTCTTATCTTCCTTTCTATTCTAAGGCTTTCCTTTAACCCCTGTGTCCTGTAGGTCCCAGTTGCAGCTGAGGCTTGTTGGGGGAATGGTGCTAGCAGGTGGCTACTCACCAGGCATACACTGAAGAACCTCCTCCCCATCCTGTCTGTCTTTCCAGGTCCCTGGGGTTGCACAGGTGAGTGCCCCTGTGGCGTAAATGAGGAGAGGCAAAGAAATAGGCTCGGAGTTGAAGCTGTTGGTTAACGAAGCAGGTGCTCAGAGGGTGTCAGGCATTTGGGTGGGAATGAGGTGGATGGAAGCCACCCCTCGGCAGGTGGGGACTCACCTGCTGCCGCGGCCTGATAATAGGGCTCCTGGCAGTGGTTCTGGACCTTGGCAGGGTTGTCTCCAGGTGCGTTGATGGCCTCAGAGCCCCTGCTGGCCTCGCTGATGGGCTGACTATAGTTCACAGCTATAGGAAAACAGCACCTAGCACAGACTTGCCAACTGGCAACCCAGGGGCTGATTCTGGCCCATGGCTATACTTGGTTTGACTTGCACAGTGTTTTATTTTTTATTTTTAGTTTTTTTAAAACATTTGAGTTCGTTTTCACTGATCAGATTGACAACACTCAAAGAGTTTGAAGATAACTGTGACAAGCAGGGTAGGGGGGAACAGGCACTTCCATATATGTTTGATAGGTATGTAAATTAGCAAAACCGTTTTGGAGAAAATTTTAGCAATATCAAAATTTAAAATGCAAATATTTTTTAACCTACTCCATTTCTAAAAATTTAGTCTAAAGATATTCTCACACATGTGCTCAAAGATGTAAATGCAAGGATATGCACAGTAGCACCATGTGTGGCAGCAAAGTATCTATCAGGAGGGCTGATGAAATACATTATGACACATCAATCAAGGAGATTTTATGTGGTCATTAAAAATAATGAGTTCGCCAGGTGCGGTGGCTCACGGCTGTAATCCTAGCACTTTGGGAGCCTGAGGCAGGCAGATCACCTGAGGTCAGGAGTTTGAGACCAGCCTGGCCAACAAGGTGAAACCATTATTAAAAATGCAAAAATTAGCTGGGTGTGGTGGCATACCTATAATCCCAGCTACTCAGGAGGCTGAGGCAGGAGAATCGCTTGAACCCAGGAGGCAGAGGTTGCAATGAGAAGAGACTGCGCCACTGCACTCCAGCCTGGGCAATAGAGCGAGACTCTGTCTCAAAAAACAATAAATAAAATAAAAAATAAAAAATAAATGAGTTAGTGCTGTCCATATGGAATGGGATGATCTTTAAGATATATTATTCAGTAGAAAAATACCACGTTTAGAACACTTGCAATATAGACACACACAATTTATCCTCTTCCCGGGAAGAATATCCAGGAAATGGAGAACACAGTTGTTTCTGGGGAGGGCAGCCAGGAGTTAAGAGCCAGAGATCAGAGGAAGACTTACTTTTTAGCATACTTAAAAAAATGATATTTTATCATGTGCACCCTTCCTTCCTTTCCTTCCTTCCTTCCCTCCTTCCCTCCTTCCTTCCCTCCCTCCCTCCCTCCTTCTTCCCTCCCTCCCTCCCTCCTTCCTTCCTTCCCTTCTTACTTTCCCTCTCTCCCTCCCTCCCTTCTTTCTTTCCCTCTTTCTCCTTTCTCGCTTTCTTCCCTCCCTTCCCTTCCCTCTCCCTTTTCCTCCTTCCTTCCTTCCTCTCTTCCTCTCTTTCTCTCTTCTAGTTTCTCCGTGTCTCCCAGGCTGGAGTGCGGTGGCATGATTGTGGCTGACTGCAGCCTCAAACTCCCTGGCTCAAGCAATCCTCCCCCTCAGTCCCTGAGTAGCTGGTACTACAGGTGTGCACCACCATGCCTGGCTAATTTTTAATTTTTTTTGTGGAAACGGGGTCTCACTATGTTGCCCAGGCTGGTCTCCAACTACTGGCCTCAAGCAATCTTCCAGCCTTGGCCTTCCAAAGTGCTGGGATTACAGGCATGAACCACTGCCTCCAGCCAGTATTTATCTTTCAAAAACAAATCTGAGTCATCATTTGAAAATTTATAATTTTACTTAAAAATCTGGATTTTTGGCATCTCTTTAAAAATGAGATGATCTGCAAACACTGGGCCTGTAAATCTGCATGGAAACAACCGCTGGGGGCTCAGCTACGGCTGTCTCTTAATAGGGTTGCTTGCCAGCAGGGGCAGGGCTGGGATCCAGCCCAGGTGTCCCTGAGTCCCCAGCCTCAGCTGTCACTCAAGCTTCCACTTAAGGCTTGAAGATACCAGGGTCATGGCTGGGAACAGAGGCTCCCTCCCTGCACCCCCAGGAGGGACACTCACCCACGGTTTGGTAGAGGGCCAGGAAGCCCTTGTGGAGGTGGGCAGTCTTGTTCTCCGAGGAAGGCTGTGTGCGGAAGGTCAGCCGCAAACTCCTCCCTGAGGATACAAACTCCCTCTGACCAGGGGGCCTGCCCAGAGGGGAGCCTTGCTGACCACAGAACTGGCTTGGATCCGAACCGACGAATGAGATCTGAAAGCGGGAGGAGGAGTGAGGCTGCAGATAGGTGTGGGGTGAATCCGCGCTGCTGGCATCACAGGGGCACATCCTCGGTGTGACTCCTGCCCCATCTAGACGGGCCGTGCCCCTCTGGGGCTCAGAAGGCACCTCACAGAGGCTTCCTCAACTAGCTTCTGGTTCCATTATTGACGCCTGAGTTTCTTCCAGACATAACCACATACTACAATGTTTCTTTAGCCTACCATAATTATTTCACGTAACCCACTATATTTTCCTTCTTTTAAGAAGTTCCTTGGGAACACCAGGGTTCCCATGGGAGTCACTGGATTATGCATTCTAAGAAGGCAAGGACTACTTCTGTCTTTTTCTCCACTGAGTTCCTGGTGCTCAGCGTGGTACCTACAGCACCACAGCGTTGACTCAATGAACATGGGCATAAGCCCCTCCCATCCAGCTTCTCCTCCATCCCCAAAGCCCATCCCATCACCTTCCACTTCTGTGAGTAACTTTCTTTGGCCAACATCTGTGAGGCAGTAATACCCTCTGCAGAGACTGAGCCTCTGGGGTCCCTGCCTTTTCCTGCTTTCCTTCTTTTGGGGTGCCCCTCCTCTTATCCCATGCACTTTGTAAACGAAGCTCTCACAATGTATGAAAACCTAAGGACACAGGTGTCCACAGTCCAGCTGCACTGGATGGTGTTGCTTCATCGGGCAGCTTGTCTCTGTTTCAATGCCCTTTTGACTGTCTCGCCTCTGCTCAAATACCTTCCTGTGGGTTCCTTAACTCAAGGAAGGGGCCATGCTTCCTGCTTCATCTCTGTTCCAGGCACACAGCTCACTGCTTAGCTCATTTTATTTCTGGTTTTCATACTGATCCATATATCCTAGGTTTTTGCTAGCTCTCCATTCCCTCATTCTCCACAAGTCCCAAATTCATTCAAGACTTCATCCAGACCATGTCATTATGATCAGAGTAACTGGGTAAAATTTGCGATGAAGAAAATTTCTCAATCGCCCCAAATACCTGGTTCAGACAAATCCCAATACTGGTCTTTTGCTTAGAATATCAGCAAATGTAACTCCTGGCATTTAAGAGGCCTGCTTTTTGGGGAAGAAGCAATTTGATGTAGGAAATGGTGCTCAACTGCTCTACTTGGTTGTAAAACCCTCCAGCTTTCTTTTTGCCCTTTTCCCTGAATTGTTAGCGAAATACAATTGCTTAGGATTCTAACTAGGAAAGTAGAGTGGACACAGGACTGAGTCCTAAGACCCTTAAATTCTAGACTTTGCTACTAATTCCATGTGTGAAATGGGGAGTTTCTGAAGCACCCAAGATCTCAGTTTCCTCTCCTATATAATGGTCTGTGTGGCCTCTTCCAGCATGTTCTATGGCATCTTCCAGAGTCTGCACTAAGAGCAGTGGTGAGGATGGATACTCAATACCTGCTCCTTCAAAATTCATTATGTTGTGTGTCCTGCACACACATAAGCTTGCATTTTATTCACTCTCTCACTTATTCCTTTAACACATTTACTGGTTGTGTACTATGTGTAAGATACTGTGCTAGGTGCTGGGGACACAGATGTGACAAAGGCACAGTTCTGCTCCCGAGGAGCAGTGGCTGAGGACGCTGACAAGTAAAAAAATAAACTAGGTTATAGTGTGCTGAATTCTGCCTTTGAGGGGTGTGTGTGTGTGACTTACTCTGGGAGGAATCCTTTTTCTGAACTTGAAGTTTCTCAATGACAAGAAAAAAGGCCAGGATTAAAAATCTCCATGATTTAAGAGGAACGGGACTCATGGTAGGTGCTCAACAGACATAGGCTGAATTGAACAAAGTATCATCCTGACTGGTTAAGTCTGAAGCAATAAATGCATGCATATATTTCCTCTCCCATCTCAACCCCAGTCGTATGACAGCAAAGGGATAAAATGGTACACATAACCAAGGACAAAAAAGGGAGAGAAGATGACAGCAGATGACAGGTGTCAACACACTTTGGAAGATGGAGTGGAGATGCAAGTGATAACTTGAGTTTGCAATGATGGGAGCCAACATAAAGCAAGCAGGTTCTCATCACAGAACCAGGGGAAGTTTTAAAAATTGGGGGAATCAAGATAGGGATGAGGGAAGGGCTGGCACGGGGATGGCAGACCAGAAGCCTGTGAGGGAGACTGCAGAATCCTAGAATCTCTGTGCACCCAGGCAACTCCCTCTGGCCCACCCTGGCAGAAGGCATGAGCTTAACAAGAAACCCTGGACTTGAGGCCCCGCGGCACACTTGATAGAGGGGGCGAAGGCCAGTGCAGCAGGTCCATGAATAACATCGTCGTTTCATTATGACGTTGACGAGAAAAAATATTGCCCCGTGTCCGGGGCCACTCTCTGGGTGAAGTCTGCACATTCTTCCCATGTCTTCAGTGGTTTTCTCCAGGTCCTCTGGTTTCCTCCCACATCCCAAGCTGTGCCTGCTAGGCGACCTGGTATGTCTCCACGGTCCCAGTGTGAGTGAGTATGAGTGTGTGAGTGCGTCCTGAAACAGGATGGTGTCCTGTCCAGCACTGGTTCATGCCTTGCATCCTGAACTGCTGCAACAGGCTGTGGCCACCCGTGACCCCAAACTGGAATAATTGGGTAAATAATCTTATTCGTTTTTATTAACCTTTCTTACATGTAGGCATAGTTCACATGTATTTCAATATTTAATATTAGAAGTGTTTGGGGTCTTTATTTAGAGGTTTGGTGATGTTTCTGTGATCAGTAATTGCTGTAGAAACTTCACTCTTGTCTATATCAATTAGCTCTATGGCCAAATTGGTTTCATTCTATGTTATTTCTCTTAAAGTCATACTTTCCAAGAACCTATGGATGATTTTAAGTGAGGACTCACTGTACCAAAAACAGAAGGATTAAGTGAAAGTCTACCTGCCAAACAGTGAGCTGCATCTCCCTCCACCAGGCCCTTTTCTCAGCTTGTTGACCAGAATGCTGGGGTCCCTGAGCTGGAATCTGCAGGAGTCCTCTCAGGGGAAACTGGCTGCCCCCAAATAAAATGCTTTTACATCCTGACAGTTGGGAGGCCCCCAGTGGCACATCTAGGTCACCTTGTCGATAACCCTATTTTCAAACCTATCATTTGACAAATTTTAGCTATCCACACAGAACTTCCAATCAGTATTTTAGTGCTCCACTCTTTTTTTTTTTTCCTTGAGACAGAGACTCACTCTGCACCCCACAGGCTGTAGTGCAGTGGCCTGATCTCGGCTTACTACAACCTCCACCTCCCAGGTTCAAGCGATTCTTATGCCTCAGCCTCCCAAGTAGCTGGGATTACAGGCGTACACCACCATGCCTGCCTAATTTTTGTATTTTTAGTAGAGACGGGGTTTCACCATGTTGGCCAGGCTGGTCTCAAACTCCTGGCCTCAGGTGATCTGCCTGCCTCGGCCTCCCAAAGTGCTGGGATTACAGATGTGAGCCACTGCGCCCGGCCTTAAATATGAATGGACAGCCAAGTATTATCAGATATCGTAGGAAAGTCTCTAACACAAAAAGCAGAGACCAAAACAGACAAACGGTAAAAAAGAACTTGGATGAAATAGACCCACTATAGAGAACAGAAGAAACATCTAAAAATAATCCCAAAGGAGGGAAAGGAGTTGATACTGCATCAATGAAACAAGAACAATACTCTATAAAAAGGCACATTTAGAAAATTAGAACGAATCCTTAGAAATGAAATAATATGTCAGTGGAAAGAAACCATTAACTAAAAGATGGGGATTTAAAGATGAGAAAATTTCCCAGGAGGCAGAACAAAAGAGATGGTAAATAGAACAAAACAGATAACAAAGCTAGAGAATCAATCTAGAACATACAACAGCTGAATTATAGGAGAAAGAGAAACTAAGGAAATGAGATATCTGGAAATTATTTAAAAAATAGCACAAGAACATTCCTAGAATTGAAGGACTAGATTAAAAGAGGCTCTAGATTAAAAGAAATCTGCACAATGAGTAAAAAACCACGTGTATCAAGAGACATCATAATGAAAGTCCAGAATACTGGTAATAAGGAAAATATTCCAAAAGTTCTAGAGAGAGAAAACAAAGGATTAGGAATGATAAGGGCATCAAACTTCTTAACAAAGTCTAGACCTAGAAGACAATATCATCAAAATTCTGGAAGAAAAAGGTTTCCAATCTAGAATGCTATACCCAGATCAACTATCCCTCCACTGTGAGGGTAGAACTGAGACATTTAGACATATATAAGATCTTCTAAAATTCACTCTAAAATACCCTTTCTAAGGAAGCCACTGGTGAAGGTGCTCCTCCAAAATGGGAGAGTAAACCAAAAAAGAGAAAGGTATGGGATTCAGGTTCAGCACAGGTAAAGGAAATCCCCAGAAAGAGGGAGAAGAGAACTCCCAGAATGTGTGACGGCTTAGAGAGCAAAGAACTCAGGCTGTGAAAATAAATCGAGAGATCTTCAGGAGGGATGTCACCAATTAAAAGGAGGACCGATAGACTGAAATTCATGCTTGAGTATTTCAGAAGAAGATTTACACTCCTGGTTAAGAGTCTGGTGAGATTAGTTACAGAGACAACTAAGCAAACTAAAAAGCAAAACAAAAACAAACACCCCCCACCAAAAAACAAAACAAAACAAAACAAAAAAACTCCATGTAACTATTGACTCCTAGGAAACCCAAAAGTTGGAGAAGAAAAGAAATATAATTATTTTATGCTATGTGCTCAGATGTGAATATTTTACAGTCATAATAATGTAAATAATGAATAAAGATTTAACTAAAAATGATAATATAGGTAAACTGGCAGAATGAGGAGGGGAAATGTGGGTGGTGAAGACTGAAGACAGATAAAGCTAGTCCTTATCTTCTATACTGTAGTTGAGCATTAATAGAAAATACGTAAAAATGAAAGACAAATAAGCATGTTATTTATACATATGAAGTTAAAGACCAGATGAAACAGCTACATGAATTGGCAAATGACTGCTCCTGAGGAGCAGCACTCAGGGGCGGGGAGGAACAGCTTGGAGACTGCTGTTATTCATAAACCTTTTTAAAAACCTTTTTTTTTTTTTGGAGACAGGGTCTCACTCTGTCACCCAGGCTGGAGTACGGTGTCATGATCAGAGCTCACTGCAGCCTCTACCTTCCAGGCTCAAGTGATCCTCTCACTTCAGCGTCCCTTGTAGCTGGGACCACAGGTGCGTGCCACCACACTTGGCTAATTTTTAAATTTTTTTGTAGAGATGGGGTCTTGCTATGTTGCCCAGGCTGGTCTCAAATTCCTGGGCTCAAGTGCTTCTTTCGCCTCAGCCTCCCAAAGTGCTGGGACTACAGACATGAGCTACTGCGCCCAGCCTTAGAAAACTTTAATTAAAAAACAAAAAGTCTTACAACTATTATGTATCCATAATAATTAAAAATTTTAAAATTAAAAAATAAAGTTCAAAAATTTATGTCATTTTGATATAAATAAAATTTAAATCAAAAGATAATGTGCTCTTTTTATTTTTATTTATTATTTACTTATTTTTGAGATGGGGTCTTGCTATGTTGCTTAGGCTGGCCTTGAACCCTGGGCTCCAGCCCTCTGATCCTCCAGCCTCAGTCTCCTGACTATACTGCTGGGACTGCAAGCTTGCATCACTCCATCAAGTACTGTTTTTAAAATGTCCTTATTCTGAATAAGGCTTTGGCGTTAGAAGTTTTGTAATAGCTCTTCCAAGGTAAGTGTGAACGGTGACTTAATCTTTTGTTATTATTTGTGTCCAGCTTCCTCACCTGATAGAGCAGGCACTCAACAAATACATGATGACATATTTTTAACAACCAATATGTGCGTCCCTGCCCCTGGCTCCATAGATTTGCAAGATTTGTGTGTCCATTCATAAGCCTTCCAAACGCAGGGCCTGCTTGCTGCCCTCTTTGCTCTGTGGGGCCCAGATGGCAGCCCCGGAGGCGCTGGTGGGAGGCTGTGTCCTGGGGTCCACCACTGCTCCCCGGTAAGCCAAGCCCGACTGCCCCTACATGGAAAATTCATCCCTCCTCCAGATGGGGGATTCAGGGCACCGCCACTTCCCACAACCCCGGGAATCTCCCTGGCCACAGTCCTGGCGGGACCCCCCCCATCCCCAGCTCACTGTGACAGAGTCCCCTGCACAGTCCTGGGACGGCTCCAGGTCGAAGTCCTGGAAGACGAGCCTCACAGCAAAGCCCTCTGGAGCCTTGATGTCCGTGCTGCTCTCTTGGCCTTTGCCATACGGCTCTGGGTACCCGGGGGATGTCAGCTGCTGGGGTAGCTCTTGGGCCAAGAGGACGGAGCCCCGGGTTGGGCAAGCCTGGAGGACTCCCCAGAGAAGCAGCCACCACCTGTGAGTTGGGGGGAGGGCAAGGTGGGGCCGCGCAGCTATGGCCGGAAGCCTGTGGGTGTGGGAGGAGCGGGGGAGCCGCGCTAGGACTCAGAGGCCTCGCGAGGCAGGGCTAGAAGCTGTGGCCTCACCCTTGAGGCCCGGGCACTTCCCGTCTCCTCCCTTGCTCCCCTTCCTCACCCCAATCCCTACAGCCTCCCGCGCAGCCTGAGCTCTAGGATTGTGGGTTTTCCATCCTCCGAAGACATCACCTTTGCTCATCTCCCAGGAGAGTCTCGTCCAAAGGAGGGGGGTGCTTTCTGCTTCAGCAGATCCCACCCCACCCTGGGATCCGAGGGAGCAATGGTGGGGCGAGTGAGGGTCTGCCGTAAATATCCCCCGACCACCCTCTGGGAAGGTGCTAGAGGCCACAGGCAAATTTCAGTCTCCCCATGGAATATCTGCTGTGCTGCTGCTGCTGCTGCTGCTGGTGTGTGTATGTGGGGGAGGTGTGTGTGTGTGTGTGTGTGTGGGGGGGGGGGGGATGTGTGTGTGGGGGGGGTAGGGTGGGGGGAGGGAGGGTTTGCGGCCACCCACCCTTTCTCTTCCCCTCCCGTCCTCTTCCCTCCTCCTCTGCCGGGGCCACACTCACATTGCGCCTGGACAGCCTTTGGAGTGAGGGCTTCTCCAGAGATATTTCCCCCACACTCTGGGTCCAGGCATCTGGAACTGGACATCTGGGACCTGCGAGAGAACTGGCCCAGGATAGGGAACAAAAGGTGAAGGCCGGTGGGGGAGGAGGAAGTTCCTGGAAATGTTAAGCAACTCCACAGTTCCCCTTCTCCAATTCTCCGGGCTGAGCGCCACCTGCCGTCTGACTCAGGAACAGCGGGCCCGCCGCAGCTTAGGGGAGAAACGTCCAAAAACCTCGCTGGCCCTCAGAGGTCAGGGTGGCAGGGCACTGACTCGACCCTTTTGTACTATTTAACATTAATTTTTGCCATGTGTGTAGGATGGCTCCTTGTGAGTTATGGCTGCTGCCTTCAATCAGCCATGTCTCTTCCTCCCCGACCTTTCCGTTCACGACATACCCGGGGAGCCTCCCTCTTGTAGAATTGAAGTTTGTGATCCTTGAACTTGAGCTTTCTCTTCCTTTCCCTCCTCCCCAAGCAGGGGTGGGGGACATGCGCTTAGGTGGTCTTTTGAATCCTATTCACAACCTCTGGAGGCTGCTTGTCCAGCATGGTCAGGGCTGGGGTCGAGCCCAGGTGTCCCTCAGTCCCTAGTCCCAGTCATCACTCAAGCCGTCACTCAAGCTTCTTTAGGCAGATACTAGAGCCCCTGCCTGCTCTCACCGCTCCCCGAGGAAGGACACTCACCCACAGCTTGGTAGGAGGCCAGAAGGCTCTTATGGAGATGGGTGGTCCCATCCTCAGAGAAGGCAGGTGTGTGGAAGGCCTTACGTTGTATGCACACACAAATGCATGTGCGCGCGCACACACACCTCTCAGAGAAGAATCTATTGCTTCCCCCATTTTGCATATAGTAATATGGAGGCAAGTTACAGACCCAAACAGGGTGTGCTCTGCATCTTTGGTTTTTCTAGGCTAGAGAGATTTAGGAGAGCCACAGTCTATGGCTACAAGGAGATGATAAGAGAGTGATGGCCAGGACAGATGCAATGTCTCAGGTACAGTCTTGAGATCAAGCCTACCTGTCTGCCACACCCCAACCCCAAACACAACTGGGGATGATCTCCCATACCCATCTTCGAGGAGTGGGCCTCTCTGACTAGGACTTCTTTCCTCCCCTGAGACCACTGAAACCTGCTCTCTCATAGAACTCTTAGGGTCACCTGGAGCACCTTGGGAGCCAGAGATGCAGCCAAAGAGTGAACAATGGTACCAATCCCAAGACCCATGTGTTAAGAAGAAACCAGCCAAGACTCAGATCAGGATTGGGGAGTCCACCCCTCGTTTCCCTTCAGAGCATTATTTCCTTGTTTGCTAAGAGGGGCAGGAACTGGAAAACTCAGGCTAGCCCATCTGAGAAGACTTTCCTGGAGATGAGCTGGAGGAGGGAGGAGTAAGGCCTTGGAAGGAAACTCCAGGACAGGTAGGGTGACCGACTGTTCTGATTTGCGTGGGACCGACGGGTTTCCCAGGACATGAGGCTTTCCGTTTTAAAATGAGGGAAGTTCTGGGCAAGCCAGGACTGGTGGTCACCCTAAATGGATAGGGGTTAAAGTGCTGGAGTGAGGCTGGGTGAGAAAGAGGACAGGGAGCCAAGAGGGTGGGGAGGCAGTGATGCACCGGCAGCCCCAGGTGACTGGGCAGTCCAGGGTCTGGATGTGGTCCCTGTTTGGGGTAATCCAGCACTCTGAAGATGAGGGCCCACCTTGGTCTCACCTAGGTGGCGTGTGCGGCTGCAGCATGAGTTAGGGTCAAGGGCAAGGGGAGGAATGGCTGGTGATGTGAGACTGGAGAAGGAGCTGATGGCTCTGTGCATAGCTGGTCACTGCAGGCCCCTGTGGGCTAGGGCTGAGCTGTGCCCCGCTGTGTTTTCAGCACCACCTCCCCTACACTGGGACCTCGTCTCTAACTGGCAGAGTGGTCAATGAAAAAAAGGGCATGCCTTGGCACATCATGGTCAAACTGCTAAAAGCCAAAGACAAGAGAAAATCTTTTCTTTTTTTTAATCCCATCCTAAAGACTAGACAGAACAATATTTTCAATGTCACTCTTTTCTCATCAAAACCAATATAGACCAGAAGACAGTGGAATATCTCTAAAATGCTGAAGGAAAAAAAAAGTCAACTCAGAATTGTTTTTCTAGTGAAAGTATTCTTCCAGAATGAAGATGAAATAAAGCTATTTTCAGATAAAAGAAAACAGAGATTCTTGTCGCCAGCAGACCTCCACTATGAGAAGCGCTAAAGAAAGTTCTTTAGGACGGGCACGATAGCTCACGCCTATAATCCCAGCATTTTGGGAGGCCAAGGTGGGAGGATTGCTTGAGCTCGGAAGATGGAGGCTGCAGTGAGCCATGACGGTGCCACTGCACTCCAGCTTGGGTGACAGAGTGAGACGCTGTCTCAAATTGGAAGAGCAGAGCTGCAGACAGGAATAAGAAGAACGGTAAATTTGAAGGTAAATATAAAATACGATTTTCTTTTTAATGTCTTTAAAATATGTAGAACTGTTCCAGGCAAAAATTATAACATTGTATTGTGAGGTTTATAACATATGTAGCTGTAACATATATGAAGACTGTAGTATAAAGCAGGGGTCCCCAACCCCTGAGCCGTGGACCAGTATTGGAGGTGAGTGGTGGTGAGCAAGCAAAGCTTCATCTGTATTTGTAGCTGCTTCCCATCACTCACATTACCATCTGAACTTCGTCTTCTGTCAGCAGCAGCAGCAGCAGCAGCATTAGATTCTCATAGGGGCACGAACCCTATTGTGAACTATGCATGGAGGGATCTAGGCTGTGTGCTCCTTATGAGAATCTAATGCCTGGTGACCTGTCACTGTCTCCTATCACCCCTAGATGGGACCGTCTAGTTGCAAGAAAACAAGCTCAGGGCTCCCACTGATTCTACATTACGGTGAGTTGTATAATTATTAATATTTCATTATATATTACAATAACAATAATAATAGAAAGAAAACATGCAATGAATGTAATGTGTTTGAACTATCCTGAAACCATCTCCCTCTGGCCCCATCCCTGGTTTGTGGAAAAACCGTTTTCCATGAAGCCAGTCCCTTGTGCCAAAAAGGGTGGGGACTGCTGGTATAGAGGACAAGGGGGTGGACTCATGGTTACAAGTTTCCTTCATTTCACATGAAGTGGTACAATAGGAACTGAGAAAACTGGAGTTTAGGATGCAGACTAATTCCCAGAGCAGCGGGTCTCCACCCTGTGGTGTGGGAAGACCCACAGGCCCTAAGATCCTTTCACGGGGTCTGTGAGGTAACAAAATGACTTTCATAAAAATACTCAGATGTTCTTTGCTTTTTTCCCTCTCATTCTGTCATGGTATATGGTGGATTTACAGAGGCTACGTGATGTGCAATGATTCATCCGTGGCAGTGAGCGGGATGCGTGCTTGTGTATCTTTGTGATTTAAAATGTTCTCAATTTTGATTTCTAGTACAGTGACTATTAATAGATATACCCTACATAAGCCAAAGCTCTCTGGAGTTCTCAATAATTTTTTAAGGGTATAAAGTTTGAGAACAGTTGCCCTAGGGTGACTACTAGTAGAAAAAAGCAAAGAAGTATAGCTGAAAGGCCGATGTAGAAATGAAAATGGATGTCTGAATTTGGGGGGACTTTTTTCTAATAGGGTAACCTATTAGAAATCATCCTGGTCTGTCTAGAAATGAGGTTTTCCTAGGACATGAGGTTTTCAACACTAAAACCAGTTAAGTTCCCCGACACGCCAGGACAGTTGGTCACCTTATTGCTAACACTTCAATCATTTACTTCAGTTCCCTTTCCCTTACCCAAGTGTCCCTAAAGAGCATAGGCCACCTCTGCTCTATGTTAAGGCCCCCAAGTGCAGGTAAGGGAGCTGGGATTCCTGGCATGCTAAGTAAAGGTAGCAAGCTACCAAATTGTAAGGATACTATGTTTACAAATATAGAAAGCACCCGTGAGAAAAATCTAAAATAACTGCTTCCTATTAGAGTATGGGGTTGTGGATGATTTAAACCATGTTTCTCTGTTTAGTAAAACTTCTTTAATATTATTTAATAACTTTGATAGTTACAAAATAAATGTATCTGAAATTATAATTGTGACCAGATGGTCCTTTCTGAGCCAGACAGGATTAGAGAATGAGGGGATGGATCCTTTAATCGGCATCTTTAATCCACATGATTAATGAAGAAGTTTTTGTCCTTGCATATAAACTTAGGCCAGGCATGGGTCTTTCCAATCTTAGCTGGGCAAACAAGGTTGGGGTGCTCCAGTGACTTTATTTTTGGTTTTATTTTTGAAAATCGTGTTGGTGCTGCCCCCTTCTGTCCTGAAAGGGGAAGGGCAGGACAACAGAAAGTGCCTTGGGGCTTCCTGGCCAGGGAGTTTCTCTGCAGCCTTCATGAGCCCCCAGCATTTAGAGAGGAGCTTGCCCTCTCCTGGAATCCAAACAGCCACAGGAGAGCCCAGGCAGAGGAGTCTGGGGCAGCACGAGCCATTTCTGTCCACAGCTTCCCTGTCTTATCTCTAGATACCTTGCCCTGGGCTGGGACACGTGGGGGCTTTTGTGCCCAGTGCCAGGTGAGGAGGGAGATACAGGAGCGAGGTGAAGAGCAGCAGGGGTGATGAGGCGGCTGAGTCAGCCAGACTGGGACCCTTTGCTTCTGTCTGGCATGGCCAGTGGAGATGTGGACAGCCCAGGGCAGAGGGGTGACCCTAATGGGTCACACTCCTCCACCCCCAAGTTATCTCAGGCTTTCATGTCAGGGCCTTGACTTCCATGCCTTATGGACACCTAGGCAGTCGCTAGCTCAACCCCAATGGAGTGTCAGCCACTAGGTTTAGCCCTTAAGCCCATCCTCCCTACTCTGCCAGTATCTAAAATCTCAATCAATCGTGCCCCTTCCCAGGTTAAAACTTTTCAATGACTGTGCCTCCTGATCCATGAGATGAAGCCCCAGCCACTTGTTTGTCTCGTCAGGTTCTTCCTTCATAATCAGGCTCTGCATGACTTTCTGGCTTCGCTCTCCACCGCTGCCGCCTCGCATGTGTGTTCCAGGCGCGGTCATGATGCTATGGCTTCACAAACATGCCTTGCGTTTGCATGTGTGACTCCCCGACCAATGCCGTGTTCTTCAGTCATCAGCATAACATGCTGCTTAAAGGAGTGGGCTTGTGTGCCACACTCACCAGGTTTAAACCCAGGCTCTACCATTTAAAAGTTTGGTGACCAAGGCCAGCTTACATAATTTCTCTGTGCCTCTTAACATCCTCATCTGAAGAACAAGGATGAGGACAACGGTACCCACACCAGAGGGTTGGTGTGAGGGTTAAATGAGTTAATAACCAGAATTGCTTAGGGCAGTGTCTGTCATTTGGCAAACAATAAATATCATTACTTGCTTAGGAAGCAGAATAGAATAGCAAAATGGTTAGATCAGTGGTACTCAACAAGGAGCAGTTTTGCTCCCCAGGGGATATTTGATGATATCTAGAGATTTCTTTTTTCCATTACTGGCATTTAGTGGATACAGGCCAGTGATGCTGGTAAGCATCCTAGTGCACAAGGCAGCAGGTCCCACAACAAAATGTTACCTGGTCCTGAACGTCAATAGGGGCGAGGTGGAGAAACTGAGGGTTGGGTGGTCAGGCTCCAATCTGTTTGGGTTCAAATCCCATCTCTGTCTTTTATTTCATGTATAACCTTTGGCAAATTACTTAAAATTCTCTGTTCCTTAGTTTTCTTATCTGTAGAATGGGGACAATAACCTGTGCTTGGGTTCCTGAGAAGAGTCAGCGTTCGGCATGTAGTACTCATGCCCTGGATGCCGGCCATTTTTACTCACCTCTCTCCCCGTGTCCTCTCCTCTGGGAAGCCCTCTTTGACTCAGAGAAAATGACTTTCCCTGTGCTCATGGACTCTTGATGCATGATAACCTCCTGCCCGTGTGTCTGTCTTTCCCACAGGGCTGTGGGTTCCTTGAGGGAGGAATTTTGTCCTGCAGGCTGTGGCAGCCCTAGGACTCAGCACATCTAGGTGTCCACCTGCGTCTGTGGGTGAGTTCTTGGGATGGGGCAGAGTGGGGAGTATGCACCAGGTTTTGGAGTTTTCAAGGTGTGCAGGGAGGAAGAGAAGCAGGTGGTAGACAGGTGCATCTGGGAGATGGGGTTGGGTAGAGTTTGAGGGTCTGAACACGGCCCTGCCCCATTTACTATTCTCTAGTGAGAAGCCTGATCATTGCCACGTGACCGCCTCCTCACTGTTGGTACCTGGTTGTAGAGAGCAGCTCTGTGAGTAGAAGGAGAAGGATCCTGCCCTGGAGAGGGCCTGGCTGGTCCTCACCTGGGGCCTATCATTTAGTAACAGGGCTTCTGGAAGTGGTAGCAGATCTGGGCCTGGTGGGCATTCTGCTTCTCCTGGGTGGCAGCAGAAGTCCCTAGGTGGCAGGCTGGGGACTGCCCAAAGGTTCTGACTCAGGAAGAGCACAGTGGAACAGAAAGCCCTTGTACCACCTTCGCTGCTGTATTCGTCCATTCTCACACTGCTGTACAGAACTACCTGAGACTGGGGAATTCATGAAGAGAAGAAGTTTAATTGACTCACAGTTCTGCGGGCTTAACAGGAAGCATGACTGGGAGGCCTCAGGAAGCTTATAATCATGGCAGAAGGCGAAGGGGAAGCAAGGACCTTCTTCACATGGCAGCAGGAGAAAGAGAAGAAGGGAGAAGTCTACACACTTTTAAACAACCAGATCTCATGAGAATTCCATCGGGAGACAGCACTAGGGGGATGGCACTAAACCATTAGAAACTGCCCCCATGATCCAATCACCTCTCACCAGGCCCCTCCTCCAACACGTGGGGATTACAATTCCACATGAGATTTGGTTGGGGACATAGAGCCAAATCCTATCAGCTGGTATCCTCCTTTTTCCAGGCTTTAGATATGGCACAACCTGATGGCTTCTGCATAAAGCCTCCTCTCATCTGCATCTCTCCACCTCACTCACCCTCTTTTCAGCAAAGAACCCTCTGGCTCTAGTTTCACTGTGGTGGTCCTGGGAGAGGTAGAGAAGACCCAGAGGCTCCTTACCCTGGGAGGTCAAACTGACCATCCAGGTTTGGCTCTTCCCTGCTGGTGTGTCTAGAACACCATCTTCCCCTTATTGCTGTGGACTTCAGGGCTCTGCTGCTCTGTCCTCCACAGAACTTGTCAATCAGCTTCCTACCAGCTAAGATCTGGTGCTGTCTGATATATCCTCCCTGCGGCTTGTCACTCATGCTGTCTAATGGCGTGAGGTGCATTGAGTTGTATTCTGATGTCTTTGTCCTTTTGAAGCCACAGAGTAAGGTCACACAACTTTGAAACGAGCAGGGTACCATCTGAAGATGCTGGACATTCCTTTTAACAATTACCTAGGGGAGAGGCAGTCCTCAGACAGGACTCAGGTGGGTGGGCCTCAAAGAGGAAGGGAAAGGGGGCAGCTGCCTGCCTCTGAACTTCACTCTCTAGACTCGTGGAAGGGTCTAGCTTAGAGCTAGGATGGGAGGGCTGTGAGCACTGAGGATGGAGTCATGCCTTTTTGTGACTGGACACATTTTTACTGCCCGAAGTCATCTACTGCCCCCACCCCCCAACCCCATTCTTCTGCCCACTTAGCGAATATTGAGGTTATGGTCAGGATGGGGTCATTTGCAATGAAATTCAAGGTTGAGACTATGTTGCAGTTATCTGTCTGCTTGTAAAAAGTCACCCCCACATTTTGTTTAAAACAGCAAGTATGTACTATTTCACACAGTTTCTGTGGGTCAGGAATCCAGAAGCGGCTGAGATGGGTAGTTTAGGATCAGGGTCTCTCACAAGGCTTTGGTCCAGGTGCAGGCTGCAGTCCTCCAGAGGCGGGACTGGGGCTGGAGGTCTGCTTCCAGACGGTCACTCACATGGATGTGGGCAGGCGGCCTCAGTTCCCTGCCACATGGCCCTCCTCATAGGACGCTTGAGTGTCCTCGCGGCATAGCAGCTGGCTTTCCCCAGAGTGACCCAAGGTGGAAAGAACAAGGCAGAGGTGACAGTGTCTTTTATAAGCCAGCCTTGGAAGTGACGTAGCATCATTTCTGCCTTATTCCATTGGTCACACAGACAACCCGATGTGGAAGGAGACATCACAAGGACAGGAATACTGGGAAGCAGGTATTGTTGGTGGCTGTCTCGGACGCTGGTTCTCATAGAAGTAGATGTATTATTTTAGTACAATAAGTGCAGACGATCAGCTAGCAGGATGTTATTTTTGCTGGGTATGGTTGTATTTCAGGTGCATTTACCCAAATCCAGAGTACCTTTGGGGGCTCTGACCCTCTCCTCCTCCACCTTGAGATCTGTAGAGGCCTCTCGTTCATCCCACCAAGAGCAGGACTGGACAGATGAAAGCATGGCTTACAGGAGGCCAACACAATAGGAGGTAGGGCTTTGGGAAGACAGCATAGGTTTCAAAAGAACCAAGAAGCTGTTGAAAAGGAGAGCAGATGGGCAGGGAAGACAAGTCCCAGATAGAATGCCCTTTGCAACCTAGGGGGAGCTGACCACAGTGTGCATCCTGACACTCGAAGACAAGGTCTCCATCAGCAGATTGCCCAACAGAACAAGTTCAGAGCCCAGAGATCCCAGTTCCAGATCTCAGATCTCCCACACCCTGTGGGCTCTGTGTGGACTTTCGTCCTGAAACAAAGTCCTTTAGTAAAGGACTCTTTAAATTCACTCCATCTGTGCTTTGCTTGCCAATAGCAGGGTGCGTCTGTTACATACTGGACTATCCCTTCCTTCAATATGTTCATGGCTGAGGCTGCATTTGTGCCTCAGATAATCAAGGTGAGTATAACTCTCTGTTCTGTTTCCCTTTTGTTTCCTCCAAGACTTTAATAAACCCTCATTCAAGAGGCCCACCTTGTCCCACCTGTGCTTCTCAGAAAAGAAGGAGTGGTGGGGAGACAGGCTGGGGTGGGGGCTTTGCCACCTGGCTGCCCCTTCACCTGTGGGTTCTTGCTCCAATGAGGACCCAGCAGGATAAGCTTTAGTTTCATTAAGGGTGACAATAGTTTCCTTACAGCTGGGTCAAGGATATGAGCGAGCCTCTTCCGAAAACAGCCGGGAAGGGAGAGGAATCCAAGAGGAGGAGCAGGTGGGAAAGACAAGACAGAAGGTGGATCGGGACCAGGCCTGGGAGGGAGCACAGGCACACAGAAGTGAAAGAATTCGCCTGAGGTTACACGACTCCTCGAGCGGTGCCTTTAGCTCTGCATTGTGCCACCTGCCTGGGTCAAGGAAGATGCCACCGCTGTTGTTCTGTGTACAGAGAGGGAAAGGAAGATGCTGGCTCTCAGCAGTTCTATAGAACAGAGGATGGAGAGGCCACACGACAATAGGCACACGCACCGTACATTGAAGAAGTGCATGCAAGACAGAATCGTGTGGGATATGCACACTTGCGTGGAAGAAAAACTGTTCCATTCACATTGAGGTAGACCCTCCATCTATGACTCATCTGTAGGGCAGGGGTGTGGGCACATACTGAGGCATGAATGGAGGGGAAGCTGGAGCTCTGCTGGTGTAGAAAGGCGATGGGATATGCTCGCTTCAGCAGCACATATACTCAAATTGGAAGGATACAGAAGAGATTAGCATGGCCCCTGTGCAAGGATGATATGCAAATTCATGAAGTGTTTTTAAAAATCATTTTAGAAGAAGAAGAAGAAGAGGAGGAGGAGGAGGAGGAAGAAGAAAGATGGTGAGATATCCTGCAGGAGACCAGGGCCAGGAGGGTGGAGGCCTCTCAAGAAGAGGGAAGCATGAGGAAGCTCCAGGGCAGGGTGAGGGCGCTGGTTCCTGTATTCAGCTGTCATAGGGAGGAGGGGAGTAGCTGGGAGGGTTAAGGGAGAGTGGCAGTACCTGCAGCTGGTGGCTGGGGAGTCCAGGTCTGGGATGTGGCCTCTGCTGCTGGTGCCCGGCACCTTGAATGAGATAGCAGTACGTACTGTGGGGGATGGGGGGGGGTCCCAAGGGCTGGGGGGTAGGGGTGGATGGAGCTGATGACTGTGCAGCCATCACTGCAGTGGCACTGGGCTGGGCAGCTGTCCCTGCGTCATCCCTTTTCTCCTGCATTGAAGCCTTCTCTCCATGGGTGGGAAGGCTAGAGTGGCTATTGCAGCAGGGGCTCTGGAGGGCAATGCTGTCCCGGGGAGCCCAGGCACCCTTCTCTGGGGATGGGGGGTGGGGTGCAATGAGAGACTCTGGATATGGATCCCTTAGGGAGGCAACTCCCCTTCATCCTTGTCACCCCCAGATGGTTTACCTGCCTGGACAGCAAGATGATGGCTACACTAGCCCCCATTCTCTGGTATGTGTCACTTACACTTCGGTGTAAATATGTCACTGTGTAACCTCAAGGGTAGTGGCACTTGATGCCTTGTCCTTAACTGAAGAACACAAGGCTTTGCTTCTAGTTAAGAGAATTTCAATCATCAGGTGAAGAGGCAGGGAATAGTGCAAGTAATGATAGCCAGCATCTGTCAGGGCGCACTCCACTCCAGGTCCTCTGCTGAGTGTGCATGCAATCTTCACAAAATTCCCAGCAGGAAGGAAATACTCTTGGTGTTGCCTTGTGGGCTGGCCAATGTGGCTCATCTGCTGAAGGCTGGCGATTTGTATATACTCCTGCAGCTAGTAATAGGTGGCATTTCATGCCTGGCCACTATGCAGCACTGCCTCCCAATTTTGGGTGGCATTTTAGGTTCCTCTAGAGCCTCTGAGGCAAGTGATTTGTCCATGAACCCAATGGCCTGGCTATGCTGGTGACCTTCTGCTTGGGCACTGCCCACGGGGAACAGAACAGAGGCTCTGAGAGCTGCCTCCTCTCCCTGGTGGCCAGAGTAAAGTGAGGGCAGAGGGAAGGGAGCTTGGGAAAGGGTGGGGTAGGGGGAGGCAGGAGGCTCACCCCCAGCTAGATGGTGGGTCAAGAAGCCCTTGAGAAAGATGGAGATCCTTCTTGTTTTTGCTGGAAAGGTGAGTGTGGAAGGTCAGCTACGTTTTATACCCCCGGTACCTAAGTGGCCTCTAGTAGGGGTGCATATTCAGCATGGAGCACAGGTTCCCACAGAGCAATGCCGTCCTGTTGGCTGAGGTCTGGGGAGAGGGGGCAGGCCTGGAGAGTGCCGATTCTGGCCCCTGGGCAGGCAGGGTTCTCTGGGTACTCCTTGCACCCTGGCCTCAGAGGCCTTGGCTACCACTGTTGTTTCTTTCTTTCTGTCCTCCATGCAAACTCAGGTCAGTTATATCACAGTCCTTCACAGGGCGCCTGGATTTGCCCACCAGATCTCCTCACCTCTTGCCCTTCACCTCCTGCTGTACCTACAAGGTCTCCCCGATTCTCATCTGCCCATAATCATGGACACAGCCCCAGGATGTGCAGGGTGAGTCCCCAGGGACCCTGAAAGCATGGGTACTCTTATGACTGAGGGCGTTACACCAGGGAGAGGGAGCCGGGGAGACTTCCCAGAGAGCTGGTTGGGGGTTATGAAAGTGGCCTCACGGCTGATGCGGTGGCTAACACCTGTAATCCCAGCACTTTGGGAGGCTGAGGCGGGCAGATTGCTTGAGGTCAGGAGTTCGAGATCAGCCTGGCCAACATGGTGAAACCCAGTCTTTACTAAAAATACAAAAAAATTACGTGGGCCTGGTGGCACGTGCCTGTAGTGCCGGCTACTCAGGAGGCTGAGGCACAAGAATCACTTGAACCTGGGAGGCGGAGGCTGCAGTGAGCCGAGATTGCACCACTGCACTCCAGCCTGGGCGGCAGAGCAAGATTCTGTCTCAAAAAAAAAAAAAAAGAAAAAGAAAAAAGAAAAAGTGGTCCCAGGCCAGGTGGGAGCAGCAGGCTCTAGGGGAGGAAGTGCATCCTGTGGAAGAGCAGGGAGCCGCTGGAGGGGTGGGGAGGGAAGGGGCAGCTCCCACCCTCATCTCCATCGTCCGCATGCTGGGGATACCAGGCCTCTTACTTGGGGTACTTAAGGCTAGACCAGATGGGGTTCCTGCATCTTAGGGAGTGACATTAGGGTGGGGGAAAGGTACCAAAATGGCCATGCCTCTGCTGTCTCTTGGGATCTTGAGATCTGTGGTGGCCTCTAGGAGTTCTCTGCTGCCAATAAGTGGTCCAACCATGTTACAGGATTGGACCCGGGATGGCCTTTGTGCTTTAGAGCTGAGGCACTTCCTGCTTCTACCTGAGCTCCTTTTCAACATATAGGCCTGGGCACGTAGGCGTCAGGGTCATGTGGGAGGTGGAGGCCGAGGGGAGAGGTGGGCAGTGGGGAGGGGTACACGGCTAGACCTTGTTGCTCTGCCTCCTCTTGGGACCCCCCAGTGGGATGGAGCCCAAGTCCTTGGGCAGCACATGGTCCTCTGCTTCACAGGACACACACCTGTACCCATCCTCCCCATCCACTTTTGCTCAGTTTATTTTGGGGACAGGGCTCTGAATTGACCTTTGGTCTTTGCAGACTCTCAGGGACCATCTGGAGTTCCAGCTGGAATCTGGGCCTGGTGGAGTGGGAGTGGGGCAGGGGCCTGCATTGGGCTGACTTAGAGAGCACAGTTATTCCATCCATATGGAAATAAACATTTTGGATTCCTGATCACATCCCTGGAGTTTAAGACTCTGGCCAACCAAGTCAACTCCACAACTTTGTGTGTCCCTGGGAGGGTCTGGTGTGGGACCCACCTGTCTGTGGCCCTCGTCCCCTCCCCTGCCCTTTCTCCACTCACATCTTGGTCCCTCTGGTGATTATCTCTTCCCTCTGAGGACAGATGGAACCTGATTTGAATGAGGGGTAATGGTCTTGTGAGGACCAGGACATGGATTGGGTGTGTGTTTATATGTGTGTGTGTGTATGTGTGTGTGTGTGTGGTGGGAATGGAATATCAGAGAAGGTGGTGGAGGAGGGAGGATTGAATTTGGAGAATCCCTGGCTTCTAGTGTCCGCAGGGGAAACAGCAGCTCCAGCTTCCCACAGCGGTCCCCTCCCCTCTGCAGGTCGAGCTCCCACCCTCTTGGAAATGCCTCTGAAGCTGCATAGTCCTCCCCTGATGCTTGTGCTCCCTTAGGGGATCTCCAGGCCTTTGGGTGTGGTCTGGCCCCTGGAGAAGTGTGGTCGAGTGGAGGATGGGGTCCTGCAGTGGCCATGTTCTGGACGCCCACATCACGGGGAGTTTTGAGGGATTGAGCCCACTTTAGCTTGGGTCTTAAAACCACCATGGTAAGAAGTGTCAACCTTTGGGGGAAAAATAAAAATATATAGAAATATTTAGAAAAACCCACCATGGGGGCCTACAAGTTCCTGAGTCAAGGCCTCTGCCGAGACTCCACTGACCAGCATGGTCACTGAAGGGCATGGAGGACCGTCCTGTGGGAAGAGGCTTGGACATGCACTGTGAACTCAAGAGCAAGGACACTGTGTTGATCTGGAGATGTGGGCAATGGGCGAGTACACACGGAGCATCCTCCTGTGCCTTGGAATGGGACAAGGTGGATTCCAGCAGCCCTCAGAGCTTCTGCTGGGTGGCTTTGCAAAGAAGGGGCTTTCCACTCTACTGTGGACATCTGCAGAGATTGGGCAGGGAATAAGATTTTCCATTCAACCCTGAGTTCCTTTTTTTTTTCTATTCCAAATTCATTCCAGAGCATGTGGTAGGATCAGTATCACAAGCCCCTAGTTCTTGGCCAGAGCCCTAGTGACTGTCTTGTGTGCATGGGGGGGCCAGCCGTTGCAGGAAGATGGGTCAAGAGTCTTCATCTGATGAGGGCCAGGGACTTTCCAACTCCCTCAACCCTTCCCCCAGGCTCTTTTCCCACCCTCACATTGAGCCCTCTTCACTCTGATAGTTGGGCCCCCTAGGACTTTTATTCTGAAAGAGCCAAGGCCCCTGGAGGTGGAGAGGAGGCCAGAGGCTGGAGCTGGCCTTGACCCTGAGCCAGCTCCACCCTTCTGGGCTGTTTTCCAAGGCAGCAACTCTGGGACCCTTGCTGTCCTCAGCTCTCCTCTTTATCTCTGGTCTCCAGCCTTGCTGGCCTTTGAGCAGAGGGTCCCTATAGCCAGGACTGCTGGGCTTCTCCCTCCTATGCCTTCACACCCCTGTATTACTGTCTTTTATTCCTTGACCTCACATCCTCCGTCTACTTCCTTTTTCAGCTTTTTCTGGCTTTCTTGCTGCTTGCCCTTCCCAAAGCAGACACGGAGGACAGGTCACCATTTAGAAGCTCCCCGCCTCCCCAAGCACTGGACAAAGGTCTTACCCCATTCCATCCCTCATTCCCAACACATAGGATGGAAGTATCAAATGGCCAGATGCCTTCAGATGTCAGAACCGTGGAGTCCGTTGAACCCTGTGTGTGGGGGGCTGTGTCTTGGGCCTGGTTTTGTTGAGCACATGAGACTTTCTCAAGGATAAGGACAAAGAAATGGACAAAAAGACTCTGCCAGTAGCCCCTGTTTAAACTCTTGAACCCCAGTCACAGTTTTCCAGAAGTCCATCAGGATAGAATTTTCACTAATCGCCAAATGCCCAAAGCTTAGTTCTTTCTTAGAAGGAAAAGAAGAGGTCAAATGGACAGGAGAGAGCGGAGATTGGTTGTTCTCAGGGGCTCCTTCCCTTTGCCTGCTTCTTTCATTTGGGACGCCAGACCTTGACCTGGAAGTGAGGTCACTATTGGGCAGTGGAGTGTGAGAAAGGACTTTGGCCTGGGGGCTGCAAGTTACAGATTAACACGGGGAGGGGTGAGGAGGGACCCAGAGGGAGGAAAGGTGGCCAGAGGAAGGGACAGCTGACCTGGCACAATCTGGGCTTGAAGGGGGCACAACAAGAGCGTCTGTGAGCTGGTGCTGTCTGGAGGGATCTTGGCTCCTCTCCGGCTATCTGACCTTCCTGAAGACCTGCTCGCACACTGCATCCCTTGCAGTCAGTTCCTGGGGAGAGAGGGGAAGTGAGGGGGAGAGAGAAAGAGGGCGTTTGCCAGCCAGAGCCCCTTTCTCAAGGTCCTTGACCTCCATTTACTCCTTCCGGATACAGCAGCTTGAGTGTTTGATGTATGGGCAATTGTATCATTATTCCACATCCTCAACTTTCCACCCCTCAGGAAGGAAGGTGGCTGGGTCAGGGGATGTGAGTGGCTGAAGCCTCCATCTCGCCAGTGATGATTTATGGGCATTCATCCGACTCGTAGCCAGGGCCCACCTTGGCCACTCTGTTTCTTCCTCTCCCCACTCCTCCCAGTGCTTTTGCTTTCCCTCCCTGGTCAATTCCTTGGATAGGGATTGGGGCTGGGCTGGGGGAAGAGTGGTGGACCTATCTGGTTTGGACAAGGGGATGCCTTATAGCTGGAGGCCCTTCTCCCAGACACCCAGCCCCCACCCCATTTACCAGATACAGCATCTCTCCCTCCAGCCAGTGTCTCCAGCCCCGGTTGGGGACCTCCCCTTTCTGCACACACACCAGGTGCTCCTCCTCCCAGGTTACTATGGTCTATAGGGGAAAGAGGGAGTAAAGAAAGATTAGGAGGCAGGACACTCAAAATGCTTCCCATCTCACTCTGAATGGGCTCCCCCTTTTACTCCACAGCAGATACTGTCTGCTGCAGCCCCTCCACTGAGCGAGGGAGCTGCTCTGATTCAGCAGGACTCCCTTTCCACCCTACTCTTTGTTTTTTGTGTTTTTTTGAGACAAGTTCTTGCTCTGTCACCCAGGCTGGAGTGCAGTGGCAGGATCTCGGCTCACTGCAACCTCTGCCTCCTGGGTTCAAGTGAATCTCATGCCTCAGCTACCAGAGTAGCTGGGATTACAGGCGTGCACCAACATACCGGGTTAATTTTTGTATTTTTAGTAGAGACAGGGTTTCTCCATGTTGGCCAGGCTGGACTTAAACTCCTGAGCTCAAGTGATCCGCCCGCCACCGCTTCCTAAAGTGCTGTGACTATAGGCATGAACCATCACACCCAGCTTTCCACTCCTAAAGGTCACCGAGGGGGGCCCAAAGTTGTCTACAGTGACCTTTAGGGGAGAGCAGGGGTGGTAGCAGGATAAGTAGAGGTGAAATTGGGGAGGGCATTTATGAAGAATGGAGACTTTTTCCTCTGGATACTTCTGGCTGACCTAGAGGGACTTTTGAGAAAAAAGAGAGATTGGTTGGGAATCCTACCAGGTAATCTCATTTCTCCTCTTTCTCGGTTTCAAGAACAGCTGAAGTATCCTTAGAAATAAAGGGTCAGCCCCTCTGGGCCTGAGCATTCCAATCAACCTTTATTGAGTTCTCCTTTAGGATAGGCCCCAAACAAGGAGCTCAGAGTCTTGAAGAGATAGAGGATCAGTAAATAGGTAACTGTGACACCAGGCAAGAGTGAGGGATGGCAGTGGGGCGGGCAGAGTGAAATCTTTAAGGAAGTTGGGAGTTAATTAGATTGGAGAGAATGGGAAATTTCTAGCAAGGAAAGAAACAGCTAGAAATAGCGGTAAAAGAGAAAGGCAATTAGTTCTGAAGGGCTCTAACCTAGAGTATATGTGGTGGAGGCAATTGAAGAGTTGATTCACAGAGACCCTTGTATGCTGAGTTAAGTGTAACAGATGATGTAATGTAATAGATCATCACTGAAAGGGTGTAAGTCAGAGAGTGACATGATCACATTTATGTTTTAAGTAGACCCTGTGGCTACAGCATGCAGATTAGAGGAGGGTTAAGCGTGAGAACCAGCTGGGTGCAGTGGCTTAGGCCCGTAATCTCAGCATTTGGGAGGCTGAGGCGGGAGAATCACTTGAAGTCAAGAGTTTGAGACCAGCCTGGGCAACACAGTGAGACCCCACCTCTACCAAAAAAAAAAAAACACAAAAACACAAAAAAGCAATTTCAGGCACCAGGAAATGAAGGCCTGAATTAGGGTGGTGATAGAGAAAGGTTAGGAGGGAACACAGGAGAGCCATTTAGAAGAGTGATGCTCAACAGAAATAAAATGGGTCAGGAGCCATATTAGAAAAGTAAAGAGAAATAGGGGAAATTAATTTAAATAATATATTTTAGTTAACCAAAAATATTCAAAATATTATTATTTCGGCATGCAGCCAATATAAACATTTCCGAAATGCTTCTTTTTATTTGGCATTGTCTGAAAGTCCACTTACAGCATCTAGATTTGGACTAGTTATATTTCAAGTATTCAACGGCCATCTGAAGTTAGCAGCTGCTATACTGGGTAATGCAGAAAAGCTACAAAGATTTCTTGGCCGATTAGATGTGGTGGTGGTGGTGGTGGTGGTGTGTGTGTGTGTGTGTGTGTGTGTGTGTGTGTGTGTGTGTGTGTGTGCTGGGAGCCTAGAGGTAAGGAAACAAGAGATATTGACCATGACTCCCAGGTCTCTGGCCTGGCTGGTTATTGCCATTAGTGGAGAGAGTAGATATAAAAGTGGGGTAGGTTTGGATAGGAAGACAGTGAATTTGAATTTGACCTTGGCATTCAAATGGAAATTGGTTCCAGGACCCCCACCTCACTAAATCTGCTGAATAAAATGGCTTAGTATCTGTAGAGAAACTACATACATCCCCCTGTGTACTTTATTATTATCATTTTGATACAGAGTCTTGCTCTGTCACCCAGACTAGAATGCAATGGCATGATCTTGGCTCACTGCAACCTCTGGCTCCCGGGTTCAAGTAATTCTCCTGCCTCAGCCTCCCAAGTAGCTGGGATTACAGGCATGCGCCACCATGCCCGGCTAATTTTTGTACTTTTGTATTTTTTTTTTTTTTTTTTTTTGAGATAGAATTTCGCTCTTGTTGCCCAGGCTGGAGTGCAGTGGTGCGATCTTGGCTCACTGCAACCTCTGCCTCCCAGGTTCAAGTGATTCTTCTGCCTCAGCCTCCTGAGTAGCTGGGATTACAGGCATGCGCCACCATGCCTGCCTAATTTTTTGTATTTTTAGTAGAGATGGGGTTTCTCCATGTTGGTCAGGCTGGTCTCGAACTCTTGACCTCAGGTGATCCGCCCGCCTTGGCCTCCCAAAGTACTGGGATTACAGGTGTGAGCCACTGCACCTGGCCTAATTTATGTATTTTTAGTAGAGATGAGGTTTCACCATGTTGGCCAGGCTGGTCTTGAACTCCTGGCCTCAAGTGATCTGCCTGCCTCAGCCTCCCAAAGTCTTGGGATTATGGGTGTGAGCCACCACGCCCAGCCTTTTCCCATATGCTTTAAATCATCTCTAGATTACTTATAATACCTAATGCAATGTACATGCTCTGTAAATAGTTGCTATACTGTATTGTTTTTTATTTGTATCATTTTGTATTGTTATTTTTTATTTTTATTTTTCCCAAATATTTTTCCATTTGCAGTTTGCTGAAGCTGTGGATGCAGAACCCATGAATATGGAGGGCCAACTGTATTTTGTAGGCAGTTGAAAACATTGCCCTGGAGCTCAGGAGATGGCTCTGGCTGGAGAATTCATGCCAAGGGCAGCCTATAGATGGAAGCAGAAGGCATGGGTGTAGATGATTTAGCCTATGGATAGTGGGCAGACAAAAGGGAGAAGACATTAAGAACAAAACTCTGCGGAGAAAACTCCAGTTTAAAGGATTAATAGGAGGACTAGGATCTGCAAAGGAGGCTAAGAAGGAATATGTAAGAAGTAGAAAGAAATGCAGGAGAGTGAAGTTATTGATGCTAAAGTAAAAGGGACTCTGGGTGACCAACAGTGTCACAGGCTGGAGGGTGGGCAAATGTTTGCTCTTCGGTCTGGGTTGGCCTGTTCTTTGCCCTTTGGGCTGGTGATAAGAGGGGGCAGGGAAGAAGTGGGAGAGAGACAGGGAGCACCAGGACCTGTTAGTTCTGGAGACTGGTATCCTGGGGACTGCATTCCCTGCTGTGGTGACCATTCCCCTCCTCCCCGCTGCTCTGGCTGGGGAAGGTCACTTTGTTTTGCCCCATGTTGTTAGGAGTCTCCTGTGATGCCTCCTTCCGGCCACCGCCCAGCCAGGGGAAATGTACCTGGCATTTTCGTCCGTCCACGCTCCTGAGGTCCTCCTCAAACTCCACTCCCACATCAAACTGCACAGTGTAGTTTCGGAAGGTGCTGAGCGTCCTCACCGTCATGTGGTTGCCCTGGTGTTCGATCTCCTTGTCCGGCTTCAGCAGCAGCGCGATCTTCCGCACAGCCAAGCTGATGTCTGTGGGGGCTGCCTGTTAGTAGGGGTGCTGCTAGCCAGCCAGGAGCTCCTCTGCCTGCAGCAGCCCCTCAGGGCTGTGAGTTTCCCTTCTTTGGGTCTGGGACTGTGGATTCACCCCCTCCTACCAATGCCTGGTTAGAAATGGATCCCAGGTCTGGTGCCAGCCGCCTGAGCCTTTCCACAGTGTCCAACCCCGGGCATTCCCTCTTCTCCATGGGACCAAGAAGCAGGAAGGAAGAGGGGAGAAAGGGAGTGACAGGGGTCTGGGAGGGCGAGGCCATTACTTAGGGCTTGCAGGTAGTCCTCCATGTTCTTCTGCGAGACAAAGCGGTAGTAGCCAGTGAGGTTGGGAGGCATTGTGTGGATGAAGGTTTCAGGAGAATGCAGGAGACAGGGTGAGGAAGGAGGGGGTGTTGTCTGGCAGGTGAGGCTGAGAGATTCCAGCCAGCTCCACACACAGAGACAGGATGTGTAATGGCCGGGTTACCAGGGCTTTTTATAAGGCTGGGGCCCTGTTGCAATAAGAGTCCCTACCAGACTTCTTCCCTCCCCGCATGGTGAGTTTGGGGGTGGTGTCTCCAGCCTGAAGGAGGGGCAGGGATTTGGCAAAGTTGCGCCTGACCTTGGCTTTTCCTGAGGAAGGAACCTGGAGCAGGATCCTTCCTGAGGAAGGAACCTGGAGCAGGATCTGGGGCTGTCAGTCATCCAAAACTCAGCCATCCAAAGGTCAGTGTTGGCCTCCACCTCATTTCTGGCAGGCTTGGGAACCGTCCCAGGGCCTGAGGGGCAGTCTTTCCTGGGAGACACCTGAGGCTGGTCTGGCTGTGTGAGGTGGAGATGAGTTCCAACAATATCCTGAGATCCTGGGACTGAGTGATGTTGGAAGATGTGAGGGGAGGGGGTGAGGATGGCCAGCTGCCACCATGAAGAGCACCCTGTAGGCCTGGCTCTCAGAGCTCCCTCAGGTAGTGTGCTCAACTGGGACCCCAAAGTGGCATTCCAGACTCTTGGTCCTAAAGAGCCATTAGGAGGGAGGTGGAGCCCGAGGGGTGCTGAGTTCAAAGTCCGGAACAGACAGCCTGAGAGGAGTTTGTTGGCTATTCTGGAGAATTTTATTCTTTTTGGCTTGGGACCCAGGGGGTTTTCTCTCCCTCTGAGTCATCGATGAGACCGTAACCCCCAGTCCCCAGCCCTAGGACAGCCCATGCTTTCCAGATGTATTTCTGTGAAGGTGGGGTGGAGGCGCCTAAATAATATTGTGCCCCGCCCCCAGCTGCCCAATTCTCTCTCGAACCTGCCATCGTCCCGGGCTTCAGAATCCACTGGGCTTGGTTCATCATGGTTTAAGGTGAAATTCGGGGCGAAGGAGGCAGGACAGGTAGGCAGGAGGAGGCGGCCGGTCCCGACAGGTGCGTGCGCGAGGGGTGCACGACGTCCTGCCCCTCCTTGGGTCCCAGAGCCTCGATACCGCCCTGCGGACCGCCCTGTGGCTTCCTCGCAGCCCTGGGCTACAAATGCCAGGATTTCTCAGGCTCAGACTGAGGGTTTTACTTCACCCTTCCCAGAGGGCACGCAGCACGGATCTGTGGATGGAAGGGGCTGTGGAAACAGGTTATGGCAGAGTTGGGGGGCGGGGTGACGCGGTGCCACCCCTCCTGGCCGCCCTCAGGTCCCGCTGACGTCTCTCTTCCCCACCCCCTGGCTTCTGGCTTCTTTCTCCCCACGTCCCTCTTCTTTCCCACCCCCTCCGTGGCTCTCCAGCTTCCTCCCCAGCCCCCGCAGTTCCTCGGCTCCCCCAAAATTGCAGCCAGGGGAAGGAGCCTTGAAACTCTCCAGCCCCGACGCCCCAGTCTCATTGGCTCCCTCCCCCGCTGCAGCACCTGGTCCCCCCCCCTCCCAGTCACCTGATTGGCCGGCGGCCCCATCAATCGTTGCCCGGCTGTGCTGACGTCATCCTGCAGTAGCGGGGTTGGGGTGGGAGTGAGAGAGTGAGGACGCTGGGCTGGGGGAAACGGGAAGCCGCTGCAAGTCCACCGCCTCAGCTACCCAGATTGGGATCTGCCCAGGCCCGCTTTATGGACTAGTGTGGGCGGCAGGCTCCTTTCCGTCCCTGCCCTGCTGTACCCCGCTCCTTGGAGACCCCCTGTATCCCTCCCGCAAGGTGGAATCCGCAGGCTGGAGGCTCCCAGGGGAGGCAAACGCCTGGCCCTGCCCTGCCCCACGCCGCACCATGACCCTCCTGCTGCTGCCCCTTCTGCTGGCCTCTCTGCTCGCGTCCTGCTCCTGTAACAAAGGTGAGTGAGGTGGGGGTGGGGGTACCGAAAGAGGGGCGTCGGGCAGCGCCGTGCGGGGTGGGGGTGGGAAGGAGGTGTCGAGGCTCCCTGGCACCTGACAGGTGTCTGGCCCTCTTCTGATCACCCTCCTTCCCATCCGTTCTCAGACCTGCTCCGTCTCCTCTCTTTCTCTTCCCCCAGCTACATCTTCCTTTCTGGTCCATCTCTACCCATGCGTTTCTCTTGCTGGTCATCTTGCTCCCATTTGGTCTCCATTCCCGTCCTGGGGTCTCTATTCTCCCCTTCCCCTAATTTCTACACGCTGGTGGCTACCTCGGGTCTGGGAAGGACTGCCCCCGAGCCGGTGATAGGCCTCTCCCCGCGGCTCTCCCTTTCACTGGCGCATGCTAAGGGTG
Organism: Homo sapiens; assembly: GCF_000001405.40. Classification (NCBI taxonomy): domain Eukaryota; kingdom Metazoa; phylum Chordata; class Mammalia; order Primates; family Hominidae; genus Homo; species Homo sapiens. The sequence continues at coordinate 7,131,108 of NC_000012.12, forward strand.
TGTGGCAGATCCATCTGCTTCGCCTCCATCCCATCCTGGGGAGAAAGTATTTGCTGCAGTTCAGCAATTCGGAGCACGTATGTTTTTTGCGTGTGCCTCTGCATTCAGACCCTTTTGCCTGCATCAGCTGGGCTGTGGGTTACCAGAGCTGCCCTCTCTGGCAGACAGCGGATACATTCAGCTGGGCGGGGCTGTCGGACAGACGGAGAGGGAGGACGGGAGGGAGGGCTTGCGGGCAGAGGGCTCAGGTAGGTGGAAACGGATGGAGACTGGCAGGAAAGGGCAGAAGTGGGTGTGTGGGGGGCGCTAAATGAGTATGAGAGGGAAAGCTGAGAAGGAGAAGACCGGAGATGAGGCGTGGGAGGGGGTAAGGAGGGGATGGAAAAGGGTAAAGGTGGAGGCAGAAAAAAGAGGGAGGAATGAGGAAAATCAGGAAAAGAGTGAGTCAAGGAGGAGCCCGGGAGCCTAGGAGTGAAAGGGAGCAAACGCAGAGACCGCAGGGGGCCAGGAGGAGAGGAGACAGAGGCTCAGAGACCTGGGAAGACAAGCAGGGTGGGAGGGGGAGCTGTGCAGAGGGCGCCCAGCCCTGCCCTTCCACCGCTCTCTCTTCCTTGCCTGCATCTCTGACCTCAGCCTCGCCTCCTAGCCTCCTGCCACTTCCTGTACCGCCTCCTGTGCACCATCTTGTGGCTTTCTCCTCAGCATTCAGGAAGGGGTTATGGTGGTCATCAGTAAGAAAGCCTTCCCATGCCAAAGGCTTGCTGGTGTGTGGTTGGAGGAAAGAATGGAAATCAGGGTTTCTTGCTCACCGTGAGATACTGGGGATGAGGTTCCTTTTGGTGACTCAGTTTCCCTCTGCCTCATGATTGTGCTTTGGGAGCCTGGGTGTTGGCATGATGATGGGATTAGAGCAAGCGTGGAGGCTGGGGTGGGGGGTGATGTGGAAGGGGAGGAAATATGCTTCCCCACAGCCCCTCACCAGGCTGAATCTGGTAGAAGATGGGGAGATTTGGAGTCTGATGAGTCCCGCATCCATTCTGAATTGGCTGGTGGTTGAAGGGAAGAGGGATGGGGTAGATAAGAACTGGGATTGAGTTCTGTATAAAAAGTGGGTTTCAGGGAATGTGGTTTGATGGTCTTGTGGAGGACATAGAAATGTGTCGGTTTCGAATGTGTTCTCTTGGGTGTGGGGGTGGGAAGCAGGGACGGGATTTGTCATGTTTCTAGGCCAGCCCGATAATCCCTTAGGATGACGGCTCTGCTGGGTCCAGTTGCTCAGCATTGATTCCTCTGCTCCATTCCTGCCCCTCTCTGCCCCCTCCCTCTGTCCTATATATCTTCACTTCTCTCCTTTCTCCCCATCCTGTGTTCTGGGAGAGTGGCCTCAAGTTGGGGCTTGGCTGGGAGAAGTGCAGAGTGAAGGGATCAGGACTGAAATGAGTTGGGAGGAGGATAAGCAATCAGGATCTCAGGAAACTTCTAGATCTTTTTCTAGTTTCAATTCTGCCCTTAATCTATCCCTTCCCTTTCCCAGGGCCTTCTCACAGCCCACCACTGCTCCCTGAAGTTCCCTGTCTCCATTCTCTAGCACGTGAAATCGCTAAAGAACATTCTCCACTTCCTGACCATGGTTCCCATGGAGATAGTGATCCCCTCCTCTTCACCCCCAGGGCAGGTTGTTTCCATGGGAACTGTCTACCCTGCTATAGGAGAAGGCTATGACCTCCCGCAGACCCTCTGACTCCTTTAGTAGCTGATTTCTTGTCCTCAACCACCCGCCTCCTGTAAGGTGCTCCTATAGGGGGTGGAAAAGGTGATGGTGCTGGGGTGTGAGTTGTCTGGGTCAACAAGGGTTGTTGTGGGAGTAGAGGCCCTGCTCACAGGTGCTTCCTCTCCTCTCCCTGGGGTGGGGCCAGCCAACAAGCACAAGCCATGGATTGAGGCAGAGTACCAGGGCATCGTCATGGAGAATGACAACACGGTCCTACTGAATCCACCACTCTTTGCCTTGGACAAGGATGCCCCGCTGCGCTATGCAGGTAATTGGGATTGGGGGATGGCAAGGCAGGGTAGGACAGAGAAAAGTGGGTGGGAGGGCCAAGAGCAAGGGAGGGAGGGAAGGTCCTGGGAGTGATGAGAAAGTAAGGGAAGATAAAAGTGGGCTCAAGGAGGGGAATGGTCTCCACTGAAGAATGGAGATTGAGTCAAGGATGCCAGAAAAGGACATGGCCAGGCAAGGGTTAAACACATCATGATTTTGTCAGATCTCAGGTCTGGAGGCTCTGGGAGGTTGCTGCTCAGGGAAGCTGGGCTTAGAGTTGCGTGTTTGATCATTAATGCTTTTGTGCCTACAGGAGAAGGGACAGGGCTTTGGGAGGAGAGGTGGAGCTGGACCCCAGGTGGGGAGACTGAGGGTGGGGAAGGAGACACAGCAGCCTCACTCCTCCCCTTCTCCCCTTTGCCAGGTGAGATCTGCGGCTTCCGGCTCCATGGGTCTGGGGTGCCCTTTGAGGCTGTGATCCTTGACAAGGCGACAGGAGAGGGGCTGATCCGGGCCAAGGAGCCTGTGGACTGCGAGGCCCAGAAGGAACACACCTTCACCATCCAGGCCTATGACTGTGGCGAGGGCCCCGACGGGGCCAACACCAAGAAGTCCCACAAGTGAGGAAGTCCTTGTCTCCTGCCCCATGTGTTGCAGGGTCCTCCTCCCTGCTCCCAAGCCCACCATCCTCTGTCCGTGCGGTCATCGAATATCCACCCCCACCCGCTGCTGTTCCTAGGACTTAGGGAGCCCCATCCCCTGCTGTTCCTAGGATTTAGGGACTTTCAGGCAAGGTGACAGAAACGTATAGTAGAGTTCAGTGGATCTAATCTTGGCTTTGCCTCTCATGACCTTGGGCAGCCTAGCCTTTCTGGACTTGCTTTTCCTTATCTGTAGAATGGAGATTGTGATGACACCTACTTCATAAGGCTGCTGTGAAGATTCAAGGAGATGGTTTGTGTTGAAAGCATGCACCACAGTGCCTGATACACGTTGAAGGGCACAGTACATGGGCATAATGATGAGGAGGAGAGCAAGAAGGAAGAGGATGAACACACTCAGCATGCATCCAGTTCCCTTTCAACTGCCCCCTCCAGTCTATTTGCAGTGTATACCACACACACGATCCCTATCATACACATATAGCTCTAGGTGAGGGTGGGCAGGCGATGGTTGTAGCAAGAAAGAGGCTCGGGTCTGGGACACCTACGCTTGTTGCCAGCTAACTTCTTATTTGAGAATAAGAGAAAGATCTTCAGTCAGGATTCCTGAGCCACTAAGAGGCACTAGAGATAAAATGCTCTTTGTGACTCAGTTTCCCATTTGAAGATAGGACCCTTGCCTCTGGGGCCTGGGAGCCTGGGTCTTGGCCTGGGGCAGGGCTCAGCATGAAGGGCCTCGACCCAGCTCTGCTTGCCCCGGTGCATGACTAGGGAGGGGCCGCATGTGCGGGAGGCAGCACTGCCCACACGTACTGTGCAGACATGTCAGATGACTTGTGACCTTTGTACACATGCCATTTCCCTTCTTATGGCTGGTTTTAATTTGGCTTTTACTCTGCATCTTCCTTGCTTATCCCCCCGGATCTGACTGTTGTGAAGGAAGGCCCTGCTGGATTTTATGCCTTACCCCTCCTCTTGGCACCCTGACCCATAGCATTTTGCACAGAAGTCATCAAAATCAGCTCCTGAGCACCCCTGGGCCTTGTTCCTCATCCCCTACATCAGTCCTCCTTTCTTTGGGCCCTCCCTCTGGTGTTGTCCTCTCCCTGGCATGACTTTGATGCAGCTTGGTGCCCTGTGGGGTGGGGAGGAGCGTGCTGACTGCCTCAGTCTCAGGGATAGATGGGCAGGCTCCCTCCTGTTCTGGCTCTCCGTCGGGATTCCTGCTTGCTCCTTTCTGGCATATGGGTGTACCGTGTCGAGGCTGTACCTTGGTGTACAGTATAAGGCTGTATCTCGTTGTGCCCATATTGAGGCTGTTTGTTGGTGTACAGTATTGAGGCTGTATCTTGGTGTACGGTATCGAACCTGTCCCTCCATGTGCCGTATCAAGGCTGTATCTTGATGTACCGTATCGAGGCTGTACCTCGGTGTGCTGTATCAAGGCTGTATCTCAATGTATAATGTCGAGGCTGGCTGACGTGTCTTCATCCCTCCTTCTCTCTGGCATATGCAGGGCCACTGTGCATGTGCGGGTCAACGATGTGAACGAGTTTGCCCCAGTGTTTGTGGAACGGCTGTATCGTGCGGCTGTGACAGAGGGGAAGCTGTACGATCGCATCCTGCGGGTGGAAGCCATTGACGGTGACTGCTCCCCCCAGTACAGCCAGATCTGCTACTATGAGATTCTCACACCCAACACCCCTTTCCTCATTGACAATGACGGTGAGTCCACCCCTGGCTTCCCTGGCCACCCAGTTCCCCTTGAGCACCCACCTCCCTCAGGACAACCCAGGGTTGCATTCTCCACTTTTGCCCCTCAGACCCTCACCTCACCCTTCTTCCCAAATGGAGCCTTCTCCTCCCAGATGCCTTTTTTCCCAGCGTCCTGCTGCCTAACCTGCCTGCTGCCCGATGATCTCAGACATCCTCCCCTCCCTGCCCTGGGCTTTCTCCAATGCTCTAATGCTCTGTCCTCCTGACCCCACCCCAGGGAACATTGAGAACACAGAGAAGCTGCAGTACAGTGGTGAGAGGCTCTATAAGTTTACAGTGACAGCTTATGACTGTGGGAAGAAGCGGGCAGCAGATGATGCTGAGGTGGAGATTCAGGTGAAGCCCACCTGTAAACCCAGCTGGCAAGGTGAGAGCTCAGCGCTGTGCCCCATCTTGTGAATCATCTTTTTTCTTGGTCTCTCTTTCTGTCCTTTCTGACAATCATGGGGGCCAGGCTAGGGCTTGGATGATATTGGGGCAGGCTTGCAGCTATCTACTCTAGCCGGGCCATCCTGCCAGGAGCCCCAAACTGTCCATGGACATGGCAAGAGGAGCATGGAGAGGGGAGGCTGCTTTACCCTTCTCTCTCCCCATCACCCTCTCTGTCTCACCCATGCAGGCTGGAACAAAAGGATCGAATATGCACCAGGTGCTGGGAGCTTGGCTTTGTTCCCTGGTATCCGCCTGGAGACCTGTGATGAACCACTCTGGAACATTCAGGCCACCATAGAGCTGCAGACCAGCCATGTGGCCAAGGGCTGTGACCGTGACAACTACTCAGAGCGGGCGCTGCGGAAACTCTGTGGTAGGTGTGCCCCCAACACTGCCTCAGGCCTATCCCTTCCCATCCAACCTCTGTCCAAACTTTTCCAAGACTCTGCTTTACATCACCACTGGCCATCCACAGGTGTTTATCCATAGAGGTTGTGACACGATTAGCATTTGCGGCCCAAAAGGCAGGTACATATGTCTTTGGCAAAGATGCATAGTCATCGCACCAGACAGTCACCGGATGCATGGTGGAACAATGGTAGGGCGAGATGAAGAGTTGGAGAATGGGTTAACTGGAGAGATACTCTTAGAAGTGAGTTCATCCCTCTCTTGTCTTTGAAAGGCCATAAAAGGTGGCAAGACGTGCTGTAGGAAATCTTTTCCCATCAGTCCCTCTTTCCCTGCCTCCTGCCCTTTTCACCATCTGCTGCTTCTTGGCTCTGACACTTGTGCCTCCTGGGGCTCCCACAGGTGCTGCCACTGGGGAGGTGGATCTGTTGCCCATGCCTGGCCCCAATGCCAACTGGACAGCAGGACTCTCGGTGCACTACAGCCAGGACAGCAGCCTGATCTACTGGTTCAATGGCACCCAGGCTGTGCAGGTGCCCCTGGGTGGCCCCAGTGGGCTGGGCTCTGGGCCCCAGGACAGCCTCAGTGACCACTTCACCCTGTCCTTCTGGATGAAGCATGGCGTAACTCCCAACAAGGGCAAGAAGGAAGAGGAAACCATCGTATGTAACACTGTCCAGAATGGTGAGCCTCCCCTCCAGGCACTAGCCAGAGGGGGAAACTGGCTTCTTGTCCCGCCTCTGTCACTGCCCAGTGTGTGACTGTGAACAGGTCACTTCCCCTCTCTTCATTTGTGAGGTGCAAGTGCCAGGTGTGATATGCCTTGATTCTGTGCTTTATCCCCAACATGACATGTTGGATCGTACTGCTGTCAGAGTGCAATGGGATTCCTTGCTGCTACTCTTGTTTTCAGTTGCCCAGTCAACTTCTCTGTGTCCCACCATGTGGTAGGCTGTCCCCACCCCCCATCTCCACCTCCATTAAAGCCCCTCCATTGCAATGGGAAAGCCTGGGTAATGGTGTGCCCCATTCTTTCATCATCCCATCCTGGGACTGGTTGGCCCCAACTCCGAGGCCTGTTCTTCCCTCAACTGCAGGGCCTACTTCACTGGAGAGGGCTTAGTCTTGACCTGCTCTTTCATTTCTAGCCAATTCTCCAACCTCATTTCTCTTGACCTTGACAACTCTTTTGAAAAGGGTTGTCACCCATGATGTATGTATTAACCAAAGGACTGATGAAGAGCTGGTGATGGAGTGGGCCAGCTGATGTTCCCTCCTCAGCCAGCCAGCCAGGGTGCCTAAGAAGCCCAAGTTATCACTTGGACTGGAATGTGTGTGTGTGTGTGTGTGTGTGTGTGTGTGTGTGTGTGAGAGAGAGAGAGAGAGAGAGAGAGAGGAAAGAAAAATGCTAGAGAACGAGGGAATGAGAGAGGATTAAGAGAATCCAACATCCTCTCCTTCCTGCTGCTTTGAACTTGTTCTGGCCTCAGCCTCTGCACTTGACCCCATCCCCTTCCTGTGCCCTCAGAGGACGGCTTCTCTCACTACTCGCTGACTGTCCACGGCTGTAGGATTGCCTTCCTCTACTGGCCCCTGCTTGAGAGTGCCCGCCCAGTCAAGTTCCTCTGGAAGCTGGAGCAGGTGAGGCAAGAGCCAGGCTCCTGGGAGGGCTGAGTAGATGTGACTCACTTTTAGGAAAGGACCTTCTCTGGGCAGGGTCAGCATTTTCTGGGTTCCCCCTTGCCCTCTCTTTGCTTCTTCACTTTCAGCCCCTGACCATTCTACTCCCAGGTCCTCTTGTTCCCTTTTCCCAAAGCTTGTCCCCTGCAGAAAGCACTTCTGGATTTAAAAAAAAAAGGGAACAAATGACTACTAACACCAAAGTCGACCAACCATCTATTTCCTCCTTGTTTTATTCTCTCTCTCTCTTATTTAGGACTTTAACAGTATACATCCCTGACTCTCAGGCAGTTAGCCTGTTGTAATCAAGACAATAAGTCATTCTGAGGTACACAGATTGGGTTTGAGTCCTGCCAAGGGAATTTGCTGGCTATGAAATCTTGGTTAATATGTGTAAACCTCAGGGTTAAAACAACCCTGTTATATAGGGATAAAAAGAATTCTATATCCCAGAGTCGTTAGGATTAAATGATGTAATAGACCGTTGTAGACTGAAAAGCACTCCCTCTGTATATGTTAATTCTCACTATTATCAGCCCTGATTATGGAGGGATAAATAAAAATGGATAAAATATTTAAAATCCTCTCTTGAGCCAACAGTTGCAGCCTCTTCATTATTTATTCTCCAGGCTGACCACAAGGACCAGTGAGGACTAATTTGAGTTTTCACCTCCTTCTGTTTCTCTTGCAAGTCCTGGTGGAGTGGCTGAGTAAGCAAACGGCAAAAAAAAAAAAAAAAAAAAAAAAAAAGCATTAGAAGAGAGAAAAGAAGTGCCCAGATAATTTATAAACTAGATAATTGAGGGCTGTCTACAAAAGTTTTGCTGTCTGTGGCACTCTTTTAAAGAGACAGTCTGTCATTTGCTGTTTCTTGATTCCCCCCTCACACTGCAAATATTGGTAATGTTACCCTTGCTATCTTTCTTCAATTCACCCTCATTTAATCAACCAGTATCTATTAAATACAACTAAGTCTCTGTCATTCAGCTAGGTTCTGGGAATACAATGAATGAAACAAAATCTTTGCCATCATTCAACTTACATTTCAGTTGGGGAGATAAAGTTTTAAAAAGTAAATAGACATGTAAAATGATAAATTGTGAGAAATGCTCTGAAAGAAGCAGGCAAGGGACTGGGGCAGAGCATGGCGGGAGGCAAGGAAAGGAGAACTTGCCTTAGATTGGGTGCTCCTGGGGGACCTGACTGAGGGGAAATTTAAGCCTAGTGCTAAAGGATGAGAAATAGCTGGGTGTGGGAAGAGTGTGGGAAGGTTCCAGGAAGAGGGAAGAGCATATGCAAAGGCCCTGAGGCAAGAAAGAGCTCAGCATGTTCCAAGCATGGAAAGAGGGCCAGTGCGGTTGGAGTACAGTGAACAAGACTGGAGATAAGTTGCAGAGATGGGCAGTGATCAGGTTGTACAGTGGACTTTTTCAGCAGGGTTAGTCTAGATTTTTGTCATATGAGAGACAGGAAGTGTTTTTTGAAGGATTTTAAAGCAGAGGCATGACCTGATCAGATTTACATCATCATTATTATTATTATTATTATTATTTTTTTTTTTGAGATGGAGTCTCACTCTGTCACTAGGCTGGAGTGCAGTGGTGCGATCTTGGCTCACTGCAACCTCGGCCTCCCGGGTTCAAGAGATTCTCCTGCCTCAGCTTCCCTAGTAGTTGGGACTACAGGCGTGTGCCACCACGCCCAGCTAATTTTTGTATTTTTAGTAGAGATGGGGTTTCACCATGTTGGCCAGGATGGTCTTGATCTCTTGACGTGATCCACCCACCTTGGCCTCCTAAAGAGCTAGGATTACAGGCGTGAGCCACTGCGCCTGGCCAGATTTACATTTTAACAAGATCCCCTTGGCAACTGTGGGATGGTTGTATTGAAGGTATCTAATGGTGACAGTAAACAGGACTGTTGCAACAGTCTTCATGAAAGGGGTTGGAGACATGACTGATGTGTGGCAATGGAGACGGAGAGACCTGCACAGAAACCTGCAGCTTGTAGCTCTGTTTGGACCTGGGATCAACAGCACCTGCTAATGGACTGGATGTGGAGGCTGAGGGAAAGGGAAGATCAAAGTTGTCTCCTACGTCAGCCACTTGAGCAGCTAGATGGATGATGGAGCATTTATACTGCCTGGGGAGAAACTGAGGGAGTTGGGAAAGGGCATGGACTTGCACCTTACACGTGTTAAATGTGAGATACTTGTGGGCATCCAAGTGGAGAATCTGGCATTCAGAGGAGAGTTATGGGCTGGAGATGTGGATTTTGGAGTTACCAGTGTATAACTATGGTACCCAAACCCATGGCAACAGATGAGGTGACTTCTAGGAAAAGAGTGTAGAGAGGAAAGAGAAGAGGGCCTAGGTCTGAGCCTTGAGGGACCCCAACATTTGGAACTGGATGAGGCAGAGTACTCTCTGCCCCTTTTTCCTCTGACCATCCCCCATTCCATCTTGGCTGGCCCTAGGAGAGACTGCAAAGGGAAGCAATATTTATTTTAGTGCTTAATGTTGGGTTAGAAGCTATCCTAGAGATAACCTGTGATCCCAGCTACTTGGGAGGCTGAGAGGATCACTGGAGGCCAGGAGTTGGAGACCAGCCTAGGCAACATAGTGATAGCTCATCTCTAAAAAATAAAAAAATTAGCTGGACATGGTGGCACATACCTGTAGTCCCAGCTACCCCAGAGGCTGAAGTGGGAGGATTGCTTGAGCCGAGGGGTTTGAGGCTTCAGTGGGCTATGATTGCACCACTGCACTCCAGCCTGGGGGACAGAAGGAAACCCCATCTCTAGAGTTTCCAGTGCCTTACACACATATGTAATACATAAGTTCGGGGGGCAGGGAATTTATTCATGAAAGTGTGTTACTCCTCTTAGGAATATTTATAGCTTTAACGATTTACCTGAAGAGTGGAATCTTTGCTACTAGGTTGGTTGCCTGATAGATTTTGGACAAGGATGTTATTCCTCGAGCTGGATAGGCAGCAAAGCACTAGTAAGCCCTGTTGGTAGAACTGGGAATAAAGGGACTGTCCCCTGTCTCCCAGGAGATGGGGCAGTGCCTAGGGTTAGCTCTCTGAAGACGAATTACCTGAGAGGCTCTTGCCCCTACCCTACTCTCCCAGGTCTGTGATGATGAGTGGCACCACTACGCTCTGAACCTCGAGTTCCCCACAGTCACACTCTATACCGACGGCATCTCCTTCGACCCTGCCCTCATCCATGACAATGGCCTCATCCACCCACCCCGAAGGGAGCCTGCTCTCATGATTGGGGCCTGCTGGACTGGTAAGCTTCTCAGTGAAGACTCCAGTGGTTCAGGATTTGGGAAGGGAGGTAGGCTGGTGAGGAGCAAGGGCAGTCTGACCCAGCAGCTGAGGCCGCCTCCTGCATCTCTCTGCAGCTGTGCAGGGTGACTCTGAAGATCTCCATGGGAAGGGACCACAGCCTCCCTCCCGTATCTCCCACTAATCCAATGGGTCATCACCTCTGACTTGGAGGAATTAACTTCTCACGCATCCCCAGACTCTCTCTCTGTAACTCCAGCCAGTTTCCACTTTTTTCCATCAAAGTGATGATGACTTCCATAGCCCATTCCCCTGCTCAAGGAGAGTAACCCCTTAGAGTGTCCTCGGTCTTCCAACTTTTAAGCCATTGAAAAAATTTTTCTCCTCTTGGGAGTGTGTGTGTGCACATGTGCCTGTCTGTCTTACCAGAGCCCACGTGTTTCCTCAGCAGCATATCGTATTTGGGGGTTTGTCTATAATAGAGGCTGGAGAGGTTGGAACATGACAAAAGAAGGGTTGGGGCTGAGCTGAGAGGTTGCAAGTTATACATGGGCAGGGTCAGAATCCCATGTGGGCATGAGAGCACTCATGGGGATGAGAGGAAGACATCTCATTCCTCTCTGTCAATCTCTCCACATCCCTGAGCTCACCAGCACTGTTTTTTTTTTTTTTTTATCCCCAGAGGAGAAGAACAAAGAGAAGGAAAAGGGAGACAACAGTACAGACACCACCCAAGGTACTCCGTGTGTAAGAACTGGAGACCAGAGAGTTCTCATCTTCACTTTCTGTTCTGAGATCCCTTTTCCACCCCAAATCCTATCCAGCCTGTGACAGCCTCCTAGGCCACCAGGGGGCAGAGCCTCCAAGAAATACAGCAGGGCAGGGGCTCCTGGAGTGGTAAGGCTAGAGGCAGCTTGGCTGGGTTCTGGGTATCCTGTCCTGCCCACAGAATGAAGAATGGGGCTCTCTTGGTGGCTTTCCACATGGTAGAAGGGAGGTGGCAGGAGTCAGGAGTCAGACACGCAGAAGGGGAAGGTCTGGGCATCTGTGAAGCTCGCTCACATCCATCCTGGTCTCCCTGCATGTCACTGGAAAGACGTTCTCTCCTGCCGCCTCCCCCTCCCTCCTTGTTTTGACTCTTTCCTCCTGTTGGTCCTGTTTCCTTCTCTTCCTCCCTCTCATCTTTGTTGCTTCTACTTTTCACCCTTCTTCTTCTCCCCTGGCTTTATTCTGTCTTCTTTTGTCTCATTTTCTCCCTTCTCTAGCCTCCCCCCTTACCTTCACTTCTCCCTCACCTCTCATCTCTCTTTTTTCCTTTTTTTTTTTTTTTTTGGTTTCCACATTTCTCCTTTTTTTCTTTCTCAACTCTTCTGCTCTTTCTCTCCTTTCCCTTTCTCTCAGCCTTCGTCCTTTTCCATCCTCCTCTCTTCTCACCTCCCGTCCTGCTCCTGTGTTCCTACCCTAGGAGACCCTTTGTCGATCCACCACTACTTCCATGGCTACCTGGCTGGTTTCAGCGTGCGCTCAGGTCGCCTGGAGAGCCGCGAGGTCATCGAGTGCCTCTATGCATGTCGGGAGGGGCTGGACTATAGGGATTTCGAGAGCCTGGGCAAAGGCATGAAGGTATTGCCCCATCCTCTAGCCCTGTTCTTCCCAGCATGCCCCTTGCCCCACCCCCTTGCCCTACCCCTCTACCTCTGCTCCCTTCCTCTGCCACCTCCTGGCCCTGCTCTCAGCTGTATCTGTGTCTGGGGCCCAGGTCCACGTGAACCCCTCACAGTCCCTGCTCACCCTGGAGGGGGATGATGTGGAGACCTTCAACCATGCCCTGCAGCATGTGGCTTACATGAACACTCTGCGCTTTGCCACGCCCGGCGTCAGGCCCCTGCGCCTCACCACTGCTGTCAAGTGAGTGTTGGGTGGGGCAGGGCAAATCACCAAGCAGAGCCAGACAGTGTCACAGCTCCTTGGCCTAAGGCGTCACCTAGAGCTAGGCATACCTCTTTTGTTTTATGGATGAGGAGATTGGGCCCTCAAATGGAGACAATTGACCACTGAAGGTCACATAGCAATATTGGTAGAAGAGTCTGGACTATACTCAGATTTCTCAACAATCAATCTGTTACTCTTTCTACCAAGTCACACATCTAGGGTTTCCGGGCTTTGATCTTCTCTATGCCTCTGTGCTGATACGTAAAGTGGGACACAGGATTGGGAGTGGGGAGACCTGACATTAATTCTGACTCAATGCGAATTGCTTGGATAACCTCGGGCAAATGGTGAGTCCTGGCTGCTTCACTTGTTTTAATCTTGCTTCACCAAGCTCTTGCAAGGTCACGTACGATGGCCTAAGTCTGGGGGTTGGCAGTCCTAGGCCAAATCTGGCCTGCCCACCTGTTTTGTAGTTTTATTGGAACACAGCAGTGCCCATTCATTGCATATGTCTATGGCTACTTTCACTGTGATGGCAGAACTGTGGGTAGTTGGGACAAAGATCATATGGCCCCCTCAAACAGAACTATCTAATCCTTCATAGAAAAAGTTTGCTGGCCGGGCACGGTGGCTCACGCCTGTAATCCCAGCACTTTGGGAGGCCAAGGCAGATGGATCACGAGGAGTTCAAGACCAGCCTGGCCAACATGGTGAAACCCTGTCTCTACTAAAAATACAAAAATTAGCTGGGCATGGTGGCACGTGCCTGTAATCCCAGTTACTTGGGAGGCTGAGACAGGAGAATTGCTTGAACTGGGACCCAGGAGGCGGAGGTTTCAGTGAGCCGAGATTGCACCACTGCACTCCAGCCTGGGCTACAAAGCGAGACTCCATCTCAAAAAAAAAAAAAAAAAAAAAAAGTTTACTGACCTCTGAATTCTAAGTGAATGACTTTTGGAGTCTTTAAAAGAAAAATTGTAGATTATTTCAAGGTTTGAGTATATATTACATGTTTAAAAATACAGATCAATTGAGAGGCAACGAAAGTATGATAGTTAAGAGCATAGGGTCTATTGCTAGCTTTTTGGCACTGGGCAAATGCTATAAAGTGGTGATAGCAATAGAGTCTAACTCGTGGAATTGTTACGATGACTACATGATATAATCTGGATCAAATGCCTAGCAGAGAGTGGATGCCGCTTAAATGCTGGCTATTATTACATAAAGGCATTTTCACCCCTTATTATGGTTTATGGGCGGTTTTTAGGAGATACTGCCATCTAGTGGGTGAATTACATGATTTAAGAGTTAGGATTTCTGCGTTCCAATCTTGTTACCCCTCTCCCCGATTCTGCCTCAGTTTCTCTGTGAGCTATATGAAGATAAACATCTCAAATTTGCCCCTATCCTGGGAGGGGTGGGTTTAGAGGGGAGAGGGCTCTGAGCCCTAGAGGGTGACTGGGCGTGATTATCAGGCCTCACAGTTAGAGCTGTGGAAGGCCCCGGGCTGTGGCTTTTGGGAATTTGCTGGTTCAGGGTGTGGAGCTGAAGGTCACAGGCAGTTGAGTTAATGTGGGTGCAGCTGATTGCTGAGTATGCACCCCGCCATGTCCCAGTCAGAGCTCCAGTTGTTAAAGGGCTGTCATCCAGTTATGAAAGGCTTGATCCCTCAGAAGCCAAGGCATTGCCTCGTCCCCTCCAGTGCTGAGGAGCCATGGCAGAAGGGAGGGCTCTGGTTTTTGGCCTAGGGTGGAGCTCTGCAAGGGGAGTTCCTGCGGGGGGAGGAGTTGACATTCTCTTTGCTGACTGCCTCATCTGAATTCCTGCTATCTTTTTCATGCCCAGGATAGAGGTTTATCCAAGGGCTTGGAACCTGCCTTTGAGGAAAGGGGCCTTGATGTTTTCTCTATGAGGTTAAGAAACAGAGTTTTCATTTCTCCATTTCTAAGGTTACTACATGGTTGGTGCTATCCTAATACTTCCCTGAGGTCACGGGAGAAAATATAGAGGGGTGTGTGTGTGTGTGTGTGTGTGTGCGCGCGCATTTGTGTGTATGTAACAGACACAGACAGGTACCTAGCAATACCTCCCTTTCCCTGATGCATTTCCTTGCCCCTGTCCCTGTGGCTTTCATAGCTTCCAGTTTTCAGTTCTTGGACCTCTGTCTATTTAAAGCCAGATTTATGCAACTATTTGGTCAATGCCTAAATGCAAGTTTTCCTGAAGTTTTTTTTTTTTTTAGTATTTTTCTTGGAAAGCCCATTTACTTGTGGAATTGACCCCTGAACAGATAGATACCACATCTATTTCTCTAGTTTTGTCCTCTTTCCACAGCTCTTGACTTTCCATCTGCTTCCTGTAACCTCTATCTAGAAGTTCTGCTAGCACCTCAACCGAAAGAGCTAATGCTGAAATAATCAACTGCAATCCCAAACCAGCCTCTCTCCCTGAACTCTCTCTGTAATGGTGCCTCTGTCCTTGCAGTCATCCAGAGCTTGAAACCTCTGAGTCATCTTTGATTCTTCCCTGTCTTTATCCTCCACTGCCCATCAGTTGCCAGCTCACCTGGACCCTGCCTCTGTGCCGCGTGTCTGAAATCTGTCTCCTCTTTCTTTTGCTGCTGTTACTGTTCTAGCCCAGGTCTTATTACCTCTTATCTGGCCCATTGCCTCCTAACTAGCTGACCTATCTCTAGTCTTCGAATTTTATTTATCCTCTACTCTGAGGCTAGGTGAGTGATCTTAAGTTGAGTTTTCATCATCACACTTCCCTGATGAAAAAGACGTCGGTGGCTTCCTCTTGCCCACTGCATAAAAATGTCAAATGTGCTGGGTGCCGTGGCTCACACCTGTAATCCCAGCACTTTGGGAGGCCAAGGTGGGAGGATCACTTAAGGCCAGAAGTTCGAGACCAGCCTGCACAACCAACAGACCGCAAGTCTGTAGTCCCAGCTACTCAGGAGGCTGAGGTGGGAGAATCACTTGAGCCCAGGAGTTCGAGGCTGCAGTGAGTCATGATTGCACCACTGCATTCCAGCCTGGGCGACAAAGCGAGACCCTGTCTCTAAAAAATTAGAGAGAGAGAAAAAAAAAACAGATCTTATCATGGCATTTAAAGCTGCCAGCCATCTGGCTTCTGGTGGTTCCTGCCTCATGTTCCTCTACTCCCCTTAGTAAGCTTCTCGCCATCCACTCTGGGTCAGTACTACCCTCCTTCAAAGGCTAGCTCAGTTGCTACTTTCTCTGATCGTTCCTACCTTCCTTTTCCAAGCACCCTCCTCTTATCCTAGGCAGAACTAACCTCTCCCTCCTCTGAACTCTTCTGGTTGTTTGTTCCACTCATATGGCGATGACCATATTTGCCTTTCTTTTAACTTTTGTGTGCCACGTCTAATCTCTCTACCAGACCAACGGTGCCTTTGGGTCAGGCCTCCTATTCCCCTTGGGATTCCCAGACCAGCGGCACAGCACAGCATTGCTCATTGCAGGGAGGATGTCTGTTGGAGCCTGTGCCTTCAGGGTCATCTGGGATTGTTTCCCAAGGGGCTTTGCCCTAGGCCTATCTGGATGGCAGACTGTAATAGGCCCTGCTCCGTGTGGTACAGGAACTCAGCACATCCCGGGCATTGGCAACTTCAGGGGCTCTGAGCTCATCATGCCTACTGAGATGATGCCTTCTCCCTTTTTACTCCAGCATTCAAGCTGGGCATGCTCAGTAACACTAATAATTACAGTCCTCTCTGTAAAATCATTTCCGCTAGCACCAGCGTGGGGATCAGAGTCCATGCTCCTGGATCACTAACTCCACCGTGAAGTCTGCTTGTTCAAGTGGGGAAACTTCTTTACAGATACATTTCCCTGGTGCAAACCCAGGCCCCAAATGGTGCCTGTGGTTTAGTGGAAAGATCAGTGGACTTGGGCGGTGTGTGGTGGCGCACACCTGTGGTCCCAGCTCCTCAGGAGGCTGAGGCACGAGATTGCTTGAACCTGGGAGGCAGAGGTTGCAGTGAGCTGAGATGGCACTACTGCACTGCAGCCTGGGCAACAGAGAGAGACTCTGCCAAAAAAAAAAAAAAAAAAAAAAAAAAAAATCAGTGGACCTGGAAGGAGAAGAATGATTTAAGCCTAGACTCTGGTTTAAGCCTTGATTGTTTCTTTTTCTTTTTCTTTCTTTTCTTTTCTTCTTTTTTTTTTTGAGATAGGGTCTCACTCTGTCGCCCAGGCTGGAGTGCAGTGGCCTGATCTCATCAGCTCACTGCAACCTCTGCCTCCTGGGCTCAAGTGTTCCTTCCACCTCAGCCTCCTGAGTAGCTGGGACTACAAGCATCTACCACCACACCTGGATAATTTTTGTATTTTTTGTAGAGACGGGGTTTCACTATGTTGCCCAGGCTGATCTCGAACTCCTAAGCTCAAGGGATCCTCCCGCCTCAGCCTCCCAAAGTGCCAGGATTTACAGGCATGAGCCATCATGCCCAGCCTGAGCTTTAGGCATTTTACAGCATAGAAATGAGGTTATAATATAATGAAATAATATGGGCCAGGTGCGGTGGCTCACGCCTGTAATCCCAGCACTTTGGGAGGCCGAGACGGACAGATCACCTGAAGTCAGGAGTTCAAGACCAGCCTGGCCAATATGAAGAAATCTCATCTCTACTAAAAATACAAAAATTAGCCGGGTGTGGTGGCATGCGCCCTATAATCCCAGCTACTTGGGAGGCTGAGACAGAGGAATCGCTTGAACCCAGGAGGCAGAGGTTGCAGTGAGCCAAGATCGCACCATTGCACCCTAGCCTGGGCAACAAGAGTGAAACTCCATCAAAAAGAAAGAAAGAAAGAAAGAAAGAAAGAAAGAAAGAAAGAAAGAAAGAAAGAAAGAAATGTGGGAAAATGCTTCATAAACTGGCAAGGGCTATTGATTGTGAGGTGTTGTTATTACTGGTAAAGGTGGGGCTAAATGTGATCCTGGGAGCATCACTGCTGAGCAGCTGTGCTGTTGGTTGGTCTGGCTCAACAGAGTCCTCTAAGGATAGCTTGTCCTGATGCCTGGATCCTCAAGCTTCATGAGACGGTGGATCTAGGTCCAAGGTGGTCAGATGATCTCACCTACCAAAGTGTGTTTCCCCGATATTGAAGGGAATGAAAGACACACCAAAGAGGAGGACATCCTTTGATAGATGTCCACATTCTACTTTTATTGTTGAATAATTTTGGGCGCATATGTGCCGGATAGTATACTGAGTCCATGTACTTTTAAACTGCTGGATAAAGAACTGTGTGTGTATATATACCTGTTTGTCAGTTCAGTTTGCTTTGTTTTTCATTAAAATAGCATCTATAGGTACTCCATAATCCTGGGGTAGGGCATTGATGGTGTGATCACACCCACAGGTTGGGATTACCTGACCTTCTGTCCTCGACATTTTCCTTGGTGACATCCTACCAGGAAAGGATATGTCCCCCTTCAACTGCTGTGGGGGTTGGGATGCAGAGGCATGACCCCCTTTCTTCCCCTGCCCCTTCCTGACATGAGATGCTCTATGATAGAGGTAGCTGGGGCGGGGAGTGAAACAGAATGTGGGTTTTCGGGGAGGAAGTGTTGGGGTCACATGCTGCTTCTCCTGCTTTCTTACATAGGTGCTTCAGCGAAGAGTCCTGCGTCTCCATCCCTGAAGTGGAGGGCTACGTGGTCGTCCTTCAGCCTGACGCCCCCCAGATCCTGCTGAGTGGCACTGCTCATTTTGCCCGCCCAGCTGTGGACTTTGAGGGAACCAACGGCGTCCCTTTGTTCCCTGATCTTCAAATCACCTGCTCCATTTCTCACCAGGTGGAGGCCAAAAAGGATGAGAGTTGGCAGGGCACAGGTAAGGACGACTTCGGGGAGTAACACCATCCAGAGAACCAGCCAGTGTCTGGAGTCAGAGTGTGGGAGAACTCCTGGGGCTGGAAGCAGAAAGCGACTCCATCCTGTGTTTGTTTGACTGAACAACTTACCTTTAAGAAGGAGAGCAAGTGGAAAACACGTGGGTGGAAATGAATTGTTGCATAATGATATTCTTGAAAATGATGCTGACTTCCCTCTCCCTGGCCCTGGAAAGGGAGGGAGAGTGGTGATGAGGGCATGGTTGGGTCTCAGAACCTCCGTGGGCCCTTTGGCTCTGACCCAGACCCTACTATCCCCAACCCAGTGACAGACACACGCATGTCGGATGAGATTGTGCACAACCTGGATGGCTGTGAAATTTCTCTGGTGGGGGATGACCTGGATCCCGAGCGGGAAAGCCTGCTCCTGGACACAACCTCTCTGCAGCAGCGGGGGCTGGAGCTCACCAACACATCTGCCTACCTCACTATTGCTGGTCAGTGGGGCCTGAGGGCCTGTCCTCTGTGTGTGTGTGCCCCTCCCAAAAAGTAAGGGCCTAGGAAGCCCAGAGGGTCCTCCTTCCAGGTCCAGGGATGTGGACAAGTGCCGTTTTGCATTTTCCTAGCCTGGAAGATCCTCTGGCTTTGATTGTCCCTAGGGAAGGTGTGCTGGGTTTAGGCTCCGAATGCTTCTGTCTTCCTGCTCCTCTCCATAGCCTGGCTCACCTCCACTTCTGGTCCCACTCCTGTTTCCATTCAGGCTTCTCACCTTCCTCTCCTCCTTCGGCTCATCTCTGCCCAGCTTTCTAACCCTCTAGCTGTCTGTTTGTTACCGGTCATCTCTGTTGTTCAGCTCACTCATCTCACGTGCACACCAGAGCTTTACAAGAAGTACTCATCTCTTAGTGAATAGTGGGAGTGATGATTTGGTAGTTTCCAAAGGAAGCCAGGAGGGAGAATGGAGAAGATGGAGATAATCAGTTCCCTTCTATTTCCACTCCTTTCCAGGGCTCACTGAGGACTTCTGTATTTTCCTCTTTCTCATATTCCCTCCTGCTTGCCATCTCCCTTTCTGTCTTTCAGGATGTCTTTATCTCCTTCTTTCCATTCCTCCTCAGAACCTACAGAGCAGGAAATGGAGCCTTGATCTCTCCATCCTAGTTAGTCAGAGTGGGCAGGGATGGAGGGGAGCATCCCTCCCTTCGACCTCAGGTCGCACTTCTGCGGAGATGGGGCTGACCTGCTCTACAGCTTGTGTGGCGTCAGCTGGTGGGAGTCCAGGAGAGAGGGTCCTGCCCAGGTCCTGCCTCCACTGGCCCCTGCCCTGAGGTGCTTCCTCATCTCCAGGGGTGGAGAGCATCACTGTGTATGAAGAGATCCTGAGGCAGGCTCGTTATCGGCTGCGACACGGAGCTGCCCTCTACACCAGGAAGTTCCGGCTTTCCTGCTCGGAAATGAATGGCCGTTACTCCAGCAATGAATTCATCGTGGAGGTACCCAGAGAGTCTCCTTCCTTCCACAGTTACCCACCCCCAGAAAGGAGCTGAGGTGGCATGGACTCAAAATGTTAGTTGGTGGGCATGGACATGGCAGCGTGGAGGGCTGCTGGACCTTGCAGTGGGTGGAGGAGAAGGAGATGGGGGCAGTAGTTAGGAGATGGGGCTGGGGTCTAGAGAAGTGGGGAGGACCTGGGAGAAGCGTGTGTGCCCATGGAGCCCTCCCTCTGCCCAGGTCAATGTCCTGCACAGCATGAACCGGGTTGCCCACCCCAGCCACGTGCTCAGCTCCCAGCAGTTCCTGCACCGTGGTCACCAGCCCCCGCCTGAGATGGCTGGACACAGCCTAGCCAGCTCCCACAGAAACTCCAGTACGTAAGCCTGGTGGGGCTGGGCAGGGAGGGGCAGGTGGCAGGTGAGTGTGTTGGGACAGGTATCCTCCCCCTCCACCTCTGGGAGAGGACAAGGTAGGTGGAGCAATGGGTTCTGTTCCCTGTGGTACCTGCCTTAGTTGACAGCTATGGACCAATCCCTCTCTCCCTTTGGATCATTCACTTTCCCTTGTGAAGAACATGAGCCTTGTGTCATTGTAGGGATGCTTATGCCTGCAGTCATAAAGTCAGTGTGGGTTTAGGCGTGTTTGTTATACCTGATGATGCCTCCTTCCCCAGCCCCAAGCAATATCAAATTAGCCCTGGACCTAGGATCCTCTGTGGTGAAACTATCAAGTATTTACTAAGCACCTACTATGTACTAGCACTGTCCTAAGATGATCTAAATGATTTATAGGATAGATCAGTCCCTATCCCCAAGGAGAGAATTGGTACTATTACATGTAAAATTATGTGCTACGTATGCAGTCACAAGAATATTTCTAAAAAATATATGCAAATATGCAAAGCGTTACATTCAGATGGAGTGCTGCCCTTCAAAGCTGCCCTTCAAAGCAACCTGGCCGTGGTCCCAAAGGTTCCCGGTCATGGTCCTTTACGAATGGTGCAATTTTATTTTCAACTTTTGAGTTGCGTAATTGTAGAAAAACCAGAAAATATCAAATATTTCTTTTAAAGAAGAAAAATCAGGCCAGGCACAGTGGCTCATGCCTGTAATCCCAACACACTAGGCTGAGTCAGGAGGCTCACTTGAGTCCAGGAGTTTGAGACCAGCCTGGGCAACACAGTGAGACTCTGTCTTTACAAAAAATAAAAAAAATTAGCTGGGCATGGTGGCAGGTGCCTGTAGTCCCAGCTACTTGGGAGGCTGAGGTAGGAGGATCTCTTGGGCCTGTGAGGCCAAGGCTGCAGTGAGCCATGATCACACCACTGCACTCCAGTCTGGGAGACAGAGCAAGGCTCTGTCTCAAAGGAAAAAAAAAAAAAAAAAAGAAAGAAGAAGACGAGGAAAACTCAGCCATAATTCCGTCAGAGAGGAAACCACTGATAATATGAGTATTCTGTTCCAGTCTTTTTTCTATGCTTAATTTTTCCTTTTTAGAAAGTTAGGATTAGCCTATTTTGTAACCTGATATTTACACTTCATATTATAAAACAAGTATTTTCCCACATTATTAAAAATTGCAAATGATGCTGATGTTGTTGAAAGTGATTTTTGGAACCCCTTCTTAGAATTGCTTTCAGAGCCAATTTATGAGGTGCATTTATTTTTGTTATTTTTTGGACATAACTTGCTTTTGACCCTGTTCAGTGTTACTCAACTTCATCACCCAGTTTTGCCAAAGTTGAATCTGGATATAATTTTAAGTTTTTAAACATTAAACCCACTCTCAAAGGCCATAGATCGGTCACCTTTGAAAAGAGTCAAAAGGTTGTGTCACAGGCTTTTGAGAATTGAAGGCAATTCTCAAAGGAGTCCACTAGTGCTTTCTGGGAAGAAATTTGTGGTCTCTGAACACTATGTGAAAGTACAGAACTTATTTCAATATATGTGATGGGTAATAATAATTATAACAAACACAGGGTGCTCTCATCATGTGCCAGGCACTGTGCTCGGGGGATTACGCTTATTAACTCATTTAGCCATCATAAACAACCAATGAAATGGGTACCAGAATTATCCCCTTTACAGGCAAGGACACAGAGGCACAGAGAGTTCAAGTGCCTTACCCAAGTTCACGCAGCTAGAAAGTAAGTGGAGCCAGGATTTAAATCCAGGAGGCATGATTCCAGTCTGTGCACTAACCATGGCCCTCACCCTTCTCCCCAGATGTTTGATGCTTTAAAAAAGATTAGTCTTATTACTTTAGAGTTGCATATAATTAGGGGGAGCCCCTGAGGGGCTTCCCAGGGTTTTCTGACTGAGGCCAGCTCCTCTGATGCCCCCAGGGATTCAGTCTGGCTTCCTCTCCTTGTGCAACGGCCACCACCTACACTGTCTCTTATTTTATTTTATTTTATTTTTCTGGGACTGGCTCCCTTCTTCCTTGCTGTCCCTGAAAACAACCGCAGAGGCTTTTGGGAGGGAGAGACAGGGTCTTGTTCTGTCGCCTAGGCTGGAGAGCAGTGGTAATCCTAGCTCACTGGAGCCTCGAACTCCTGAGCTCAAGCAATCCTCCTGCCTTAGCCCCCTGAGGAGCAGATGCATGCCACTATGCCTGGCTATTTTTAAGACTTTTTATAGAGACAAGGTCTCACTTTGTTGCTCAGGCTGGTCTTGAACTCCTAGGCTCAAGCGGTCATCCTGGCTCAGCTTCCCGGAGTGCTGGGATTACAGGTGTGAGCCGCCGCACTTGGACTTGCAGACGCCTTTTTCAGTGTTCTACTGTGATTCACTATAGCAAGTAGGTGGAAGTGAGGATTAGCGGGGAATATAAGGCATAACCAAGCTGCAAAGATTAGAGAAGTTTCACATAGTATTTAGTCAATAGAGACATGTTAGCAAGCTAAACCTATTTATTTCAAATAAACTCTTGAGGCCAGCTATAAATTTTTTTCCTTCTTGTGATTCCATAGCACTTTCTCCAGTTCTTTCATTGGGGATCATTCCACTCAATCTTTTCTGGTTGGATACTAGGTCCTGCTACTCTGATTAGGCTCAAGGTAGATAGGGGTGCTGCCTGGCCTGGTGAGATTCTCGATCCTTACTTTCTTTGGTATAAGGCCCCAGGTGAGAGACTTCTTGTTCTAGGAGCCCAGCACCTTCTCCCCTGAGTGTCCAGCTGCCCTGCATGGGCTGGTCTGGCGGGCAGCGTTTCTCACCCCTCAGCCCCTGGAGGAGTGTCTGTTCACGGCACCCTTTCACCTCCCCTCGGTGAAGCCCAGTCTCCCCATCCTTTGTTCTGAGCTCATGTCCAGGCTGATCAAGCTTCCCTCAGATTTCAGTTGAGAGCAGCAGTTTTCCTTTGCTTCTTCTCTTATTTTGACCTGAATAGGACACAGAGTTCGTAGCTTCCCTGAGGGCACTGGTGATTGGCATGCCTGAGCTGACAGGCCATTCACGGCATAAAACCCTTTCCATATGCCTTTTCTGACTCCGCAAGGTGCTCCCTCCCTTTCACCTACAAATCTCGAGTGGTGTTGCAGAACTGTGGTTTCACAATATCAAACCATTCTAAACATGCAGAAGCAGTGAGAGGTACGATCTCCTCCAGTGGCACGGAGGCCCATTGCTCTAAATCTCCTAAGTGCACTAGAGAAAGAGAGATGAATGTGAACTGGAACCAGGGTAAACTGGAACAGTCAGGGGAGATTTTGTGGCACATGTAGAGTTTGCATTTGGACCTGAACTGTAAAAGGGATTTTTGGATGGGTGTGAGAGAGAATGGGAATTTGAGAACCGGGGGTAGATAGGTGGTTAAGAGTGTTTATGGTTAGAGAGAATAAGGTTGGTTGAGAAGAGCAAGCCGGATGATGAGGGTATTATGTATCTACTCATATCAAATTTTGATGACTGCCAGAATCACCTGGGGAGCTTTAAAAACTCTCGGCACCTAAATTATACCCTAGAATGTCTAGGGGGTGGGAGCCACGTGTCAGTGGTTTTTAAAAATCCCATGTAATCTTTAAAAGTTTGGGAATAATTTTCCTCTTTTGTTTCCTACAAGTATCTGAAGCTTTGCAGAAAGAGTTACAAAGCAATAGGACAAAAAGAAAATGAATGAGGAAGTAAGGAGGAACAGGTAATGATGAAATAAGGATCCAATGAAGCCAGGGAATAAAGTCAGCTCATAACATGCGTACTATGAGATGCTATGCAGTTGCTACCACGGGCCAGAATTTTGACCCTGAGCTTCTTCAAAGCTAAAGCAAAAGGAAACCTGAGCAGTTCTGAGAGCCGTGATAGGAGCCAAACGCTATTTCATGAAAAGCCCTGGGAGTGCGGGGGGCAGAAAGAAATCTCTCCCAAGGCTCTTTGCAAAGAGAGCACCGTGTGGGGCCATGGACAGGGCTTTCCACTGTCCTCGCAATCCCATGGACCATTTGCTAAGTCACCCCTTAATGTTGGCTCTGGAGGTCATTCAAGGCCAGAATTAACTGCTCAGATCTCATGTAGCAAGAAAAGCTGAACGCACTTCTTAAATTCTTGATTTTTATCTGTAGCTGATTTAAAAATCCTCCCATCTCCCCGGGCTCCTGACTCATCTTAAACTAATTAACCAGACTTGTTTGCTTGTAGATAGAGTGTCTGCATTTTGTCTTTCCTGTGGTCATTTCTTATTGTCCTGGCAATCAACTTGTCATTTCCTTCATTAGGCCAGGAGCTCGGAGGGACACTGCATTGATTAGGGCGCAAACCAGCTTTAGCTCGTCATCGTTGTGTGCTTAGAGGAAGTTCACCTGCTTTGGCCTCCACTCTGAGGGTGGGGTCACCACCCCTTCTGGAGCCTGGGCTTAGCCACTGGGCCCATCTGCCAGTGAAGGCACTGCCCCTGGCTCTGGTCTGTTGACGTGGAGACCTGAGAGACACTATTTCCTGCAGATGGGCAGGAGAGACAGCTCTGTCCCCTCCTCCCTTATCCCCCGTTCCCAGGAAGTTGAGAAATACTGATCCAGCCAGTCCTGTCTTCACCTTGGAACCAGTGTCGAGGGAGTGTGCCCCAGCAGAGTCCGTTCTAATTGGCTGGTGGCCTCAAGTGGGCTGTGGGTCAGGATGGGGACCAACTTGGCAGACAGCCATCAGGGTGGCCTCAGGGAGGTGTGTGGCCTGCCCAGGCAGGGCATTCTCCACACACCTAGTTGGCCCTGGAGTGCGTGGCAGCTGAGTGTGCTGGCTGCTGGGGAGAGGGGCGCTGCAGCAGGGTGTGGGTGTGAGTGTGAGGAGCTCCTGGGCCATGCGCTTCCCTACGCTCTGCTCTGTCTGTTGACACATGAGTCTCAGGCTGTAGGTAATTTGCGGACGGGGCTGGAATGCGATGTGTGTATTTTTCTAGGGGCTTGCTTGTGTGACTGCTGGTCTCTGTGTGTGTTTGGGGCACACATACATGGAATAGTCCCTCAGCAACGGGACCGCCCAGGGAGGAGCTGCTGTGTATGCATGGTGGGCAGGGGTGTGCACCCATGTGGGGAGTAGTGACCCAGCTGCCCGTAAGGGCCCTGGGCCTGGAGGTGCGTGTGTGGGGTCTCTGCCTCCACCTGCTGTCCCTGGGGCTGCGGGCTTTCCTGCTTTTCTTCCTTGTGCTTCTTCGAGAGCTGTGTGTGTGTGTGCAGGAGGCAGGCAGGGCTGTGCTCATGGCGGCTCGCTCTGTGGCCCTCACGGCCCACGTCTGTAGTGTCTATGTCTTCCTTCAGGGGGTTGCCTGGTCTGCCCAGCTGGTGGGGAGCTGGGTGATGCTGCACATATGGCTCTACCGTGCCTTGCTGGAGACCCCCAGACGCGTTCCTTTACTCCCGCAGTGTGAGCAGGCGGCCAGGTGGCTGGTGTGGGCCAGCATGCAGGCTGGCAAAGGCCTGGCTCGGGTGTGGGGCGTGGCAACCTTTGTGCAGCTGTGTGCCCACACGGTCTTCCTGAGCATGTACCTGTGCATGCACATCTGCTTTGCCGCCATCAGCTCTAAGGTCCGTGTGAGAGTGAACGCACCGTTCTGTGTCTCAGTGCCCTTGAAGGTCCATGCCCCTCTGAGCCTGGGCATCAAAGTGGGGCTGCAGGGCCAGAAGCATGGGAGAGCCACGGGGGAGGCAGGTATGCCTCAGGGGGAGATGTTGGGGAAGCAGGAACCCCAGACGTCCCGGAGCCCCAAGCCCACCAGGAGAAGGGAGGTGTCACGGAGTGAGCTCAGTCCAGGTGGGTAAGGGAAGGGGCTGCTCTGTGCCCCTTGGACTTGTCCCCAGCCTCAGGTGCTAGTGCCCTCTTCCTGCAGCCAGCCCAGGCCTGGAGCCTGCATCTCCTCCTGCTCAGCCAAGCCCGTGTGGGGGCCCCTCCTCTCCCTCACTGGGCACTGGCACCTCTTTCCTAGGCTGAGTGGTCTCTGGGGAAGGCACAGGTGGAATGACAGGGGCAGATTCCAGTCCTTGCCCTCTGTCCTCTGCGAATAGGGCTGTTCATGACAGTGTTGGGCAGGGAGTCTTTTTCCTCCTCTGCCCTTGCCTCTCTGTACACCTGCCTCCCTCTGTGTTTGTTCCTTTGCCTTGCAGCAGCTCCCTTCCTCCCCTTTCGTCTCCTGCCCTTCCTGGTGGGCTGTTTCTCTTCTGGCTTCTCCAGGTGTTCCTCTCTTCTCGGCCACCGTGTGTTCTGCCCTGGGAGTCCTTCAGCCCGGGCTGCCTCTTTTCCTACCCAGCCCCCTGTCCAAGTGCCCCCAGGTGTGCCTAGTCACGCTCTGCTCACCCCCGCGCTCTCTCTGCAGTGATACCCAGCGCCGCAACCCTCATCATTGTGGTGTGCGTGGGCTTCCTGGTGCTCATGGTCGTCCTGGGCCTGGTGCGCATCCATTCCCTTCACCGCCGCGTCTCAGGGGCCGGCGGGCCTCCAGGGGCCTCCAGTGACCCCAAGGACCCAGACCTCTTCTGGGATGACTCAGCTCTCACCATCATTGTGAACCCCATGGAGGTGAGAGGCCTGGGGAAGCGGGGTTCTGTAGGGTCAAGACTGTGGAGCACACACGGTGAGGACTCCTGAGGAGGGGCAGGCCTGGGTGGAGGCTGTTCGCAGAGCTGCAGTGAGCCGGAGGGAGAGAGGTTCAGGCAGGGAAGGGGGTACACAGGGGTTAAGGGGACCGAGGGAAGTGTGGTCCCTGAAAGAGAGGCTGGGATGTGTGCAGGCCATTGATCCCTTCTCCTCTCTGTTCCTGCCCTCCAGTCCTACCAGAATCGGCAGTCCTGTGTGACGGGGGCTGTTGGGGGCCAGCAGGAGGATGAGGACAGCAGTGACTCGGAGGTGGCCGATTCCCCCAGCAGCGACGAGAGACGCATCATCGAGACCCCCCCACACCGCTACTAAGGCCTACACCTCTCCCCACGCAGAGGGGGAATTCTGCCCTGGTGAAACAGACACTCCAGACATGGGAGAAGGACTTTCTGGGAACACAGAGACCAAGAGGGAGAGAGGCTTCAGAACCAGTCCTCCTTTCATTTCAAAACCCCAGCGGGCCCTCTGGAGTCCGCCCTGCCCCTCCCCCGGCCCCCCATCCCTCACTTCTGGGCTGTCATGCTCCTGGTGTGCCCCTTGCACTGGGGCTGGCTGGGTTGGAAAGTGGGCTGGACTTCAGCTGCCTTTCTACCCCCAATGGCAGCTGCCCCCTTAGCACTCACTGTGTTGGGGAGAGGGTGACGATTGCAATGGCTGGGGCTGGGGCTGGGGGTGGGATTGAAGGAAACCCTCTCCTCTCCCCTTCCCTTCTCTCTCCTGTCCATGGGAAGCTTTTCCCCCTCTGCAGGGCTCCCTCAGCTGGACCATCGTCCCTGCTTCTCTTATGATCGCCCCACCTCATTTCCATTTCAGTCTGGGGACCCCATTTCTCCCTCCTTTCCAACTTCCTTCCTTTCTTGTCCTGTTTCCCTTCCTGCCCTTGCAGTCCTGAGGTCCTGCAGCCCCGGCCCCTCCTCCGTGACCTGGTGTGGCCAGGCTGCGGGGACGGGAGGGGACGTGGGGGCCCCGGGTGTACATATATAATGTATATTTTTTCAATGTTGTCGTGAGTGCAGCCCATGTTCCTGCGTGCAGCTCACGGCCTTGTGTGTATGTGTGTGTGTGTGTGTGTGTGAGGCATCGTCATGTCCTGGGGCAGGGGCGGGGGGTTGGGTGTGGTGAGGGAGGGGACATATCCTAGGGTTTTCAAATAAAACAATCAGAAAAAAAAAAAAAGCTCTGTGAGGCGCCTCCTGACTGCCTGGTCCTGTGTGGGTGTGGTGGAGGCTCTGGGGCCTCAGGGGCTGTTTGGGTCTCTGCACAGAGCTGAAGTGAGGTGGGCAGGGCTGGTGATCTTGGGGGCCTGACCAGGTAAGTCCCCAGGATGCCAGATCACCTGGAAAGTAAGCTGGGGGCAGATGGTTCCCACGCCTCCCTTCCTTCAGCACCCCCTGGAAAAGTACAGAAGATTCAGGGAATGCTATGGACACCTGGGCAGATGCCCAGTGCCTTGCAGGGGTGCTGCCAACCCCGCCCCACAACTTGGAACATTTTGCCTGTGCACATGGGCTCCCTGCTGGGCGGCCCCAGGGAGAAGGCAGGCAACCCTGCTGTTTGTACCAAAGGGATCTGGAGACTGTTCCCAGGCTGACCCTTTCCTGCTAGCCAAGGCTCAGACCCAGGGGATGTCTGCCTGCCTTGCCCATGTCCTTGTGGCTGCCTCACATGGCTGCTTAGTGGCCTCCGCCCTCTCCACTCGGGCCCAGCCCCTGGCCTGACAGCAGGCAGAGTCTGGCCCTTCTGCAGCCTTTTGGGCCACTAGTTCTCTGACCCAGGTCTTACTTAAGCCCCAGGTGATAAAGGATGATAACCCCAAGGGGTTATTTCAGAAGAGTGAACTGCTGGTGGGAGCATCCCTCTGGTGCTGTCCTGGCCCAAGAAATACCAGGGATCCAAGTCTTAGTTCCTTCCTGCAGCATGACAGAGTAGGGCATCCTTAGGCTCTTCCTGGTTCTCTGCGGCTGCCTGTAGCACAGTTGGGGTGGAGGTGGGTGCTCCGCCTGACGCCCGTTCTGACATCCACCGGGTGCCTTGTCCTTGCCCATGGCCGCAAACTCCCAGTTGCATGTTGATGCCTCCATATTTTTATCTCCCACCTGAATCTCTCTCCTAACTCACATTTGCAACTACCTATTGGCATATCCACCTGCCCTTCCTGTGCCTCAGACTCCACCTTTCCCCGACTTCTCTGTGACCTATCCCTATCACCTTTCACCCATTCGCCTATGCCAGAAATCTGAGAGTCAGTCTAGATTCCTCCCTCTCCCTCAACCCCATGGCCAAATGGTGATGAAACCCTGTCGTTCTTACCCCTTAAAAATCTCTCCAATAGGTCTTTTGCTTTCTATTCCCCTTATTGCTGCCGCCGCCTTGACCTGTACCCTCTGTGTTTTTGCCTGGTCTGTGGCAAGAGCCTCCCACCTGCCTCCCACCTGCCTCCCACCTGTCCTCCCACCTGTCCTCCCACCTCTCCTCCCACCTGCCTCCCACCTGTCCTCCCGCCTGCCTCCCACCTGCCTCCCACCTCTCCTCCCACCTGCCTCCCACCTGTCCTCCCACCTGCCTCCCACCTGCCTCCCACCTGCCTCGCACCTGCCTTCCACCTGTCCTCGTCTCCTATGCCTTGCTCTACTCCACCCCGTCCTCAACTCTGGATCTCAGTGGCCTTTCTCAAGTGCAACTCTGGTTGGACCACTCTCCGGTAGAGCAACTTTCCTACCTCCTTGTCAGGCCTAGGTCAAGTCCTGACGCCTTAGCCCCTTAACCAGGTGGGGCAGGTCCTGCCTTCCTCCTTCTCTGGCCTCTTTGCGGCCACCACCCCTGCACCCCTGCGGTGGGGTCACAGAAATCACATATGCTTCCCACACACACCCTGCTTTCTCGCCTCTGTGTCTGCATGTACTGTTCCCTCTGCCTGGCATGTCCCTTACCCATTGTGTGCCTGGCAGTCTTCTACTATCACTGAAGACCCGGTTCAAGAGTTGCCTCTACCAGGAGTTCTGCTGTGCTCTGGGAGCCCTTATTCACGCCTCCATGATGGTATTGACTACAAAGCTGAGGGACATGTCTGTCTCTCCACAGATTCTCTGTATCCCCAGCAACTTGCACAGGGCCTGGCACACAGTAGGGGCTCAGTCAGTGGTGACTGAGGTGATGTGTATGGCTCTCAGACTCAGGGAAGACTCACTGGTAGGAAGAGAGAGGAGAGCTCCGTTGGTGGCCCATGGCATGGGAGGTCCAAGGCTGAGCATGGCCAAGCAGACGCCCTGTAGTGGCCTCTCCTGTAGTCTAGGTCTGCCTAGATGCCAAGCTGATGTTCTGGGGTCTGAGGCAATACTGCATAGGAGACCGCCTTGCCTGTCTACCTAGAGTCTTCCAGAGGCTCAAAAGGTCACAGACTTCAGACATCTGAGAGCTTTGGCTCTCAAAGGGGCTTGAGAGTTTTTATTAATAGTTTGTGGTCCTGAATTTCAGTGGGTGAAGTTCAGCCCCCTCCTCCTTCTTGTCATCGTCTTAGTCCTCACCTACCCTGTCTCGGAGATGCAGCTTCCCATGAAGAGGAGCAGAAGCCAAGCAGGTTCTATTATTTTTGTGTGTGTCCTTGACACTTGAGGCTCGGGGGTCCTTATTCACTTCTAGCTCAAGTCTCAGGGATAGGGGCTGTGGGTAAGAAGGCAAGCTTGCCATGAACTCTGCTTCCCTCTTGATGCACACGCCCCTGCAGACTGCCACAAAGTAGCATATGTCCTTCTCTTAGTGTCTGCCCAGCCTCGGCCTGACTCTTGGCCTTCCTGGATCAGCTGCCTCTGGGGCTGGACATGGGTTTTTCTCTTAAATGCAACCACTCTACCTGAGATTCCTGGAAACTCTCCAGAATCAGAAGCCCTCACCTCTGATTATTTCTTCTGGTGTAACCTTTCCCGGCCCTCCTCTTCACCCTCAGTGTTTGATGCCCAAGTCTTGGCCCATGGTTAGCACATCTCCCCATGTGACTACTGGGCCCATCGAGATGTTACCTGGGGTGGGGGTATACATGGGCACCAGAGGCCTGGGGAAGACCATGAATTCCTTGTGCCACCACATGCCCTGAACTTCTGCTGTCACTCGCTGACTTCCCTCCCTCTCTCAATCTCTGCCTGTCTCTGACACACACACTCGCACACACACTAAACAGGGATCAGGCTTGAGGCAGGAGGCCAGCTCCAGTGACGCAGGGAAAGGGCAGCAGGCAGGATTCTGCATGGGTTTTTATTTTGTTGCTCAAGATCTCCTGGAAAGATGTTTCCTAACCTCCCTCAAAGAAGCTGGCAAAGCCTGGGGCTATCAGGCCCGGGGCAGGGTTTCCAATTCACCTATTCCCAATTTCATTTGAAACAGCAAACACATTTGCCTTGGCATCACTCAAACCGTTCTTTCTGCAATGGAAGGCTGTTTTCCTCTCAAGTCTACTCTCCGCAATGACAATTAATTAGCTTCTCTAAAGGTGCATGATGAAAAGCATGCCCTCGGGGAAAAGCGATGCTCTAGAGGCAACTGGGTTAACCACCAGTTCAAGAACAAAGTGTGTCCTTCTTCCTGTTACCAAACCAGAGTCCTGGAAACTCGCTTTTGTGCCGTCAGAGCAGCTGGACACAAATGCACTGGCGGTGGGCAGAGGTGTGGCTCTACCCACTTTCAAAGTCTGCACTCCACCCTGCAGCCTTTGGGCTGATGCACCTTCACCCTGGGGGCTTCACTGGGGTGGGCCTAGAAGGTCACATGTGCTCCCAGCCTTCTAGGTGCTGTGGGAGATCTCACGTTCCCTTCAGATTTTAGGTCCATGTCAGGGGCTCCCCAAAGTAGATCCCCTATATCCCCAGACCTGTCCCAACTAGGAGCTCTTCTTTCACCAGTCCAGAAGAGCTGGTGAAACTTTCAGACTCTGAGGTGTTTCCCTGATTTGTCCATAAGTGTGAAATGGAGATGAGTGTGTCCATTAGGTTCCTCGGTGCAGTTTCCTAAACTCCCCAGCAACCTGCGGAGGCTCTCAGTGTGCTCCCTCTGGCGGCCTCCTGGGAGAACGGAAGAACGGGAGGAAGGGAGACAGGTGTGGAGAGAGATGGGTGAGCCCGGGCAGGTGGGCGCGTTTGACAGGCAGAGAGGAGGAGCTGACGCGCCAGCCTCCACGGTGCTGGCGTCACTGCCTCTCCTGCGGCACCACGCTGCGGAGCACTTAAAATACCCACGTCCTACAGGAAGAGGACAGATGAGGCTCTAAATTTAGCGACAGTGGGTAGGTGGAGGGGGAATGAAGACTCCGGGATGTGGTGGAGCTGGCGTTGTCAGAAAAGGAGTAGGAATCCTGTATTTCCTGGGTGGGGATTCTAATTCATAAGGATAAGGGAGCTTCTGTCCCAATATCCGATCTCAGCGACCTGACTCCAGTTTCAGAAGTTCTCACCCCAGCTCTGTGGCCCCTCTCCCACCTCCCCCATCGGACGTGGTCTCTTCCCTTCCACACTTAAAGGTTGGGATTGTGCTACCCTTTCTCCTTGGGTCGCAGTGTGGCTGGCTCTGGGGGAAGAGGGTGTTACCAGGGGGCAAAAGCAGCATTTAAGAAAACTTCTGATTTTTAGTTAGGTCACTGGAAGGAGAGTAGTTTTCCTTCCATGGCACTACAGAGAAGAAAGGTAAGTCCAAAGGCAAGAAGCAGTGAAGCGGGGCAAACACAGTTTCCAGACAACAACTGCGCAAAGCCCCAGGGTACCAGGCCCAAGGAGGATGCAGGCTGCTCGTGCCACTTGCCCCCTGAAAGTCTAGCCCCCTCCCAGACCATTGGACGACTTCCCCTCTTCCTCGGGGACGTATTCTTGCTATGCCATCTTTTTGGTTTGGGGAAATCCCAAAGCACAGAGGCCTCCTTTTGCTGGGTGCAATGGTCGTGGGGAGGGGTTTAAGAACGTGGACTTTGCTGTCAGTGCTGCCTGTGTTCAAATCCCAGGAACTTAGTGTTGAGTCTTGGTCTTCAGCTTCTCTAAGGGTTGGTTCATCACGTAAACGGGGAAATTACTTACTCAAGGGGTTGAATGAGGCTTAAATAAGATAACCTTTTCTGAATAACTCAGAGTTGACATGCTGTAAAGTGCATGCTACTTGTTAGCTATCGTTGTCATTAATTACTGGGAGGTAAACAAAACCATCCTTAGTTCCAGTGATGCTGGGGTCTTTAAAAGCATAGGGTTTTAGGGATGGCAGAATTCCTCAAGCTTCTCCCATCTGAAGCCCAGACAGCATGTGGTTGTGATTTTGAACACATGCTTTGGAGCCAGACACACCTGGGTTTTTTCACGTTGGCAGCTCACAGAAGCTTACTGTGGCTAATGCCCATAGGAGTGTGACTATCATTGCCAGACTGTTTTAAACAGGCACAGTGTTATTATTTAAACAGGCACAGTGTTATTATTTAAACAGGCACAGTGTTATTACTATTATTATTATTTGAGATGGAGTTTCACATTTGTTGCCCAGGCTGGAGTGCAATGGCGCGTTCTCAGCTCACCGCAACCTCCGCTTCCTGGGTTCAAGCGATTCCCCTGCCTTAGTCTCCGGAGTAGCTGGGATTACAGGCATGTGCCACCATGCCCGGCTAAATTTTGTATTTTTTTTTTTTTTGAGACGGAGACTCGCTCTGTCACCCAGGCTGGAGTGCAGTGGCGCCATCTCGGCTCACTGCAAGCTCCGCCTCCTGGGTTCATGCCATTCTCCTGGCTCAGCCTCCCGAGTATCTACAGGCACCTACCACCATGCCCGGCTAATTTTTTATATTTTTAGTAGAGATGGGGTTTCTCCATGTTAGTCAAGCTGGTCTCGAATTCCCGACCTCAGGTGATCCGCCCATCTCGGCCTCCCAAAGTGCTGGGATTACAGGCGTGAGCCACCGCGCCTGGCCTGTTATTTATTATTTTTTAACAGATGGGGACTGTAGCAGACAGGAACTGAGCTGCTAGGGTCTTAGTAAGCAAGATCTCACAGAGTTTTGGATTCCAACTTCTGTGGCCAATTTTGAGCTGCATGAGCAAAGGTGATCTAGTGCTGCACGGAAGGCAAAGATAGAGGAGGATAGCTCACCATATAGAAAGTCTTTTGGACTCAGAAGGGGCAGAATCTCAAAAGATTCTCAAAAATAAAAGCTTTCTAGGTAAGCATTGGTGGATGGAATGATTTTTTGTTTTGTTGTGTTTTTCAGCCAGGTTTTCAGTCCGAGCTTCAAATCTAAAAAGAAGCTAAGTTGCTCTCCCAAGCATGTGTGTGTGAGCTTTGTGCAGGCCTAAGTGGGCCATGCCTGGTCTTATTGTCACTGGGAGCTGTACCATGAGATGAGACAGTAAAATGTGGAGGTGTCTTGAGCTCAGATCATGAGGCTTGTCCACAAGCTCTGAGGAGTTACTTCCAACCATCTCAAGGTAGGTGTTGAATTGTAATCTTTATCATCCTTTGGTTACCTATACAATCCTTGGCCATGAAGTTGAATTTTGGAGACCTAGACTGTGGCTTTACTCACTAAGTATATTATATTTTTCCCAATGTAGATATCAAAAGGAGGAAGAATCCCTTATTATATACCATTTTCTTGTTAGGATGTAGAGATAACTGAACTTACTGCAAACCCAAAGGCTCAAGAAGGCAATTACAATGCCTATGTTTAAAACATTCTAAGAATCAGATTTGCTCAAGGAATCAAGGAAGAACTAGTTAAAGACAACGGCAGCAGCAACAACAAAACAACGTAGAATTTTGTCTTTCTTCTGGAACGGGTGCAGTGGAAATAAATAAAAACAAAAGAAAAAAAAGGCTGATTAAGATGGGGGAAGAGGGAAATTTCATTGGGAGAAAGGCTTATGGTCTTTGAAGACAAGCTAGACAATGTTAAAGAAGTATGAGGACTTAGAGGCCAGGCCAGATGGGTATGTAAGTGAAAAGGTGTATGTGGGTCTGATGACCCTCAATTAGAGGATTAGACAAGGCCATTGACAGGGCTATAGAGTCTGGTGAGACAAGAAAAATGCAAAACAAAATGCAGAACTTATTAAGCGAGGAAAACTTGCTAAGGATCCAGGTATGGGTGCAGTACTGTTCCATCTACCTAAGATGGGAGAAGGCACAATGCAGAAGATGCCCTGCTGATGTGAGCTGTGAAACAGTCCAGCCAAAAGCCTGGCCTGTGGTCAGCAGAGGTAAATCTACCAGGAGAATGCTCATGAGGTCACTGGTGAGAATTACCTTGGCAGAAAGTAGCTCTCTTGTCCTGCTCTTCAATCTGACAAGTCACTGTTTTATAGCACTGTCTTAGTCAATTGGGCTGCTGTAACAGAATACCATAGCCTGGGTGGCTTAAACCAGGGATCCCCAACCCCTGGATCACTGATTGGTACCAGTCCGTGGTCTGTTAGAAACTGCGCTGCCACAGAAGGAGGTGAGTGGTAGGCAAGCAAGTGAAGCTTCTTTTGTATTTATAGCTGCTCCCCATTGCTGGCATTACTGCCTAAGCTTTGCCTCCTGTCGGAGCAGTGGCAGCATTAGATTCTCATAGGAGCACAAACCCTGTCGTGAACTGTGCATGTGAGGGATCTAGGTTGTGTGCTCCTTGTGAGAATCTAATGCCTGATGACCTGTCAATGTCTCCCATCATCCCCAGATAGGATGTCTAGTTGTAGGAAAACAAGTTCAGGGCTCCCAGTGATTCTACATTATGGTGAGTTGTACAATTATTTTACTATGTATTGCAGTGTAATAATAATAGAAATAAAGTGCACAATAAATGTAATGTGCTTGAATCATCCTGAAACCATTCCACCCTCCAGTCTCTGGAAAAATTGTCCTCCATGAAACTGATCCCTGGTGCCAAAAAGGTTGGTGACCACTGGCTTAAAATACATACATTTATTCCTCACAATTCTGTTGGCTGGGAAGTTCAAGATCCAGGTGTCAGCAGATTTGGTTCCTGGTGAGGGCTCTCTTCCTAGTTGGTAGACATCTATCTTCTTGCACATGGTGGAGAGCAGAGAGAGTGAGGATGAGCACTCATATCTCTTTTTATAAGGAAAGACACTAATTGCATTAACGGGAGCTCTACCTTCATGACCTAATTACCTCCCAAAGGCTCCACCTTCTAATATTATTGCAGTTTTTGCCATTTTTTAAAATGGCAAAACCACAGTTACTTTTGCACCAACCTAATGCCATCACGTTGGGGATTAGGATTTCAACATATAAATTTTTTAGGAGGAGGGGACACAAACATTCATTCCATAATAGGTACTAAGTTTTTGACCTAATAACCACAATCTTCCTGAGAAGGTCAAACTGCTTTGCTTAGTGGGGTAAATGACTCTACAACTCTGACAAGGTGTGAAACTTAGTATAGAGTCAGTGAGGTAAATTATAATATTGTGAAGTCAAGTTTAAGATAAATTTAAAAATCTGTATGAATTTAAGTTAAACCTGAATTTAAATTGTGTTTTCAACTTGAAATATGTGATTTTAGACTGATGAGTTTCAGTTGAAAGGTATAAGATGCTGCTTAAGCTTATAAGCAGTATTAGAACATTTAGGACACATCAAACATCTGAACATGGCAAATCAAGTAATTAGATTTACAGGAGTTGCTGAAGTGGTGAGAAAGATTTTGCATATAAGGATTCTAAGTCTACCTTGTCAGGCAATGAAAAGCATGAGGAAAAGAAACTCAATATATTAAGCATGTGAATATGGTTTATATCAGTTATGAAAAATGTGCTAACTTTGTAAATAGGACTCATTGCTAAGAAAATGTAAATCTGTTTGAGTTAAACATCAATCAAAGAACAAGTGGAAGTGATTTTTTCAAAAACAACACTTAGTACATTTATAGACAGAATTTCAAGATTTGTAATTCGAATTTAAAGGCTTATGCAAAATCAGATTTTATAATTATAATTTTAATAAACATTGATTAAAAACCCAGATACCTGGAAATAGTCTTTCTCACACACATTAGACATTTAAAATATTCACAGTGATGGTTGTGTGTGTGTGTGTGAAACTTGTATCAGTAATTAGATCAGAAAGAATGATGCACTCCAAAGAAATCTAAGAGATGGAGAAGAGATGGCCCAAAAAGGACTGGAGACACAAATTTGAGAAGCTTAAAAAAAAAACACAACGGGTTATAGTATTGAAAGCAAAATTTCCCATAATTTAGCAAACCAGTACCTCAAGAAAGTTTGATTTTAACATGTAGACCATTTTTTAGAAGTCTATTTTATTTATTTTTAATTTTTAATTTTTTTTTGAGACAGAGGAGTCTCCCTCTGTCACCCAGGTAGCAGTGCAGTGGCGTGATCTCATCAGCTCACTGCAACCTCTGCCTCTGGGGTTCACGTGATTCTCCTGCCTCAGCCACCCAAGTAGCTGGGATTACAGGTGCCTGCCACCATGTCCAGCTAATTTTTGTATTTTTAGTAGAGATGGGTTTTCACCATGTTGGCCAGGCTAGTCTTTAACCCCTGACCTCAGGTGATCCACCCACCTTGGCCTCCCAAAGTAGAAAGTCTATTTTAAACAATTTTAATTACAGCTAGCTTAATCATACACAGAATTCCTTTCATAAATTCCCCTTCATGAACCTTATCATGACTTACAAAGACCATTTACAACATGCTTGGACTTTTTGACTTGTCTTTACTATCTCTTTCTTAAATAACCAGCCATTTTATTTTCAGTTCTTAAATGTGTGTTTTGCCTGCAGTGCTTTTTGCTTTGACTTTTTGTTAACTGTATTTGGGCAATTGTTTAAAGCAGGTCACTTGGTTGTGAGAGCCCTCCCATTGTGTTGACTCTGGGACGCTGGAGTCATATTGTTCTGTGGCTCCCACCAGGCCTTTGGGATTCACTGTTGGCTTTTCCCTAGATGCTCTGAAGTTATTGGCATTGGTTAGCTCCCAGGTACTCTGGAATTTCTGGCATTTGGTGTAGGGACCCTCACTGGCTGATACTCTGGTACTCTGGATTTTTGGCATTTGGTTTTGTTGGCCACACTCTGAATGCTCTAGGGCTTTCAGCATTGGTGTTCCCTCTAGGATTGTGGGTTGAAGGCACACCCTAGGGGGAATCTTGGTCTTGCCTTTTCTTGTTTCCTGACCTAAAGTTATCATTTTCCATAACAGCATTTTCTTTTCTTATTGTCACTTTATTTGCACTTTTCCTTTTACATTTTGCTTTAAAAAATACTCCTTTTGTCATAGTTCATTCACTGGCAAATCCTTATAACCCACTTTCATAACGCCTTGCTACTTATACTTACACCTTCTCAGCAGGAAGTGAGAATCTAAAAGGAAAACATAGTAAAAGCCCAGTTCCTTTTCCTTTCACTAGACTTAGAAAAACTATGTCCGGTAGAAACATGGGACATGGGACAATGACAGGTATCCCAGAGGACTTGCCACTTGGGTTGTCTTTTAGGCTATTAGAGCAAATTCAAATTTGGCCTCAAGAAAAAGCAACTCATATTCTATTGCAATACCACTTGGTTTCAATACAAATTAGAAAACCAATAGATTTGGCCTAAACATGGTTCTATATGTTATAATAATATTTTACGATTAGACTCATTCTGTAAAGAAGAACGGAAATGAGAGGAGATCCCTTGTGTACAGGCTTTTATGGTCCTTTATTGGCTCATGTTACTTCTAAGTAACAGGAAGCTGTGCCTAAGGGATCCCCTCCTAGCTGCTCCCCCTAGAAGGCCTATGGCCTCCCTGGAGTCTCCTCAGTCCCCCAGTTCTGAGGGGGGTCCTGCCAGTTCTCTAATGAAGAATTCCACCCAAGGTCATTGGGCACCCCTTCCTCTTATCCAGCTACCCCAGCCTATACACCCTGCTGCCTGAGAAAGTACCAACCAGTACCACCAGGAGTAGGGCTCCATATCAGCTCCAAAAATCAAACCTGTGTCCATTGAGGGAGGTGCCTGATAGAAATGAGGAAACAGAGTACATGTGCCATTTTCTATGTGTGATTTAGTTTTATACAAGGAAAAATTTGGCCAGAGAATCCAGAAAAATTTATAAAAGAATTTGTTAAATAGACTATGTTTTTTAATTTAACACATCATGTCTTGCAAGTATTGTCATCTGCTTGCTGTGCTGTGGAAAAAAAGCAGAAGAAAAGGTGTGTGGTTAAGCCAGTGAATTATGACAAGGTGAGAGAAATAACTCAAAGACAAAATTCCCACTGTTTCAAGGTCATTTGTTTGAGACACTCAGGAAATATACCAATGCAGACCCAGACTCCTCAGAAGGGCAAGCTCTCCTGAGTATACATTTTACTACTCAATCTGCCCCTGACATTAGGAGGAAGCTACAAAAAGCAGCAATGGGACTTTAAACCTCCAAAGTCAACATTTAAACATGGCCTATAAAGTTTACAACAATAGGGCCAGGGCAAAAGAGGTGAAAAAAACAACAAAAAATAGCCCAAAAGTTCAATTGTTAACAGTTACTTTAAGCCCCCTGCCACCTCAAAGTTGCCCATCCCAAGAAAGTGTCACAAGATCAGCATCTGGGATGCCCAGACAAGAGCCCATATGTGTCTACCATAAGCAAAAGGGCCACTGGCAATGAGAATGTCCTAACTGTCCCTGGTGAGATAGGGAAAAAACTCCCTGTCAATACAGAGCTAACCTTCCATTAGCTACACTTAGTTGTCTTGCTCAAATAAGTTTACTGGGGGTCTTAGACCCTGACTCAATGGACAGTTTCCCACAGTGGTAGACAAGTGGCTGGCTGAACATTTTTCTTCAATATCTCCACTGCTGTATGAGCTCTCTGGCAGCCTGGGTACTCCAAGGTCTTTCCTTGAGCAATGCAGTTTGCCTTCTCCCTTCCTTATTTAATGCTATGGGATTTCCTTCCCTGCCTTTTCCTGTCTTCCATATCTACTGGGGCAAAAAAAATTTTGGCCTAATAGATGGTCCCAATTTTGTAAATAATTTGAATCCAGCTGTCTTATATAGGTCACTTCATTCATATAATATGTGTTGTGTCTAGCATGCTATCAAATTGCCTTATAAAAGAATGCTCATAAATTAAACAGATTAGATGATTGTAAACTTACTAGTTTTTAAAAAAATGTTGTATCTTCTACAATTTAACTTTAAGATTTTTACCTAAATAAACTATTAATATTCATAGGCTTAAAAATGATTACAATAGCTTTAAGTGGTGACTAGCTTTGTGTGGTTATTTTGGTTCTTGGTGGTAGTCTAGATAAAACTATTAAAAGTGAAATCTTAAATACGTCTAAATGCTGAGACCAGCTCAGTTGGGGAGACCCTAACCCAGCGGCGCTAGAGAAATTAAAGACACACACACACAGAAATATAGAGATGTGAAGTGGGAAATGAGGGGTTTCACAGCCTTCAGAGCTGAGAGCCTCGAACAGAGATTTACTCATGTATTTATTAACAGCAAGCCAGTCATTAGCATTGTTCCTATAGATATTAGATTAACTAAAAGTATCCCTTATGGGAAACGAAGGGATGGGCTGAAATAAAGGGATGAGTTGGGCTAGTTATCTGCAGCAGGAGCATGTCCTTAAGGCACAGATCGCTCATGCTATTGTTTGTGGTGTAAGAATGCCTTTAAGCAGTTTTCCGCCCTAGGCAGGCCAGGTGTTCCTTGCCCTCATTCTGGTAAACCCACAACCTTCCAGCATGGGTGTTATGGCCATCATGAATATGTCACAGTGCTGCAGAGATTTTGTTTATGGCCAGTTTTGGGGCCAGTTTATGGCCAGATTTTGGGGGGCCTGTTCCCAACATCTAAATATAATAGATACTTAAACAGTGAACTTTTTGTGTGGTTTAAAATCTTGAAATTGTGCAATGGTTCTCATCTATAAAATGTCAGTGTTTCATGGGCAGTGCAGGATTTCTTACATCCTTGGTTTATATAAAATATGACAAAAATTATATTCTTTATTGGGGAATAATAATAATAGTTTTTGTTTAATTTAAAAATTATTGAGAGGTTCAAAATATGAGGGAGCCAGTAAGTTAAAAAAATTATATAAAAAATTACAGATTAAAAGATTTTTGGCAAGTAAAAATATAAAGAATAATTTTGTATGAAGAGGGATCTTGTAAATTCTTGTCCTAAAATAAAATGACTCGTTATGTAAGAAAGAGATAGTATAAGACAAGTCAAAAAGTCCAAGCATATTGTATGGTCTGTGTAAGTCATGATAAGGTTTATGAAGGGGATTTATGTATGGAATTCTGGGTATAATTTAACTAGTTGTAATTAAAACAAAATCATTTAAAATAGACTTTCTGAAAAATGGTCTACATGCTAAAACCAAATTTTCATAAGATATTAATTTGCTAAATTATGGGAAATTTTACTTTTAATATTATAACATGGGGGCAGTACATCCAACTCAAATTCCAGAATTTCTTTTTTTTTTTCTTTGAGACAAGGTCTCACTCTGCAGCCTAGGCTGGAGTGCAGTGGCACGATCATAGCTCACTGCAGCCTTGACCTTTTGGGCTCAAGTGATCCCCCCTCAGCCTCCTGAGTAGCTGAATCTATGGGTATGCACCATCACACCTGGGGCATGGGTGTACAACTTGGCTTTTTCTCCCAGGAGGCTTAGCTATGGGCAAAAACTATAGACTCATTAAATGAACTCCGAGGCTACTCTGTATCCAAGGCTGACATTCTACTCAGTAGTTTATTCCTATCCCACACATGCCCAGCCTCATTTGTCTCACTACCCAAAATCCTCACCAGATGATTTGCTGTAAGATCATACAAGAGGATAACAACACTCCCATTATACAATGGCAGACATAAAGAACTTAAAAGTGCTTAAAACCCATTCCCTTTGGCAAAAGGACTAGTTGGCAAGCACTGAATAATAGTTAACTGCAAAACTAAGAGTAAAACAAAAGTGGGAATAGGAATGACAAGAGAATAATACAACAAACAAAATGGGAGGAAAAAGGAGAACAGCAGAAAAATCTCACTGATTCATTTTATGTAATAGCTACAAGTGAAAGGATATCATGTAAAGCTGACAAATCAAGTAGCAAAGAGTTGAGCATCTTCAAAAGTATAAAGGGTAAACATTAAGGAAGATTGTATGACTAAAGCTGAACAGGGGAAGGAAGGGAGGAGATGGAGGAAGAAAAGTTATAAGCTAGTCTTTTTTTGTTCATAGAAAGTAGCAATAGGATTGTCTAAAGAAAAAGGGAACTAAGTGTGTTAAAGGTAACCACTAGAACAATATTCCATTGTATGGATGTACCACAGTTGTTTATCCATTCACCTATTGAAGGACATTTTGGTTTTTCTTAAGTTTTGGCAGTGATATAGCAGTGGATAAAGCTGCTATAAACACTCATGTGCATGGTTTTGTATGGACAGGTTTCAACTCTGGTTAAATGCCAAGGATTGCTGGACTGTATGGTAAGAGTATGTATGTTTTGTTTTGTAGGAAACTGTTAAGACTATCTTTTCAAGTGGTCACACCATTTAGCATTCCCTCCAACAATGAAAGAGAGTTTCTGTTGCTCCACATCCTCACCAGCATTTGGTGTTGTCTGTGTTTTGAATTTTAGCTGTTCTAATATGTATGTAGTGGTGTTTCATTGTTGTTTTAACTTGTGATTCTCTAATGACATGATATTTAACATCTTTTCATATATTTATTTGTCATCAGTATATCTTCTTTAATGCAGTGTCTCTTCAGGTCTTTTGCCAATTTTAAAATTGACTTGTTATTGTTGAGTTTAAAAAAATATTTTGGATAACAAGCCTTTATCATCTTGTTTTAGTGTGGAACATTTGTTACAATTGATAAACCTACACTGACCCATCATGATTACTGAAATTCCATAATTTTCACTGGGCTTCACTCTTTGTGTTGTACATTCTGTGGGTTTGGACAAATGTGTAATGATATATATAATGACATGTATCTACTAGTACAGTATTACACAGGATAATTTCACCGCCCTAAAAACGCTCTGTGCTCCATATACTCATCCACACCCCTCCCTCCCCTTGAGCCCCTGGCAACCCCTGAACTTTTGACTGTCTCCATAGTTTTGCCTTTTTCAGAATGTCATATAGCTGAAATAATACATTATGTAGCCTTTTTAAATTGGCTTCTTTCACTTATCAATATGTATTTTAATTTTCTTCCATTTATTTTCATGACTTGATGGCTGGCTCCTCCCTCCCTCCCTCCCTCCCTCCCTCCCTCCCTCCCTTCCTTCCTTCCTGCTTTCCTCCTTTTCTCCCTTCTTTCCTTTACCACATTTGGCCCCTTGTGATATGGTGTGCCCCCCACTTCTCTGGGAATTGTAACAAACTATCTTTTCAATGGCAGTAATTTCCTGATCTGTTGGATTTACCATACCTAAAAATAATAAAACCAATTAAAACATTATCTACTGTGTGTGTCAGGCACAGTTCTAGGTCCTGGAGATCCAGCACTGAGCTGGCTGAAATCTCTGCTGTCATGGGGCTTACATTCTTTCTTGCAAAGCCCTTAGAGAAAACTCTAGTGGGTCATTTGCTATGGGATGAAGCAGGTGGAAGAGTCAGCAGGTGAATAGGTTCCCTGTTCTCTCAGCATTTTGAGGAGGGGGTTAAGAAGGCTCCCTCTTCCTATTGCTGTGACTTTTAGAAGGCAAGTGTGGGTGGCTTTGTGGCCTTGACAGTCTGAGTTTGAGTGCTAATCATTTACAGCAATACCTTGGAAAACATGAAGCCCAGCATCTAGAGACCTTGGAATATACTGAGATCAGGCATAACTTTTCTTACCTGGAGGAGAGGTTGGATAGCCAATAGTCACTAGGGAAGTTGAGTTCTGTCTGGAGTGGCATGTCCTGCTGGGAGAAAGAGGATGATGATCTTCCCAGCCCTCCAAGCTAGCCTCTTGCCAGGCAACTGGAAGGAGCTCCCCAGGTAATTCACCAGACAATCCTGCTTGTCTCCCACATTCTTATAGTTACTGAGAATGTGTTTAGCACAGTTCCTGGAACTGGAATACTCCCTAAAAATGTGAGTTACTTCAGTTATTGTCATCTCTTCTACAATAATGTGCAGAAGCAGGCACCTACACCCAAGAATAAGGATGTGAGAAGGAAGGAGACCCATGCTCCTGGGACTTATGCCTGGAATTATGACTTATGTTATATGACTATAACATGACATACCATCTACTATACTTTCCCTCTTTAATTTTAGCAGAGAATTTTTACCAGGTGCTACTAGGTGCTACCCTGAGACACGTAATATATCTTGCTCACCCTGTCATCAGCCAAAGTCTGTGGAATACAGGCTGTGTGTAACCAATGGTGTGTATTATCTCCTCTGTGTTACAGAAATATTGTGGGAGGAAGGGTACTCAGCTGGCTAAATTCTGCAGCAACAGGCAGTAGGAAACATACTCCACTTTCATCTGAAGAAGCTCAGTAATACTTTTTTTAATATATTTTATTTTTTAGAGCTGTTTGGGGTTCACAGAAAAACTGAGCAGAAAGCACAGAGAGTTCCCATATACCCCCTGTCCCCATCCCCAGACTTCCCTACTCTCAATATCCCTTACCAGAGGGTGCATTTGCTACAATTATGAACCTACATTGACCCATCATGGTCACCCACAGTCCATAGTTTTCAGTAGACTTCACTTGTTGTGTTGTAAGTTCTATGGGTTTTGACAAATGATATAAGTTCACCATTACAGGGTGGCCTCACTGCCCTAAAAATGCTCTGTCTTCCACCTACTCATCCCTCTTCCCTGACCTCCACCCCTTGGCAACTACTGATCTTTTTGCTGTCTCCATAGCTTTGCCTTTTCCAGGATGTCATATACTTGGAATCATATAGTATGAATCATTTTCAGATTGGCTTCTTTCACTTAGTAATATGCATTTAAGTTTCCTCCATGCCTT
Source organism: Homo sapiens (assembly GCF_000001405.40). Lineage (NCBI taxonomy): Eukaryota > Metazoa > Chordata > Mammalia > Primates > Hominidae > Homo > Homo sapiens. Next base: position 7,175,747 of record NC_000012.12, read on the forward strand.
TTAATGGCTGGTTAGCTCATTTCTTTTTATTGCTAAATAACATTCCATTGTATGGATGAATCACAGTTTATCTGTTCCTCTACTGAAGGACATCTTGGTTTCCTTCTTCAAGTTTGGTGTTTATGAATAATATTGTGCAAAGTTTTGTGTGGATATGTTTTCAGCTCATTTGGTTAAATACCAAAGAGTGTGATGGCTGGACCATATGATAAGAGTATGGTTAGTTTTTGTAAGAATTTGCCAAACTGTCTTCCAAAGTGGCTGTACCATTTTGCATTCCCAACAGCAACAAAAAAGGGTTCCTGTTGCTCCACACCCTTGTCAGCATTTGGTGTTGCCAGAGTTTTGGATTTTGGCCATTCCAATAGGTGTGTAGTGGTCTGTCATTGTTGTTTTAACTTGCAATTCTTAATGACATATGATGCTAAGCATCTTTTCATATGCTTATTTGCCATCTGTATATCTTCTTTTGCCTATTCAGATGTTTTGCCCATTTTCAAGTTGAGTTGTTTGTTTTCTTATTACTGAGTTTTAAAGTCTTTTAAAATTTTGGATAACAGTCCTTTATGACGTATGAGTTTTGCAAATATTTTGTCCAAGTTAGTAGCTCGTCTTCTCATTCTCTTAAAGTGATACTTTTTAGAATCAATGAATGTGGTAGAGGTCTCACAGGAAGCCAGCTTGGGCAGCTGGGTGGGAGCAGCCTACTTGAAAAGGCTCCCATGGACAGGAAGCATGTATATTTGGTGGTGGTGGGACTGGTAAGGTTAAGCCCTGGGAGGGGATTTAAAGATAATGCAAATATCAGAGTAAATGCCTAAATAATAAGGAATTATAAATGATAAGAAATTAGGGAATTAGCATGAGGACTTGTGCTCAATAGGTGCCTAATACACACTTGTCGAATTATTGAATTAAAATGGACAATGAGACTGGCTCTTATAGAGGGCATTTGACACTACTTACTACATGACAGTCATAGATTTTAGAAACAGGGACTTTTAGAAATCTGTTGTGCAATCCCTTCAGGTTGTAGATGACAAAATGTGGTGAGTGTCAAGGTGAAGTTACTGAAACTCATAGATGCTGAATATAAGTAACTGGTTGGGCAACTTAAGTTTCATTTGTTTAGCTAATGCTTATTCCAAAAAACAAACAATGATATGATGTTTCTTCAATCGTCAAACATATGTTAGAAAACTTGAGCCTATTGTATTGACCCATATTTTTGCTTACTGCATTTTTCCTTATTTCATGATGTTCCTGAGTTCCTTCTTTTATTGTTTCCTTTCTGCTTTAAGAACTTCCTTTGGCTATTCAGTCAGGGTAGGTCTGATGGGGACAAATTCTTTTCATTTTCCTTAATGAAGCATGTCTTGATTTTCCCTCCATTCCTGAAGGATATTTTCAGTGGGTGTGTTGCAAAATAATGTCCTTCCCAAAGATGTCCACGTCGTACTGTCTGGAACCTGTGAATAGGTGAGGCCACATGGCAAAGAGAAATTACAGTTGAAGATGGAAGTTTCTAATTGGCCCACCTTATGTTCTTATTGTTGAGTTTTAAGAGTTCTTTTTATATTTTGGATAACAGTTCTTTATCACGTAGGAGTTTTGCAAATATTTTCTCCAAGTCAGTGGCTTGTCTTCTCATTGCTGCTATAAAAATTTTTCACAAACTAAGTGGCTTAAAAAAGTTATTACTGCATTCTCTTGGTGTGATAACTTTTTAGAATCAATGAATGTGGTAGAGGTCTTGGAGATTATCCTCCAGGATATGGAGAGAGAATGTAGAGATGATTCTGGATTATCCAAGTGGGCCCAATATGATCACTGAGGTCCTTATATGTGAGAGATGGAGGCGGCAGGGAGAGAACCAGAGGGATGACCATATTAGAGGGGCTTGGCCAGACATTTCTGGCTGAAGACAGAGGTAGGTGCCATGAACCAAAGAATCAGGTGGCCTCTAGAAGCTGGAAAAGACAAGAAAACAGATTTCTCCCTACTGCCTCCAGAAGGAGCATAGCTCTGCTGACTCCTCGGTTTTAGGGGTACCCACCTCGGTATTGGGGTGTCTTCTTACAGCCTCATGAGGGAGGAAGTCTAGACTCCCCTCTTGGCCATTGCTTGTTGTGTGGGTAGGGGCACAGTTTTAAATTTGGTGTTTAGCTCGAATGGAGTGGTTATTGTCTAGAAGTTTCTGTCTTGGTAGGCTGCCCCTCTTCTTGTCCTTTGGTTAGAAAGAGCAGGCTTTTATTGGAGCTTATTTTGTCTGGGCATGTTGGTGTTTCTGGGTTGCTGGCCTCTTTAGCACTCAGTATGAGATATGTGAGGCAAAAAGGAAACCCATGGGACTCATTACCATGTTGTTTCTTGGGTCTTGTGGTCCCTAGCCAGTCTGCCTTCTTTTCTACACCTTTGAGAGTCTTCTTATGTTTGGTTTACATATAATGCTCAGGGTTTTAAGTTGTACTGAATGGAAGGAATAGAGAAAATTATGTCTACTCCATTTTTCCCAAGGCAGGATCTTTCTCCAAACACACACACACACACACACACACACACACACACACACACACACACACACACAGCTTATCTGTATATGCTATAGATATTTGGTGAAAAAACTCTGAAAAGGGAGCAAAACCACTCATTTGGGGAAATATTCCCAAGCAAAAAAATCTTGGTTTCCTTTTTCCTTCCTTCCTTCTTTTCTGTGTGGGGACAATCAAAGGTTTCCCAGCTGGATTTGGCAAGGGTGACATATTCTGAAACTTCTCTGGATTTCAAAGGTGGTAAGATTCTACTAGAAGCAGGATGCTATGGTCTGAATGTTTGTGTCTCCCTCATAGTTCATATGTTGAAATCCTAACCCCCAGTGTGATGGTATTAGGAGGCGGTTAGGAGGCTTTTGGGAGATGATTCGGTCATGAGGGCTCTGCCTCATGAATGGGATTAGTGTTGCTAGATCCCAGAGAGGTGGCTAGGCTGGCCCTTCCACCATGTGAAGATGCAGCAAGAAGGCACCATTTATGAGGAAGCAAGAACCTCACCAGACACTGAATCTGTGGGTGCTTTGATGGGACTTCTCAGCCTGCAGAACTGTGAGAAGTAAATATTTGTTGTTTATAAGCCATCCAGTCTAAGGTTTTTTTTTTTTTCCTTTTTTTTTTGTTTTTTTTTTGACATAGTCTTGCTCTGTCACCCAGGCTAGAATGCAATGGCACGATCTCGGCTCACTGCAACCTCCACTTCCTGGGTTCAAGCGATTCTCCTGCCTCAGCCTCCCAAGTAGCTGGGATTACAGGCACTTGCCACCATGCCTGGCTAATTTTTGTAGTTTTAGAGATGGGGTTTCACCATCTTGGCCAGGCTGGTCTCAAACTCTTGACCTCAGGTGATCCACCTGCCTCCGCCTCCCAAAGTGCTGGGATTACAGGCATGAGCCACGGTGCCCCAGCCCTCAGTCTAAGGTATTTTATTATAGCAGCCAGAACAGACTAAGACATAGGGGTGAAGACAGTGTGTACTACAGTCCTTGCAGCTATCTGGCAGCGTTCTCTACTGGGTGGCCAGGGATGGAGTTAAGATACTTTGTACCCAAACCTAGGTGCATAGTGCTGGGTATACCTCGGTATATCTAGATATCACTACTTTGAACACTTTTAAAGCAAATTAAGATTTCTTCAGGTCTTTTTAGATGGTCCTGGCTTCAAGATTTGCTGCATTTCATCACATATACTGTTTTCATCCTTTGCCAAGTTGTCTCTGCCAATGATGACTACTAGGGCTGCAAGGAGGGATGGGTAATTATAAGCAACAAGCCCTTCCAAATGTACATGTGTAAAGACTGTAACTTGATTTGCAATTTCCAGAGCATGGAAACTTCTATTACTCTGCATCTGATGTCATTAAAAAACTAAAGAATCAAATCAGATGGGGTCATCCCCCATTTCCTACCTGTCTTAGTTTGTTTTCTGTTGCTATAACTGAATATCACAGACTGAGTAATTTGTGAAAAATAGAGGTTTATTTAGATCATAGTTATGGAGGCTGGATAATTTATAAGGAATAGAGGTTTATTTAGTTCATGGTTCAAGAGTATGGTGCCACCATCTAATGAGGGCCTTCTTGCTACATCATAACATGGTGGAGGGCATCACATGGTGAAAGGGCAAGGGCAAGCAAGACAGAGAGAGCTTGCTTTTATAACAAACCCACTCCCATGATAGCAACATTAATCCACTCATGAGGGCAGAGGGGTTAAGTTTCTAGCACATTAGTATTTTGGGGACACATTGAAACCATAGTATTACCCCTCCTCCAAACAAGAGGAATGTAGACTTGAACACTTAGAAAATAAAGAAATTAGGCCAGGTGCAGTGGTTCACGCCTATAATCCCAGCACTTTTGGAGGCCGAGGCAGGTGGATCACCTGAGGTCAGGAGTTTGAGACCAGCCTGACCAACATGGAGAAACCCTATCTCTACTAAAAAATACAAAAATTAGCGGGGCATGGTGGTGCATGCCTGTAATCCCAGCTACTTGGGAGTCTAGGGCAGGAGAATCGCTTGAACCTGGAAGGTGGAGGTTGTGGTGAGCTGAGATTGTGCCATTGCACTCCAGCCTGGGCAACAACAACGAAACTCTGTCTCAAAAAAAAAAAAAAAAAAAAAAGAAATTCATTTATTCAAATGAATTTATTCAAAGAAAGTAGCTGTACCTAAATGAGATGATAGCTAGGTAAACTTGTAACTCATGGCTGGGCACAGTGGTTTACACCTGTAATCCCAGTACTTTGGGAAGCCAAGGTGGGTGGATCACTTGAGGCCAAAAGTTCAAACCAGCCTGGCCAATATGGTAAAACCCTGTTCTTTCCTTAAAAAAAAAAAAATACAAAAATTAGCCTGGTGTGGTGTGCATGCCTGTAATCCCAGCTACTTGGGAGGCTGAGGCACTAGAATTGCTTGAACCTGGGAGGTGGAGGTTGCAGTGAGCTGAGATCCTGCCACTGCACTCCAGCCTGGGAGATGGAGTGAGGCTCTGTCTCAAAAAAAAAAAGAGTTTTAACTCATGACTTGGATATCGTTACCAAGTGGAGGAAATGGCCTTAGGGATCCATGACACAGCAGGCAGAGCTCAGCTCTAAAACAGTGCTGAGAGTATTCATTTGTGACTCAGCCTTGTCTTGGGGATATGTCTATGTCTTGAGTCTTGGTCTCAAATCTCTGACTTTTAAGTATCTACACTGTAGTTCTAAATTTAACCCAGTAAACTTGACTTACCTGAGTCAGTAAATTTGCCTTGCAGAGATGTAAAAGTGACATTATAAGTTAAAATGTTTGATGTTTTAGAGAATCTGATGGATTAGCCTTTGATTTGGAAAGTAAAGTTTTAGACTTTGGCAACCCCCTTTGGGTCCCCTCCCGTTGTACAGGAGCTCTGTTTTCACTCTGTTAAATCTTGGAACTGCACACTCTTCTGGTCCATGTTTTTTCTGGCTCAAGCTGAGCTTTCGTCTGCCGTCCACCATTGCTGATCACCACTGTTGTAGACCTGCTGCTGACTTCCACCCCTCCGGATCTGGCAGGGTGTCCCTGCGCTTCTGATCCAGTGAGGTGCCTGTTGCTACTCCCGATCGGGCTAGAGGCTCGCCATTGTTCCTGCATGGCTAAGTGTCCAGATTTGTCCTAATCAAGCTGAACACTAGTTGCTGTGTTCCATGGTTCTCTTCCATGACCCATGGCTTCTAATAGAGCTATAACACTCACTGCATGGCTCAAGGTTCAATTCCTTGGAATTCGTGAGGCCAAGAACCCCAGGTCAGGGAACAAAAGGCTTGCTGCCATCTTGGGAGTGGCTTGCCACCATCTTGGGAGCTCTAAGAACAAAGACCCACCAGTAAGATTTGGTGGCCTATACGGGGATTCTCCAAAGCGGTGAGTAATATTGGACCACTTTTGCTTGCTGTTCTATCCTATCCTTCCTTAGAATCAGAGGAAAATACCAGGTACCTGTCAGCTGGTTAAAAACGATTAGCGTGGCTGCTGGACTTAAGACTCAGATGTGAGGCTTTCTGGGAAAAGGCTAACAACTCCCAACCCTTGTGGGTTGGGAGCATTGGTCTGCCTGGAACCAGCTTCCACTTTCACAATATTCCTGGGGGAAGTCGAGGGCTGACTAGAGGCAGAAAGGTGTCATCCTGAACTCCTGGCATTGGCCAGTCAAGATCATGGCACAGCCAGAAGTCTCTACTCAACAATCGCCCATGCATGTGCGACTACCTCTCCTTCTGACCCATACCTCCTGAGTTCTGATCACGACTTTCTTGAAAGTGTAGCCCCCAAATTCTCCTTACCTGTGAATCTACTGCCTTTGATCCCTGCCTCCTAGGTACAAATGCTTCAGACTTTTACTTCCTTTCCCAAGTATTAGAGCAAGTTGTATCTCCAAAGGGATCTAAGGGAGCTCTACGCTGCATCCTTAGGCACCTAGGCTATGAACCCAGGGAGTCTTGCCCCTGGTGTCCCTCCCAATTTAGGTATACAGCTGTCAACATAGGCAGTTATGTGGGACCCATTCCCCACCACCCTTGCCAGGGCCTTAAAACTGATGACCCAGTACTTTAACAACTGGAACTCGGTCTACAACAATATAATAGATCAGGATGAAAATGCATTAAGTAAATTAAGGGAAGGCACATATTCCTATAGTGGCAAATGGGGGCAATGAGCAAACGTCCTTCCGCTGTGTTCCCAAAATCCATCTACCAAGAGAGAAACTATCTCTCTCACAGCTTTGCCTAGTGATCCTATGTAAGTCAATACTACTGGAAAGACAACATAGCACCCAGAAGTTTATTTACTGGACTTTAGCATATAAAGCCAGCAAGTCCATCCTTTTCTCCTTGCTCCCCTTCTCATAGGAAAAAGGCACATAGGATAAACAGGATCCATCTGTCATATTTTGTACCCAAAAAGACTTAATCCGGGACAACAAAAAGTTTAAGATCAATAATTAGGGCATATTCCTACAAAGAAAAAGAAGGACAAAGGCCCCAGTGGTCAAAAACTCTATCTCAATCCTGACTCAAAAGGTTACCTACACCCTCTCTGAAATGAATTTGCATAGGAACTGTTATTTATGGGAATGCATTTTCATGGGGCAACTGGGTTGTTATGAAATACTCAGGAACACAGCCCAGCTCTAGAACTCACCCCTGAGTGCAAAGGCAATGTTGGGCATGCTAGTAAAGGACCCCTAGAATCCAGCAGCCCCGACCCCTTTCTTTGTGGTCAAGAAAGGTGGGAAAACAGGTGCAGGACTGCTACATTGGTGAGCATAACTAATCCGATAAGCAGAGGTCCATGGGTGGTTACGCACCCTGGAAAGGAATAAGCATTAAGACCACCGAGGATGCTCTAAAACTGATGCGATGCGCATTGGAAAATGACTCGGGGTGCTGGCATCCCTATGTTCTTTTTTCAGATGGGAAATGTTCCCCCCAAGGCAAAAATGCCCCTAAGATGTATTCTGGAGAATTGGGACCAATTTGACCCTCAAACACTAAGAAATAAATAACTTATATTCTTCTGCAGTACTGCCTGGCCATGATATCCTCTTCAAGAGGGAGAAACCTGGCCTCCTGAGGGAAGTATAAATTATAACACCATCTTATAGCTAGACCTCTTTTGTAGAAAAGAGGGCAAATGGAGTGAAGTGCCATATGTGCAAACTTTCTTTTCATTAAGAGATAACTTGCAGTTACGTAAAAAGTGTAATTTATGCCCTATAGGAAGCTCTCAGAATCTACCTCCCTACCCCAGCATTCCCCCGGCTCTTTCCCCAACTAATAAGGACCCCCCTTCACACAAACGGTCCAAAAGGAGATAGACAAAGGGGTAAACAATGAACCAAAGAGTGCCAATATTTCCCGATTATGCCCCCTCCAGGCAGTGGGAGGAGAATTTGGCCCAGTCAGAGTGCATGTACCTTTTTCCCTCTCAGATTTGAAGCAAATTAAAATAGACCTAGGTAAATTCTCAGATAACCCTGATGGCTATGTTGATGTTTTACAAGGGTTAGGACAATCCTTTGATCTGACATGGAGAGATATAATGTTACTGCTAGATCAGACACTAACCCCAAACAAGAGAAGTGCCGCCATAACTGTAGCCCGAGAGTTTGGCGATCTCTGGTATCTCAATCAGGTCAATGATAGTATGACAACAGAGGAAAGAGAACAATTCCCCACAGGCCAGTAGGCAGTTCCCAGTGTAGACCCTCATCAGGACGCAGAATCAGAACATGGAGATTGGTGCTGCAGACATTTGCTAACTTGCGTGCTAGAAGGACTAAGGAAAACTAGGAAGAAGCTGATGAACTATTCAATGATGTCTGCTATAACACAGGGAAAGGAAGAAAATCCTACTGTCTTTCTGGAGAGACTAAGGGAGGCATTGAGAAAGCATACCTCTCTGTCACCTGACTCTGTTGAAGGCCAACTAATCTTAAAGGATAAGTTTATCACTCAGTCAGCTGCAGACATTAGGAAAAAAAACTTCAAAATCTGCCTTAGGCCCAGAGCAAAACTTAGAAACCCTATTGAACTTGGCAACCTTGGTATTTTATAATAGAGATCAGGAGGAGCAGGCGGAATGGGACAAACGGGATTAAAAAAAGGCCACAGCTTTAGTCATGGCCTTCAAGCAAGCAGACTTTGGAGGCTCTGGAACAGAAAGGCTGGGTAAATTGAATGCTTGCTTCCAATGCGGTCTACAAGGGCACTTTAAAAAAGATTGTCCGAATAGAAATAAGCCACCCCCTTGTCCATGCCCCTTATGTCAAGGGAATGACTGGAAGTTCTGCTGCCCCAGGGAACGAAGGTCCTCTGAGTCAGAAGCCACTAACCAGATAGATGATCCAGCAGCAGAACTGTGTGCCCAGGGCAAGCACCAGCCCATGCCATCACCCTCACAGAGCCCCGGGTATGCTTGACCATTAAGGGCCAGGAGGTTAACTGTCTCCTGGACACTGGCACAGCCTTCTCAATCTTACTCTCCTGTCTCGGACAACTGTCTTCCAGATCTGTCACTATCTGAGGGGTCCTAGGAGAGGCAGTCACTAGATATTTCTCCCAGCCACTAAGTTGTGACTGGGGAACTTTACTCTTTTCACATGCCTTTCTAATTATGCCTGAAAGCCCCACTCCTTTGTTAGGGAGAGATATTCTAGCAAAAGCAGGGGCCATTATACACTTGAATATAGGAGAAGGAGCACCCATTTGTTGTCCCCTACTTGAGGAAGGAATTAATCCTGAAGTCTGGGCCACAGAAGGACAAATAGACAAGTGAAGAATGCCTGTCCTGTTCAACTTAAACTAAAGGATTCTGCCTCCTTCCCCTACCAAAGGCAGTACCCTCTTAGATCCACCCAGCTCTCTGATGGACAGCCCAACAAGCCCCAACTTGGACTTCAAAAGATCGTTAAGGACCTAAAAGCCCAAGGCCTAGTAAAACCATGCAATAGTCCCTGCAATACTCCAATTTTAGGAGTACAGAAACCCAATGGACAGTGGAGGTTAGTGCAAGATCTCAGGATTATCAGTGAGGCCGTTGTCCCTCTATACCCAGCTGTACCTAACCCTTATACTTTGCTTTCACAAATACCAGAGGAAGCAGAGTGGTTTACAGTCCTGGATCTTAAGGATGCCTTTTTCTGCATCCCCGTACATCCCGACTCTCAATTCTTGTTTGCCTTTGAAGATCCTTTGAACCCAACATCTCAACTCACCTGGACTGCTTTACCCCAAGTGTTCAGGGATAGCCCCCATCTATTTGACCAGGCATTAGCACAAGACTTGAGCCAGTTCTCATACTTGGACACTCTTGCCCTTTGGTATGTGGATGATTTACTTTTAGCAGCCCGTTCAGAAACCTTGTGCCATCGAGTTACCCAAGCGCTCTTAAACTTCCTCGCCACCTGTGGCTACAAGGTTTCCAAACCAAAGGCTCAGTTCTGCTTACAGCAGGTTAAATACTTAGGGCTAAAATTATCCAAAGGCACCAGGGCCCTCAGTGAGGAACGTATCCAGCCAATACTGGCTTATCTTTATCCCCAAACCCTACTAACTGTTGGATGTGCCTCCCCCTGCACTTCAGGCCATACATTTCAATCCCTGTATCTTTAACCTCCTTGTTAAGTTTGTCTCTTCCAGAATCAAAGCTGTAAAAACTACAAATGGCTCTTCAAATGGAGCCCCAGATGCAGTCCATGACTAAGATCTACTACAGACCCCTGGACCTGCTAGGCCATGCTCTGATGTTGATGACATCAAAGGCACCCCTGCTGAGGAAATCTCAACTGCATGACCTACTATGCCCCAATTCAGCAGGAAGCAGTTAAAGCAGTCGTTGGCCAACCTCCCCAACAGCACTTGGGTTTTCCTGTTGAGAGGGGGGACTGAGAGACAGGACTAGCTGGATTTCCTAGGCCAACTAAGCATTCCTAAGCCCAGCTGGGGAAGATGACTGTACTCACATTTAAACAGGGTGCTTGTAACTCAGCTCACACCTGACCAATCAGGTAGTAAAGAGAGCTCACTAAAACACCAATTAGGCTAAAAGCAGGAGGTAAAGAAATAGTCAATCATCTATTGCCTGAGAGCACAGGGGGAGGGACAATGATCGGGATATAAACCCAGGCATTTGAGCTGGCAGTGGCAACCCCCTTTGGGTCCCCTCCCGTTGTATGGGAGCTCTGTTTTCACTCTATTAAATCTTGCAACAGCAAAAAAAAAAAAAAGAAAAGAAAAGAGTTTTAGACATATGACTTTAAGAGGATTAAGAAAATTGAATAAATGTTTATAAGTTTGATTTATTAAAGGGTTGAATAAAAGTTCAGAAAGGTTTTGCCTAGTAGTGTTGTTTGCCCTGTCAGGTATTTAAAATATGAATATTAAATGTCACATAGTTAAAAATATTAGGAAATTTGTCTTTTATTTCTAAAAAGCAGAAGTACAGCACAGTGTTTAAGAGCATGGACTCTGGAATAAGACTGTGTAGGTCAAAGATCCACAAACTATGGCCTGGTCCCTGTTTTTCCATAGTCTGCAAGCTAAGAAGTATTTGACGTTTTTTGGCTGGGCACGGTGGGTCACATCTGTAATCCCAGCACTTCAGGAGGCCAAGGGGGGTGGATCATCTGAAGTCAGGTGTTTGAGACCAGCCTGACCAACATGGTGAAACCCCATCTCTACTAAAAATACGAAAATTAGCTGGGCATGGTGGCATGTGCCTGTAGTCCCAGCTACTCGGGAGGCTGAGGCAGGAGAATCACTTGAACCTAGGAGGTAGAGGTTGTAGTGAGCCGAGATTGCGCCACTGCATGCCGGCCTGGGTGACAGAACAAGACTGTCTCAAAACAAATAAGTATTTGACATTTTTAAATAGTTGGAAAAACATCAAAAGAAGAAGAATATTTTGTAACATGAAAATTATATAAAATTCACATTTCAGTCCCCATAAAAAGCATTACTGGAATACAGCCATGCTCATTTGTTTAGGTGTGGCCTATGTCTGCTTTTGTGCTCCAACAGCAGGGTTGAGTCACTGTGACAGAGACTGCATGGACTACAAAGCCAAAAATATTGACCATTGAGCCCTTTACAGTTTGGTGACCGTGGTCTGGGTTCAAATCCCAGCTCTGCTATTTATTAGTATGACCTTGTGCAAGTCACTCAACTTCTCTGTGCCTCAGTTTCCTCTTTTGTAAAATGGGGGATAATAGTTATTATTAATAACTATTAGGAGGATTAAATAAATCAATAGTTGAAAAGTGCTTGAAACAATGCCTGGCACACAGTCAATGCAATGTGTGTCTAAACATCTATTGAACTTGAATTCGTCAAACATTAAAGAATAAGTAAAAATTATTTTTATTTTATAAAAATTACTACTTTTATGAATAGAACAAGAATTTAAAGTTGAACCTGGATTAACAAAATCTAGGGTTTCAAATCTAGAGCTTCAGTAAATTAAATATTAAACACCAAAGTCACTCTATTAGCCCTTTCCCAGCACCTCTGGCTGGGACTGTGGACCAAGTTCTGTGAATGATTCTATGGCCTAGGAGATCAAAGATCTCCATGGTTTATCAGTAAGTCTTCTCTAAGACTGGGAAGTAGGTGCCTAGAGTTATGCCTGGATTAAATTTTGACTTCCTAGCCATCTGATTTTGCACAAGTCTTATCTGTAAAGTGGGTCTACTAATATCTATTTAATAGGGGTATTAAGAAGATTAAAAACATTGAGATACATAAAGTGTTTTACACAACACCTGGATTTTAGTAAACATCAGTTATTATTATTAGCATTCTTCCAAGATCTGCACACAAAGTGAGTTACGGCTAATCAGTTGATAAACTCCTAGCAGAGCAGAAGGTTATGTGTGTTGTGATGTTTAAGTGGTACTGGGAAACTCTGGTTGCCTTGAGGTTCTGAAATTCTACTGTATCAGATGGGTTCCTTTAAACATTGCTCTCTCTAGGGGGTCCTCTTTTTAAAAGTATGCACCTTCTGGAGGGCATCTCTTCATCCTTGTGTGGTTTAGTTTATCAGGTATTTTCCTCACGATGGCAGCCTGAGAACAGGGGACGCCCAAGGGCTGGGATTTGTGTGCTCCGGAAGAAAACGGGGTGTAGAAGTGGGGCCTCTGAAAGAGGGCGAAAAGGCAAGGAAAAGGAGAAATGTTGCACAGTCTTATGGTCTGTCCCCTGCCATTCTGTTCCCCTGAGGTGTCAGAGCAGCTTCTCTGTCTTCCCAGGGATGAGTTTACACAGACATTCCCTGTGGCCCCCTGAGGCCTCCACCTCTGAAATCTGCAGAACAGCCAGGAAACAAGCCCGGCCCATGGCGCCACCTGCTGCCTGCCTGCCTCCGCTCATGCACCCTGGGCTGGGATGGTACTTCTGTTCGTCTGGCATTATTGCCCTTGGTCATTTACCGGCAGCCCTGGGCCCCTCCTTGCTCTTCTCCATGACACTAGGACTCCCTTGGTCTTGAAGCTGGGTGAGATTATCAGGGTTTGTTTCTCAATGACTTTGAGGTTTGACAGCAGAGCACACTCTTTGGCAGATGAGGGGGCTTGAGGCTTAGTCTTATTCCGTGATTAAAAGCATTTCTTGTATGTTTGTCCTTTCCCAGCCTGGAGTGATGGGAATAAGGCCACTATGTTGACTTAGCGGAAGGAAGGGCTGACTCACTGTTCACCTTCCCTGTACGTTACCAGCTCGAGGTCTCAGGATGCGTTGGACCCTATTTTGGTCTCCGGAATTTGTCATCATGCAGTGCTATTTTCCCCATTATGCAGAGGTGGAGAGGGATTAAGGCGGGGGCGGGCCCCTGTCTCCATGGAGACAGTGACGCTACCCCGCTAGGGGTTATTTGGAAGCGGGGCAGGCCTAGGAGGCTGAAGAAGGCTTCGGACTGGACTCCCCAGCCCCTGGTGTTAGGGCTTTTCTCTTTCTTGGGCTTGGGAACATTAGCCAGCCCCATTTTAGAGGGGAAAACTGAGGCTCAGAAAGGGCACTGAATCCCCTTAGGTCACAATGCGCCCAAGGGAAGAGGCAGGATCGACTGAGCCTAGGATCTCGCGTCTTCGGCTTTCCCCCAGAGCCTGGGAAGCCCTTCTTAGCTCCACTCTTCTTTGAGCTTTCCGTCAAACAAATCCTAGGGCCCGTGGCCTTTTCGAGCGCTCCTAAAGGCGACTCTCCAAGACCCGCTCTCTAAGGTGCTCTTCCCCTTTAAGACTCACGGCTCTTCCCGTCAGGCTGCGTCGCAGTCTTAAGGCCCCGCCTTTTCAGACAGCTTCCGCTGGGCCTGGGCCGCTGCGGGGCGGTCACGGCCCCTTTAAGCCTGAGCCCCGCCCCCTGGCTCCCCGCCCCCTCTTCTCCCCTCCCCCAAGCCAGCACCTGGTGCCCCGGCGGGTCGTGCGGCGCGGCGCTCCGCGGTGAGCGCCTGACCCCGAGGGGGCCCGGGGCCGCGTCCCTGGGCCCTCCCCACCCTTGCGGTGGCCTCGCGGGTCCCAGGGGCGGGGCTGGAGCGGCAGCAGGGCCGGGGAGATGGGCGGTGGGGAGCGCGGGAGGGACCGGGCCGAGCCGGGGGAAGGGCTCCGGTGACTTAAGGGGAGGGAATGCTCCTCTGCCGTGCTCACCGCGTGCTGGGGCTGCGCGGGGCTAGGTATGGTCGGGCTGTTTTCCCACTGTCCCTTCTTCGGGCAGTGTCGCCGTCCAGCCTGGTTGTTGAAGCGTCCCCGTGGTCCCCCGGGGTCCAGGCCCCTTTGTGGAGGCAGCTGCTGGCCCCCAGCCCATGGGACCGTAGTCGCGGAGGCCTCTGCAGAGGCGCAGGCTGGAAGCGGTGGCCTTTGAGGGGGGCGGCAGGAGAGAGTACCGACCTCCCTCGAACTCCTGGCAGAGGTGGGGGTCGCAGCAAAAGCACTGGGGTGGAGGGCGGCCAGTGTGGGGCAGACGCCTGTGTGCCTTCCTCAGATACGGGCAGAGTTGTGGATGTGAGAAGGGTCTGGCTTGGGTACCTCAGTTCCAAACCTCCTGTGTCCATCAGAGAGCTGGCGGTCACCATGGCAATGCGGGAGCTGGTGGAGGCCGAATGCGGGGGTGCCAACCCGCTCATGAAGCTCGCCGGGCACTTCACCCAGGACAAGGCCCTTCGGCAGGAGGGATTGAGGCCTGGCCCCTGGCCCCCCGGAGCCCCGGCCTCTGAGGCAGTGAGTGTTCTTGAGGTGGAAAGCCCAGGTGCAGCCTCTGAGGCAGTGAGTGTTCTTGAGGTGGAAAGCCCAGGTGCAGCCTCTGAGGCAGTGAGTGTTCTTGAGGTGGAAAGCCCAGGTGGTGGTGGTCTGAGGTGGAGGGGCTGTTTGCACATCTTGGTATAACTGCTTTCTCTATTGTGTTGCAAATCATAGTAGTTACCACTTACTGAGCGTTTATAAACACTAGAAAACCCTGTGCACCTTTAAATAAATGCAACCATTTTATAGATGAAGAAGCCGAGGCTCAGATGCCTATGGGCTTCATCAACCCCTGATTTTAGAGGAACTGCGTCATTGTACATCTCTGTCTTTCTCTCTTAGGCCTCCAAGCCTTTGGGAGTAGCTTCTGAAGATGAGGTAAATAGACCAGTCTCTTTTCTGTCCCATTTTTCTCTTGCCCACTGTGTTTTTACCTTTAAACTTAGTTCACCCGTATTTCAATTTTTGGGCTTTCCTGACCGAATGAGAATGCCTGCTTGTTTTTAAATGTATTTTTTCGTCCTTCTAAATCTATGGAAAGACAGTTTCTCTTTATGTGTCTCCAGTTTCTGTGTTTTCCTTTCCTTGTATCTAACATTGGGATCCCCCTCCAGTGGGTCCTGCCTCTTGCTGGGGCCTCCCAAGCCTATGGGTTCATTTCATCATTTCCCTTCTGGCAGTTGGTGGCTGAATTCCTGCAGGACCAGAATGCACCCCTTGTGTCCCGTGCCCCTCAGACCTTCAAGATGGATGACCTCCTGGCTGAGATGCAGCAGATTGAGCAGTCAAACTTCCGCCAGGCTCCCCAGAGAGGTGAGTCCAGAGTCTAGTGGGAGGGGAGATCGTTTTCCATGTAGCCAGGGCCAAGGAAGGGGGTTCCATTGGATGCTGCTGGCATTGGGGACCTGAGATGCAGAAGGAGACAAAAGTAACAGAGTGTTTTCACGTGGATTCAGGGTTCTTTAGGCATGATGGAATGGTATGTATGTATTCTTTCTTAGTTTTCTCTCTCTCTCTTTTAAGCCCCTGGTGTGGCAGACTTGGCCTTGTCTGAGAACTGGGCCCAGGAGTTTCTTGCAGCTGGAGATGCTGTGGATGTAACTCAGGATTATAATGAGACTGACTGGTCCCAAGAATTCATCTCTGAAGTTACAGGTGAAACTTGTTATGGGAAAATCTATATTGGCTTCTATGGGACAGAATTCTATACCCTTCCCCTGTTCACGTTATAGTGTGATTACGATTTTTCTGGTCTCATGACTCATTTCTAGAGGGGTAGGGTACTGAACTCAATTTCCCTTAGGTGATAACGGAATGTAATGTATATTAAAGAGAGGACTGGGTTTGTACTGGATAAGAGATTTTGGATAGAGAGAACGAAGAGTTTGGTTGGCCTTTTTACTTTATCACTGTGGTTTAGTGGAGAGGATCTACAGATTGGATGGATGGCAGTGTTGCCGAGGAAGAGAGTATTCACTACAGCACCTGGGATTCTGGCCTTAAGTTATTTGGAACAGAATTGGGGCCTTCAGAGTGTTATTGTGAAGTTCCAGTGCCTGAAGTGTATGGCTTTAGAAGGTAAAGACCATACCATGATGATGATAATAAAAATTAATAACAATAGTTACGTTCTAGGCCTTGTGTTACATGCTTTGAATGCATTATCTACTTACTCTCCATGAGAACCCTAGAGGTAGTTACTGTTTTTAGACCTAGTTTAAAGATAAGAAAATTGAGGCTTAGAGGTGAAGTGTGCCCAAGGTTACACAGCTTTGTCAGTGGTAGAGTTGGGATTTGATCCTGGATTTGAATGATTCCTGACCCTGTGGCCTTAACTGTGATGCTATACTGTCAGGCCTGCAATTTATCTTCTTTCTTGCTTTGCTACAGACTTAAAGGTTTCAGCCTAATTTTTCCTCTTTGAAAGCATCCATTGCTCCTGCATCTTTTATGATTGATTCTTCTTGCCCTAAGCCTATCTAATCAGGTACATGGTGGGAAGGGCAGTCTCTTCAGCTTTCCTCTTCCTGATTGCTCTCAAAAGTTAGCCTTTTTCCTGTTTAAGATATCAAGAATAACAAGAGATACACATAGAGAAAGTTACCAAGTTCCAGGATCTCGGGGAGTCACATCATCATGGTTCCTGAATTTTTCTGAGATGATTAAAGGGACTGAATTGGTTTCTACCCCCACCATTTTAATTTATGTTCTTTCTTCGTTTGCTACAGATTTCAAGGTCTCAAGTCTAATTTTCCTTGAGAGCATCCATTGCTCCTCGCATCCTTTAGGATTGATTCTTCTTACCCGAAGCCTATCTGATCAGGGACAAATGTGTGTGAAGGAGGCCCATGTTTAGGATGGGCTTCTCCGCACACAAGAGAAAAATCCCAAATCTAAAAACTAAAACTCACCTTTAATAAGATCTGTGGGTCTCTTTTATCACGTGTCTCTTTCCCACCCATAAGTTGGAGTTAAGGTAGAACAGTAGGTGCTCTTGGCTTTAAGAGTGCTAATCACTTTATCTTCTTAAGCTCATTAGAACTTCACAGTAACAGTAACACAAGGTGGATATCCCACCCCCATTTTATAGATGAGGAGACTGAGATTTGGAAAAGTTAAATACTTTGTGCAAAATCATTGAATAATAGAGATGATATTCAAACTCATGTCTGTGTGGCTCTTGAGATTCTTTTTTTTTTTTTTTTTTTGAGACAGGGTCTTGCTCTCACCCAGGGTGGAGTGCAGCGGTGCAATCTGTACGCACTGCAACCTCTGCCTCCTGGCTTCAAGGGATTCTCCCGTTTCAGCCTCCTGAGTAGCTGGGACTACAGGCGTGTGCCACCATGCCCGGCTAATTTTGGTATTTTTAGTAGAGACAGGGTTTCACCATGTTGGCCAGGCTGGTCTTGAACTCCTGACCTTAAGTAATCCACCACAGCCTCCCAAAGTGCTGGGATTACAAGCGTGAGCCACCGCACGCGCCCTCACGTTGAGATTCTTTGTGAAATTGCCGCAAGTTAAAATCTGAACCATAGCAAAGACCCTCTCCAAGACAGAAACTCAGTTTTTCACATAAACCTTAGACTTAAGTGCTATCTCTTATCACAGAGAGGCTTCTGTTGTAATGTGGGCATTAGTCATTTTTGATAATTCAGAAAAATCATTGCTACTATGAGCGTTGAGATGGATGAAATTTTTGCTGTAATTACCTGAATTGCATGCAGCCATTGAAATCTTCCTTAACTTGAAATGAAAAAGAACTTTAGAAAAACATGTTTTATCTGTCTCACCAGTTAAATGCTCTTAGTAGAGCTCTTCTAGTATTTTGTAGATTCTTTTGGAATCGTGCCTGTTTCACAGAGGCAGAGACATGCAAACCTTAGAATGGGAGTTGAGCTGTTTGAAGTCTGCCTTCATAAAAATGTCTTATTGCAGCAGTATATTGCTTTGCATGTAGTAGGCCTCTGGTATTGAATGAATGAATTGAGATCTGGGAGAAAAAGCTAAAGGAAAGGAGTTCATTTTGTCGTAACTGACTTTTTTTTATTATCCTTCATTTTTAATTACAGCATTTGTGGTTGATACAATTGTATGGGTTAGCTATGGCTTTATAGATAAGTAGATTTTGAGATGAAAGAAGGTTATACTTTTTAAGTTCTTATTTTAAAATCTCCACTGTTAAGAGTCAAAATCAAGTTTAAAAAGAATGTTGCAGCTCAATTATTTAAATTTAAATTTTTTATTTGGAAGTACTTAGTTTCACTGGAAGTTGAAAAAAAAAATGTATAGGAAGGTTCTGTATACCCTTCACCCAGTCTCCTCCAGTGGTAACATTTTACATAGCAGTTATGCAGAGATCAAAAATCAAGAAGTTGCCCTTGTTTCAATCCTCAGAGTTTATTAGGTTTCACCAGTTTTACATGCCCTTATTTGTGTGTGTGTGTTTTTTGCAATTTTATTAAATGTGTAGATTTGTGTAAGCACCATCATGATCAAGATACAGAACTATTCTCTCACCACATGAAGTTCATTTTTTTAGCTTACCTTATTTTGTAATGGAATCCCCCCGTCTTAAATCTTCTGGGTCAAATAATTCTCCATCTTGTGTTTGCTCAGATCTAGAGATAAAACACATCTTCAGGGTTCTTAAATTTAGACAGCTTCGGTTGACATGGTATGTGAGGTTCATATGATAATCGTGAGAGATAAACCTGCACTTTCATGGGAAAAGCCATGGATAGCAGTAGCAGAAGATAATTGGCAACAGATCTTTTCTGGATGTTGGAGGAGAGGCTTTGGAATAACAGTCTCATTGTGATGTTTTCTGCTTTTGTTATAGGTTTGCCATGAGCAGACTAATGATAATAACTAACATTTGTTACTGTATTCATTGGTTTTCACCGCAGCCCCTACTGTTATCTCTGCTTTAAAGATA
The DNA here is from genome assembly GCF_000001405.40 of Homo sapiens. Taxonomy (NCBI): domain Eukaryota; kingdom Metazoa; phylum Chordata; class Mammalia; order Primates; family Hominidae; genus Homo; species Homo sapiens. The sequence continues at coordinate 7,194,981 of NC_000012.12, forward strand.
AGGACATGGAAACTTAAGAAGGTTGAGTAACTAGTCTGAAGATGCACAGTGAATAAGTGATGGAGTTAGGATTTAAATGTGGGTAGACTGACCCTACAACTTGTATTCTTCTCCACAGTGCTGCTATTTAGCAGACACAGAAACTTTCATGAGTAAGAGTAGCAAGTTCTGAGTTTTTGACTTTTGAGCTTGGGGAAGATGTGCCTAGAAGGAATGAGTAAACAACGAGAAATTATATGAGGTGCACATTTTGAGTGGGGTATTTGGTGTCTAGGTTATTCTCACTCTACTAATCTGTATGACCTCAGGCAGTGCATCCCCTCTGTAGACCTTAGTTGCCTTGATCTCAGATGTATCCACATGGATCTGATTTTCTGTAGGAATTTCTCAAAGATTGTGAAGGCAGTGTGTTACTCTTTTGATTCTTTCGGTTATTTGACTCTTGTTGGAGTAGGTTCCCAATGCCAAGAAATTCTGGGTCTTGTGGCGATTTAATCTGGCCAACTACCAAATTATAGGTATTTGAGGATAGTTTTTCTCAGCTCTGGGATTTTTTTTCTTAAACTGCCTCATATCTATTGTTAAGTCCTCATGTCTGTTGTAAAAATTCAAAGGTGCTTTGTGTTTTTTCTGTTTTTTTTTTTTTGTCCTTGAGAGGACCATTTCATAGGAATTTGAAATGTTTTCTGTGAATTTGAGGAGCACTTATGGCCAGAATATGCTTTTGCAAAATACTCTAGTTGAGAGTTAGAAGTGTTTGGAGAGTTGAGGAGGTAGTAGTTATTTTTCAACAGAATGGAGCTAAGAATTTCAACTAAGAATGGAACTAAGGAACTAGGAGATCTTAAAGTCTCTTTGAGTATTAAGCATCTCCTTTCCGTCTCCACACTTGAGGCAACAGTCTAATTGGGGCAAATGGAAGAGAAATGCTTCCTGTAAGAGCTAGTGAGCAGAATCTGTATTTAATTTTTGAGAGTCCTTGAAATTAACAGATGGATCTATGGTCAAAAAAAATTGCCAACCATATTTCTTATTACATTATACATTATATATTATATATATTATATATACATTTTACATTATATATAATGTATATATAATGTATTTCTTATGTTATAACGTATTTCTTATTACATTATGTTATATATAATGTATTTCTTATTACATATGTTACATATAATGTATTTATTACATTATATATTATATATAATGTAATATATGTTATGTAATAATTATATATGTCATATATAATTTAATTATATGTCATATTTAATTATATATGTCATAATTTATATATGTCATATATAATTTAATTATATGTCATATATAATTTAATTATATATGTCATAATTTATATATGTCATATATAATTTAATTATATATGACATATATAATGTAATAATTATGTGTCATACATATATGTGTCATATATAATGTAATAATTATATGTGCCATATATAATGTAATAATTATGTGTCATATATAATGTAATAATTACATCATATATAATGTAATAATTATATATGTCACATATAATGTAATAATTATATATGTCACATATAATGTAATAATTATATATGTCACATATAATGTAATAATTATATATGTCACATAATGTAATAATTATATATGTCACATATAATGTAATAATTATATATGTCACATATAATGTAATAATTATATATGTCACATATAATGTAATAATTATATATGTCACATATAATGTAATAATTATATATGTCACATATAATGTAATAATTATATATGTCACATATAATGTAATAATTATATATGTCACATATAATGTAATAATTATATATGTCACATAATGTAATAATTATATATGTCACATATAATGTAATAATTATATATGTCACATATAATGTAATAATTATATATGTCACATATAATGTAATAATTATATATGTCACATATAATGTAATAATTATATGTCACATATAATGTAATAATTATATGTCACATATAATGTAATAATTATATATGTCACATATAATGTAATAATTATATATGTCACATATAATGTAATTATATATGTCACATATAATGTAATTATATATGTCACATATAATGTAATTATATATGTCACATATAATGTAATTATATATGTCATATAATGTAATAATATATGTCATATATAATGTAATAATTATATATGTCATATATAATGTAATTATATATGTCATATATAATGTAATTATATATGTCATATATAATGTAATTATATATGTCATATGTAATAATTATATGTCATATGTAATAATTATATATGTCATATATAATGTAATAATTATATATGTCATATATAATGTAATCATATGTCATATACAATGTAATAATTATATATGTCATATACAATGTAATAATTATATATGTCATATACAATGTAATAATTATATATATGTCATATACAATGTAATTATATGTCATATACAATGTAATTATGTTATATATAATGTAATAATTATATATGTTATATATAATATAATAATTATATATGTTATATATAATGTAATAATTATATGTTATATATAATGTAATTATATATGTTATATATAATATAATAAGTAGTAATTACTTATTATTTATAATTAGGTGTATTCTGAGAGTCTTGATCTTTGTTTTTCACATTTTGACATTTCATGCTCAGATTTTGAGACTACTTTGTTGACATTATTCAGGCAAAGTTTCAGTTAAAATGGAGTAGAAGTTTTTGTACTTTAATACCGAAGGGGTAGTAAAAGCAAGGGTGGTCAGATCTTGAAACTGGGGACAAAGACTGCTAGTATCAGCTAATATTTTCACACCCCTGCCCAAATGTCCCTCTTTAATGCAAATTGGAGTTAGTAGGTTCTCAACAAGAGAGTGGAGTTCCCCCTTGGGAACTGTCCTTGTCATGGGCCAGGAGTGGGGAATAGCAGGGGAAGGTGGTGGCAGACTAACTAGTAAGATTAGTTCTGGACACAGGGCAGAAGGAAAGAACACCGTAGGCTTGTGCCTTCTCTTTGTTTCCTTGTGTTCTTTAGTGCCCGCAGTCAGTCTCCTTGTTTTTTTTTTCTGGCCACAGGATAGTAAAGGGCAAAGTCCTGGAGGATGAAAAACAGTTCAGCACCCTCATTGAGTTTGTTGCCTTGATAGGTTAATTCTGATGTTGCAGCAGTCCCCTTTGTCACTAGAGCTTCTGAGACAGTTTCTAAAATTAGACTGAAAAAACATAGCTACTCAAAGATAATCAAAAGTGAGAAAAGTCAGAATAGTGTTTACTTCTGGGGGCTGGGAGACTGAGGGAGCCTGTGAGGGAACTGTAAACGTTCTGTATCTTGATCCGGGTGGTGGTTATGTGAGTGTATCAAATGTGGAAGTTAATTTAGCTGTACACTTAAGTTTGGTAGACATTATATGGTTTCATATTTGTATATTACATTTCAATTAAAAAATGAAAAAACCCACCAAACATCCATAGGGAAGAGCAGACCTATGTGTCTTTAATTCTAGCCTAGCATTCCACTTCTCTGATTCTCTTGGTAGGCAAATTACAATGAAATAAGGCTCCTTTGGCCGGGATTGTGTGAACTCTGGGTAGAGGGAGAACAGACCAGTGCCTTGGTTAAGGAACAGGAGCCCTTCTGTGCTCCCTTCACTCCTTACTGGCTCCCTGCTGTACTTCTGAGGAAAGTGAAAGCCCTTCCGCTTCCTATTTCTTATTGAAATATCTTGCACTTCAAGAAAAAGAGTTTGGTTCTTAATCCTTTCCTGAGATTCCTTATTTGATCTCCCGTTCCCAACTCTCAGTAAATTTCTGCCCCAGGCTCCTTGAGAATGGGTTGGATATTGAGGATGTTGAAAATTTAGTACTATATTCTTTTGACCAGGGGTTTCTGAGGGAGTCAGCAGAGTTTTGTCTGCTTTGGTGTGGCTAAGAGGGTCAGTTGAATATGGGCATCTCTTTCCCTTTCCTTGATCCCACACTGAATGAACCTGTGTGATTTCCCCACTTCTCTGCTCCTTGCAGACCCCTTGTCTGTGTCCCCTGCCCGCTGGGCTGAGGAATATTTGGAGCAATCAGAGGAGAAGCTGTGGCTGGGAGAACCTGAGGGAACAGCCACCGATCGCTGGTGAGTTCAGATACCTCTTTCCGAATCCCGTGAAAGGAGTATGGACAGTTTTCCCAGCCTCCTCCATCCACGTTCTCGAACCAACTTACTTTATTCTTTTTTTTTTTTTTTTTTATCATTCTTGGGTGTTTCTTGCAGAGGGGGATTTGGCAGGGTCATAGGACAATAGTGGAGGGAAGGTCAGCACATAAGCAAGTGAACAAAGGTCTCTGGTTTTCCTAGGCAGAGGACCCTGCGGCCTTCCGCAGTGTTTGTGTCCCTGGGTACTTGAGATTAGGGAGTGGTGATGACTCTTAAAGAGCATGCTGCCTTCAAGCATCTGTTTAACAAAGCACATCTTGCACCGCCCTTAATCCATTTAACCCTGAGTGAACACAGCACATGTTTCAGAGAGCACAGGGTTGGGGGTAAGGTCATAGATCAACAGGATCCCAAGGCAGAAGAATTTTTCTTAGTACAGAACAAAATGAAAAGTCTCCCATGTCTACTTCTTTCTACACAGACACAGCAACCATCGGATTTCTCAATCTTTTCCCCACCTTTCCCCCTTTTCTATTCCACAAAACCGCCATTGTCATCATGGCCCGTTCTCAATGAGCTATTGGGTACACCTCCCAGACGGGGTGGTGGCCAGGCAGAGGGGCTCCTCACTTCCCAGTAGGGGCGGCCGGGCAGAGGCGCCCCTCACCTTCTGGACGGGGCGGCTGGCCGGGCGGGGGGCTGACCCCCACCTCCCTCCCGGACGGGGCGGCTGGCCGGGCAGGGGGCTGACCCCCACCTCCCTCCCGGACGGGGCGGCTGGCCGGGCGGGGGGCTGACCCCCACCTCCCTCCTGGACGGGGCGGCTGGCCGGGCGGGGGGCTGACCCCCCGCCTCCCTCCCGGACGGGGCGGCTGGCCAGGCGGGGGGCTGACCCGCACCTCCCTCCCGGACGGGGCGGCTGGCCGGGCGGGGGGCTGACCCCCACCTCCCTCCCGGACGGGGTGGCTGCCGGGCGGAGACGCTCCTCACTTCCCAGACGGGGCGGCTGCCGGGCAGAGGGTCTCCTCACTTCTCAGACGGGGCGGCCGGGCAGAGACGCTCCTCACCTCCCAGACGGGGTCGCGGCCAGGCAGAGGCGCTCCTCACATCCCAGACGGGGCGGCGGGGCAGAGGCGCTCCTCACATCTCAGACGATGGGTGGTCGGGCAGAGACGCTCCTCACTTCCTCGATGGGATGGCGGCTGGGAAGAGGCGCTCCTCACTTCCTAGATGGGATGGCGGCCGGGCAGAGACGCTCCTCACTTTCCAGACTGGGCAGCCAGGCAGAGGGGCTCCTCACATCCCAGACGATGGGCGGCCAGGCAGAGACGCTCCTCACTTCCCAGATGGGGTGGCGGCCAGGCAGAGGCTGCAATCTCGGCACTTTGGGAGGCCAAGGCAGGCGGCTGGGAGGTGGAGGTTGTAGCGAGCCGAGATCACGCCACTGCACTCCAGCCTGGGCACCATTGAGCACTGAGTGAACGAGACTCCGTCTGCAATCCCGGCACCTCGGGAGGCCGAGGCTGGCGGATCACTCGCGGTTAGGAGCTGGAGACCAGCCCGGCCAACACAGCGAAACCCCGTCTCCACCAAAAAAATACGAAAACCAGTCAGGCATGGCGGCGCGTGCCTGCAATTGCAGGCACTCGGCAGGCTGAAGCAGGAGAATCAGGCAGGGAGGTTGCAGGGAGCCGAGATGGCAGCAGTACAGTCCAGCTTCGGCTCGGCATCAGAGGGAGACCGTGGAAAGAGAGGGGGAGAGAGACCGTAGGGAGAGGGAGAGGGAGAGGGAGAGGGCTTACTTTATTCTTTAAGATTTCCCCTTGGGTTATTACTCCTGTGAATTTATGGTTGAAATGTAGTCAAGGACACAGTGGTTGTGTGCCTGTACTCAGGAAGCTGAGGTGGGAGGATTGCTTGGGCCCAGGAGGTCAAGTCTAGCCCGAGGAACACAGTAAGACCTTGTCTTTAAAAAACCAAAAGCGCATGCATGTGTGCGTGCACACACACACACGCACACACATATATACACACATACACATATGTACACACGCATACATACACATACATGTGCACATACATGTATATACACACGTATACATATGTAAACATGTAGATACATGCGTACACATGTATACACACACATAGACATACATGTATACACACATACACATACACATGTATATACATACACACATACACGTATATATACATATCAGCTATATTTGGGAGGAAGGGAGTTTTCAGACTTTTAAAATATATGTATATAGGTAAATATATATATATTTTTCAAGAATCCTAACTATCCTATATGACGTTCATAACTTCATCTTAAAGTTCATAATTTTACCTTGTTCCCTTCTTAATTTTGAGCCTGCTACTATCCCATCTGTATGCAAAGATATGTTTGGGAAAGGGAGAGCTAGAAGGATGTAGCTAGTACTTTCACACTCCTGCCCAAATGTCCTTCTATAATGCAAATTGGAGTTTGTAGGTTCTCAACAGGAGAATGGAGTTCCCTCACAGGAACTGTCATTGTCATGGGCTAGGAGTGGGGAGTAGCATGGGGAGGGTGATGGCAGACTAATGTGTAAAATTAGTTCTTACCCGTTCCAGGTATGATGAATATCATCCTGAGGAGGATCTGCAGCACACGGCCAGTGACTTTGTGGCCAAAGTGGATGACCCCAAATTGGCTAATTCTGAGGTGAGCCACATCCCTCTGCTGCTTTGCCCAGCAGAGCTGGTTTTGGAAGGCAAGAATCTTGCTTTTCTTACCCCAGTTTAGTTTAAAGAGAAGGAGAAGAGATCTTAGGTCTCTTCGTTCCTGTCTATAGAACAGAGACTTAAGATCCTGCCTCTTCCTTCTAGTGTTCATTCCCTCATCTCCTTGCCTACTAACTCTTTTTTCTGATGCCTTTGCAAGTCTTTAGAGCCAGAAATCCCTTTCTTTTTGCTCTCTACCTCTTTTAGGGTCTTTAGCATATCTTGTCTGCAGCTAGAGATGGTCAGGGGAGGGGTGAGTACAGGGTCCTCTTGGGCATGGTTGAGAGTGCACACCTGGAAGTCCTTTCCCAAGTGGCCTGTGTGTGTCTCTGTGCCCCAGTTCCTGAAATTCGTGCGGCAGATTGGCGAAGGGCAGGTGTCCCTGGAGTCCGGTGCAGGGTCGGGCCGAGCTCAGGCAGAACAGTGGGCAGCAGAGTTTATACAGCAGCAGGTAGGACATTGTCACTTTCCAGTCCCACTTCAGAGCCAGCTGATGCCCCAGGCCATGGGTTCAGTGGTCAGTGGTCCCAGATGGGGAAGGATAAGACCAGCTTGTCTTGATAGCATCCAGGTCCCAAGTGGGTGGGAAAGAGATTCTGAGAATGATTTTCTCAGAAGTACCCAGGTTGGTGGTGGTTAGTGGGTATTTAGTGTGCGTCTGATGGATAGAAAGTTGGTGGTAGTGGTACTGACCATCCTTTTTTGTCGCAGGGTACATCAGATGCCTGGGTTGACCAGTTCACAAGACCAGTAAACACATCTGCCCTTGATATGGAGTTTGAACGAGCCAAGTCAGCTATAGAGGTGAGAGCAGATAGTGCAGGAGCAGACACCCCAAAAGAAAACACTCCTTGGAGTGAGTGGGTGTATGAACATCAAAGATGATGCAAATTGTATTTCATAGTGGACCTGGATCATCTGTGTCAGAGTTGCTTGGGGATGGGGTGGGTGCTGTTGAAAAATGCAGATTTCTGGGCCAGGCATGGTGGCTCATGCCTGTAATCTCAGCACTTTGGGAGCCCGAGGTGGGTGGATCACCTGAGGTTAGGAGTTCGAGACCAGTCTGAACAACATGGAGAAACCCCATGTCTCTACTAAAAATACAAAATTAGCGTGGTGTGTTGGCGCATGCCTGTAATCCCAGCTACTTGGGAGGCTGAGGCAGGAGAAATGTTTGAAACTGGGAGGTGGAGGTTGCAACGAGATGAGATCACGCCATTGCACTCTAGCCTGGGCAACGAGAGTGAAACTCTGTCTCAAACAAAAAACTAAACTAAACTATGCACTGCACTGCACTGCACTGCACTGCACTGCACTGCACTACATTACATTTCTGGCCATCACCCCAGACTACTAAATCAGTATCTGGGGATAGCATCTGGCCATTTGCATTTTAAAAAACTTATTCAGATGATTCTTAAACATATTGAAATTCAAGAACTGCTGCCTTAGAGAATCCCAGCAGAGCTGAGTGTGGGGTGGGGTGGTCATGATGGATCTCCTTTTTCTATCTGCTTTCCCTTCCTTACAGTCTGATGTCGATTTCTGGGACAAGTTGCAGGCAGAGTTGGAGGAGATGGCAAAACGGGATGCTGAGGCCCACCCCTGGCTTTCTGACTATGATGACCTTACGTCAGCTACCTATGATAAGGTGAGGTAAAAACTCTTAGTTTTTCAGGTTCCAGAACTTCCTTCTTTTTAACGTCTTTCCTTTAATCCTGAATTTGAAGGGTGCTTTTAAGTATTTTCTTGAGTCCCTTTCCACGAAAAGAAGTCTGAATAATTCCCTTGCCCTTCCTCTTCAGTGATTGAGTATAAACTTTATTCTTGGGATATAGATGTTAATGAGACTATCTTTGTCAATAACGACAGTCCAGTACATAACACCTGTGAAGGAGGTTTGCACATGCTTGCTGCATTAAAAGCACAGAGGAAGTAGCTCTGCTTGGAGGTCAGATTGGGAGCTTTTTGAGAAGACTGCTGACTCCTTTGGTGGGGAGTGTTAGTGGACAGACTATCCCTTTGCCTCCACATCTTAATATCTGTTTACTTTTTAAACTCACATATTCATTTTAAGTTCTTATCTTTTATAGGTAGTAGCCACTTGCCCTAATTTAGGGTTTTCAAAGAATTTATATTAGATAACTTAAATATTAGGGAAATTTCTTAGTAGTATGAAAGATGATTGCATTTTGCCTATAGCATGTGCTGTTGACTTAGAAGCATATGTTACTTCTGGGGTCTTACTGAAAAACAAATCTACCTGTGGGTTGTAGGATATTTGGGGATGTGTTTAATAACTGAGCTCCTGAGTTGAAACATGAAGAGGGGAAAGAATCACTTGGTTTTGAAAAAAGGCAAAACAGGAACTGGGGATGTGAGTAGTGATGTCTTTTTCTCAGTTCAGATCTGGTTGGGAAAGTATTGTGGGGCTGGAACCAGGGCCTGAGATGCAAACCAGGGTGCTGGAGATGGATCTTGATGTAATAAGGGAGCTATGCAAAGATGGGAAGATGCAGTTCAGAAAAAGGCTAGAGTTTGAGAGCCAGTGAAGAACAGTATTAGGAAAAATATGATTTTGCTTATTATTCCAGTCTGATCTGGATTTTTCTAACTATCCTGTGTGATATAAGGGAAAAGACAGCTGGGACCTTGCCATGTATTTCACTAGACTATGAGTTCATTGTATATAATTTTGATAAGGAAGAACTGAAGGAAATATAGATAACACTTTTGTTATTATTTTGTATTAACAATTTGATAAGTCACATAGGCCCCATCAACTTATAAATGGAAAGTTGTACATTTATGTAAAAATGTCCATGCTTTTCATACATATAGACATAATACTAGTTTTGTATGAGCAGCATTTTCTTTTATCATTTATTACTCTCGTATTTATGACATGCTGGCCAGAATACATTTTTTTTTTTCAGACACATAGAACAATGTGACAAATTAGAAAGCAAATTTTTTTTTAGAAAAAAAATCACATTTGATCAGGTTCCAAGAATAGAAATGTGGAAAGGATAGTCTTTTCGATAAATGGTATTGGAGAAACTGCATATCCATGTGCAAAAGAGTGAAACTGAACCGTTACCTCACACTATGTACAAAACTTAATCCAAAATGGCTTAAAGACCCAAATGCAGTACCCAAAACCGTAAAATGCCTAGAAGAAAACATAGGGAGAAAGTTTCTTGACATTAGTCTTTGCAATGATTTTTGGGATATGAGCTTTTGGTGTCATATCCAGAATACATTTTTTAATTAAAAACTTTAAAAGTATGTTTGTAGATTCTTGAGCCCTACTTGATATCATTGATACTTTGGGATATTGCAAAATTAGGACTAGAAATACTTGCATTAATGTTCCTCAAAAAGTGATGTAGTAAGCAATTAGACAGTATCTGGCTTTAAGCTAATATTGAATTCCATGTCAATAGAACTTTTTAAAAACAAAGGACTTGACTCTTGATTGTTACATAAATTCATGGATCTCTTTGAATGCACTGTTTGTTTATTGATAGCCCTTATATTTTCAGAGACAATTTACATTGCAGCTCAGGCAGATATTAATATACTATTATGATAAAAGAGAAGTATGTGATGGGACAAACTCTTTGTAGTGATCATTTCTGCAGTTTGATCCTATGAGATTTTGGAGCAGACCAGACCGTGTATCAGATAAAATTAATGACTTGGGTTTGGCTTTTCAGGATGTAACAGTGAAGCCAAGCTTATCCTGTGTTCTGTGGGTTGTTGAGGGATCCCCCAGAGTACTCTTTTTCCATCATCTATGCAAATATTCTAATTTTGGAAAATTCCTCTTTGATCAGCAATTGATGAGACTTCAAGGAGGGTAGATAATATGGATGAGAGGAAACTTAGAGAATCCTGTGGTTGCAAGATGGTGGCATTGAGTTGTTGTATTATCTAATGAAGACACCTGAAGAGCATTCGCATCACTTCTGGCTGTCATATACAGGCCATCATATCTTAAGGAAGTATCTAGAGCAGTGAGGATAATAGCTATTTACAGATAGTATCTTAAGCTTTTTGGTAAGGCGTTGGTGAAGATTCCCATTTGATGTTCTCAATGGCTCTGAGAGGCAGGAATTACTTTTATTAGGAAACTGCATTATAGATGACAGTAATCTCTGTTTTCTGTAGAGTGGCTTAAAACACGTATTAATGATGAACAATAGTTGAGGTTGAATGCAGAAGGATTTATTTTATTGAACTGTAATAGTCTAGGGCAAGGGCCAGCACACTGGCTTGTGGGATAAATCTTTATGTTTTTAGTGATCCACTAGCTGAGGATGGTTTTAACATTTTTAAATGGTTGGAGAAAATCAAAAGAGTAATACTTTGTGACAAGTGAAAATTATATAAAATTCAAATTTTAGTGTCCATAAATAAAATGTTATTGGAAGACAGCCGTGCTCATTTGTTTACTTATGTCTGGCTGCTTTCGCACTACAACAGTAGAGGTGAGTAGTTGCAGCAGATCCACGAAGCCTGAAATATTTATTATCTGGCCCTTCGCAGAAAAAGTTTGCTGATCACTGGACTAGCGTCATTTTCTGCCTTCTTAGTTTTTATATTATGCAGAGATGTCCAAAAACACACTTGTTTTCAATATAAATATACTTTCTATACATTTATCTCAAATCTACTATAATATGTCTTTCTTCTTAAACCCCCCATTGTAATTATTTAATTTTCATTTGTGACAAATAATTTGCATCTGATCATGACTTAGAATTTTGCTGGTAAGATTTAAGTGTTTTTGATTCTTTATCATTTTCACAATAATAATGAAAAAGGGCCTCATGTCTTTATTTTGTACAGTTTTATCTGAATTTATTCTTAACTGCATTTAGAAAGACCTCCACCTGTTGTTTTGCATCTTGTTTTCGTTCTGGTGTATTATTTTATGATGGTAACTACTCTCCAAAAACGGACTTTTTATTTGCATGTCCCAGATTTTGCAGCTTACTAGTGACTTCCCCTTTACCTCATTTCTTCTCTGCCTAGTGTAAAATGCCAGTTGACAAAGCTTTGCAGATAGTATCGTAACTCTTCTCTAAAGTGAGAAATCCTCAGCTGGAAGAGAATGGTGTCTTTCTGAAGTATTCTCTGCCATCTGGATTTTGGGATCCAGCTTTTGCTTACTGTCAGATACAGATTAATATTCATGATTATTAAGAATGAAATCGGGGAATAAATTAACATTTTCAAAATGCTTGAAAATGTTTTATCTAGTTGACATGTGGAATGACTCTGAGCTAAGTAAGAGTTATATTTGAATAGCAGGACTCCAAACAACATTTCCTTTATACATCATCACATTATTGAAGGATAACAAGAAATGCACTTTGCATAGCTAGGGACACTTTGTCTCATTACTATAAGCAGATCCTGTTGAGACATTCTGCCCCGTGGTGAGAAGTCAAGGTGTGGGAATACAAGCCTGTGATGACTTCCTAAAATAAGCTTATTTCCAGCGCAGATGAATTTGTAGACTTTCCTAGCTTCCCAGGTATCATGAACAGGAGATGGGAGCACAAACCTGATACCAAATGATTTTACTTGTGTCATACATGATCTTTATAATATGGAGAATTTGCCAGCAATTAATTCCGGAACCTGTTTGGAGGCCCTCAGCTTCTCTGCCTGCTGGTTGTCATCCTCACATCCCTGCTGTTCTGACGGTGCCACCTCTCAGTCCATCTCTCACGTGCTTTTCTTGTAGGGGTACCAGTTTGAGGAGGAGAACCCCTTGCGTGATCACCCTCAGCCTTTTGAAGAAGGGCTGCGGCGCCTTCAGGAGGGGGACCTGCCAAATGCTGTGCTGCTTTTTGAGGCAGCTGTGCAGCAGGATCCTAAGCACATGGAAGTGAGTGACTCCATAGTCTCATTTCTGGCTAGAGACTGCTTCCTCCATCTTGAGAAAGGCCCCAAGGAGAGTAGTGCAGATGGGTTAGGGCCTGGGTGATGGCCTAGGATAGGGGCTTGAGAGCGAGATGGTGAGTGGGAGAAGCCAGGGGGAAGGGCGAATGGAGAGGTGAATATGGGGTGATGGAATCTGTCAACTTCCCTCTAGGCTTGGCAGTATCTGGGTACCACCCAGGCAGAGAATGAACAAGAACTATTAGCCATCAGTGCATTGCGGAGGTGAGTACACTGAAAGGTGTGGGTGAGGTGCTTCCAAGGCTCTGCATATAACCTTTTGAATGACAGAAGCCCAGACCTGGATCCTTGTCTTCTTTCTGAGTGCTATCAAGAGTGTTTTCTCATGCTGAAACTCTGAGGGTTGGAGTGAATTCCATTCCTTCATCGGCTTTTGATTTTATTTGCGGCTTTGGTTGGCTCCTTGCCTGCTAAAACCTTCCCCTTAGATCTGTAACTTTATTATTAACTCATGTCAGAGGAGTCACAGGTGAGGCCATTGTGACTCTGCATTTCAAAGCTTGGCTTGGATCCCAGGGTGCTCACATGTGCCAGTGTCAGTCATTGCAGATATCAAGTCTGCCCATCCCTGATCAAACAGGTGTCTGGAGCTAAAGCCAGATAACCAGACAGCACTGATGGCGCTGGCTGTGAGCTTCACCAACGAGTCCCTGCAGCGACAGGCCTGTGAAACCCTACGAGACTGGCTGCGGTACACACCAGCCTATGCCCATCTGGTGACACCTGCTGAAGAAGGGGCTGGTGGGGCAGGACTGGGCCCCAGCAAGCGTATCCTGGGATCTCTCTTGTCTGAGTGAGTATGAGGGGTTCCTAGGATGAGGAATTACAGTAACCTAAGTCCCAGTAGGAGGGTGACCTTGGTTTTGGAAGTTTGGATGGATTGAGACTGAAGGGTCCTGAGAATGGGATGGGAAACCTAGGATCAAGTTGAAGGAGGTCTGCATTCTACAGTTCAGTGCTAGGATGAAATAGAAAAACAGGCTTCTATATTGGACTTTGAGAGTAGAAGAGATGACTGATAGATTGATGAATGTTGGGGATATGGTTGATCAATGAAGAAATTAATTTGGGGGGATGGGAATAGAGACATTCATCTACCTACTTTGTGTTTTTTTCCTTTTCATCCAGCTCCCTGTTTCTTGAAGTGAAAGAGCTCTTCCTGGCAGCTGTGCGGCTGGACCCTACCTCCATTGACCCTGATGTGCAGTGTGGCTTGGGAGTCCTTTTCAACCTGAGTGGGGAGTATGACAAGGCCGTGGACTGCTTCACAGCTGCCCTCAGCGTTCGTCCCAATGTGAGCCCAGGGGAGGAATGGAAATGGGACATGACTGTGTACCTTATTGAAGAGCCATTTGTTGGGAAGCTGGGTTTGATGGTGCATGCCTGTAGTCCCAGCTACTTGGGAGGCTGAAGTGGGAGGATCACTTGAGCCTGGGAGTTCAAATCCAGCCTGGGCAACATAGCAAGACCCTGCCCACCCCCACAAAAAAGAATAATTTGTTCAGACTTTTGGAGTCTTGGGGTATTTCATTCCAGTGTTCCATGTACTGACTGCCTTGGGAGGACTGGGAAAAGAAGGCTGGGAGTGTAGGGTCATCTGGACATAAGAGAGTCTGCATAGGGTGAGAGGGGCTACATTGTAGCCACACACCGAACTGTTGAGAATGGAATGGGACGAAACATGTTAGCTAACAGAGTAGTGAAACAGCTGGAGTAATGTGCAGAGTTTGAGCTGAGTCGGTGGAGTAATGTGCAGAGTTTGAGCTGAGTCAAGCTGTTCCCATCCGTTCTGCATCCCTATCCCAGGACTATTTGCTGTGGAATAAGCTAGGCGCCACCCTGGCCAATGGAAACCAGAGTGAAGAAGCAGTAGCTGCGTACCGCCGGGCCCTCGAGCTCCAGCCTGGCTATATCCGGTCCCGCTATAACCTGGGCATCAGCTGCATCAACCTCGGGGCTCACCGGTGAGAGTATCTATTGAGAAATGAATGAATGAGCTTTTTCTCCCTGCCTTTGGCCCTAGCTCCTTATTCTTAGATCCTGTTTGACTAACCAGCCCTAGCTTTCTCCCTCCCACTGCTAGCTGACCTGCTTCCTTCCATTGTTGTTCAGCTTAACAGCTCTCATTCCTCTTCTTCCTTACAGGGAGGCTGTGGAGCACTTTCTGGAGGCCCTGAACATGCAGAGGAAAAGCCGGGGCCCCCGGGGTGAAGGAGGTGCCATGTCGGAGAACATCTGGAGCACCCTGCGTTTGGCATTGTCTATGTTAGGCCAGAGCGATGCCTATGGGGCAGCCGACGCGCGGGATCTGTCCACCCTCCTAACTATGTTTGGCCTGCCCCAGTGACAGTGGGACGGGCTGCCCTGTGAGTGTCCACCTGGAGGGATCCCCGCTTTGGATGTGATTCCCTCTCCCCAAATGGGCCTACCAAGGGGGCGGGCTGATGACCATAAGCGGTACGGCCTTTCAGGAGCTGCCTCAACGTAGGGGTGGGTAGTCTGTGTTCTAGTTCCTACATAATTGTAGGAAAATGAGCTGTGTCATCTCTGAGTCCCTTGGTAATTCAAGGGCTGTACATCCAGCTACAGATCTCTCTGCTCATCATGCCCTTTCTTGGTGCTGCTTTTTGGGTAGGACCCCACGATTTAGGGTAACTGTTATCATCAGCTGCCATTTCTGATAGGGTCTACCACATCTGTAATGTCTGTCCTTTCCCCCACTTTTACTGGGAATTGATAGTCCAGCTTCCTTGGGCAGTGTAAGTAGGAGGTTCATCTGCTGTGCGCCTCTAATGTCTGTCTGGATGGGATGTGTTAGGAGTTGGCCTGTTGGGTTGAATTGTTGATTTGGCTGAGCAGAGCTGAGTTTTGGTAGGAGTGCTCATGGTTCTGTCATTCTTGGACCTCTCCTGGCTGAGCTCTGATTCCCTGTGAGCACGATGCTGATGCAATAGTCCTGTGTCATCACTGCAGCGGTCCTCAGGAGCTGCCAGGGCCAATTGCTACAGAGTGTCTGGGTGTGTGGCATAGGAGGAAGGTTTGCTTGTGAAATGAGGCTGGGTGGGAGCGGGGAGGGACTAGATCAGAAGAGATCAAGGGCTCTATTCAGGAACGTTGGTGGGAGGACAGAGCAAGTGGGAAGGGGGTATGGTGAGTGCGGCAATCCCTCATCCTCTTAGAAGCACCTGTGAATGGGAATTGAGCCAACTGTTATAGAAAATTGGTTCAGAAAGTGCAATCTTGCCAGATTTCTAGCAAATAGGTTCAGTGTTACCATAAGCCTTTGCTGTACTTCTTGAAATGTTTCTAGGGGAGAGCATTGGAAAATCCCCTTCCCCCATCTAGATCGAAGGAAGATGAGGGAGCAGCTTGGATTCTTCTCAGTTGTCCCCTGCATGGGGAGATACACTAACCCCCAGAAATGACTGCTAAGCCTCTTGCCTTGTCTTTAGTAGCTAATGATCAGAGAGATTTTTTTTTTAAACTACCATGGTCCCAGGATTCCATCCTGAAATTTATTTTTCTTTGTATGAATATGTGTAAATGATTTAAAAATAAAACTGTAAAATATTTGTACGAAGAATAAATGGAACTGATGTGGGTATGAGTTCTGCTGGTCATGAAGCTGGGATGGCAGAAGGTGAGTTGGCGTTTGGAGGACTGGGATTCAACAGTTTCTGCCTTTCAAATTCTCACTGGTATATTGGTTACCTGCTCATCCCTCTAAAAATGATAGAGCACAGGAGACAGGGTCCCTGTTCTCTGGGCCTCTGGGCTAGCAGGAGAAAGAGATGTCGATAATCATGAATTTTTACTCCTGTTACTACTACAAAGGAAAGTGTGCAGTGCCATATAATTGTTAGGTTGTTTTGTATTATGAATTACATGGAAGGATTTTGATAGTTTTTCAGTGCTTAGGGTTTCTAAAGCTTTTCATCTGGCTCTGCCTGCCTTTATCGGGAACTGTATCAAGTGCCATATCAAGATGGGTATTTATCCTGAGGAAAAATTTAAAAATATACACAAATATTTATACTTGGAGATAGATGTTTGTGGGCACATTAGACTTGGAAAAAAAATTTTTTTTTTTTTGTTTTTTTTTTTTTAAGGCAGTGTTTCACTCTTTTTGCCCAGGCTGGAGTGCAATGGCGTGATCTCAGCTCACTGCAGCCTCCGCCTCCTGGGTTCAAGCGATTCTCCTGCCTCAGCTTCCTAAGTAGATGGGATTACAGGCATGTGCCACCACGCCCAGCTAATTTTGTATTTTTATTAGAGACAGGGTTTCATCATGTTGGTCAGGCTGGTCTCGAACGCCCGACCTCAGGCAATCCACCCACCTCGGCCTCCCAAAGTGCTGGGATTACAGACGTGAGCCACCGTGCCCAGCCAAAAAAAAGTCTAACTTTTAAATTTATTTAAAAAGTTTTTCAAATAGAGACTAGATCTCACTATGTTGACCAGGCTGGTCTTGAACTCCTGGCCTCAAGGAATCCTGCCTCAGCCTCCCAAAGTTCTGGGATCACAGGGAGGAGCACCATACCTGGCCAAAGTCTAATTTTTTTTTTCCGGTGAGCTCAAAAGCTGCCAGAAAAAAAAAAAAAAAAAAAAAAAACCCAAAAAACAAAAAAAACAGGTCTAAAAGACAACTGGGTAAGTAAATTGTCCAGACAGTGAAATATAGCTATTGCTATTTAATCATTTATGGAATAATTTCCAGTGACAATAGATGCTAACAATATAGTGAGAAAAATGGTTGGTCAATTATTTACAGATTGTCTTAAGAAAAAAATGCATTGAAAAGACAATAGGGAACTATCCCAATGTGCTAAAAGTGGGGAGATCATACTTCTCTGTAATTCTCAAATTTTCTTGGTGCATGTTTGATACTTTTCTAGAGGAGAAAATTAAACACCTGGGGGAGGAAAACAGGAAGCTGTTGTGGCACCTGTCACCACCTGGGGGATCACGAGGCAGCTGGTGTCTTGGGCTCTGCAGGTTGGTGGTGCAAAGACCCAGGCGGGAAGTGGGCTGGGCAGGTGGAGGAGCAGTTTCCACACTACATAGGTGCAGGACATGACAAAGTCTGGCTGTGTAAATGACTTAAGAATTAAGCTATAAAATACCTAGGA
Source organism: Homo sapiens (assembly GCF_000001405.40). Lineage (NCBI taxonomy): Eukaryota > Metazoa > Chordata > Mammalia > Primates > Hominidae > Homo > Homo sapiens. Next base: position 7,213,006 of record NC_000012.12, read on the forward strand.
ATCCAACTTACAAGGGATGTGAAGGACCTCTTCAAGGAGAACTACAAACCAGTGCTCAAGGAAATAAAAGAGGATACAAACAAATGGAAGAACATTCCATGCTCATGGGTAGGAAGAATCAATATTGTGAAAATGGCCATACTGCCCAAGGTAATTTACAGATTCAATGCCATCCCCATCAAGCTACCAATGACTTTCTTCACAGAATTGGAAAAAACTACTTTAAAGTTCATATGGAACCAAAAAAGAGCCCACATCACCAAGTCAATCCTAAGCCAAAAGAACAAAGCTGGAGGCATCACACTACCTGACTTCTTCAAACTATACTACAAGGCTACAGTAACCAAAACAGCATGGTACTGGTACCAAAACAGAGATATAGATCAATGGAACAGAACAGAGCCCTCAGAAATAACACCGCATATCTACAACTATCTGATCTTTGACAAACCTGACAAAAGCAATGGGGAAAGGATTCCCTATTTAATAAATGGTGCAGGGAAAACTGGCTAGCCATATGTAGAAAGCTGAAACTGGATCCCTTCCTTACACCTTATACAAAAATCAATTCAAGATGGATTAAAGACTTACATGTTAGACCTAAAACCATAAAAACCCTAGAAGAAAACCTAGGCATTACCATTCAGGACATAGGCATGGGCAAGGACTTCATGTCTAAAACACCAAAAGCAATGGCAACAAAAGACAAAATTGACAAATGGGATCTAATTAAACTAAAGAGCTTCTGCACAGCAAAAGAAACTACCAACAGAGTGAACAGGCAACCTACAAAATGGGAGAAAATTTTCGCAACCTACTCATCTGACAAAGGGCTAATATCCAGAATCTACAATGAACTCAAACAAATTTACAAGAAAAAAACAACCCCATCAAAAAGTGGGCGAAGGACATGAACAGACACTTTTCAAAAGAAGACATTTATGCAGCCAAAAAACACATGAAAAAATGCTCACCATCACTGGCCATCAGAGAAATGCAAATCAAAACCACAATGAGATACCATCTCACACCAGTTAGAATGGCAGTCATTAAAAAGTCAGGAAACAACAGGTGCTGGACAGGATGTGGAGAAATAGGAACACTTTTACACTGTTGGTGGGACTGTAAACTAGTTCAACCATTGTGGAAGTCAGTGTGGTGATTCCTCAGGGATCTAGAACTAGAAATACCATTTGACCCAGCCATCCCATTACTGGGTATATTCCCAAAGGACTACAAATCATGCTGCTATAAAGACGCACACGTATGTTTATTGCGGCACTATTCACAATAGCAAAGACTTGGAACCAACCCAAATGTCCAACAACGATAGACTGGATTAAGAAAATGTGGCACATATACACCATGGAATACTATGCAGCCGTAAAAAATGATGAGTTCATGTCCTTTGTAGGGACATGGATGAAATTGGAAATCATTCTCAGTAAACTATCACAAGAACAAAAAACCAAACACTGCATGTTCTCACTCATAGGTGGGAATTGAACAATAAGAACACATGGACACAGGAAGGGGAACATCACACTCTGGGGACTGTTGTGGGGTGGGGGGAGGGGGGAGGGATAGCATTAGGAGATATACCTAATGCTAAATGACGAGTTAATGGGTGCAGCACACCAGCATGGCACATGTATACATATGTAACTAACCTGCACATTGTGCACATGTACCCTAAAACTTAAAGTATAATAATAATAAAATAAAAAAAGAATTATTCTCTTAAAAAATTGTGAATGTTACATTATTCATGTTTTTACATTAAAAACATGAATAGATGTTGAAACTAATTTCTTTGGAAATCTTCGGATATAGACTATTACCTATTAATATAATACTGATAATGATATCAGTATTATATTAGTCAAAAGTTCTAAATTCATCTTGGGATTTTAGAAATTATATTGAAGCTAGCATCAATGAGCAATACAATTATTGTTGATAACCCAAATTTATCAGAGACGTGGCATCTTAAAATTTTACTCAGATTATGCATTTGGGTGACTTTGTAGTCCGCAAAATTTGCAGTCACTAAGGCTAAGGTTAAGAAAACTATTTTATAAATGGACAAAGGACATGAACAGACACTTTTCAAAATAAGACATTCATTTGGTCAACAAATAAATGAAAAAATGCTCAACATTACTAATGAAATGCAAATCAAAACCACAATGAGATACCATCTCACACCAGTCAGAATGACTATTATTAAAAAGTCAAAAAAGTAACATGTTAGTGAGGTTGCAGAGAGAAGGGGACTTATACTCTGTTGGTGGGAGTGTAAATCAGTTCAGCCACTGTGGGAAGCAGTTTGGAAATTTCTCAAAGAACTTAGAACTACCATTTGACCAAGTAGTCCCATTACAGAGTATATACCCAAAGGAGAATAAATCACTACCCAAAAGACACATGCACTCATATGTTCATTGCAGCAGTATTCATGATAGCAACGACGTGGAATCAACCTGGATGCCCATCAATGGTGGACTGGATAAAGCAAATGTGATACATATGCAATATAGAATACTATGCATCCGCGAAAAAGAACAAAATCACGACCTTCGCAGCAGCATGGTTGCCGCTGGAGGCCATTATCCTAAGCAAATTAACACGGGAACAGAAAACCAAATACCACAGATTCTCACTTATAAGTGACAGCTAAACATTTAGTACACATGAACATAAAGATAGGAACGGCAGACACTGCAGACTACCAGAGAGGTGGAGGGGGATGAAGGTTGAAAAACTGTTGGGTACTATGCTCACTCTTCTGGGTGACGGGATCATTTGTACACCAAACCTCAGCGACATGCAGTTTATCCATGTAACAAACCTGCATGTGTACTTCAGAACCTGGAATAAAAGTCAAAAACAAAACAAAAGCCATTTTACAAAGACGCGATTTAAATTATTTGTAATCAATTTAAATATATTAATTAAATTAAAAAAAAATTTTTTTTTGAGATGGAGTTTCACTCTTGTTGCCCAGGCTGGAGTGCAATGGCACGATCTCGGCTCACTGCAACCTCTGCCTCCCCGGTTCAAGCGATTCTCCTGCCTCAGCCTCCCGAGTAGCTGCTATTACAGGCGCCTGCCACCATGCCAGGCTAATTTTTGTATTTTTAGTAGAGACAAGGTTTCACCACATTGGCCAGGCTGGTCTTGAACTCCTGACGTCAGGTGATCCACCCGCCTTAGCTTCCCAAAGTGCTGGGATTACAGGCGTGAGCCACCGTGCCCGGCCCAAATTCCTTAAACACTCACACCCATATATACATTACCTACTCTTAAATAATGACAAAGGTAATAACAACTTACTTTATCTCCAGGGCAAGTGTAAGTGATTTAAATTTCATTTAATCTAGTATTTTAGAAAGGAAAATCCAAACTCTTGCATAAGCTGTAATACCATGTTTGCATTTTTATTTTACACTGTGGGAAAAATGGGAGAGAATATTTATATAGAACTATTGTATGTCCAAAGTTCACAAATTGATTTACTTTGGAGTAAAATTGAATTATCATATTTATTTTACGATCATAACTTCTATTTTTTGTTTTTAAGATCTTAGGACAAAAAGGTTTGTAAATAAAATATCTTTCAATCTGTAACTATATATTTGAATGAAATTTAGACCCAGAACCTGGAATAAAAGTCAAAAACAAAACAACTTTTAGAAACTTAGACCCAAAACTTTTTGTATTATTTTTATTTTCTCTTTAGTCTTTACGTGACTATTAATCACTAGCCTATTGCCCATTTGTATTTCTTTTGTATTTTTTCTTGTAACACAGCAGGGACCCTGAAGTCATTAAACCAAAGTAAGATTTCCTTTATTTCCATCCAACAACTTTTTAAAGGAGATAAAGTGTTTGTGTTAGAGAATAGGAATGTTTAATCTTTTGTTAATAAATTATTACTTTATTCACACTAATTCATACGTGTTTATTTTTTTTCTTCACATCAATGTAGTAGTTACTTTTAACCATGACTTTATAATTCAAAGTAATCCAGTGTTTCATTTGAAAAAACCTTTCCCAAGTAGAAAACCTTCATTTTAAGATTTAGTTCTATGAACTATCAGCCCATGGGGAATATTAACATATTTAGTAGATTTGGGCAAATTAAGGTGGTGACAATTAAGAATGTGTTCTCATTTTCCAAGTAGGAAAGTTTTTCGTAAAGGGCAAGTGCATTTAAAGCATTCAGAGTTTGGTTTGGGATTTACCTTTTCTTGGGAAGTATATTAGTTATATCTTGCTGCATAAAAACCACTCCAAAATTTAGTGGCTTAAAACAACAATAATTAATTATCTCTGACTATTCTGTGGATTGGCAATCTGGGCGCTTCTTCGCTGTACTCACCGGGGAACATTCATGGGGCCACCTGCCGTCATTTGATGCCTCAACTAGGGCTGGGATGTTCCAAGGTGGAGGAGAATTCCTCAGTAGGTGAGACGGCCTCGTTACAGCATGGTGGTCTCAGGGTGTCAAAATGACAGAGCAGGAACTGCAAAGCCTCTCAAAAGCAAGTCTCTGGATCTCACACAATCTCACTCCTGTCACCTTTCATTGGTCAAAACAAATTATTTATTTTACAAGGCTCTGCCTTTGGTCCCACAGGCAGGAGGTCAGACTGCTGCATCAGGGCAGGCATAACTGGGGCCGCCTGTCCCTGTGGAGAATGACCCTTGGTGGCCTGGGCTGGCTGCAGGGGCTTTGCAGCCTCCACCCATACACCCAAGCTGGAAATGACTTAGGGGGCCAACAGGGACACTATAGGCCCTGCTGCATAGCGAGTGTCCTGCATGTGCACCTGTACATTCCTCCCCTCCCTGAGTTGTACGGGCTGCACTGTGCCTTTACCCTAAGTCCCTTCACAGTCAGTCCCTGGCTGTTGTCCCTTTGTGGTGGTCAGCAAGAGACGTGCAGTTTCAGTTCCATGCAGAGTGGGATGGCAACTTCAGGGAGGGGAGTTAGTTAGTCTAACTAATATCAGTTAGACGTTATTTTACTTATAAGTTCAACCCTGAATCAAGGGTGTGAAGAAATAGACTCCATCTCTTGATGGGGAGATGGAGAGAGAAGAAATGACACACTGCAAAGAGATGTGGATACAGGGAGGTATGATTTATTGACGATTATTATGATAGTGACCTATCACCAGTAGCCTTTAAGAGTCCTTCCAGGATTCATATAGATGCTTAATGGTCTTTCTTATATCAACTAAAGTAGGAATTCATTGCAATTGAGACACTTTCTGGTCTTTAAATATAAGAATATTCTAGAGACGGGCAAACTATTCTAGGTCAAAGTTTCCTCAAGTGGAAACTGTACGACTGGGTTTTATTCAATTTACCCATTTGTTTTTCTTTAGAAATATACAGCCTCTGCAGACACTGCTTCTGAATGAACGGGCTGGAGTTTCCTTGGGATCCTGAACTCATATTGGATTCTCTACCTACCATCTTGGACAATTCATGTAGGAAAACAAATCCTCATTTGTTCAAACAATAGATGAAAATTATTAAAGTTTTGACACATATTAAATGGCGGCCTTGTGTTTCAAAGAAAAGGAAAGAGATAGTTGAATCAGGGTAAAACAACCCACTCACAACCTTAGGCTAAGACACTCACACAGCTTGTCTTCTAGCAAACTGCGTATTTAATCTGCTAAGGCAATGGGGACCTTGTCTTGAGATAGAACTGCCACTCAGGGTCATATCTTTTGTTCTCCTCTAAACTCTACTCTAGTTGAAGTTTTCTAACAATCTGGGAACCCTTATCCCCCAATCCCTGCAGAATGGCTTAATCTAACACGTCGTAAAGAAGGAAACTTCTTGTCTTAACTTGGTTTAAAAAATCTTTCTAACGACACAATTTTCAAAGGCTTCATCAGTTTAAAAAGATTATTGTGCTGACTCCATTAGCAATATCTGGCAGCCGCTACTAGGCAGCAAAACCTACCATGACTACCACTATTATATATTTGCAGTTCTCTTACTTTTTGGTGTTTTTTTGAAAAAAATTTTTTAATTTTTGTAGGTACATAGTAGGTATATATATTTATGGGCTACATGAGATATTTTGATACAGGAATGCAATATGTAATAAACACAGGGTAAATAGGGTATCCATTACCCAAGCATTTATCCTTTGTGTTACAGACACTCCAGTGATATTCTTTTAGTTATTTATAATGTATAATTAATTATTTTTGACTATAGTCACCATGTTGTGTTAGAGAATACTAGGTCTTATTCATTCTTTATAATTATTCTTTTGTACCCATTAACCATCCTCACTCCCCCCCACCCACCCCACTACCCTTCCTAGCCTCTGGTAACCATCCTTCTACTCTATCTCCGTGAGTTCAGTTGTTTTAATTTTTACTTCCCACAAATAAGTGAGAACATGTGACGTTTATCTTTCTTTGCCTGGTTAATTTCACTTAACATAATGACCTCCAGTTCCAACCATGTTGTTGCAAATGACAGGATCTCATTCTTCTTTATGGTGTTCTCAAAGCCAAAATATCTTCAATTGTTTGGACCATACTAGAAGCAGGCACAAAGTCAGACAGCCTTCAACATTCAAACAGAAATGGACACCAACACTCTTCTGGCCCGTATTTGGGCTCACTTAGGAAGTTAAAATGAGATCTATAATCTCAATGTTTTTGTTTGAATAGCTGACCTAACAGTGGAAGAAGACAACATGATAGGCATATGTGTTCCAGGTAAGAGAAAGAAAAAAGCATCAATCATAGGAGTCCAAACTATTTGGAATTGCCAACTCTGGCACTAAACAGCAGATGGCGCCAAAGGACCTTAGTAGCAACCAAGAGATTTGCTGCCATCTCTCTTTCTGCTTTCTCCTCCATCTACCCAAGATTGCTAGGCCTCAAGGTCTGGAGTTAAGAGCATAGGTTCAGGAGTCTGACTGCCCACCTTCACAGTACCACATTTGCTACTTGGGTGACCTTAGATGACTGACTTAACTTGGTTTTCCTCTTTGCAGAATAGGAATGTTAAGAAAAACCCTACCTCCCAGGGTTATTGGTAAGATTAGAATAATTATTACATATCATCATAAGGAATAGTTCCTGCCATATAAGTTTAAAAAATGTTAGCTATTACTCACTGAAACGCATTCCTTTCTATATTTTAACATCTTCAGTGGCATCTAATCTTGATGCATTGCCACCTCTCCTTTAATCCCCACCTAGGCTCCGTGGGGAACTTCCTATGACAAATTGACTAGGAAAAAAATTCAGGTCTGATTTACAGATGGTTCTGATGATATGCTGGTACCTCCTAAAAGTGGATGACCACGGCATTATAGAATTCCCCAAGGGTGATCCTGAAAGGCAGTTAGGAAGAAATATCTTCTTAATGGTCAGAACTTTGAGCAGTGCACTTAGCTGTCCATTTTACCTGGAAGGAGAAAGGCCAGAAGTTATGGATCTAAGCTGATTCACGGGTAGTGGCGGATGGTTTGGCTCTATGTTCAGGGACTTAGGGAGGACTGACTATGAATTAGAGAAGAAGCATGTAGATCAATCTTTTGTAAGGGCACAGGTGTGGAGATATTCGTGTTCCATGTGAATGCTCACTAAATGTCATCTGTTATAGAGGTGGTGCTCAAAAGTCATCTTGGCAAGATGACCTTTTTTGTGAATGGCAACCAGCTGCTTTCCCAAGCCACTTCAGTGCTGCTCATTGGACCAATGAACAGGGTGATGATATTAGATCTCTTCCATCATGGATAAGGACAAGATTATTTTCCTCACTAGAATAGATACTTACTTGATATGGATTTGTCTTTCTTGTGCATGACATTTCTGCTGCCACTATGATTCTTGGATGTATTGAATTCTTATCCACCATGATGGTATCCTATGTAATACTGCTTCTGTACTACGAATTCATTGTACAGCAAAAAACCCAGGCAATATGTTCATACCCATGTTATTCAACAATCTTACGTATATCATTTCATCACTCAGAAGTAACTGGCCTGATAGAATTATGAAATAGTTTGTTGACAACTCAATTATGGCATCAGCTGAGTGACAATGCCATGAGGGGTTAGGGTTCTGTCCTATAAGATGTAGTGTCTGATCAGAATCAGTGACCAATATATGGTAGTTTCTCTCCCATAGTCAGAAAATATAGGTCTAGGAACAAACGGGTGGAAGGAGAAGTGGCTTTCTTCATTGTTATCTATTATCCACACACAAAATGTGTGCTTTTTGTTCCTGCAACTTTGGAAACTTTGATTTAGATTCTTAGTTCTCAAGGGATGAATACGTCTACCAGGGTACATAATTATGATTCCATTGAACTGGAAGTTGAGACATCACCTGATTATTTTGGGCTTCTTGTTTATTCTGTTGTCTCTACAGCATCCTTCAAGATCAGCTCATGAGGACTCTCCTTTCACAGTGGTGAAAGGCTAATTAAGCTGTTTTCTCAAGCAAAACAACTCTTTTTACACCTCATCTCTATCCTTATGTCATGTAGACAGTGCTGCAGTTCTTTTTTTCATAGCAAATTTTTCTTCTTGTTTTACTTCTATGTGGTTTTAATTGAAAAGCAGCCAAATGATAAATACACATATAAACATCCTGCCTCCTCTGTTATGTCTGATTAAGACTTAGTAAGAGGCCTCAGGGTCTCCACCTGTTAGTATGTTGTGGTTTGTCTTGTGTATCTTTGGAGACAGGAGAGATGTGTGGCTTGTATACGTTTGTTGGAAATAAACTGCTTCTGTTTTTGAAAATTGGAATTTGCTTTATTTATTGCTGAAAACTTATGCCTTTGAAATGAAAATATAAATTGCCTAAGTAATGTTCTGAAAACCAATTCTTACATAAGATAATTTCTCTTAAATGTCTAGCACAGTGCCATTCAAGCATTCAATAAACATTAGTTGAGTATCGTTTAAGTTATAGACATTGGAAATACAGAGTCACTCCCCTCAAAATCTAGCCTAGAAGAGTAAGTGGCCAGAAATAAATAAGTTAACAATTTCAGGCACCAGAGTAGCAGTAGCTGTGAGGTAAAATGGGGGCATAAGGGAGGTAAGTAGATATAGGCTTTCCCCCAGTCTTGGGCCCTATCAGAGCCCCAGCAGATGCCTGTGGCCTGCAGAGGCCTTAGCATGCCCAGATGAGGAAGGATTCAATAAGGAAAGAAAGAATCTGTTTGCAGACTTGGAGTCTCACTCTTTTTGCCCAGGCTGGAGTGCAGTGGCTCAATCTCAGCTTGCTGCAAACTCTGCCTCCCAGGTTCAAGCAATTCTCCTGCCTCAGCCTCCCGAGTAGCTGGGATTGCAGGCGCACACTACCATGCCTGACTAATTTTTGTATTTGTAGTAGAGACGGGGTTTCACCATGTTGGCCAGGCTGGTCTCCAACTCCTGACCTCAAGTGATCCACCCACCTTGGCTTCCCAAAGTGCTGAGATTATAGGCGTGAACCACCACGCCCGGCCACAGGCAGGACTTCAAAGTGCACCGAAGCTGCATGTGTAGGACAGATCACCTGTGTGGGAGCATGTGGCTTTGAACTCTGAGTACCAGCCAGAGATGGACAATCTTGGATCAGATGCCCAAATTCTGTTCCTCCTCTGTCTTCTGGCTTAAAGATAGAACTGTGGTGTCATTAACCTTGGATTCAATTACCTTAAGAATCTCCACTCACAAGAGCTCAAATTGCTTTGGAGTTGTTAATTACACCAGCTTCTGAACAGAGGTGGATTAATTGTGAAGCTAATGAAGTTTAAGCTTCAGGACCTAAATTTCCCTGCACCAGCTACTTCCAAGGTTCTGGGAGGGGCCCTGACACTGTGTTTGCAAGGGCACATGCTTCTGTAAACTTTGCAAAAGTAAACTATTTTCAATGCAGTTAGTTAAGATGACTCTTTCCACTCCAACCCCCTCTCTGCCATACTTCTCCTTGAACTGGAGAGGGCTGAAGTAGGACCATGGAATTTCATATTGGTAATTTTGTATTCTTTTACTTATAGAGGGTTCCTCGAACTGCACAAACTTTAGTCTCCTCCCTGGATCCATCCCTGGTTCTGATCATGACTACGATTTCCCCCAAGTTGCCATTTAGATTGTATTAATATTAAAATGAGATAAAACAGTCCTTATTATTAAAAGAATGTATTGTCTTTTTTAAGAAAAGAAGCAATTCAGTGAAATTATTATTATTATTATTTTTGAGACAGAGTCTCACTCTCACCCAGGCTGGAGTGCAGTGGCGCGATCTCGACTCAACTGCAACCTCCACCGTGCCAGGCTCAAGCAATTCTCCTGCTTCAGCCCCCCAAGTAGCTGGGACTACAGGCACATGCCACCATGCCTGGCTAGTTTTTGTATTTGTGGTAGAGATGGGGTTTGCCATCTTGGCTAGGCTGGTCTTGAACTCCTGACCTCAGGTGATCCACCCTCCTCGGCCTCTCAGAATGCTGGGATTACAGGCTTGAGCCACTGTGCCAGGCCCAGTGAAATTATTTCTTACCCAAGAAGGCAATTAAAGGAGCCTGTGCATGGAGCACTAAATCTGGGGATCAGATTTGCCAAAAAAATCAAGAAGAAACTGAAGAGGTTTAAAATGCATATATTGCTTTTTCATTAGTATAGGAATGGTGGAAGAATAAAAATAAAATCAAAGATGATGGATTGATTCACCTGGAGGAAAGGAGAGATGATTAAGATTAAGGGTCATGGATCAGGGACAGAGGGGAAGAAATGGGAAGATGACTGTCAGTAGAGACAGACATAAAAAGAAAAAGGAGATGAATGCACGTAGGTCCAGCTGCTTTCAAAAAGAGTTTTAAATCTAGATGCCAGTAAATCAGAAATAAATTGTGACTGGAAGCCAACAAAGTCCAATAGAAGAAGCAAGGCGAGATCTAAGAGAGCTGCTTGGAATGAATATGAAGAAGGAAGCCTGGATCCAGGAAACTACTGAGAAGCACCTTAATGCAAAAGATTCCATCTTCTTTTCAAGTATTCTTTCTATATTATATTCATCAGAATGGGCTAGCTTATGCTGCTGGAACAAGTTAACCCCCAAATCTCCACAGCTCACACACACACCATTTATTTATCACCATGTTACAAACCTGCTGTGGTTGGTGGAGGACTTGGCTCCACATAGTAACTCAGGGACCCAGGTTGACCTGGGCTCCACCATCTTGTAGATGCACCATCTGGAACATGTAGTTGCTAGGGCAGCGGAAGAGAGAGACTGGAGCATCTTACTTGGACTTTTCACTGCCTCCACATGGAAGTGACACACATGACATCCATTCACACTTTATTGGCCAGAACTTGTCATTGGGGATTTGGAAAATAAATATTTAATGAGTATTCCTGTGTATGCTGCCTCCTATCTGAATCTTGATAGTGATGCTGTCAGTTTTTTCTTGCCTTGGAGAGGCTTCTGAGGTGTAGTTTCATGCAGAAATTGGATGCAGTCTGAGCCTCCCCAGAGTGGGATTTGAATACATTTTGTATTTGATTGCTTTGACCGGTAGGGTCTCCAGTTTAGTCGGTGCTGAGGGTGATTACTCGAATTTTGTGTCTCCCTCCTTCCCTACCTCCAATGTCCCCTGAGGGTCATTAACTTTAGGATTATTTTCATTCTATGTTCATGCATTCATTTCTTTATTTATCCAACATTTATTAAGCTCTTACTGTGTGTTATGGCTTTACTTGGCCCTGCAGATTCAACGAAGACTAAGACACAGTTCTTATTCTCAAGAAGCTCCCACTTTGGAGACGGTAAGCAAGTTAATACAGATTACATAGACATGCCAGCAATTTCTAGCTGGAAGGATCGGGAAGGACTCCATGTAGGTGACAGCTCAGTGGATTCATAAACTTGGGGAGATTTAGGAATTTATCATCTGTAGGAGGCTTAAAAATGTATACACAAGAACTTGGATATGCATAAATGTAGTGTTCTCTACTTTTTTTCTTTTCTCTTTTTTTTTTTGTATATTTTTATTTTACATTTGAAAAAGACTCAGAGGTGTGAAGAAACTTGTCAAGATCCTTCCTATATATTGGTTTAGGTGAGGCCTGGTTTTAAATCCAACCCAACTTTGTCTGGCTCTGAAAACTGGGCTCTTAGCCACCACATGATTCTGCTACCTAATCATCTATATGTTCCTATCTTTTCCTTTTTTACCAGAATAAAAGAGAAAAAGGGGGAAAAACCCCATTTTTTTCAAGCAAGGATTAATTTTTAATGACATCCTTTCCTGTGTTAAATGTGAAGTCTCTTTTGTCTCAATGCCAGTCAAGTATTTAGTTTTCAGTTTCTTTATACTATTTGTATTCAAAATATACTTGATCTTAAAAAAGTAGGGGAACACTTAATTTGGTCTGTTTTCAGATTCCTCCCATTAATTTGGCAAACATTCAAAATGGTCAGATGATTTAATTACTTATTATTTTTATGAGTTTAGTTATTCTAAAGTAGTTTCCAACCTATGGATCTTAGTTTCTAAGAGTCTTTTTTATTTTATTATTATTATTTTATTATTGTTATTATTATACTTTAAGTTCTAGGGTACATGTGCACAATGTGCAGGTTTGTTACATATGTGTACATGTGCCGTGTTGGTGTGCGGCACTCGTTAACTCGTCATTTGCATTAGGTATATCTCCTAATGCTATCCCTCCCCCCTCCCCCCACCCCACAACAGGCCCCGGTGTGTGATGTTCCCCACCCTGTGTCCAAGTGTTCTCATTGTTCAATTCCCACCTATGAGTGAGAACATGCGGTGTTTGCTTTTCTGTCCTTGCGATTGCTCAGAATGATGGTTTCTAGCTTCATCCATGTCTCTACAAAGGACATGAACTCATCCTTTTTTATGGCTGCATAGTATTCCATGGTGCATATGTGCTACCTTTTCTTAATCCAGTCTATCATTGATGGACATTTGGGTTGGTTCCAAGTCTTTGCTATTGTGAATAGTGCCACTATAAACATACATGTGCATATCTCTTTATAGCAGCATGATTTATAATCCTTTGGTTATATGCCCAGTAATGGGATGGCTGGGTCAAATGGTATTTCTAGTTCTAGATCCTTGAGGAATCGCCACACTGTCTTCTACAATGGTTGAACTAGTTTACAGTCCCACCAACAGTGTAAAAGTGTTCCTATTTCTCCACATCCTGTCCAGCACCTGTTGTTTCCTGACTTTTTAATGATTGCCATTCTAACTGGTATGAGATGGTATCTCATTGTGGTTTTGATTTGCATTCTCTGATGGCCAGTGATGATGAGCATTTTTTCATGTATCTGTTGGCTGCATAAATGTCTTCTTTTGAGAAGTGTCTGTTCATATCCTTTGCCTTCTTTTTGATGAGGCTGTTTGATTTTTTTCTTGTAAATCTGTTTAAGTTCTTTGTAGATTCTGGATATTAGCCCTTTGTCAGATGGGTATATTGTAAAAATTTTCTCCCATTCTGTAGGTTGCCTGTTCTGTCTGACGGTAGTTTCTTTTGCTGTGCAGAAGCTCTTTAGTTTAATTAGATCCCATTTGTCTGTTTTGGCTTTTGTTGCCATTGCTTTTGGTGTTTTAATCATGAAGTCCTTGCCCATGCCTATGGCCTGAATGGTATTGCCTAGGTTTTCTTCTAGGGTTTTTATGGTTTTAGGTCTAACATGTAAGTCTTTAATCCATCTTGAATTAATTTTTGTATAAGGTGTAAGGAAGGGATCCAGTTTCAGCTTTCTACATATGGCTAGCCAGTTTTCCCTGCACCATTTATTAAATAGGGAATCCTTTCCCCATTTCTTGTTTTTGTCAGGTTTGTCAAAGATCAGATGGTTGTAGATGTGTGGTATTATTTCCAAGGGCTCTATTCTGTTCCATTGGTCCATATCTCTGTTTTGATACCAGTACCATGCTGTTTTGACTACTGTAGCCTTGTAGTATAGTTTGAAGTCAGGTAGCGTGATACCTCTAGCTTTGTTCTTTTTGCTTAGGATTGACTTGGCAATGCGGGCTCCTTTTTGGTTCCATATGAACTTTAAAGTAGTTTTTTCTAATTCTGTGAAGAAAGTCATTGGTAGTTTGACAGGGATGGCATTGAATCTATAAATTACCTTAGGCAGTATGACCATTTTCACAATATTGATTCTTCCTATCCATGAGCATGGAATGTTCTTCCATTTGTTTGTGTCCTCTTTTATTTCGCTGAGCAGTGGTTTGTAGTTCTTTGTGGAGTGTAAGGCAATGTCATGTGATAAGAATGAGAAAATGGTGGGGTAGGAGTCTTAGTGGAGAATTGTTTAAAATTATCATTGCTGAAAATAGAAGAAAGAGCAAATTGTAAAAATAAAGGAGAAATGGGTAATGATAAGAGCACATTTGAGGCTGGAGAACATTAGTCTTCATTTTTTTAAGTCACTATTTAGTTGTGTGATATTCTCCAATATCACTCAAAAATATAGACGAAAAGCATGGTAAAAGTGGACAGTTAGATTGAAGCAGGATTAACATTTTGCCAAGAAGGTGCAATAAAAGGGCAGTGGGTAAGGGATCTAGGGATATTGGCATTAAGATGAAAGACTAAGAAACTAAGTGGATCAGAAAAGGAGAATTCAAGAAAAGGCAGATCAGTGGTGAGAAGACAAGGCACTGAAGATGTCAATGGGGATGGCAGGACTGAAGGTAGTTGTCTTAGTCTGCTCAGGCTGCTATAATAAAATATCTAGAGGCTGGAAGTCTAAAATCAGAGTGCGAGCAAGGTCAGGTCCTGGTGAGGGCCCTCTTCTGAGTTATAGACTGCCAACTTCTCATGGTGTTCTCACCTGACAGGGAGAGAGAGAGATCAAGCTCTTTAGTGTCTTTTTTTTTTTTTGAGAGGCAGGGTCTTGCTCTTTTGACCAAACTAGAATGCAGTGGTGTGATCATAGCTCCTGGTAGCCTCAGATCCCTGGGCTCAGGAGATTCTCTAACCTCAGCCTCTCAAACAGCTGGGACTACAGGTGTACACCACCATGCTTGACTAGTTTTTTTGTAAATTTTTTAGGAGAGACACAGTCTTGCTATCTTGCCTAGACTGGTTTCAAACTCCTCTCCTCAGTGATCTTACCACCTCAGCCTCCCAGAGTACCTAGGAAGACAGACACAAGCTACCATGCCCAGCATCTTTTCTTACAGGGACATGAATCCCATCATGAGGGTGCCACCCTCATAACCTCATCTAAACCCAGTGACCTCCTGAAGGCCCCATCTCCAAATACCATCACAGTGAGGAGTAGGGTTTTAGCACATGAGTTTTGGGGAGACACAATTGAGCCCATAGAAATAGTACTCAAAAGTGAGATGCATAGACTTACGATTTCAGAGATAGAACATTTACAGGTGATGCCAATACAAGGACATGGCCACAGGTAGATTAAGTGTCATGATACTCTCTGGAGATCAGGATCAAGGAAGGAAGAGAATAGGGGTAGGACTGATTATCCATATAAATGTAGGAGGCACTCAGGATAATGGTGGGACATGGAGTCAAAGGAAGGATCATGAACCTCATGCTGAAGGCTTTAATGAGTAAGGAATGACTGACAGGTTGGTAAATTATAGCAACCAAGAGTGGCATAGGGTGGTAAAAGTAAAGGGTGTGAGTCTCAAAAAGACAAGGGGATTGCTCACAGGGTCAGAGAAGTAATGGTCAGGAGGTGGTATTGGGAGCTCAGAGGATGCCAAACCTAAGGAGTGTAGAAGAATCAACATCCCCCTCTTGAAAAGGAAAAGTAGTAACATCTTTACATGGAAGAGCCAGGTCTCTGGAAAGGTAAATGATAAAGAGAACATCAAGTGAAGAAGATATAGAAGATGTGGATGTAGAATAGTTCCTTAACCACTCAATTGATAGTCTATCTAGAGGGCACTATGAAACGTTTCTGGAGGGAGAGGAAGAGTCAGGGAACAAACAGTCCTGTTCCTGCAACATGAAAATGAGAATGCAGGAAAAGAGAAATAAGCAGAGGAATTTATATGATGGGAACACCACAGATAGAAATGTGAGAGCTGGTACCTTAGGCTGGTGGCCAAAGTTTTACAAGAATTGGTCTCAGTGTTTTCCAGGTGGAGAGGAACAATAGAACATAGGGAGGTGCTGCCTGGATTAACTGCATTGACTGCTAGATGGTCCATAAAATAGGGTACCTGAGAAGCAGAAACCCAAAATATTTTTGAAAGAATTTAATACCCACTATTTTAAAAACATTCAAATAGCCAGCATGGGAAAAATAAGACTTTGGGAGGGGGGATTTCTTACATTTGTTTTATATGTTACTACTGTTTTTATGAATTATACTAAGAAGGGAATTCCATAATCTTGGTAACACCAAAGCCTTTCTATAGGACTTAGTTCTGTCCTTATACTTCTAAAAACATTCTCTGGTGACTAGAAACACCTCAGCCTGCCTGGGAGAAGACAAAACAGTCAAATTGATAGCCCAGGCTCTGGGGAGAGGTCTATAGTTTGAGGACACTGGTGGTGCCATGTGGTTCCATTGGCTCAGGAAACACCCTCACTTAGAAAGATAAAAGAAAATTCAGAACACAAGGTTCAAATCTTCAAGATGACATCATAGTCAAGCTCACACTTGGTAGGCAGATTATAATTCAAAAGCATAAAAGAGGGAATTTAAGAAATAATCAAATTCTGTCTCAAATTCTGTCTATACCACACTCACAGATCTATTTAATTACAAAAGAGTTGACATTTTCAGTACCCGAGACTCATTGCATTGTGTTTTCCCACTGATCTCAGCTTGTGAAAATTCTGTCTAACAAGAAAATGCACATCTTAGGCAATACTGATTTTGGCTTTATCTTTCTTTTTATGAAATACAAATATGGCTGACACTCAGAACATCTGAAATCAGCAAGGTTACCACACTAAGTTGATATGATTCCAGCAACACTTAATAGATTGGCATTTTTAGTTAGTCACACAGCCTACACAAGAGAAAATTTACATCTTCCATTTAATTGTAATATACTGGCAATAGCTAAAGACCCTTGTGTTAGCCAGCATTATTGCGGATGCAAGTGACAGAAATTTATTTCAAACAAGCCTGAGCAAAAGTGTTAATTATAAATCCATTTTGCTGGGAGCACCATCAAGGCAGCTTACGGAATCAAGACTGGAGGTGCCAAAACACCAGGATTAAAACATATTAACTTGTAAAACATCAGATCCCTCTCTTTCTCTCCCTCTCAATCACTCCATTTACTTTTTTCTGCGAGTTGTTATCTGATGAATTTCTTCCACAAAGCAGACAAAATAAACACCAGCAACTCTGGAGTCACCTCTCCTTAGGTCAAGGTCAAAATAGCCCTACTTCTCCCCCACCTCTACTTTGGAAAATTCTTGGAACATATGCTGATTGGCCAGGCTTTTGCCATCTGCCTTTCCCTGGGACTGTAACTTAAGGAGTCTAACCTGGGACATTTGTTCATCCCCAGGAGTGGATCTATAGGACCATGATTAATAGTCCCACCAGAATTACATGGAGGAAAAGAGGAGTTCTTAAAGGAACCATAAAACTAGTTACCATAGTACACTACAATGAGATCACTATGGCCATTCTCAAAAACATTCAGAATCTGGGGGCCCCAATTTGAACACAAGAAACACAGGAAAATATTAATTCTCTTTTATAAGACACAGCAATAGGTACTGGAGAAATAACTATGTAAAAGACAGAAATAATTACTTTTGTAGGCCTGGTGTGGTGACTCTTGCCTATAATCCCAGCATTTTCGAAGGCTGAGGCAGGAGGATCACTTGAATCCAGGAGTTTGAGACCAGCCTGGGCAACATAGTGAGCCCTATCTCTATTTTCTAAATAATAATAATAAAAATTCCTGTCCTCATCAAAAGAACAAATAATATAGGCAATTGTACAGTGGAAAAAGCGTGATGAAGCAGAAACACAGGTTACACTGGAAATGCGTGGAAGGGACATCTAACTTGGCCTGGGGAATCAGAGAGAGCACCCTGGGAGAAGTGACATCTAAGCCAAGGTAGAAAAGAGAAGTGAGTAGAGGGAGCATTGAGGGTAGAGAAACCAGCAAATGCAAAAGCTATGTCACTGGAGTTGTAAAATAAAGTGAATGGGATCAGTTTCCCTCTGTTTTTCTGCATCTGTGTGTGCTGACTCCATTTGGCCACATGCCAGTTGGTACACAGATGTTTGTCCCTTGCTGTTTTCTACAGCAGAGGAAATCACAATTGTGAATTCACAAAAAGAGTAACTTTAATGTAGATTGGGGCACTATGGAGAGGAAACCTGTCATGCACTGCTCCCCTGCCATCTCACAGATTATTCTGCCTTGCCATCCAGGAGTCTCACCTCTAAATTTTTCCACAGCACTCAGCCCCTTGGGAAATGTCAAGTCCCTCACTGAGATGGAGATGACTTCCCTCATTGAGATGACTTCCCTCACTGAGATGACTTCCCTTATAGGAAGCAGGCTCTCCAGGATGGACCATCTTACCTGGTTTTTGTGAAATTCTAATAAATAAAAATTTCCCCATCCCATTACACCCATGATTGACTCATACAAGATCCAGTTCTCATGTCTTCCGAGGTAGACATCTGTGCCCTCTCTGGAGTGCCCTATATGCTGTGTTGAAGTATTTCTCAGCAGCCTAAAACAATTACTTATTTTTGAAACATTTATTATTGAAAATCTCAAAAGACATACAAAAATAGACAAAATTGTATATTGAATTCTCATGTATCTACTGCCCCATTTCAACAATTATTACCTTATGGCTAATCCTGTTTTTTCATTACTCCTAACCAATCTCCAAAATTACATTTTATTCATAAATAGCTTTAGTATATATATCTAAAAAACAAGGACTCTAAAAACAAACATATTCTCCAATTATACCTAAAAGTTAACAATAATTGCTTCTTACGATCAAATATCCACCATTCACATTTTCATTGATTATCTAAGTCATGCATCTTTTCTTGCTACCATTTGTTCCAATTAAGCTCACACATTGGGTTAGTTGATAAGTGTTTTGTGTATCTTTTAATCTATGAATTTTCTCATTACCTTCTTTTTCCCTTGCAATTTGTTATTTTCAAGAACTGAGTTGTTGGTTTTTTTGAATATTTCACAGCTTGAATTTTGCTAATTGCATACATATGGTGTGGTTTACATGTTCTTCTGTTCCCCTACATTTCCTGTAAATTGATCTAGAGGTTTAGTCAGACTCTTGCTTGATTTTTTTTTTTTTTAACAAGACTACTTCTTAGGCTGTATAATGTTGTTCTCTTAGGAGGCACATAATGTCTGGTTAGGTTATTTTTTTCATGATGATAGTAGCCATTGATGATTATGACTAGATCCATTAATTTATTGCTTTTTGAAGATAAAAACTTGTCTGCATTTCTTTAAATAGGGTCTACTCTGTGCCACTCCCAAAATAATAAAATTGAAGCCACGCTCTCTGCTACCTTATATTGTCCAGGTAGGAGATCATAGTAATGATTATGACAGCTATTATTAAGTGAGCTCTTACGGTTTTTTATCTAAATTTCTAACATAAAGGTAGGCAACAAGGAAAGTCCAACATTCTCTAAATGCACCCCAAGGGTAATCTCACATTATTGCTTTTATTTTCCCCTCAATGTCCTTTTAGAATAAAGAGCCTAGACACAGGAATGAGGGAAAGAGATGCTGACAATTTTGCAGAATATCCCTTTAATGTAGTTCAAGTTTCAAACATGGAGAAAGTAAAGAAAAACATATTTGCTATTAGAAAGATATGAGCAAAATAAAGACAACTATTTTGAATGTACCATAATAAGGGTTCTGTACTTGAACTAAAAATACACTAAAGTGGGAAGTCTTAGCCGCTGGTCAGCTGCTCAGGTGTTGATTATAAACACTGTAGTGTATTTGGGAATGGTGTTGCTGAATTCACAGTACAGGCATAGGTAGCAATACTAAGATGGTAAGGCAAATGTTAGTGTCTAGCATTTTATTACATAAAAGCAGGCTCAAATTAGCAGCAGTTATAAAATTACCATTATTCATTTTAAGATAGTCCTTTGCCTTCATGTGTATCTTGCCTTTTTTTATACATTGGTCAAAAGGAAATAGTAAGTTCTCAACCTGAATGAGACAAACATTAGTATTTACTTTAACTATTGTATCATTCCGAAATTGACCCAATTTTTTAAAGATGTTTATTGTAGAGTTCTATTGTTTGTTTTTTGTTTGCATATCCATTTTTACTATATATTATTTAACAGAGTGTGGAAGTTAGCCTAATTTGTTGCGGTTTATATGTTTGTTTTTTCCAATAATCATGAATAGGTATTACATTATATTAAATGAGTTTTCCGATTCTGTTGAAAAGATAAAATAGTTTTTCTCGACTAACCTGTTAGAGTTAATTTAAAAATATTTTCAAATGTTAAATTTGCATTGCATTTCTTTCCTGATTTTATTTTCTTGGGTAAAATTTCTTAATTTTTGTTTGTTTGAACCTTTGCATTTAGAGTCATGAATAAAATGAGCATATAATTTTCCTCTCAAAAAATAAGAAAAAATTAAAATGTTCATTGCATACTAAAGTATGAACAAAAAATAAAAAATAAAATGTTCTTTAGGATTTTCTTAGAAAAAACTCTTTCCACAAAATCAACAAACCCTATAACTATGAAAAGTAAAAGAGAAAAATACTCAAAGAAAGAAAATCAGGAGTGAAAGAGGAGACACTGCAACTCCTGCCACAGAAATGTGAAGAATCCCTAGAATAATTATACGTCAACAAAATGGACAACTTAGAGAAAATAAAGTCCTGAAAGCATACAACCTACCAAGACTGAATTATGAAGAATTAAAAAGTCTGAACAGACCAATAACAAATAAGGAGATTAAATTAGTAATCAAAAACCTTCCAGCGGGTGTGGTGGCTCACGCCTGTAATCCCAGCATTTGGCAGGCCAAGGCTGGTGGATCGTTTGAGGTCAGGAGTTTGAGACCAGCCTGGCCAACATGGTGAAACCCTGTGTCTACTAAAAATACAAAAATTAGCTGGGTGTGATGGCACGCACCTGTAATTCCAGCTACTTGGCTGGCTGAGGCAGGAGGATCGCTTGAACCCGGGAGGTGGAGGTTGCAGTGAGTGAGATTGTGCCACTGCACTGCAGCCTGGGTGACAGAGCAAGACTCCATCTCAAAAAACAAACAAACAAACAAAACCCCAAAAAACAAAAAACAAAAAGCCTTCCAACAAAGAAAAGCCCAGACCCAAATGGCTTCACACATGCTTTCTACCAGAATGAGGGACAAAGATGACTTGATAATCTCAAAAGATACAGCAAAAGCATTCCACAAGATTCAACACCCTTTGATGATAACAACTCTCAACAAATTAGGTATAGAAGGAATTTACCTTGACAAAATAAAGGCCATATATAAAAAGCACACAGCTAACATCATACTCAACGGTCACAAACTGAAAGCGTTTTCTCTCAGATCTGGAACAAGGAAATGATGTACATTCTCACCACTTCTATCCAACATAGAATTAGAAGTCCTAGCCAGAGTAAGTAGACAAGAAAAGAAAATAAAAAGTATTCAAATCAGAAAGGAAGAAGTAAAATTATCTCTGTTTGCAGATTACATGATCTTATAGATGTGCAGAAAATTATATTTCTATATATGATATATAGAAAATTCTAAAGATTTACCAAAAAAACTTAGGATAAACAAATTTAACAAAGTTTCAGGATACAATATCGATGTACCAAAATCAGTTGTGTTTCTATACACTACAATAAATTGTCCAAAAAGGAAATTAAGAAAACAATTTTGGCCGGGTGAGGTGGCTCACACCTGTAATCCCAGCAGTTTGGCCGGCCAACGTTTGGATCACTTGAGGCCAGGTGTTTGGGACCAGACTGACCAACATGGTAAAACTCCAGATCTCTAAAAATACAAAAATTAGCTTGGCGTGGTGGCACACGACTGTAATTCCAGCTACTTGGGGGGCTGAGGCAGGAGAATCGCTTGAACCTGGGAGGCGGAGGTTGCAGTGAGTCGAGATTGCGCCACTGCACTCCAGCTTGGGTGACAGAGCAAGATTCTGTCTTAAAAAAAAAAAAAGTTTAACTCATAGATCCAGAAAGTGAATTGGTGGTTGCCAGGAGCTGGTGGGGAGGAGAAAACAGGAAGGTATTCATCAAAGGGTACAAAATTTCAGCTACACAGAGAATAACTGCTAGAGATCTACTGTACAGCATAATGCCAACAGTTAACAATACTGTATTATATTCTTAAAATCTTGCTAAGGAGATATTTTAAGTGTTCTTATTACCAAAATAATAATAATAATAAAGTCAGAGGGTGGAAGGAAACTTTTTGGAGGTGATGAATAGGTTTTTAATTTTTCAATTTGTCAAAATGAAGTATTGTAACTTAATTTCTTACATTCCCCATCCAACACACACGTGTGCACACACACAACTTCCCACAGAGAAAAGGCCAGGCCCAGATGGCTTCATGGTGAATTCCATCCAACATTTAAGGAAGCATTAACATTAATCCTTCACAAATTCTCCAAAAAATATGTAAGACCAGGATTTTGGAGGCTGGGCCTCAAAATGGGGTCATAGTATGAGCCACGATTATCTTGACACCAAAACCAAAGACATCACAAGAAAAGAAAACCACAAATTAATATTCCTTATGACTATAGGTGCAAAAAAATTCAAAAACATACTAGCCCACCTAACAAGGAACATATAAATGGAATATATTTCACAACCACGTGGGATTATACCAGAAATACAAAATTGGTTCAAACTATGAAAACCAATTAATATACCATATTAGTAAAACAAAGGACATAAATCACCTGATCATCTGAGTAGATGCAGAAAAATCATTGACAAAATTTAACACCTATTTATGGTAACAACCCTCAACAAACTAGCAATGAAAGGGAACTTTCTCAACCTGTTAAAGGACATATACAGAAACCCCACAGCTCACATCATACTCAACAGTTAAAGACTGAAAGTGCTCCCATTGAGATCAGGACTTACAAGAATATTCACTCTTGCCACTTCTATTCAACATAGAGGTGTTCTATCCAGGGCATTTAGGCAAGAAAAAGAAATAGCATCCAAATTGGAAAAGAAAAAGTAAAACTATCTCTATTCAACAGATAACATCACAATGTATATAGAAAATCCTGAGGAATACATACATACAAACACATACACACACTATTAGAGCTAATAATTGAGTTCATCAAAGTTGCAGGATATAAGATCAATATATAAAAATTATATCAACTGTATGTCTATATAATATCAATAAACAATCAAAAAATAAAATTCATAGAACAATTTCATTGAAAATAGAATCAGTTTTTAAAAATCTCATTTAAAATTGTATTCTCCAGATAATTTATCTAATTTACTAGACTTAGTACTAAATGCCACTTTTTTCCCTAAAGTCTAAAGTTTGCCATCAAAGTATGAAGATCTACTATCTCTGAGCACCTTCTGATCCTTAGAGCTGGTGCTTCCTATATAAAAGTTTCAAAGTATTCAGCAAGGATAATAAATTCAAGATGAGTATGAAGATTGCTTTCCAAGGTGATAACCTGGAAGGTTGTGGCCTCAAAATTGAGGTAGCATCTCAGTCCACTTTTTAACTCATGTCACATTACTTCACGGTCATATCCTCTATTTTAGTCAATAAAGAAGCCACTCAGCTGAAATAACTCATTATTTTCAAATTTTTTTTTTATTTGCTCCCAACCTGCCTTCCAATCCTTGAAAGGAAAAAATAACACCACCTCCTATACTGTTATAAAACTGCCAAATCTGTTTTTAAAATTTCATGTTTTTTATATTTATTTTCTTAAACATTTGATGACTAATTAAGCTTCCTGGTTGGAAAGGCCTTCCCGAGATGCTGGTTTCTTAAAACTTTGTACTAACCAGGCACTGGAGCCCTTACCTGTATCACCTTATTTCATCCTCACAATAAAGCTATACAGTAGGTGCATTTTTAAATCTCTGCTTTTCTAGATGAGGAAACTGAGGTTCAGAGAAGCATCCAAGCTTCTCAAAGTCAGAAGGTGTCAGAGTGGACATGCAAACCCAAATGTTTCCAGCTCTGGCACCCTCACACTCACCACCCAACCACACCCCTCTTAGGTTGCCCAGTTTCTAGGTACACTGACCAAGCACTTTCCTGGAATATTGAATGGGGGTAGTAAGGCTTAAGTTTAGATCCTGTGTTTAGATCTGGTAGGAAGAGCACAAATGGTTTGTAAGGAAAATCCCTTTAATGGTTACCTAATTTCAGATTGTGGGTGAAAACTCAAATATCCTGTCTCTAGGGGAAGAAGGAAATATTACAATTCATATAAAACTAAACCAACCTGTTTCTCTGTACTGTCCACACATGGTAAGAAAAGTTTCTTTTTCTCTAAATACTTTCATTGTTGCTACTAATCATAGTGCCATTGTTTTTGAGTACTTTATGATTTGTCAAGTACTTTTGTCCCAACTTTTAATTTTGCAAATTTTTGAGTCTACAAGTGTCAAAATAGTAGCACAATGAACACCTACTTGTACATCTCTCACCTATATTCACTTATTATTAAAATTTTGCCTCATTTACTTTATATTTGCTTTTTTCTTTCCTTTTTTGAGACAGAGTCTCACTCTGTCACCCAGACTGGAGTGCAGTGGTGCGATCTCTACTCACTGCATCCTCCGCCTCCTGGGTTCAAGTGATTCTCCTGCCTCAGCCTCCCGAGTAGCTGGAATTACAGGCACCCACCACCATGCCTGGCTAATTTTTGTATTATTAGTAGAGACGGGGTTTCACCATGTTGGCCAGCCTGGTCTCAAACTCCTGACCTCAAGTGATTGGCCCACCTTGGCCTCCCAAAGTGCTGGGATTACAGGCATGAGCCACTGCACCCGGCCTATTTGTATATTTTTAATGAGACATTTGGGAGTAAGTGCAGACATTATGATACTTTGTTCTTAAATATTTCAGCAGCATTCTCTGAAGAACAAAGATTTTCTTCTTAATCATCAGCATTATTACATCTATGAAAATTAAAAATAATTCTTTAATTCTATCTAATATCCAGCCAATATTTAGATTTTCTCAGTTGTACTCGAATGTGTTTTACAGCTTTGGTAAATCCAGAATTCAATCAAGGTTCATTTATTTATTTGGTTCTCATATCTCCTTAGTTATTTTTATCTAAAACTGTCCCACCACCATTGTTTGTTTTTCATGACATGGACATTTTGAAGAGTAGAGGACTGTTGTGTTAGAAAATGCCTCACTTTCTAATTTCCTTATAATGAGATCCGAGATAAACATCTTTCTCAAGAATGTTATGTAGGAAATGTGTAGTTCTTATTTGCTTATATTGAGGAAACATTGTGTTGTCTCGTTTTGGATACTGACAGTTTTGATCTTTCGATTAAAGAGGTGACTGCCATTTCTCTCCATTGTAAAGGTATATTTTCCTCTTTGTAATTAGTATGTAATCTGTTGTGTAATAATTTGAGACTGCGTAAGTATCCTATTCTCCAGTTAACTTTCACCCAACTATTTTAGCATCCATAGATGATTCTTTTCTTTTCAGAATCAATTATTAAAATAGAGAGTGGCTGGGCACAGTGACTCAAGCCTGCAATCTCAGCACTTTGGGAACCTAAGGTGGGCAGATCACTTGAGCCCAGGGCATCAAGACTAGCCCGGGCAACATGACAAACCCCATCTCTACTAAAAAAAAAAAAAAAAAAATTAGCCAGGCATGGTGATGTGCACCTGTAGTCCCAGCTACTCAGGAGGCTTAGGTGGGAGGATAGACTGAGCCCAGGAGGTCAAGGCTGTAATGAGCTGTGATCACACCACTGTGCTCCAGCCTGGGCAACAGAGCAAGACCCTGACTAAAAAAAAATTAATAAAATAAAATGGGAGGTGCAGTATGTATAAGAAAGTGCTATTTCTTATACATTAATTAGGTGACATTATTCCATAAAGATGAGCAGATCACGGTCCATATTTTCTATAAAGGGGAGCTTTCTTTTAATTATTTTAAAAATACTTGTATTTATTTAGCCTTTCCTGATAATAAAACTCATTTATGTTCAATACAAAAAACTTTGAAAAATATAGAAAAGACCAAAGAAGAAAAGCCTGTCCATTCATAATGCCACCATTATCACTCACCATGAACATTTGGTGTGTATATATCCTTTATTCTTTTTCTATTTATGTGTATTGTTTATCAAAATGGGATTATTTTCTATCAGCTTTTGTGAAGCCTGTTTTTTTACTTATGATTTTCAGATACAAGTAAATCTTATATGACTATTTATTTATTTATTTGAGACAGAGTCTTGCTCTGTCACCCAGGCTGAGTGCAGTGGCACAATCTCGGCTCACTGCAACCTCTGCCTCCCGGGTTCAAGAGATTCTCCTGCCTTGGCTTCCTGAGTAGCTGGGATTACAGGTGCTCGGGACCACACCTGGCTAATTTTTGTATTTTTAGTAGCGACAGGGTTTCACCATGTTGGCCAGGCAGGTCTGGAACTCCTGACCTCGTTTAGTGATCCTCCCACCTCGGCCTCCCAAAGTGCTGGGATTACAGGTGTGAGCCACCACACCCCGCTCTTATATGACAACATTTTAAATAATTGTATAGAATCCTATCAAGGACAACTATGATGATCTATTTATCATATCTACCATTGTTGAAAATTTTGGTTATTTCCAATGTTTTATACTGTAAATACTGCTTCAATGAGTATTCTTGTTAACTCTTTAAATGCTTCTTTGAGTATTTCTTGTGGAGTTTTTGAGTTAAAGCCTAGGTAAAACATTTTAAATAATTTAATATTATGAATTTCTGTAAGAGAATATTGCTTAATATTTCCAAACTTTGACAAGACAACTTAATACGCTGAAACTTTAAAATCTTGTTCCCACCCGTAAGACACAGATTCCAAAGAAGAGATGCAGATCTCAAATACCTACTGGGATTATTATGTTGTTTGGGAGTGAGCTGCTTACACAGCGTTTTACTGGAGTTCATTAGAACTTCAATAAGCAGGTTGTCCATTAGATGTAAGAATCTGAACAAATTAGTCACATGGTCTCTATGGCAACGAGTAAATGCTGTTAGAATCTGTGAACACTCCACAGAACAATCCAGCAAAATGGGCCTGCCTCATGCAAAGGAGCATTTTTACCAATCCCTTTCATTGTGTTTCTGGTATAAGAACCTTAGTCTAAATGCACCTTTTTCTGATGAAATTTTTGTCATGGGCAGTGTGAAAATTAAAGGAACAATTCAAAGCCAGGGAGCAGTGATTGCATGTGATGAATGATGAGCCTGAGAAAACAGCAGCCAACAACCCTTACACAGTCCGTACCTGGCCCTTTGCTAAAATGCTGTGTTCATGTTGCCTCATTTAAACCTCAGGACAAACTTGTGAGTGAAGTGCCATTATTATTCCTGTTTCCAGCTGGGCCAGGAAAAAAAAAAAAAAAAAGAGCTGAGATTAAGAGAAATGACCAAGAAAAGTTCTCCATGTGTGTTGAGTTTTCTATGTGGAATCCCCCGGAGAGTGGGGATCCTGACTTATTTTTCTCAGTCTCCCTTATGGGTAGCCACAGTGCTCAATTCATATCATTAAATGATTGTGAAAGGGAAGTAAATATAGGTTTCTGGATTTGTCATTTTATCAGGTGAGCTGGGAGGAATATTCTTCAGCAAGAGGCCACATGCTTTACCTCACAGGGGACAGAGGGATCAGGGATAAAGATGGCTACTCTGGTTGTCTGGTAGAGCTGATGATGTTGCTGATGCGTTGGGTCAGAGGTTGTGAATGCTGTGGTTATTGCTATTGAGCTTGGGGCTGAGAGAGTTTGGAGAAGATGCTGGACCACCTCAGATACATCAGAATTATATTTCTAAAGTTTAGAAAATGCAAACAACCAAAAATAAAAAATAAAACTTATGCACAGTCTCATATTTTGGAGTATATTCTTCTAGTCTTCTTTCTTCTTATATGTAAACTTTTTTAATACAAGTGAGTTCAGGGAGAAATGCTCTAGCATAACTTGCCTTTTTCACTCAACATTGTAATAGAAATATTTTTTTCTGTGCAATTAAATATATAAATTCATTTTTAAAATTTGAGTTTATCATGACCAATAAATACACAGATCTTACATGAACAGCTCAATGGATCTACATATATATAAACCCCTCTAACCATCTAGATCAAGATATAGGATATTTCTAGCCTCCTGGGCTCTCTCATGTCCTTAGACCTCAGACCTCATACCTCTGTGAAAGCTGTACTTCTTTCATGAACGGTAGACTAAATTTCTACGCCTAAAGACAGTTTCAAGGACTGAGACTAAATTCTAAGGAGCAATTAATTCCAAGGAGCAGATGGTGGCAAGCAGATACCATGAGACATCCTGACTCAGAGCTTGTTGACCACAAAAATCACAGGAGTGTTGAGAAATAGAAATGAAGACCTAGGTTTTACGGACTCATTGCTATTACATGCCATTGATTCTGAGACCTGATTCAGCAAACTTGCTTTCTTACCACATTTCCACTCTGATCCTTGACCCAATGAAACAATCCCAACTAAATTTTGCTCAGAAAGTCACTCTCCCTGGAGTGCTCCCTATTGCAGTAGCAGTGAATGAAGTGCTTGTCTCTGCCTCTAACTGCTCTCAAATTTTTAGTTTGAGCCCCTCATCCAGAAGTAGCCATTATTCTGACTTCTAAACTGCAGGTCAATTTTGCCTGTCCTTGAACTTCATACAAATGGAATCATGGTTTGTACTCTTTTGTGTCTGCCTTCTTTCTCTCAAAATAATGTCTGGACAATTCATTTATGTTGTTGTATGGATCTTCTTTTTTATTGCTATACAGAATTCCATTGTATGACTACACCCAGAATTTATCCATTCTTCTGTTAATGGTGACTGATGTTTCCAATTTGAGATTACATGAATAACACTGCTCTTGATATAGGAGGTAGACAGAAATTATTTAG
This sequence comes from Homo sapiens, assembly GCF_000001405.40. Lineage (NCBI taxonomy): Eukaryota > Metazoa > Chordata > Mammalia > Primates > Hominidae > Homo > Homo sapiens. The sequence continues at coordinate 7,242,183 of NC_000012.12, forward strand.
GCAGATAGTGAGGGCAAAAGAGTCCTTGGCAGAACTTCCCTTCTAACAAAAAGCAGCCCAAGAAATTACTTTTTTCTAACAAAGAGCAGTCTGAAAGCTCAAGCTGCAAACATAGATAAGGAAGCTGGAAGCTTGCACAGGGGGAGGCCTGCAGCTGCACTGATAGAAAGGGGCAACCTGGGGGCCAGGCATGTCCACCATGGGGTTCTACCTTCCCTTTCTTATTAGCACATGTATAGTAAGAAAGAACTGGGCAACATGGAGAAGCTCAGGCAGAGAACCCACCTGCATAATAAAAGATTGTGGTGGGGGCTGCCAGAGATTTGTGCCCTTACGCAGGTGGTGCACCTGGTTCTAACCAGTTTTTCATGCCCTATGTAGATCAGACACTGCCTCACCGCTAGCTCATCTATAAAAACCCCTGCATTTCATCATGGATTGGCAACCCATTTTTCCAGGACCCCTCTCTGTGGCAGAGAGCTATTCTCTTTCTTCGTCTATTAAATTTCAGCTCTTAACCTCGCTCTGTGTTTCCGTGTCCTTGATCTCCATGGCTGTGAGACAATGAACCTCGAGTGTCACCCCAGACCATGAGGCCACTTCACTGTGAATATTTTTCTGCATGTCTTGTAGTGAACATATGCAGAGATTTATAGTATATACAAATAGTACGTGTGTGGATACTATATATAAATAGGAGTGTTTATACACACACACAGAAATGCTGAGTCATAGGTATATGTATTTTAAGATTTAGTAGACATAGCCACACAGTTTTAAAATTACCAAATTATACTCTTGCCACAATAGAGTGAAATGTTCCAATGAAATGAAAGTTACAGTCATTCCACATCCTCACCAACACTTGTTATTGTGAACCTCCTAAATTTTAACCATTCTAGTAAGTGTGTAGAAGTATTTCATTGTAGTTTTAATATAATTTTAAGGGCCACACGGTAATTCATTATGTCAAGATGCCTAAGTATTTTGCTTTACCAATCCCTTATTTTTGAACATTCAAGAGTTTTTTTCCCCCCATTTTTCATTTTAGAGAACCCCTGGATGATCATCTTTTAACATAAACATTTTTCTTAGTATTGGGAATGAAAGAGGCATTATCACTATAGATCTCACACAGATTAAAAAGATAAGAAAAAATGTTATGAACAATTTTATATCAACAAACTCAACAATGTAGATTAAATAGAAAAATTTGATGAAAAATATAACTTTCCCAAGCTGTCACAAAATACAACAAAAAGCCTGAATAATTCAATATATACTTCAGAAATTGAAATAATTTAAAAACCTTACCACAAAGAAAGCTTCTGGCCCAAGTAGTTTCAGTGGTAAACCTCACCACACATTTAAGAAAGAACACCAAATCAACCAAAATTCTTTCAGAAAAGAGGGGAGGAGGCAACACTTTCCAGCTTGTTTTATAAGGTCAGTATAACATGATTATCAAAACTAAAAAATTACAAACTAATATTCCTCATAAACACATATGTAAAAATCCATAATAAAATTTTAGCAAATCAAATCCATCAATACATAAACAGGATTATACCTAATGACCAAGTGAGATTTATCCTAGGAATGGAAGGTTGATTTAACATTTCAAAAGTAATATAGGCCGGGTGGGGTGGCTCACGCCTGTAATCCCAGCACTTTGGGAGGCCAAGGTGGGCAGATCACGAGGTCAGGAGATCGAGACCATCCTGGCCAACATGGTGAAACCCTGTCTCTACTAAAAATAGAAAAATTAGCTGGGCATGGTGGGGCATGCCTGTAGTCCCAGCTACCTGGGAGGCTGAGGGAGGAGAATCACTTGAACCTGGTAGGTGGAGGTTGCAGTGAGCCAAGATAGTACTCCAGCCTGGTGACAGAGTGAGACTCCATCAAAAAAAAAAAAAAAAAAAGAAAAGAAAAAGAAAAGTAATATAATATACCCTATTTACAGAAAAAAAAGAAAAAGCCATATGATCATTTTAATAGATGCAGAAAAAGATTTTGACAAAATTCAACATTCACTCATGTTAAAATCTCTGAGCAAACTAGAATTAGGAGGCAACTTCCTCAGTCTGATAAAGAACATCTATAAAATCTTACAGTTAACATCATAATAGACAAATTTTGAATAATGCCTTCTCCATAAGGTCAAGAACAAGGCAAGAATGTTCCTATTCACTGCTTCTATTTAACATTGAACTGGAGGTCCTAGCTATTACAATAAAAGTGAAGAAAAATAAATAAGAGCCCTGGGCTGAAAAGAAGTAAAACTGTACCCCATACATATACACGAATGTTATGTATCAATTCAAAAAGAAGTAAAACTGGATCTACTTGTGGGAGACATAATTATTTATATGCTAATTCATAAAGTATCCACAAAATGAGTATTAACACCAATGAGTGAATTTAGCAAGGTTGCACAAGATTAGTACACAGAAATCAATTGTATTTTTATACACTAGCATCAAATAATTATAAAATGAAATTCAAAAGCAGTTCTATTTACAATAACATCAAAACCACAAACTATTTAGAAATAAATATAACAAAAGACATAAATGCCTATAAAATAGTGCTGAGAGAAATAAAAGAAAATTCAAACAAATGGAGATATGCTCTATGTTCATGAATTGGAATATATTCCATGTTCATGGATGTTCAATGCTGTTAGCATGTCCAAATTGATCTATAGCAAATGCAGTTTCAATCATTGTTCCACTAAGGTGTTTTCCATAATAAATTCAACAGCTAATTCTAAGACATATGAAAATGCAAAGAACTTACAATATCAAAAATAATATTTAAAAAGACAAAGTCTGAGGAGATATACTGCCTGACTTAATGACTTATAATAAAGCTAAAGTAATCAAGACAATGTGGTACTGATATGAGGATTCACAAATTGATCAATGGAACAAACAGCCCAGAAAAAGACCCATACTCATGTAATCATTTAATATTTGTAAAGGCACCCAATAGATCCAATGGAGAAAGGAAAGTCTTATTGACAAATGGTGCAGGAATAACTGGAAATCCACTAATTCAGGATGGATCATATACCTAAATGTTAAAGCTAAAATATAGGAGAATATCTTCATGTCCTTTGGGCATTTAAAACTTTCTGTTTCTTAGACAGAACACAGAAAGCAATAGCTATAAAATAAAAAATAACTTATCTAAATTAACTTTATCTAAATTAAAATTTAAAAAGTAATTAATTAAAGTTTATTTATTTAACTTTATCTAAATTAAAACATCTGCTCCTCATATCATTAGGAAAATGAATAGGCAAGACACACACTGGGATAAAATATTTGAAAAACATTTATCTGAAAAAGGACTGGTATCCAAGATCTACAAAGAACCTCTATAACTCATATATAATAAAAAGGCGAACAAATTTTAAATGAGTAAACATTTGACTAGATGCTTTACCACAGAAAATATATGAATAGCCAATAAACACATAAAAATGTCCAGCATTATTAGTCATCAAGGAAATGCAAATTAAAACTATAACAATTTGCAACCATACACCCACCTGAATGGCCAAAATTTGAAAGACTGCTAACATCAAATACTTTATCAGCATAACTGTAGAGCAACAAGAACTCATACATTTTTGCTAAGGGTATAAAATAGTACAACCACTTTGGAAAAAGCTCTGGCAATTTCTTGTGAAATTAAACATATACAAGCCCTATGACCCAGAAATTCCACTCCTCAGAAGACAGTGTCCTCAAAAAGACTTGTACAAAAGTGTTCCAATTTATTTATGACAGGCAAAATCTGGGACCAGCCCAGGCAATGTCAATAGTATACTACAAATTGCAGTATATTCATGTAATTGAATATGACTTAGCAATAAAAGTACAAACTATAAAAACATGGATGAACAAAGAAAGCCTTATACAGAAAAAAATTGTACTGTATGGTTCCATATATAAGACTTCCTAGAATAAACAAAACTAATCTATAGTGTAAAAAAGTCAGAACAATGGTTGTCCCTGGGTAGGGTAGGGGTGAACAGAGATGTACTGGGAGCTTTCTCAGATGATAGTAAAGGTCTGCATATTGACAGGGGTTTTGTTTACATAGTTATATACGTTTGTCAGAAATAACACTTTTTTTGTTCATCTCGTTATAGTAAATTTTATCTTAAAAGAAAAAACGATTAAAACTATGAACAAATATTGAGCTAATTAATAATATGCATACTGTACTTAGGAGGAAGTGTACTTGTGTCTGCAATTTAATTTGAAATACATTTTTAAAAATAGGTTGGGTTGATAGATGGCTAGAGAAGAGTAAAAAATAGCTAGATAGATAAGTGATGAAGCAAATTTAGCAAAATATTAATGTCAACTGTAGAATTTAGGTGGTGGATGTATAGGTATTCTTTCAACTTTTCTGTATGCTTGAAATTTTTCATAATAAAATGTGAGAAAAAAATCTTTGCGATATCTTTAATGGGTCTTGAGAACACCCAGGCAGAATTTTCTGGGTCAAAATCTATGAAAGTTTTAAAATATATTACCAAATTTCCTTCCAGAAAGATCATCTAATATACACTCCCACAAGCAGTGTAGGAGACTGCCAGTTTCCCTGAACCTTTGTCAAGGCTGAATACTATGATTTTATTAAGTATTTGCCAATGTGACAAGTGAAAAATATTTCATTGTTAGTCTTATTTGCTCTTTGGTTACTAGTAAGATTGACTTTCTTCTTATGTTTATTGGTCCTTTTCCCATTTTAAAATCTGAATGTCTTTTTCTATTTTTGTATTTTGTATTAGTTTTTTGTATTATTTTGTATTGATTTTTAAGAGCTTGGTAAAAAGATATTATTCCTTTAGCTATCAAATATGCTGAAAACAGTCCAGGTGCAGTGGCTCACACCTGTAATCCCAGCACTTTGGGAGGCCAAGGCGGGTGGATCACTTAAGGCCAGGAGTTCAAGACCAGCCTGGCCAAAATGGCGAAATCCCATCTCTACTAAAAATACAAAAAATTAGCTGGGTGTGGTGGCATGTGCCTGTAATCCCAGCTATTCGGGAGGCTGAGGCAGGCAAATCGCTTGAACCCAGGAGGCAGAGGTTGCAGTGAGCTGAGATTGTGCTACTGCACTCCAGCCTGGGTGACAGAGTGAGACTCTGTCTCAAATAAATAAATAAATAAATAAATAAATAAATAAATAAAAAGGCTGAAAACAGGAGCTGCTTTTTAAAACTCAAAACAGTGGATTCCATGTGACAGCTCTTTGGGGAAGAGGCAATATCATGGGGTGCTGTGTGAATTATGCAATAAAAAGCTCTCAATGTGCAGGCCTTTCATCTACCTGGTATTGATTAAAATACCTGCCTCCCATTAGAGAACTTGAGTTAAGGTATTATTTTAACAGATCAAAACTCTGGGAAAATGCCCCACTAATCCAGTTTTTTGTATTATTTAATATTTAAAGGAAAACCTGTTCCTCTCTATCAAGAAATCACTTACTGGATTTTCAGTACTGCCCTGAGACACCATGGAAAAAGATAAGTTGGTTTTGATGGAAAAAGTAGATACAGCATAAACAACCAGAGTAAAAAGATGGTAAAATCCCTACAGAAGGGAAGGAGGTCCTAGAAGCTAGATAAATGGAGGTAATAAAGCAAGATAATCCTCAAATCAGGAACTATTTCGTCATTACAGACCAGTGTCCACAGCGTACTTGCCTGGAACATACTCTATAAATGGAACCAGATATGGAATAAGACCAAGGAAAAAGTAGTATTATAATTCTTCTCTGAGGGGGGCTGGGTGCCGTGGCTCACACCTGTAATCCCATCACTTTGGGAGGTTGAGGCAGGTGGATCACTTGAGGTCAGGAGTTTGAGACCAGCCTGGCCAACATAGTGAAACCACATCTCTACCAAAAATTCAAAACATTAGCTGGGCATGGTGGCACACATCTGTAATCCCAGCTACTCGAGAGGCTGAGGCAGGAGAATTGCTTGAGCCTGGGAGGCAGAGGTTGCAGTGATTGGAGATCACAACACTGCACTCTAGCCTGGGTACCAGAGGGAGACTCTATCTCAAATAATAATAATAATAATAATAATAATAATAATAATAATAATAATAATTCCTCTCTGAGAGACTGTGATATGTAGCTGAAAATAATTGAGAATACTATGTAAGAACCTCATAAAAGACACATTTGAGTAAAGGCTGGTAGTTCAAGTGGAGTGTTGTGGCTCATGCCTGTAATTGCAACACTTCGGGAGGCTGAGGCAGGCAGATCACTTGAGCCCAGGAATTTGAGACCAGCCTAGGCAACACAGTGAGACCCTGTCTCTACAAAAAATAGAAAAAATTAGCCAGGTGTGGTGGCATGCATCTGTAGCCCTAACTACTCAGGAGGCTGAGGTAGGAGTATCACTTAAGTCTGGGAAGTCAAGGCTGCAGTGAGCAATGATCACATCACTGCACTTGAGCCTAGGCAACAGAGTGAGACTCCATCTCAAAATAAATAAATAAATAAATAAATAACCAAAAATTTTAAAAAGCAGATAGTCTCTGACCACCCCACTAAGGAAGGTGAGTCAGATCAACTGCAGTTTGCCTTCTGTCTCAGAGAGGCATGCAAGTTTAGGGCCTGAGCAGAATTGCTTGAAATGTCAAGAAGAGGCTGAGCACCATCATCTGTGTCTTTCCTCTCTATTCCTCCCCTGTGGAGGGAAAGTTAAATATTAAATTTGAACTCAATTGAACGTGAACACAAACAATAGTCACCAAGTCCTGGAACAGGTTGCATGAGCCCCTTGGGGCATTCATCCAGCACAGTTTTGGAGAAATCTGTTCCTGTATGTAAGTTATTGAAAAACAACAGACAATCGCAAAAACAAGTTGACCTTTCTGTGTTCCTTGAGCCCTCATGACACGGCCTCGTGCCAAACAACTGGTTACAAAAAGAGATAGGGTCCCAGACTGTGCTGAAGCTTCATGAGACCTCTTCTTGTCTGTGCACGGATGAGTGGCTGACTCTGGAGCCCAGGCTGTTACTTCCCAGTCTGGTGATGAATTCTCCATAGTCTGGTGAGTGTAAATATATATATATTTTTTCCCTTCTCCCCTTCCCATTGCAATTTTCTTATTATATCATTTGCTTATTATATTTGCATTGCCATTTACATGGGATAAAGGTTGTTTACCCTTAAAGGTATTTGGTGTGTGTGTCTTTTCTTTTGCCCTCGCAGGTTTCCAGCACAGAACATCCCCTAGGCAGCAATCAGTCTTTCCTCCAAATAAATGTTGAAGAAGTGTATAAAAAATATTGTTTGAAGGGCTACTGGAGGGGCTACCTGTCTCAATCTCACCCTGGCTCCAGGGAGGTGGTGGGATGGGAAGTAGAGAAATACTGTAGTTTTCATGGGGCCCACTTTACTACTCAAGCTTGCTCCCTCCTTCTTTCTTTACAAAAGAAAGAAAAAAAGAAAAGAAGGGTGAAAGCCAGAAGATTTATTTGGTTAAAAAAAAGAAATTCTACCAGGCACGGTGGCTCATACCTGTAATCCCAGCACTTTGGGAGGCTGAGGTGGGTGGATCACAAGGTCAGGAGATCGAGACCATCCTGGCTAACACGGTGAAACCCCATCTCTACTAAAAATACAAAAAATTAGCCAGGCATGGTGGTGGGTGCTTGTAGTCCCAGCTACTTGGGAGGCGGAGGCAGGAGAATGGCATGAACCTGGGAGGTGGAGCTTGCAGTGAGTCAAAATCGTGCCACTGCACTCCAGCCTGGGCGACAGAGTGAGATTCCATCTCAAAAAAATAAAAATAAAAATAAGAATAAAAAATAAAAATTCCTTTCCTTGCTTGTAAAGCAAGGATAATAGATAGAAGCCTACTATCTCTTATCCACGATTCCAAAATCTGAAAAGCTCTGATAATCAAAAATGTTTTTCATATCTAATTTGGCAGCAAAACCTGATCTGAGATGAGGTGAAACTAACTATAGTCTTTATTTATCTTAATTAATGGGAATATTCACACATTTCACTACAGAAATATTTACGTATATGATTTCAGTATGCTGCCCCAGGCCTTGCTAGGGGAGTAGAGATGGTTCTAAGTACCATATGACCTTTCCAAAAACTGAAAAATTCTGACTTCTAAAACATTTTAGCCATGTGGGATTTAGATAAGGAATAATGTTCAAAGATTTGCCACCAGGTACAAGAAAAGAATGTTCACTAAGCACTCAGAACAGTGCCTGACACCTGGAAAACAGGAGTTTCATTCCTCTCCTTGTAGTTTTGCCTATGAATAAGGAGCCCTTTTTCAAAAGTTAGCTCCAGGCAGCTGAACCTGGGCCAGATATTACAAATACAAAACTGGGTGAAAAAATATTTGCAGTTTACTTAACAGACAAAGAGTTAATATCCCTAATATGTAAGGAGTTCTTAAAGAAGAAAAAGGCCAAATCTGGTAGGAAAACAGGCAAAATACATGAATGGACAGTTCACAGGAAAAAATAAATGCTCCTTAAATATTAAAAAAATAAAATTTAAAAATAAAATATTAAAATTAAATTTTATTTGGAAATATTACTATGAACTCATAATTTTTTAAAAATTGTATTTCCTAGTTGTGTGTACTAGAAGTCCTGGAATCAGTGGCATCTAATAGTAAGATGCCATTGCTTCTGGAGCCTAAATCTTGATTTCTAAACATCATTCTTGATATAAGGGGCTCCTTGGTAAAAATGATATATCCACAGGTGGAGTACAAAAAATACCGGGCGAACTTGGGACTTCTTTTTGCATCAGAAAGTAAACAAGTGATCAAAAAATGATAATGACATGTCAAAAGGACACAAAAGTCAACTTGAGAGAGCTCTCACTGGCCAAATTTGAGACAATTTCTGTATCAAAAAGAATAATCAAGGCACCATGGAGGAGCCAAGATGGCCGAATAGGAACAGCTCCGGTCTACAGCTCCCAGCGTGAGTGACGCAGAAGACGGGTGATTTCTGCATTTCCATCTGAGGTACCGGGTTCATCTCACTAGGGAGTGCCAGACAGTGGGGGCAGGACAGTGGGTGCAGCACACCGTGTGCCAGCCAAAGCAGGGTGAGGCTTTGCCTCACTGGGAATCGCAAGGGGTCAGGGAGTTCCCTTTCCTGGTCAAGGAAAGGGGTGACAGACGGCACCTGGAAAATCCAGCCACTCCCACCCGAATACTGCGCTTTTCCGACCAGCTTAAAAAACGGCGCCCACAAGATTATATCCCGCACCTGGCTTGGAGGGTCCTACGCCCACAGACTCTCGCTGATTGCTAGCACAGCAGTCTGAGATCAAACTGCAAGGTGGCAGCGAGGCTGGGGGAGGGGCGCCCACCATTGCCCAGGCTCGCTTAGGTAAACAAAGCAGCCGGGAAGCTCGAACTGGGTGGAGCCCACCACAGCTCAAGGAGGCCTGCCTGCCTCTGTAGGCTCCACCTCTGGGGGCAGGGCACAGACAAACAAAAAGACAGCAGTAACCTCTGCAGACTTAAATGTCCCTGTCTGACAGCTTTGAGGAGGGTAGTGGTTCTCCCAGCACGCAGTGGGAGATCTGAGAACGGGCAGATTGCCACCTCAAGTGGGTCCCTGAACCTTGATCCCCAGCAGCCTAACTGGGAGGCACCCTCCAGTAGGGGCAGACTGACACCTCACATGGCCGGGTACTCCTCTGAGACAAAACTTCCAGAGGAACGATCAGATAGCAGCATTCACGGATCACGAAAATCTGTGGTTCTGCAGACACCGCTGCTGATACACAGGCAAACAGGGTCTGGAGTGGACCGCTAGCAAACTCCAACAGACCTGCAGCTGAGGGTTCTGTCTGTTAGAAGGAAAACTAACAAACAGAAAGGACATCCACACCAAAAACCCATCCGTACATCACCATCATCAAAGACCAAAAGTAGATAAAACCACAGAGCAGAAAAACTGGAAACTCTAAAAAGCAGAGTGCCTCTCCTCCTCCAAAGGAACGCAGTTCCTCACCAGCAATGGAACAAAGCTGGACGGAGAATGACTTTGACAAGTTGAGAGAAGAAGGCTTCAGACGACCAAACTACTCCGAGCTACAGGAGGAAATTCAAACCAAAGGCAAAGAAGTGGAAAACTTTGAAAAAAATTTAGACGAATGTATAACTAGAATAAACAATACAGAAGGGTGCTTAAAGGAGCTGATGGAGCTGAAAGCCAAGGCTCGAGAACTACGTGAAGAATGCAGAAGCCTCAGGAGCTGATGTGATCAACTGGAAGAAAGGGTATCAGTGATGGAAGATGAAATGAATGAAATGAAGTGAGATGGGAAGTTTAGAGAAAAAAGAATAAAAAGAAATGAACAAAGCCTCCAAGAAATATGGGACTATGTGAAAAGACCAAATCTGTGTCTGATTGGTGTACCTGAAAGTGACAGGGAGAATGGAACCAAGTTGGAAAACACTCTGCAGGATATTATCCAGGAGAACTTCCCCAATCTAGCAAGGCAGGCCAACATTCAGATTCAGGAAATACAGAGAACACCACAAAGATACTCCTCGAGAAGAGCAACTCCAAGACACATAACTGTCAGATTCACCAAAGTTGAAATGAAGGAAAAAATGTTAAGGGCAACCAGAGAGAAAGGTCAGGTTACCCTCAAAGGGAAGCCCATCAGACTAACAGTGGATCTCTCGGCAGAAACTCTACAAGCCAGAAGAGAGTGGGGGCCAATATTCAACATTCTTAAAGAAAAGAATTTTCAACCCAGAATTTCATATCCAGCCAAACTAAGCTTCATAAGTAAAGGAGAAATAAAATACTTTACAGACAAGCAAATGCTGAGAGATTTTGTCACTACCAGGCCTGCCCTAAAAGAGCTCCTGAAGGAAGCACTAAACATGGAAAGGAACAACCGGTACCAGCCGCTGCAAAATCATGCCAAAATGTAAAGACCATCGAGACTAGGAAGAAACTGCATCAACTAACGAGCAAAATAACCAGCTAAATCATCATGACAGGATCAAATTCACACATAACAATATTAACTTTAAATGTAATGGACTAAATGCTCCAATTAAAAGACACAGACTGGCAAATTGGATAAAGAGTCAAGACCCATCAGTGTGCTGTATTCAGGAGACCCATCTCATGTGCAGAGACACACATAGGCTCAAAAATAAAAGGATGGAGGAAGATCTACCAAGCAAATGGAAAACAAAAAAAGGCAGGGGTTGCAATCCTAGTCTCTGATAAAACAGACTTTAAACCAACAAAGATCAAAAGAGACAAAGAAGGCCATTACATAATGGTAAAGGGATCAATTCAACAAGAAGAGCTAACTATCCTAAATATATATGCACCCAATACAGGAGCACCCAGATTCATAAAGCAAGTGCTGAGTGACCTACAAAGAGACTTAGACTCCCACACAATAATAATGGGAGACTTTAACACTCCTCTGTCAACATTAGACAGATCGACGAGACAGAAAGTTAACAAGGATACCCAGGAATTGAACTCAGCCCTGCACCAAGCAGAACTAATAGACATCTACAGAACTCTCCACCCCAAATCAAAAGAATATACATTTTTTTCAGCACCACACCACACCTATTCCAAAATTGACCACATACTTGGAAGTAAAGCACTCCTCAGCAAATGTAAAAGAACAGAGATTATAACAAACTGCCTCTCAGACCACAGTGCAATCAAACTAGAACTCAGGATTAAGAAACTCACTCAACACCGCTCAACTACATGGAAACTGAACAACCTGCTCCTGAATGACTACTGGGTACATAACGAAATGAAGGCAGAAATAAAGATGTTCTTTGAAACCAACGAGAACAAAGACACAACATACCAGAATCTCTGGGATGCATTCAAAGCAGTGTGTAGAGGGAAATTTATAGCACTAAATGCCCACAAGAGAAAGCAGGAAAGATCCAAAATTCACACCCTAACATCACAATTAAAAGAACTAGAAAAGCAAGAGCAAACACATTCAAAAGCTAGCAGAAGGCAAGAAATAACTAAAGTCAGAGCAGAACTGAAGGAAATAGAGACACAAAAAACCCTTCAAAAAATTAATGAATCCAGGAGCTGGTTTTTTGAAAGGATCAACAAAATTGATAGACCGCCAGCAAGACTAATAAAGAAAAAAAGAGAGAAGAATCAAATAGATGCAATAAAAAATGATAACGGGGATATCACCACCAATCCCACAGAAATACAAACTACCGTCAGAGAATACTACAAACACCTCTACGCAAATAAACTAGAAAATCTAAAAGAAATGGATAAATTCCTCGACACATACATCCACCCAAGACTAAACCAGGAAGAAGTTGAATATCTGAATAGACCAATAACAGGATCTGAAATTGTGGCAATAATCGACAGCTTACCAACCAAAAAGAGTCCAGGACCAGATGGATTCACAGCCGAATTCTACCGGAGGTACAAGGAGGAACTGGTACCATTCCTTCTGAAACTATTCCAATCAATAGAAAAAGAGGAAATCCTCCCTAACGCATTTTATGAGGCCAGCATCATCCTGATACCAAAGCCTGGCAGAGACACAACCAAAAAAGAGAATTTTAGACCAATATCCTTGATGAACATTGATGCAAAAATCCTCAATAAAATACTGGCAAAACGAATCCAGCAGCACATCAAAAAGCTTATCCACCACGATCAAGTGGGCTTCATCCCTGGGATGCAAGGCTGGTTCAATATACGCAAATCAATAAATGTAATCCAGCATATAAACAGAACCAAAGACAAAAACCACATGATTATCTCAATAGATGCAGAAAAGGCCTTTGACAAAATTCAACAACCCTTCATGCTAAAAACTCTCAATAAATTCGGTATTGATGGGACGTATCTCAAAATAATAAGAGCTATCTATGACAAACCCACAGCCAATATCATACTGAATGGGCAAAAACTGGAAGCATTCCCTTTGAAAACTGGCAGAAGACAGGGATGCCCTCTCTCACCACTCCTATTCAACGTAGTGTTGGAAGTTCTGGCCAGGGCAATTAGGCAGGAGAAGGAAATAAAGGGTATTCAATTAGGAAAAGAGGAAGTCAAATTGTTCCTGTTTGCAGACGACATGATTATATATCTAGAAAACCCCACTGTCTCAGCCCAAAATCTCCTTAAGCTGATAAGCAACTTCAGCAAAGTCTCAGGATACAAAATCAATGTATAAAAATCACAAGCATTCTTATACACCAATAACAGACAAACAGAGAGCCAAATCATGAGTGAACTCCCATTCACAATTGCTTCAAAGAGAATAAAATACCTAGGAATCCAACTTACAAGGGATGTGAAGGACCTCTTCAGGGAGAACTACAAACCACTGCTCAGTGTAATAAAAGAGGATACAAACAAATGGAAGAACATTCCATGCTCATGGGTAGGAAGAATCAATATTGTGAAAATGGCCATACTGCCCAAGGTAATTTATAGATTCAATGCCATCCTCCTCAAGCTACCAATGACTTTCTTCACAGAATTGGAAAAAAATACTTTAAAGTTCATATGGAACCAAAAAAGAGCCCACATCGCCAAGTCAATCCTAAGCCAAAAGAACAAAGCTGGAGGCATCACGCTACCTGACTTCAAACTATACTACAAGGCTACGGTAACCAAAACAGCATGGTACTGGTACCAAAACAGAGATATACATCAATGGAATAGAACAGAGCCCTCAGAAATAACGCTGCATATCTACAACCATCTGATCTTTGACAAACCTGAGAAAAACAAGCAATGGGGAAAGGATTCCCTATTTAATAAATGGTGCTGGAAAAACTGGCTAGCCATATGTAGAAAGCTGAAACTGGATCCCTTCCTTACACCTTATACAAAAATTAATTCAAGATGGATTAAAGACTTAAACGTTAGACCTAAACCCATAAAAACTCTAAAAGAAAACCTAGGCATTACCATTCAGGACATAGGTATGGGCAAGGACTTCATGTCTAAAACACCAAAAGCAATGGCAACTAAAGACAAAATTGACAAATGGGATCTAATTAAATTAAACAGCTTCTGCACAGCAAAAGAAACTACCATCAGAGTGAACATGCAACCTACAAAATGGGAGAAAATTTTCGCAACCTACTCATCTGACAAAGGGCCAATATCCAGAATCTAGAATGAACTCAAACAAATTTACAAGAAAAAAAAAACCCATCAAAAAGTGGGCAAAGGATATGAACAGACACTTCTCAAAAGAGGATATTTATGCAGCCAAAAGACACATGAAAAAATGCTCATCATCACTGGCCATCAGAGAATGCAAATCAAAACCACAATGAGATACCATCTCACACCAGTTAGAATGGCAATCATTAAAAAGTCAGGAAGCAACAGGTGCTGGAGAGAATGTGGAGAAATAGGAACACTTTTACACTGTTGGTGGGACTGTAAACTAGTTCAGCCATTGTGGAAGTCAGTGTGGCGATTCCTCAGGGATCTAGAACTAGAAATACCATTTGACCCAGCCATCCCATTACTGGGTATATTCCCAAAGGACTATAAATCATGCTGCTATAAAGACACATGCACACGTAAGTTTATTGCGGCACTATTCACAATAGCAAAGACTTGCAACCAACCCAAATGTCCAACAACGATAGACTGGATTAAGAAAATGTGGCACATATACACCATGGAATACTATGCAGCCATAAAAAATGATAAGTTCATGTCCTTTGTAGGGACATGGATGAAATTGGAAATCATCATTCTCCGTAAACTATAGCAAGAACAAAAAACCAAACACCGCATATTCTCACTTATAGGTGGGAATTGAACAATGAGATCACATGGACACAGGATGGGGAATATCACACTCTGGGGACTGTGGTGGGGTTGGGGGAACGGGGAGGGATAGCATTGGGAGATATACCTAATGCTAGATGACGAGTTAGTGGGTGCAGCGCACCAGCATGGCACATGTATACGTATGTAACTAACCTGCACCATGTGCACATGTACCCTGAAACTTAAAGTATAATTAAAAAAAAGAAAGAAAAAGGAATATAATCAAGGCAATGGTTAAAAAAAAACCATAGAATCTTTAAAATTCCGAGTCTACCATGATGCTCAGGGTGGGTTGGGGGATGAAAGGGTGGAGGGAGAAAAATTCCTTTTTGAGGAAAACTCTGGTTAGTAAAAGTAGAAAGAATAACAGAATTTGGAAATCAACATTTTGCAATCTCCAATGATTGATTTAGATAAGGATCATAACTGGATGCTATGTCCTCTAGGTGAAAGTTACACTTGCAAAGTGTGGCTGACACCATCTGAACCAAGTGAACAAATTTAACATCATCAATAGTGGGACAATCTGACATCATGTGCCTAGTAAGATGATGCAGTGCGTTATACATGGATTATTTATGAAATGTCCTGCTAGAAGTGTTTATCCTGAATCTAATCGGGCTCCAGCTTAATTTAAAGTCTGTGAAAGTTTTAAAATATATTACCCATTTCCCTCCAGGAAGATGACCTCAATTTATACTCTCAGCAGCGTAGTAGACTGCCAGTTTCCCTGAACAAGTTAATTGAGACCACAAGGACACAAAAATACACAGGCAGTATGTGAGATATTCATCAAGACAACAACTGATCTGGATTCTTCTCAAGACAATGTCATGGGTAAAAAAAGCAAGAGAATTCTTCTACATTACAGGAGACGTGCTTGAATCCTGGACTTTTAAAAAAGCTATAAAAGACATTTTGGGACCATTGAGGAATTTTTAGTGTGGAATGGTTATAAATGATATTTAGGAATTATGAATGTCTTCGATGGTCATAATATTCTCCTATTATGGCTATATGGGAGAATGTCCTCATGTTTTAAAGATGAATGCTGAAGAATTTAAAAAAGAAAATAATGTCTGCAACTTACTTTCAAATGATTTAGAAAAATCATGTAAATAGGGCAACAAGTGAAAATACCCCAAATTCTTCTGACTCTGAAGGTCCACAAAACATACTTGAAAAACCACTGGGCTAGGCAATGAACAATCTGGATTCCCCAAATGAGTACTTATGATGGTGACTGGGTGGAGGTCCTGGAAACCTGAAATCTATCCATTTGTGTATGTCTCTCCCAGTGCCTCAACACCTGCAGTTCCTTAAGGCAGCTTCATGAATGAACTTGTTCCCACTGGTTCTTTTTCTGACATGTGAAAGCTTTTATAATCTCAGATCCTGTCTCTTTATCTCATAATAAAGAAAGCTCCCCTCAGCATCTATGTCAACACAGACAAAGGGTTCAATCTGCCAAAATGCCTCAGCAAAGTCTGGCTCTTGACTACAACTGGGGTGTGGGATGAGGTGGCTTTTTCCTCTGATTTCACAACCTCTAAAGGAAATGGATTTTTATTGTTTCTTTTTCTTCTGTAAGCTAAAGGAACTAGGGCTCTAGAGTGGCTTCTACCACTAAGTTCCATCCTTCAACACCAACTGACTCAAGAAAAAACAGTGCAATAAGAGACCACAAACAACTTCCTGAAACACGAAAATAAAATGCATATATTTTCACCTGAATATTTAGAACAATAGGACTTAGCATTAGAAGACTGGGTTCAAATCCTGATTCTGCTTTTAACAAGTAGTGGACGGGTTATGGACAACTAATATCCTAAGCCTCAGTTATTTCACCTGAAAATTGGGGTGCTAATGATAATAAATGCTATGGAAATAAGATGAATAATAGCCATGGAAATAAGATGAGTTAATGGCTATGAACGTGCTTTGTAATATGAAAATGCTATAAAATGATCCTAGCTAGTCTAGTTAACTGAATTAATAAATGAATAATCTGAAGGCCAACAAGGACATGACTTGATTGACATTACAAAGCAAATTTATTTATCTGTTCAATACATTCTCTCCTGGGTTAGGACTTACACTAAAATATGGAGGTTAACTAGACTGTCCTCTTACTACATGTAGATGTATTTGTAGAGATCCATATAGATACATAAGAAATACAGCTGTCTCGCCAAATTTACTGAGTCATCCCAGCACCATACTAAGAGTTTGGGTATATTACTTCACTGAAGCTTATGACTGTCCTATGAGAAAAGTCCTATTATTATCCCCATCATATGAATAAGAACAGTGAGGATACAAAAGGAGAGATTATAAATGCCTGAAAAATATCAGTGAGAATGTAGGAGAAGAAATGGACTTTAGATTGAGCAGGTTGAATACACAGAACATAGAAAACCAATGGGATATAAGGATTAAGGAAAAAAGAGATGACAAGAAACCATGTTGCTATAATTGAGCAAATATTAATGCTATACAGAGGGAAGAACAGGTTGGTGGGGAAAATTTCCATTCATTTAACCAATATTAACTGAGCACTTAATATGTGTCTGACAATATTATAAGCTCTAGGGATATAGCAATAAAAAATATTGGTAAGAGTTCCTATTTTCCTGAACTTATATTCTGGGAACAGGGGAATATGTTCAAGAATTGTTATGTTCTTGATTTTTTGAGGCGCTCATTGAACATTTGGGTGAAGATGTCCAGGAAATACCAGGAAATAGTTGGAGAAATGGGTTTAATTCTCAAAAGAGTTGTTTAAATGAGAGATGAACTTGGGAAATCTTCAGTGTATAAATGGTGATTGAATTTATGAACATGAATGAGGTCACTCAGGCACAGAATATAGTTCCAGAAGAACAGCAGGCTAAAGGTGAAGCCCTTGCAATGCCAATATTTAAGAAGAAGAGTCCAAGAAAGAGATGAAGCAGGAACAGTTAGACAGGTAAAAGGAATGGCAGAAGAGAATGATATGATAAAAACCAAGGAAAGAGAAAGTTATAAGAAGGAATGGTTAGTAGTTTCAAATGCTGTTAAGAGATCAATATGTATAATGAACAACTGAATGTGGCACCCAGAGGGTCCCTATGATTATGGCAAAGGCAGCTTCAGGAGAGAAGTTGGGGCAGGAGGCCAATGTAGTATGTGGAGGGGTGTCTAGAAGAAAAGTCTGTAAAAGCCTCAATTAAAGTGAACTTTTCTGTTGAGAACTTAACCTGCCAGCATGGGCAACATAGCGATACATCATCTTTACAAAAAATAAAAAATTAGCCAGGCATGGTGACACGCACCTGTGTTCCAGCTACTCTGGAGGCCAAGGCAGTAGGATTGTTTGAGCTCCGGAGTTTAATGCTAAAGTGAGCTGTGATCGGGCTACTGCACTCCAGCCTAGGTGACAGAGAAAGACCCTATCTCAAACAAACAAACAAACAAAAACAACAACAACAACAAAAAACTTTATCTGGAGAGAAATATTAATATAAGCAACAGGAGACCAAGAGTGAGGTATTGGCTTTTAAAATAGAGGAACAATGTCAGCGTGTTTGACTGCTTGTGAGAAAGGGTCAGTAACAGAGAAGCTGGAAGAGAAAAGAGAAGGAAAAATGGGTGAGGCCACTGTAGAGACAAAGAGGAGGGATCCAGAACACCCTCCTCCTGACCCTGGACGCAGGGAAGGTGGGATGTAGAAGAGAAAAAATGAGTGAAAGGGAAAGACTCCAAGTTGAGGAAGTTGTTGCTGATGGCTTCTGCAAGGAGGAGGTAATTTTACCTATATTTTCTCACTTTCTTTTATGACAGTTTTTTGAGACAGGAACTCAAAAAATAGTTTTTTGAGAAACTATTAGTGTCCTCACTTCATTAATGAGGAAACTGAGGTTCAAAGAGGTTAAATGACCTGCCCTTGGAAATTTGCAGGGTCAGAATTCAAACCCAGACATTTCACTCAAGTCCCCTAGTCTTTCTTAATGATCACTAGAGAGAGAAATTTAAGGAAAAGAAACATCAATGCCTTCAAACCCAAGAAACCTTCAGAATGATGGTAACCACTGAGAGAAAAGAATAAAATGGACAGGAAAACAGGATAGAGCAAAGGCTGTAGGTACAATAATCGTAATAAAAATGGGTATTTATCTATAGCGTTATCTCTTTTTTCTCCCTATAACAAATAGTTAAACAATATAAACTATGTAAAGGGGCATGAGAAAATAGAAACTGCAAGGCTCGCTTCTAAGGAAATGATTGTTTTGTAAATATATCGTAAGAATTGATCATTAAAACAACATTTTGTAATTATATTAGTTTATGGCAGACAAGAATAATTTATTCAACAAATATTTATTGAGTATCTACTATGTGCCAGATAGTGCTCTAAACCCTGGACATATAATAGTGAATAAATCAGACAAGAGCTCTACTTTTTTGGAGTCTACGTTCTAATGAGAAGACAGGCAGGAAAATAGCAGATTAATCAGCAAATAGCTCAAGTAAAACCAGATGAGGAGTGCTACTTTAGAATGGGTAGTGGAGTGAAATTCTGAAGACATGACATTTGAGTTGAGACCTCATGAACAAGAATCAGTTATATGGAAATCTGAAGCAACACACTTAGGCTGAGGGAACAGTGAATGTCAAGGTTCTGGAGTAGGAGCCACCTTGGCATGTTCAATGAACAGCAAAAAAAAAAGCGTGATGAGCACAGGGAGGACAGTGGCAGGAGATGAGGCTAGAGACATGGGCAAAAACCAGACATGTAGAGCAGCAGTTCTCAGTCCTCGCTGCTCACCAGAATCCCCAGAGGAGCTTTAAAAATATGGATGACTGGGTCCCCACTCCCAGAGAAACTGATTTAATTGGTCTGAGGTGGGGCTCAGGCATAGATCTTTTGAAAAATGCCCTGGGGATTCTGATGGATATCCAAGGTTGAGACTAATATTGAGACTTCTAGCACTTTGGGAGGTCATGGCAGGCACATCACTTGAGGCCAGGAGTTCGAGACCAGTCTGGCCAACATGGTGGAACCCTATCTCTACTAAAAATATAAAAATTAGCCAGGCATGATGGGGCGCACCTGCAATCCCAGCTATTCAGGAGGCTGAGGAATGAAAATTGCTTGAACCGGGGAGGTGGAGGTTGCAGTGAGCTGAGATTCTGCCACTGCACTCCAGCCTGGGCAACAGAGCGAGACTCTGTCTCAAAAAAAAAAAAAAAAAAAAAAAAAAAAGAAATACCTGAAAAAAAAGAAAGAAAAATAAATACCTGAGACTGGGTAACTGGGTACTTTATACAGAAAAGAGGTATATATACACACAAATATACACATATATATATTTCAGAAAATTTTTTAAAAAGAAGAGACTTCCAGATATTCTGTAGTAAAGAGAATATAGGTGAAAGACTGTGTGTGGAAGCAGAGAATTAATGTAAGTTGAACCTGGTAAACAGAAGAATCATTTCAAATAACATTCCCCCACAGAGAAATTTGAGCAATCTTAATTGCCAGACCTCCTGAGAACATAAAAGCTTTACCTGCCAAGAAAACTTGGCTCAAGAAACACCAACTAATAAAATGTAAGACTTTCTATCTTCCAAGCTAACTAACATGTATTGAATTGGTAATATGTACCAGATATTGTATACTAAGCAATTCACTAGATGGTCTAGTATCTTCATAACAATTTCATCTTATCTGTGAGTAAGACCCAATTTAGAGATGACAGTACTCATCTTGGAGAGATTTAGTGTCTTATGTAATGCCACACAACTATTAAGTAGCAGAGGTGCGTCTCTCTGATTCGAAGTCTATGATCATTGCTGCTGTAAGACCTAGTTTGCTGAGGTTACAAAATGGCCAGTCTAATATTTAAACTACTGCTCTCTAGGAAAGTGCTCTTGGGTTCTGTTATGAAAAACTACCACCAGCCGGCCATGGAGGCACATGTCCTTAGTCCCAGACACTCAGGAGGCCGGTGTGAGAGGATCACCTGAGCTCTGGAGGTTGAGGCTGCAGTGAACCACAATGGCACCATTACACTCCAGCCTGGGCAATAGTGTGAAAAACTGTCTCAGAGAAAAAATGATTTCCCAGAGATTGGCAAAGAAAAAAAGGAGGAAAGAAACAAAGTTGAAAGAAAGAAAGAAAGAAAGAGAAAGAAAGAAACTTCCAGAAATAAAATCAATCTAGAACACTGTGGTAAAACAACTGTGGTAGTTATTACCCAGCTATCCACCCCTGTATTAGTCCATTCTCTTATTGTTATAAAGAAATACCTGAAAAAAAAGAAAGAAAAATAAATATCTGAGACTGGGTAACTGGGTAATTTATACAGAAAAGAGGTTTAATTGGCTCATGGTTCTGCAGGCTGTACAGGAAGCATAGCAGCTTCTGCTGCCTGGGGGACCTCAGGAAACTTACAATCATGACAGAAGGCAAAGGGGCAGCCAGCACTTCACATAGCCGGAGCAGGAGGAAGAGAGATGGGAGAAGGTGCTACATACTTTACACACTTTTAAATAACCAGATCTCATGATAACTCACTGGCTATCAGCACCCATGATCCAATCTGCCCCCATGATCCAATCACCTCCCACCAGGCCCCATTTCCAACACTGAGAATTATAATTCAACATGAGATTTGGTGGGGACACAGATCCAAAGCATATCAACCCCCCAGATAGTACTACAATTTCCACTTGGGCCTTGTGACAAGCTCTGGCCAATGAATTATGAGCTGGAATGATGTATACCATGTCTAGGCTGGAGCACATAATTGCTTCCTTTCCCACACTTATGATGGGCGATCCTTCAGATAATGGTTGTTCTATCAGCCAGGTCACAGAAGATCTCTCAGCCAACCCATGCTGAACAAGTAGTGAGAGCAAAAGATTGTGATGTTATAGACCACGGAGATTTGGGGGATTCTTTATTATGTAGCATAGCGTAGTTCATCCTGACTGATACAAACTGCATCCTTCCTCTCTGAGTTTGTCTAGAGATGACAAATTACCAGCTCTACTTATGCATCACACATGCCCAAAAGTGTGTGTGTGTGTTGTGTATGTGCTTTATTTTGTTGCTAATAAATCTATTAAAAGTGGAAAACTCTAAGTCCATCAGCAGAAAACATTCCTGTAGATATTTCTTCAGTACAAAGGATGTCAGTTGTTCAATCTGACAAGGTAATTAATGAATGAGAAACTCCAGAATAGCCACATCCAGACCACAAATACCTCCCTTGGAGAAAGATGCATATGTGGGCCAAGCAAGGGCAAAAGGAAGGTCCCTAAAGAAGAGCCCACACATGTTGATGTTGCTCTGGGAGAAATATATTAATTTATTTAACAAATAAAAAAGCTACTATGTTCCAGGCATTGTCCAAAGTGCAAAAAATAGAATAGTGAACAGAACAGACAAAAATCTCCCTTTTTATAGAGTTTATATTCCAATGGCGTGAGGGAAGATAATGACATGGCTCTAAAAACATTTAATTGTTCCAGTATAGACTTTCCCCATTTCTCATGATCTGTTCATCCAGCTGAATAAATAAGAAATGTGACAAGCCCATCACCCCCCACTTACTGACAGGGTAAAGTCTGAAGCAATATATGGGGTAATCCAACCTACACCATCTGGGGCCCTGAAATGCAGATCATTAATTTGGATTAAACCCTTAAATACTGGTTTCTGATTTCCATTCATAGGAAACAACAGCTCTTTCTTCTTCTGGCTGCACCTGGGGTTCTGCCCACTGGCCTAGAGGAAGAAATGGAATTCATGTTTTGATCACCACATCTGGCATCTGAATCCCTTCATCTTCTTGAAAACCTCTGAAGATCTGAGTACTGTTTAAGAGCAGACTCCCTAAGGCAATTATCCTCTCAGGCCAGAAGTCTCAGGAGGTAGAGGTTGGAGTCTATGGTAGCACCATCTTTGACTCACTGGTCTGTCTGCATAGAAAATACTGCAACTCATGTTTAGCTATTGTCTAATGTATGTGCCATCAGCTCCTAAGGGGACAAAGACAGAGTGACAGCCCCTTCCTGTGACGGTTACTATGGGACTGAACGAAGGAGGACGAATGCAGAAATGAAGACAAAGACAAAAGATCTGTTTTAAAAGAAGGGGTGGGGGGCTCCTTGTTTCTAGTGAGCAAGGGCCCTGAGCTTCTACAGCCCTTTGTATTTATTACGTAGAATCAACAGGGAGGAAAGGTAATGGTTGGTCAGCTGCTTGATTTATCACAGGTTCACCTAATTGCTTTTTTTATACTACAGGCTTCAGATATTCCTATAGATAACCACAAGGAACACTGCGCTTGGGGCGTGACTGCCTCAGCATTCCTTCTGGCAGCAGATGCAGTTTGCCAGTTTGCCAACTCCCGCTTTCATGAGAACAGTTTGCTATTTGCTCATATAGCCTCCAGTGGTATACTGAGTTGGTCATGACCCTCATTCTTTTGGCCTCCAACACTTTCCCATTTCCTTTATTCCAATAACTGTGTGCTGTTATGTATCTGTACCTTGTGTACCTCTAAACTCTTCACTGAGTGTGATACAAAGTACATTAATTAGTAAATATTTGAGTAGTAAATAATCCTGGGTTTCAACCAAATATAGATTGATCCAGACACATAATGTTAAGTCACAAAGGAGGGAGGTCTGTTCAGCTTCCTGTCTTGCCTCACGGCTCCTTTCTGGTACTGTGCACTGTGGGCCAACAATGTTAGTTACTAGTCTAAGACTATACAAGGCCTAATGTGGTTAGTCATTCTTATATTAGTAAAGCTCAACAGCAAATAATGGTTGATTTACTGATTGTCAAATACTATTTCTCACTAAAGGAAACCAGAACTCTTTAGCGAAATGGCTGACTTCAGAACTGTGACAGGAAATGTACAAGATGAACCTGGGACATCTTATTTGTGCCAGAAAATAAGAAAGCTTCCAAAGACAACTGAGTCATGTCAAAAAAGGGACACAGAAACCAGCCTGAAGGGGCTCCCTCCTGAGTCACTTTGGGACAAAAATTTGAGCATTAAAAAAAATGACTACATATGTATGCATATGTATATAAATATATATAATTGCATATTTATGAGTTCACAATCATACTTTAAAAACTCATTAGTCACCACTGCAAGTTGGTAGGGTACCAACCTGTTATGCTGAAAGTTGGTAATAATAATAAAGACAAAGAATCAAGCATGAAAATAAGGCTTGGTCCTAGGCAATTTACTTAACCTCTCAGAGCTTGTTTCCTCATTTATAAAATAATAGTACTGGTAGTGCCTAGTTCACAGGATTTTTGTGAGGATTAGATAAAATAATAACACATGAGATCCCAGCAATTACAATGTACTATATGCATGTAAAGAATACCTGCAATTATTATGTGGACAGTTTTCAAGTGAAACAGATCTCTGATGATTTATAGGCACCTGGTTTTGGATTGATGTGATTATAAGACCTTGAGGAGTAATTCAACATTCTCAGCCTCTTGTTCAAGGAGCTTACCTAAGGGGTATATTCTCTATTCTGTATGATTTGCCATTTTCCCTTTGAAATCCATACTGGGCTATAATTACTTTAGTTCCTCACTTGCCAGGGATGGAGTATGCTCCCTAAAGGCCCAGCTGATGATCAAGCTGCATGTTCATATGGTCCCTGGTGCTTATTATAACTGGAAGAAAACTTAGTCCTTCCAAAAGAATCATTAAAGGGCTGGTGGCAATCCAATGGTGACTTGTTACCTTGCCTTCCTCATTTAAGCAAGTGAGTCCCACAGGAAGCCTGTATAACCAAGAAAGCAAGCATGAAATACTTCCTGCTCCTTGTAGAAGGGAGACTCCAGCTCTTGCAATCCATTTGCAGCATTCAAAAACTTCAGAGATGCTCAAAGAGCCAAATGGATCCCAAATGAAAGGGTCGAATGACTTCAGCCCCAAATACTAGATAAAAGCAACTGAGAAGTTGAATTCAGGAGAAAGTTGTCCAGGAATTAGTGATTGTTTTTTTTCATGACATCTTAAAGAAGATGGGGCACTGCCTCACATCCCCAGCTCCTTGAGCAGAACATGATATAAAATCAGCATTAACCTAGTGAGGCAGATAGCTAGGATTGTATGCCCAGCAGTCAGTTTCTTGGAAAAGCCAATCCTCTCAACTGTATGGCCAGCATGACAGCTCCCATGCTATTTCTTGACCCCATCCTCATCCTGGCTTCTGTGGATTGGTCCTGTGGTTGGCACTTAACCCTATCCAAAGCTCTTCTCCAGAATTTCTCAAAGTATAAATAAAATAGCCAATCTCTGGAGTGGCAGCCTGCTTAGGATGAAAAATATAAGAATTGACAAAGTCCCATGTTTACCTCCATGTAGAGAAAGCCAATTTTAGGAAAAAGAAATGCAATCAACCCATACAGACAAACAGACAAGAAATGGAAAGACAGACTCCTGATGATGTTTGAGTCCCTCATTTTTCTAAGGTCCAGCTGTACCTTGTTCTTCATATGGTTTGACTGATCAATACATTCTTGATTCAGCAAGCCAATAAATTCCCTCCCAATTCTCCACAAGTTATATTGATTGGAATTCTGTCACTACAACCAAAAAGGTCCTGACCAATACAGTATTGGTTCCTTGCACTTTCACGTTGGGATAGAAACAGAATTCAGTAGCCAACTGACCTTTCTATGGATCATCGCCCAACTCTGCTCTGCCTCTGGAATCTTCATTTACTACACATGCTCCAGATCATTGCCAGAGTGACCATCCTAAAATATCTCTTCTTTTTTTTTGAGACGGGTTCTTACTCTGTCACCCAGGCTGAGTGCACTGGTATGATCATGGCTTACTACAGCCTCAGCCTCCTGGGCTCAAGCAATCCTCCCACCTTGGCCTCCTAAGTAGCTGGGACTACAGACTCATACCGCCACATCTGGCTAATTTTTTGTAGAGATGGGGCCTCCCTATGTTGCTCAGGCTGGTCTCAAACTCCCAGACACAAGCAATCCTCCTGCTTCGGCCTCCCAAAGCACTGCGATTACAGCCATCAGCCACTGTGCCCAGCCTAAAATACCTCTTCTTTATAAAACATTTCCTTGCTTCCACATCTCTTTCCTCACCACCATCAATGTATAATCCACTACTCCCTTCATAAACCTATTCACATGTTTATCATAATACATACAACACTTTAGTGTGCTAACTTCTTTACATATCTCTCCCCAGCCAGAATGGAAAACGGCCCAGGACAGGCAACACATCTTATTTATCTGTGATGCCCCAGTTACTAGTGCATGGCCTGAAATACTGTAGGTTTCTAGTAATTATTTATTCTTCTGGCCTGTCTGTATGTGGAGTTAGTATGGTCTTTATCAGGTCTACCTCAACTTTCTGAAGAGGATATCAATCCAAACCTCACCTCAGCAGAGCATTTGGATTTAACAGCTGTGTTCCAGATACTTCTCTGCTCCTAAACCTTCATAGAATTTGCTTTAATCAAATTGCCTGGTTTTCAAATGCTATTGGCTCACATACAGAAATAAACTAAAAAGAAATTCGCTGGTAAATTTAGTGTAGAAATGATAGTGAAGACGATGTACACCATAAGACACAGGAGAAACATTTCCCACTGCTGTCAATATTAGGAAAAGGTGAGATTTTTTTCTAGGCCACTAGTCTACATGTTTGTCTTGAGGACACCACACATATCTGATTATGTTTCCTTCTTTTGGCTGGATGGGAGAAAGCTCTAGCCAAATTTCTGGCATGCTTCCAGTGAATGGATAGGTCTTTGTGGCATTTATTTTGTGTACTTTCTCACACTGGGTGTTATTCTTATTTCCTACTCCATTTTTTATTTGCCTGCATCATTTCTATCTCTTTTTTATTAAATAAAATTACTTTTATTCCATCCCTCAGTAACTACAATTACTAATTGATGGTAAGGTGTCCACCTGTAGGTTACACAGCAACTTCTCAAATCTTGGACTCAGATCGGACAAGGCCACCATCATTTCCTCTTCCACATTGATTCTCATGGAGTATTTTTTTTTAAAAAGAGATTTAATCCATTCTTTATTATATTTTCCTGAATACAACTTTAATAATAATTTTTAAATTTTAGAATAGTTTTAGATTTACAGAAAAGTTGCAAAGACAATACAGACAGTTCCCGTATACCTCTCGCCCAGTT
This sequence comes from Homo sapiens, assembly GCF_000001405.40. NCBI lineage: Eukaryota > Metazoa > Chordata > Mammalia > Primates > Hominidae > Homo > Homo sapiens. Next base: position 7,269,273 of record NC_000012.12, read on the forward strand.
TTCCCCATTGTTGACATCTTACATTAATTACCACGGCACATTTATCACAACTAAGACACCAACATTGGTACGTTACTATTAACAAAACTCCACACTCTCCTCAGATTTCACTAGCTTTTACCTAATGTCCTTTTTCTGTTCTGGGATCCCATCCAGGAAACCACATTACATTTAGTCATATGTCCTGACTTCATTTCTGAAAATTTCTTAGACATTCCTTGTTTCTGATGACCTTGACAATTTTGAGGAGTGCTGATTGGGCATTTGTAGAATGTCCTTCGATTTGGATGTGTCTGATAATTTTTTCATGGTTAGACTGGGATCGCTCATGTTTGAGAAGAAGATCACAGAGATGAAGTGATAATCTCATCACATTATATCAAGGGCGCATGCTATTAACTTATCACTGACACTTATGCTGTGTTAAAACCTTGATTGCTAGGCTGAGGTCCTGTGTCCCAAGTTTCTCCACTGTAAAGTTATTTTCTCCCCTGCCTTTTCATACGTCACTCTTTAAAAGCATGTTACTAAGCATAGTCCGCTCTCAGGAGTCGAGAAGTTAAGTTATACCTCCTTCAGAGGCTACCTACATAAATTATTAAGAATCATTCATTTATTGATTAAATCATTTATTTAGATCAGAATGGACTTATTTCATTTTTCCTCAGCAAGTTTTTGTTTGTTTGCTTCTTTGTTTTTGTTTTTTTTTTGAGACGGAGAGTCTTGCTCTTTCGCCAGGCTGGAGTGCAGTGGTGCGATCTCAGCTCACTGCAACCTCCAACTCCCTGGTTCAAGCAATTCTCCTGCCCCTGCCTCCTGAGTAGCTGGGATTACAGGCACATGCCACCATGCCCAGCTAATTTTTGTATATTTAGTAGAGACGGGGTTTCACCATGTTGGCCAGAATGGTCTCAATCTTCTGACCTTGTGATCCACCCACCTCAGCTTCCCAAAGTGCTGGGATTACAGGCGTGAGCCACCGCACCCAGCCTCCTCAGCAACTTTTTAAGGACTGAGTGGAATAATACTTGGAGATATTGACTGAAGCACTTCAAACTGTCTTCTTTGTCGTTTAAATTTTTTATTTTATTTCAATCATTTGGGGTACATAGTAGGTGTACCAAAACGTGTTCTTGAAACACTTACCAGCATCAATTGAAAATAAGGTTTACAGCAAGTGGCTCATGCCTGTAATCCCAGCATTTTGGGAGGCCGAAGCAGGCAGATCACTTGAGGTCAGGAGTTCAAGACCAGCCTGACCAACATGGTGAAACCTCATCTCTACTAAAAATACAAAACTTTGCCTGGCATGGTGGCAGGTGCCTGTAATTCCAGCTACTCTGGAGACTGAGGCAGGAGAATCTCTTGAATCCAGGAGGTGGAGGTTGCAGAGTCGAGGTCATGCTACTGCACTCCACCCTGGGCGAAAGAGCAAGACTTCTCAAAACAACAACCACAACAATAAACAAACAAACAAAAAAAAGAAAAGAAAAGAAGGTTTCCAATTGAAAAGCCAGGATTGTTATAAAACATTATGTGTCTTTGTGGGGGGTGTGTGTGTGTGTCTGTGTGTGTGTCCAGAAGCTTGACTATGAATATCAAGAACCAAAGGCTCTGAATAATGCAGGGAATAGGATGAGGGAAGATGGCTGGAATATATAAAAACACTTATTCTGCCCCAAAGAAGATAAAGGTTAAATGGGGTGGGGGGAGGTGATTGAATGAGCTAAAACTAGAGCTTATTTCAGGGTGATTGCCTACAAAGAAACTCTATGCCTACATATCCCAGGGCTAGATGCCACTTCCCCCACCCCAAACACACATACAATGCCAACCTGCAGCCGCCACAGTAAAAAGTAAATGAGAATGTGAAGAGAAGACCTAAGACATTCCTGCCACTCCAGTGTGACTCAGGAGCCCATCTGAACGTGTGCCAAAAGGGGTGCAGAATTGGCTGAAAGGAGGTTGGAGGACTAGGGCTACACTGCAGTTAAGAATATTAAGAGGGCCACTTGACCATGGTGACCGCAGAGCAAAGAATCATGGAACTCCTTCGCTGTGGACACAGCAGGAAGATGCAGGGATCAAAGATCAGCGAGGATTGCACAGCTCAGTGGAAGATACCATGGATGGATGTTGGTGACTATGGACCAGATTCTGTTCCCTGATTCTAGGACAACACACCAGCCCTCTGAAATATACACGATTCTCACAGAGATAAGAAGAAGAAGAGGAAGAATCAGAAAGCTGACAGAGTTTAAACTTTGAACTGACCAAATTTAAATACTAAAGTGATGGAGTCTCTCCAGCAGTGGCTGCATCAAGTGTTCTGATCTTAAGCAAAATGGGAATAGAAGAATAAAAGTTACAGTATTGCTACAGAGAGATAAAATTGTATTTTTCACATATCTGAGTATGTAACTGTATATTTCATGACCATAGAAATAATTTATAATTTTTTCTGATTATAAAAAAAAGCAGTAATGTATGCCCATGGTAGAAAACATGTACAATTTTAGAAAATATAAGAAATAAAATGAAAGTCACCCATAATTCAACTATGTATACATATCATTGTTAATATTTTAGTGTATTTTCCTCCATGTTTTTAAAATTTCATCTGTGTATTGTTTTATATAATTGGAATCATATTGCATCAGGGCAAGGGCAACATTATTGCATGAAAACTTAGGGAGGCCTAATGTCACAGCAATACATAAAACATAGGGATAGGTATTACAGCATGTCAAGAATTTCTGTTTATGATAAGAAGAAAGACTTGGCAGTGGTGTGCTGGAGCTGGCTCTGACCAGTTCACATGAGCCAGTTGTGTGCCTCTCTTCCCAGCTCTGTGTTCAGTGACATCACACAGATAGGTATGAATCAGCCACAAAATCAGCCATAATGGGAATATTTACAGCATGGAAATTGACAAATAACATAAATCAGGGTTTTTTTTTTTTTTTTTTTTTTGCCAGAGGGCCAATTGTTAAACATTTACGAACACACCATTTCCCTTAAGTGCTCACATGTCCTCCACTATCACTTTATCCCTAAGTCTCGCTGTAATGCATCTCTGTGTGTCCCTGATCTTAGTATAGTCTTCACATGGCTTGTTCCCTGATTCTGTGATAAAACAAAATGAAAGTCACTTTAGCCCTGAGTTGTTATTGTCATCCATTGTAAAACTGCGTCGGGTCCAGTCTAGCTCAAGAGTATACGTGAAATTTTATATACTGATTTTCCTAACCTATTAAGTTTAATTTCGTTAGGTTTCACCTTGTGTGTTTTGTGACAATAGACTAGAAATAAAATAATAATCAATTGTGGCTGTTGCTGCTACTACTTAAATGCTTTAAACTGTCAATGTCTCCCCATTAACCACAAAATAAAGTCAAAACTTCTTGGCTTGGCTTGTGAGGTCTTCCATAGCCTGTCTTTTCAACTTCATTGTCCACCATTCCCCAACACAGAACTTAATTCCAGAGATGTGTCAATTTACCATCCCTGACTGAGCCTGCTCATTAGTAAGTACCTTCTTGTCTTTATTTATATGGTGGTCCCTTTCTAAGATGCCTAATAGCTCTCCTTTCCACCTACTCATAGTCTTGCCATCCTCTAAAGGCAATTAAGATTTCACCGGCTCCAAGAAGCCCTCAACTAGCTCATCCTGCAGTGAGCTCCACTGTTTCAGAGGCCCTATAAGGGGGTGGAAATACAAAGGAGGAGATGGCACAACTATCACTGGTCAAGCCTGTGCCAGTTGCCAGGTGCTGTGCCAGACACTGGACTTATTCCATGTAACTTCATCACAGCCATCCTCATGAGGTGGCTCAGTTTTTTCTCTGAGACCCAATGTGACTTGCCTAGAATCACAGAACTAGTGAGCAGGACTCAAGACCAGGTCAGTCTGATTCCAAAAGCCATGTGTTTTTTTTCTAGTGAAATATTATTTCCATCAGAACCAATAGATCCCCAGCCCTGTAAGGCCCTTCACTGCTGTGGCCTTGTCATTTGTGCCCCTGCCCTTCCTGCTGGACTGGGCACTCCTCAGGGTCAGGGATGGTGATGTGCCTGTGCCTCTTTGTGTCCCCTCTCATTGGGCACACACACACATATATATATATGAAACCATAACTCTATACCCTTATTTTATACATGAATACATATATAATAATAAGTATGACTATATACACATGGGGGCATTAGGTGTGGATGGGTATATAAATGCTTAAACACACCAGAAGGACTAATGGGAAATAGTTCAAAATAGAATAACTATTTCCTAAAATCTGGTTGGAATTACAATTTTATTTTATTTACAAAGTTATGGTTTTTCTAACTTTTCTATAATAAGTATATACAGCTTTAAAAATCAGAAGACAAAAGAAAAGAGGACAAGAAAGAGTCAAGGCCCTGTCCTCTAAGGGTTTAGAATCTACAAAGAGAGGGTTTACATAAATTAATACAATACACCACAAGTTGTTTTATTATTATTATTATTATTATTATTATTACTTTATTGCCATAGGTTATTGGGAAACAGGTGGTGTTTGGTTATGTAAGTAAGTTCTTTAGTGGTGGTTTGTGAGATCACCATGCACCCTATTTGTAGTCTTTTATCCTCACCTCCTTCCCACCCTTTGCCCCTGAGTCCCCAAAGTCCATTGTGTTATTCTTATGCCTTTGCATCCTTACAGTTTAGCTCCCACTTATCAGTGAGAACATACAATGTTTGGTTTTCCATTCCTGAGTTACTTCACTTAGAATAATATTCTCCTATCTCATCCAGGTTGCTGCAAATGCCATTAATTCAAACCTTTTTATGGCTGAGTAGTATTCCATCATATATGTATATATAATCACATTTTCCTTGTCCACTCATTGATTGATGAGCATGTGGGTTGGTTCCACATTTTTGCAATTGCGAATTGTGCTGCTATAAACACTTGTGTGAAAGTATCTTTTTCGAATAATGACTTGTTTTCCTCTGGGTAGATACCCAGTAGGGGGACTGCTGGATCAAATGGTAGTTCTCCTTTTAGTTCTTTAAGGAATCTCCACACTGTTTTCCATAGTGGCTGTACTAGTTTACATTCCCGCCAGCAGTGTAGAAGTATTCCCTGCATCCACACCAATACCTACTATTTTTTGATTTTTTGATTATGGCCATTCTTGCAGGAGTAAGGTGGTATCACATTGTGGTTTTGATTTGCATTCCCCTGATCATTAGTGATGTTGAGCATTTTTTCATATGTTTCTTGGCCATTTGGTATATCTTCTTTTGAGAATTGTCTATGCATGTCCTTAGCCCACTTTTTGATGGGATAGTTTTTTTCTTGCTCATTTGTCTGAGTTCTTTGGAGATTCTGGATATTTGACCTTTGTCAGGTGTATAGATTGTGAAAATTTTCTCCTACTCTGTGGGTTGTCTGTTTAGTCTGCTGGCTTCTCCTTTTGCCATGCAAAAGCTCTTTAGTTTAATTAAGTCCCAGCTATTTATCTTTGTTTTTATTGCATTTGCTTTTGGGTTCTTGATCATGAAATCCTTGCCTAACCCAATGTCTAGAAGGGTTTTTCCAATGTTATCTTCTAGAATTTTTATAGTTTCAGATCTTAGATTTAACTTCTTAAACCATCTTGAGTTGATTTTGGTATAAGGTGATAGATGAGGATCTAGTTTCATTCCCCTACATGTGGCTAGCCAATTATTCCAGCACCTGGGGATAAGGGTGTCCTTTCCCCACTTTATGTTTTTGTTTGCTTTGTTGAAGATCAATTGGCTGTAAGTATTTGAGTTTATTTTTTGGGTTCTCTATTCTGTTCCATTGGTCTATGTGCCTATTTTCATACCAGTACCATGCTGTTTTGGGGACTATGGCCTTATATTATAGTTTTAAATCATGTAATGTAATGCCTCCAGATTTGTTCTTTTTGCTTAGTCTTGCTGTGGCAGTGTGGGCTCTTTTTTGATTTCATATGAAATTTAGAAATTTTTTCTAAATTTGTGAAGAAGGATGGTGGTATTTTGATGGAAATTGTATTGAATTTGTAGATTACTTTTGGTAGTATAGTCATTTTCACAATCTTGATTATACCCACCCATGAGCATGAGATGTGTTTCTATTTGTTTGTGTCACCTATGATTTCTTTCAGCTGTTTTGTAGTTTTCCTTGTGGAGGTCTTTCACCTCCTTGGTTAGGTATATTCCTAGGTATTTTATTTTATTTTATTGCACTCATTGTAAAAGGGGTTGAGTTCTTGATTTGATTCTCAGCTTGGTCACTGTTGGTGTATAGAAGAGCTACTGATTTGTGTACATTAATTTTGTATCTGGAAACTTTGCTGAATTCTTTCATCAGTTCTAGGAACTCTCTGGAGGAGTCTAGGGTTTTCTAGGTAAATGATCATATCATCAGCAAACAGTGACAGTTTGACTTCTTTAATGACTTGGATGCCCTTTATTTCTTTCTCTTGTCTGATTGCTCTGGCTAGGACTTCCAGTACTATGTTGAAAAAAATTGGTGAGAGTGGGCATACTTGTCTTGTTCCAGTTCTCAGAGGGAATGCTTTAAACTTTTCCTCATTCAGTATTATGTTGGCTGTGGGTTTGTCATAGATAGCTTTTATTACATTGAGATATGTCCCTTGTATGCCGATTTTGCTGAGAGTTTTAATCATAAAGAGATGCTGGATTTTGTCAAATGCTTTTTCTGTATCTATTGAGATGATCATGTGGTTTTTGTTTTAAATTCTGTTTGTGTGGTGTATCACATTTATTGACTTGGTTATGTTAAACCACCCTGGGTACAAAACCCACTTGATCATGGTGGATTATCTTTTTGATATGTTGTTGGATTTGGTTAGCTAGTATTTTGTTAAGGATTTTAGCATCTATGTTCATCAGAGATATTGGTCTGTGGTTTTCTTTTTTGGTTACATCCTTTCCTGATTTTTTTATTAGGGTGATACTGGCTTCATAGAATGATTTAGGGAAGGTTCCCTCTTTCTCTATCTTGTGGAATAGTGTCAATAGGATTGGTATCAATTCTTCTTTGAATGTCTGGTAGAATTCTGCTGTGAACCCATCTGGTCCTGGACTTTTTTGTTGTTGTTGAATTACCATTTCAGTCTTGCTGCTTGTTAATCGGTCTGTTCAGGGTATGTAATTCTTCCTGATTTAAGCTGGGAGGATTGTATCTTTCCAGAAATTTATCCATCTCTTCTAAGTTTTCTACTTTATGCATGTAAAGTTGTTCTTAGTAGACTTGAATAGTCTTTTGTATTTCTGTGGTGTCAGTTTTAATATCTCCTGTTTCATTTATTATTGAGTTTATTTGGATTTTCTCTATTCTTTTCTTGGTTAATCTTGCTAATGATCTATCGATTTTATTTATCTTTTCAAAGAACCAGCTTTTTGTTTCATTTATCTTTTTTGTTTGTTTGTTTGTTTTAATGTCATTTCGTTTTGCTCTGATCTTGGTTATTTCCTTTCTTCTGTTGGGTTTGGGTTTGGTTTGTTCTTGTTTCTCTAGTTCCTTGAGGTGTGAACTTAGGTTGTTTGTGCTCTTTCAGACTTTTTGACATAGGTGTTTAGGGCTATGAACTTTCCTCTTGCAACTGTCTTTACTGTATCCCAGAGGTTTTGATAGGTTATGTCACTATTTTTGTTCAGTTCAAAGAATTTTTTAATTTCCATCTTGATTTCATTTTTGACCCAATGATCATTCAGGAGCAGGCTGTTTAATTGCCATGTATTTGCATGGTTTTGAAGGTTCCTTTTAGAGTTGATTTCCAGTTTTATTCCACTGTGGTCCGAGGAAGTGATTGATATAATTTCAATTTTCTTAAATTTATTGAGGCTTATTTTGTGGCTTACCATATGGTGTATCTTGGAGAAGGTTCCTTGCACTCTTGAATACAATATATATTCTCTGGTTTTTGGATGGAATGTTTTGTATATATCTGTTAAGTCCATTTGTTCCAGGATATAGTTTAAATACATTGCTTCTGTTTTTCTTTTTTTTTTTTTTTTGAGATGGAGTCTTGCTTTGTCACCAGGCTAGAGTGCAGCGGTGTGGTCTTGGCTCACTGCAAGCTCTGCCTCCTGGGTTCAAGCGATTCTCCTGCCTCAGCCTCCCGAGTAGCTGGGACTACAGGTGTGCACCACAACACCTGGCTAATTTTTGTATTTTTAGTAGAGATGGGGTTTCACCATGTTGGCCAGGATGGTCTTGATATCCTGGCCTCATGATCCACCCTCCTTGGCATCCCAAAGGGCTGGGATTACAGGTGTGAGCCACCGCACCTGGCCTACATTGTTTCTTTGTTGACTTTCTGTCTTGATGACCTGTCTAGTGCTGTCAGTGGAGTACTGAAGCCCCCCACTATTACTGTGTTTCTGTCTATCTCATTTCTTAAGTTTATTAGTAATTGTTTTATAAATTTGGGAGCTCCAGTGTTAGGTGCACATATGTTTAGGATTGTGATATTTTCTGGTTGGACAAGGCCTTTTTTAATTATATAATGACCCTCTTAGCTTTTTTAACTGCTGTTGCTTTAAAGTTTGTTCCGTCTGATATAAGAATAGCTATTACTGCTCACTTTTGGTGTCCATTTGCATGAAATGTCTTTTTTCCACTCCTTTACTTTAAGATTATATGAGTACTTATGTGCTAGCTGAGTCTCTTGAAGGCAGCAGATAGTTGGGTGGTGAATTCTTATCCATTCTGCAATTCTGTATCTTTTAAGTGGAGCATTTAGTCCATTTACATCCAATGTTAGTATTGAGATGTGATGTACCACTCCATTCACTGTGCTATTTGTTGCCTGTATACCTAGGTTTTTTTGTTTTTGCTTTTTAAATTGTATTCTTTGTTTTATAGGTCCTGTGAGATTTATGCTTTAAAGAGCTTCTGTTTTGATGTGTTTCCAGGATTTGTTTCAAGATTTAGAGCTCCTTTTAGCGGTTCTTGTAGTGGTTTCTTGATAGTGGTGAATTCTCTCAGCATTTGTTTGTCTGAAAAAGACTGTATCTTTCCTTCACATGTGAAGCTTAGTTTCACTGGATACAAAATTCTTGACTGATAATTGTTTTGTTTGAGGAGGCTGAAGATAGGGCCCCAAACCCTTCTAGCTTGTAGGGTTTCTGCTGAGAAATCTGCTGTTAATATGATAGCTTTTCCTTTATAGGTTACCTGGTGCTTCTGTACCACAGCTCTTAAGATTCTTTCCTTCATCTTAACTTTAGATAACCTGACAACAATGTGCCTGGGAGATGATCTTTTTATGATGAATTTTCCAGGTGTTCTTTTTGCTTCTTTTATTTGGATGTCTAGGTCTCTAGCAAGGCCAGAGAAGTTTTCCTCGATTATTCCCCCAAATATGTTTTTCAAACTTTAGATTTCTCTTCTTCCTCAGGAACACCTATTATTCTTAGGTTTGGTCATTTAAAATAATCCCAGACTTCTTGAAAGCTTTGTTCATATTTTCTTTTTCTTTTTTCTTTGTCTTTGTTTTATTGGGTTAATTCAAAGACCTTGTCTTTGATCTCTGAATTTCCTTCTTCTACTTCTTTGATTCTATGGCTAAGACTTTCCAGAGTGTTTTGCATTTCTATAAGTGTGTCTATTGTTTCCTGAAGTTTTGATTGTTTTTTGTTTATGCTATTTCATTGAATATTTCTCCCTTCACTTCCTGTATCATTATTTTGATTTCCTTACATTGGGCTTCACCTTTCTTTGGTGCCTCCTGATTAACTTAATAACTAACCTCCTGAATCTTTTTCAAGTAAATCAAAGATTTCTTCTTGGTTTGGATTCATTACTGGTGAGCTAGTGTGATTTTTTAGGGGGTGTTAAAGAACCTTGCTTTGTCGTATTACCAGAGTTGTTTTTTGGTTCCTTCTCATTTGCGTAGACTCTGTCAGAGGGAAGGTCTAGGGCTGAAGGCTGCTCAGAACTATTGTCCCTAAGTGTGTTCCCCTTCATGTAGTACCATCCTCCTCTTCCTAGGGATGTGGCTTCCTGAGAGCCGAGCTGTGGTATTTTTATCTCTTCTGGATCTAGCCACCCAGCATGTCTACCAGGCTCCAGGATGGTACTTGGGATGTCTGCAGAGTCCTGTGATGTGAACTGTCTGTGGCTCTCTCAGCTGTGGATACCAGCATAGTATTTGGGGTGTCTCCTGGGTCCTGCAGGAGCAATCTGCTTCCTTCAGAGGGTCTGTGGGTCCTCTCCATTTTCCTGATTTATTCCTGCAGTCATTCTGGAGCAAAAATTTATTATGTGAGCCTCCGCATGCTGCTCTGTACATCCTAGTCGGAGCTGCAATCTAGTTCTGCCTCCTGTCTGCCATGATCCATCAGAAACTCATTTACCCTTGGCTGGGCTGCTGTCTCCTCCTTTCAGCACTGGATGCCACAGTCTCAAGGCTTCTTGGGCTCTAGGAGGAGGCACAGCCAGAAGGCAAGGTCACCCTAAAGTCACCTCACACTGCTGCCCCCTCACTGCCTCACTGCCTCACTGCCTCCAGCATCCAGGAAGAATGCAGGCAGGTGGCACCTGGTCCTCTTCCTTTTCCTCACAAATTGTTATTTTTTTTTTTTTTTTTTTTTTTTGAGACGGAGTCTCGCTCTGTCGCCCAGGCTGGAGTGCAGTGGCGGGATCTCGGCTCACTGCAAGCTCCGCCTCCCGGGTTCACGCCATTCTCCTGCCTCAGCCTCCCAAGTAGCTGGGACTACAGGCGCCCGCCACTACGCCCGGCTAATTTTTTGTATTTTTAGTAGAGACGGGGTTTCACCGTTTTTAGCCGGGATGGTCTCGATCTCCTGACCTCGTGATCCGCCCGCCTCGGCCTCCCAAAGTGCTGGGATTACAGGCGTGAGCCACCGCGCCCGGCCTACAAATTGTTATTTTTTTAAACAACATAATCATAAATGTGCGTAGTGCTGAGAAAACATAGAAGAAGGATAAGTTATGATTTTAATAACTTCTCAATTTGTTTGTCAAAGTAGGGAAAAATCACATGTGGTCAGAAAAGTGGTGCAGAGTCATGGGGCAGTAAGATCTTCATGGGCCTTACAAACCAAAAAGTATCTGAGACAGGTCTCCATCAATTTAGAAGTTTATTTTGCCAAGGTTAAGGCCGATGCCCAGGAGAAAAAAAGCACAGAATCACAGAAACAGTTTGTGTTCTGTACGTTTCTCCAAAGATAATTTTGAGGGCTTCAATATTTGAAGGGGAAAAACAGTCACATTACTAAATCCACATGTTGCAATAGAAAAGGTGCAGGTATGGGAATAGTCAATTACGTATTCATCTCATGTTTAGTAAACTGGCACTTTACATAAGATAAAGTCAACACAGATTAGCTAACTAGGGGAGATATTTCACCTTTTATCTGTATCTCTCTGCTTAGGAATAAAAGGAAAGGCAGCTTCCTGCATGATTCAGCTTTCAGCTTATTTTTTTTCCTTTTGGCATAGTGAACTGGGGTCCTAAGTTTTTATATTCCTTTCACTTCTGTTCCCCCTTTTTCTTTTTAAAATTTTTCAGAGAAAGAATTTTAGAGAAAAATGAGTCTCTGGTCTTAGGTTTTGTCGGATCTCTTGTGACCAGGATGGTTTATTCCCAGATAAATAGGTCCCACATTGTTAGAAACTATTATTTTAGCAGGTTGTGAAGCCTCATGTTCTATGAAGAAAAAAATAGGATGAGAAAGAGAGAAAGAAAACAACAAATAAACAAAAAAGGAAGAACAATCCTGGAAAACCGACATAGGCCATATTATTCTGAAGTCCATATATCAGTAGATAGAGATGAAAATAATTTTTGTATACAAATAGGTTGCCATTATTTTCTCCTAAAGTTTAAGTTGTCTAGCTTCAGTTCACAGGGTGTAAACCAAAAATAAAATTCTAAGTCCCCTCAATAAATTGAATGGACCCTTCTTCTTAGCCAAGAGCATTACAAAGTTAATCTTAAAAACTAGTTCAGGCCATAATGGGAAGTGGGGGTGACACATGTCTCATACTCTCCACCCTTTGGAATTCAGGCACAACTGACCAGCACTGCTATTAAAACAGAGATCTTAAGACTGACAAAACAGACTTTTTGTAGAAATAAGACACGAAATTCCAGCCTGACTCTAATATAGCATTACATGACAGATATCAGGTCTATAAGTTTTAAAAGGCTCATCCAGAAAACACATGTAAGAGCTAACCACTCTGCATTTTGAATCCTCTGAGAGGTGACAAATCCAAGTGTTTTACCCTAAAATATATTTATTTGATATATTTTTAAACGGCCCTGCAAAGCTGTCTCTTGTGGGGGAAAAAAATCTACATTCTGTAGATAATCCTCATTCCTTTCAAGGTTTTTTTTTGTTTTTGTTTTTTTTTCCTGATCCAGGAGAGAATTAACTAAGAGTCTACCACCTTTTTAAGTCTGATAAGAAACATTTACAATCTATTCTCTCTGAAGTCTGCTACCTGGAGGCTTCATCTGCATAATAAAACGTTGGTTTCCACAACCCCTTATCTTTTTATTGAGACAGCTGTCTTGCTCTGTCACCCAGTCTGAAGTGCAGTGGTGCAATCTGGGCTCACTGCAACCTCTGCCTCCCGGGTTCAAGTGATTCTCATGCCTCAGCCTCCTGACTGGCTGGGATTACAGGCATGTGCCACCATGCCTGGCTAATTTTTGTATTTTTAGTAGACATGGGTTTTGCCATGTTGGCCAGGCTGGTCTCCAACTCCTGGCCTCAAGTGATCTGCCCACCTCAGCCTCCCAAAGTCCTGGGATTACAGGCATGAGCCACGGTGCCTGGTCTCACAACCCTTTATCTTAACGCAGACATTTCTATTGATTCTAAATCTTTACACAATAACTTAAATCTTTCAACTGCCAATCAGAAAATCTTTGAATCTACCTATGACCTGGAAACCCCTGCTTGCAGTTGTTCTGCCTTTCTGGACAAAACCGATGTACATCTTACATGTATTGATTGATGTCTTATGTCTTCCTGAAATGTATAAAACCATGTGTGGCCTGACCACCTTGGACACATGTTCTCAGGCTCTTCTGAGGGCTGTATCATGGGCAATTGGTCATTCATATTTGGCTCAGAATAAATCTCTTCATATGTTTTACAGAGTATGACTCTATTTGTCAATAACTTGGCACCCAAACATGTGGGCCCTCTGAGAAGACTCAGAACATGAAGGAGTTGCCTGAACTCAGAGCTAGGTTGATGGTTCTTGATTTATTCTAAGGTGGGTTTTTTTTCTCCTAGGATGTTATTTAGGATCCTAATGCTAGTTCAGAGGTGCATTATAAAGAGTCCTCTCCATTTTCCTTTTCTAAAGACAAGAAGAACAACCCCCTTTCAAGTACCCCATTTGGTTTCTAGTATGGGAGTGCATTCTAAAGTGTCTTCTCCATTGTTTTTTCCCCAATATGAAGCTCAACTGGTTTGTCTGCATATTTGCATGAGAAACTGAATTGCCCTTTTCATAGATAAAATGGGAGACTAAGCTCCTTAGCTCTGAAGAGAAAGGGCATTTTGTTTCTCCCAGCTGAAAGGTGCCCCTGGGTGACCAGAGGCCAAGTGAGAGTGCCTGTGGGGTTTACCCTCTGTGACATGCAGTGGCCCTAGAGGGAACCCCCCAACAAAATTAGTTTTAAAGGGCTCATCCAGGAAACATATATAAGAGCTGACCACTGCGCATTCTGAGCCCTCTGAGAGGTGAAAAATCAACAGAGAGAGAAACTGAAACATGTAAGAGGGTGGAAATGATTCAGTGGTGAACGACTGTAGAGTCCTGCCCACAATCAGCACACATCAGTCCACCACACTAAACCCTAGGCTACATCTTAGTTCCTCCTTTTAATATAAAAAAAGAAAAAAAGAAAGAAAATAGAAAGGCAGGAAACAAATTATTTAAGAATTATTAAGAACAAAGGATAAGGAGAATGGGGCATGGCAAAATGGTTGAATAGAAACAGCTCCAGTCTGCAGCTCCCAGCGAGATGAACACAGAAGGCGAGTGATTTCTGCATTTCCAGCTGAGGTACCTGGCTCATCTCACTGGGACTGGTTAGATAGTGGGCGCAGCCCGCAGAGGGCAAGCAGAAGCAGGGTGGGGTGTTACCTCACCCAGGAAGCACAAGGGGTCAAGGAACTCCCTCCCCTAGCCAAGGGAAGCCATGAGGGACTGTGCCACGAGGAACGGTGCATTCCAGCCCAAATACTATGCTTTTCCCACGGTCTTCACTACCTGCAGACCAAGAGATTCCCTCCGGTGCCTATGACACCAGGGTCCTAGGTTTCAAGCACAAAACTGGGCGGCCGTTTGGGCAGACACCGAGCTAACTATAGGAATTCCTTTTCATACCCCAGTGGCACCTGGAAAGCCAATGAGACAGAACCGTTCACCCCCCTGGAAAGGGGGCTGAGGCCAGGGAGGCAAGTGGTCTAGCTCAGTGGATCCCACCACCATGGAGCCCAGCAAGCTAAGATCCACTGGCTTGAAATTGTCGTTGCCAGCACAGCAGTCTGAAGTCAACCTGGGATGCTCCAGCTTGATGGGGAAAAAGGCTTCCGCCATTACTGAGGCTTGAGTAGGCGGTTTTCCCCTCACAGCATAAACAAAGCCACGGGGAAGTTCGAACTGAGCAGAGGCCACCGCATCTTGGCAAAACCACTGTAGCCAGACTGCTTCTCTAGATTCCTCCTCTCTGGGTAGGGCATCTCTGAAAGAAAGGCAGCAGCCCCAGTCAGGGGCTTAGGGATAAAAGTCCCATCTACCTGGGACAGAGCACCTGGGGGAAGGGGCGTCTGTGGGCGCAGCTTCAGCAGACTTAAACATTACTGCCTGCAGCTCTGAAGAGAGCAGCAGATCTCCCAGCACAGCATTTGAGCAATGCTAAGGGACAGACTGCCTCCTCAAGTGGGTCCCTGACCCCTGTGCCTCCTGGCTGGGAGACACTTCCCAGCAGGGGTTGACAGATGTCTCATACAGGAGAGATCCGGCTGGTATCTGTCAGGTTCCCCTCTGGGAAGAAGCTTCCAGAGGAAGGAACAGGCAGCAAACTTTGCTGTTCTGCAGCCTTTCGTGGTGATATCCAGGCAAACAGGGTCTGGAGTGGACCTCCAGCAAACTTCAGCAGACCTGCAGCAGAGGGGCCTGATTGTTAGAAGGAAAACTAACAAACAGAAAGGAATAACGTTGACATCAACAAAAAGGACATCCACACCAAAACCCCATCCGAAGGTCACCAAAATCAAAGACCAAAGGTAGATAAATCCATGAAGATGAAGAGAAATCAGCACAAAGAGGCTGAAAATTGCAAAAACCAGAAAGCCTCTTCTCCTCCAAAGGATCACAACTCCTAGCCAGCAAGGAAACAAAACTGGACAGAGAATGAGTTTGACGAATTGACAGAAGTAGGTTTCAGAAGGTAAGTAATAACACATGCCTCTGAGCTAAAGGAGCATGTTCTAACCCAATGCAAGGAAGCTAAGAACCTTGATAAAGATTGTAGGAACTGCTAACTAGAATAACCAATTTAGAGAAGAACATAAATGACCTGACAGAGCTGAAAAACATAGCACGAGAACTTAGTGAAGCATACACAAGTTTCAATAGATGAATTGATCAAGCAGATGAAAGGATATCAGAGATTGAAGATCAACTTAATGAAATAAAGTGTGAAGACAAGATTAGAGAAAAAAGAATGAAAAGGAATGAAATAAGCCTCCAAGGAATACAGGACTATGTGAAAAGACCAAACCGATGTTTGATTGGTATACATGTAAGTGACAGGGAGAATGCAACCAAGTTGGAAAACACTCTTCAGGATATTATCCAGAAGAACTTCCCCAACCTAGCAAGGCAGGCCAACATTCAAATTCAGGAAATATGAGAACACCACAAAGATATGCCTTGAGAAGAGCAACACCAAGACACATAATCATCAGATTCACCAAGGTTGAAATGAAGGAAAAAACTGTTAAGGGCAGCCAGAGAGAAAGGTTGGGTTTCCCACAAAAGGAAGCCCATCAGACTAACAGTGGATCGCTCTGCAGAAACTCTACAAGCCAGAGGAGAGTTGGGGCCAAAATTCAACATTCTTAAACAGAAGAATTTTCAACCCAGAATTTCATATCCAGCCAAACTAAGCATCATAAATGAAGGAGAAAAAAAATCCTTTACAGACAAGCAAATGCTGAGAGATTTTGTCACCACCAGGCCTGCCTTACAAGAACTCCTGAAGGAAGCACTAAACATGGAAAGAAACAGCCAGTACTAGCAACTGCAACAACATGCC
The DNA here is from genome assembly GCF_000001405.40 of Homo sapiens. Lineage (NCBI taxonomy): Eukaryota > Metazoa > Chordata > Mammalia > Primates > Hominidae > Homo > Homo sapiens. Next base: position 7,285,608 of record NC_000012.12, read on the forward strand.
AAATTGTAAAGACCATTGACACTATGAAGAAACTGCATCAACTAACGTGCATAATAACCAGCTAGCATCATAATGACAGGATCAAATTCACACATAACAATATTAACCTTAAATGTAAATGGGCTAAATGCCCCAATTAAAAGACACAGACTGGCAAATTGGATAAAGAGTCAAGACTCATCAGTGTGCTGTGTTCAGGAGACCCATCTCATGTGCAAAGACACACATAGGCTCAAAATAAAGGGATAGAGGAATATTTACGAAGCAAATGGAAAGCAAAACAAACACACAAGCAAAAAACAGGGGTTGTGATCCTAATCTCTGATAAAACAGACTTTAAGCCAACAAAAATCAAAAAGACAAAGAAGGGCATAACATAATGGTAAAGGGATCAATGCAACAAGAAGAGCTAACTATCCTAAATATAAATGCACCCAATACAGGAGCACCCAGATTCATAAAGCAAGTTCTTAGAGACCAAAAAAGAGACCTAGATGCCAACATAATAATAGTGGGAGACTTTAACACCCCACTGTCAATATTAGACAGACCAACGAGACAGAAAATTAACAAGGATATTCAGGACTTGAACTCAGCTCTGGACCAAGTGGACCTAATAGACATCTACAGAACTCTCCACCCCAAATGAACAGAATATACATTCTTCTCAGCACCAAATAGCACTTATTCTAATATCAACCACATAATTGGAAGTCAAACATCCCTCAGCAAATACAAAACAACAGAAATAATAACAAACTGTCTCTCAGACCACAGTGCAATCAAATTAGAAATTAGGATTAAGAAACTCACTCAAAACCACACAACTACAAGGAAACTGAACAACCTGCTCCTGAATGACTACTGGGTAAACAACAAAATTAAGGCAGAAATAAACTAGTTCTTTGAAACCAAAGAGAACAAAGACACAACATACCAGAATCTCTGGGACACAGCTAAAGCAGTGTTTACAGGTAAATTAATAGCACAAAAATCCCCACAAGAGAAAGCAGGAAAGATCCAAAAATGATGCCCTAACATCACAATTAAAAGAAGTACAGACGCAAAAGCAAATAAATTCAAAAGCTAGCAGAAGGCAAGAAATAAGTAAGATCAGAGCAGAACTGAAGGAGATAAAGACACGAAAATCCCTTTAAAAAAATCAATGAGTCCAGGAGCTGGTTTTTTGAAAAGATCAACCCAATAATAGACCACTAGCCAGACTAATATAGAAGAAAAGAGAGGAGAATCAAATAGATGCAATACAAAATGATAAAGGCAATATCACCACTGATATCACAGAAATACAAACTACCATCAGAGAATACTATAAACACCTCTGTGCAAATAAACTAGAAAATCTATAAGAAATGGGTAAATTCCTGGACATACACCCTCCCAAGTGTAAACCAGGAAGAAGTGGAATCCCTGAATAGAGCAATAACAAGTTTTAAAATTGAGACAGAAATTAATAGCATACCAACCAAAAAAAAGCCCAGGACCAGACAGATTCACAGTCAAATTCTATCAGAGGTATAAATAGGAGCTTGTACCATTCCTTCTGAAACTATTCCAAAAAATAGAAAAAGAGGGAATCCTCCCTAACTCATTTTATGAGGCCAGCATTATCCTGATACCAAAACCTGGCAGAGACACAACAAAAAAGGAAAATTTCAGGCCAATATCCCTGATGAATAAAATAATACAATAATAAAAAAAAAATAATACAATAAAATACTGGCAAATCAAATCCAGCAGCATATCAGAAAGCTTATCCACCATGATCATGTTGACTTTGTCCCTGGAATGCAAGGCTGTTTCAACATATGCAAATCAATAAATGTAATCCATCATGTGAACAGAACCAATGACAAAAACCACACGATTGTCTCAATAGATGCAGAAAATGCCTTCAATAAAATTCATGCTAAAAACCTAATAAACTAGGTATTGATGGAACATATTTCAAAATAAGAGTTATTTATGACAAACTCACAGCCAATATCATACTGAATGGGCAAAAGCTGGAAGCATTCCCTTTGAGAATGGCACAAGACAAAGATGCCCTCTCTCACCACTGCTGACATAGTATTGGAAAAAAAACAACCCCATCAAAAAGTGGGCGAAGTATATGAACAAACACTCCTCAAAAGAAGACGTTTTTGCAGCCAACAAACATATGAAAAAAAGCTCATCATCACTGGTCATTAGAGAAATGCAAATCAAAACCACAATGAGATACCATCTCATGCCAGTTAGAATGGTGTTCATTAAAAAGTCAGGAAACAGCAGCTGCTGGAAGGATGTGGAGAAATAAAAATGCTTTTACACTGTTGGTGGGAGGGTAAATTAGTTCAACCATTGTGGAAGACAGTGTGGCAATTCCTTAAGGATCTAGAACCAGAATACCATTTGACCTAGCAATCCCATTACTGGGTATACACCCAAAGGAGCATAAATCATTCTACTATAGACACATGCACACGTATGTTTATTATGGCACTGTTCAGAATAGCAAAGACTTGGAACCAACCCAAATGCCCATCAATGATAGACTGGGTAAAGAAAATGTGGCACATATATACCATAAAATACTATGCAGCCATAAAAAATGATGAGTTCATGTTCTTTGCAGGGACATGGATGAAGCTGGAAACCATCATTCTCAGCAAACTAACACAAGAACAGAAAACCAAACACCACATGTTCTCACTCATAAGTGGGAGTCGAACAATGAGAACACATGGACACAGGGAGGTGAATATCACACACCAGGGCCTGTTGGAAGGTAGAGGGCCAGGGGAGAGATAGTATTAGGAGAAATACCTAATATAGCTGATGGTTTGATGGGTGCAGCAAACCACCACGGCATGTGTAGACCTTTGTAACAAACCTGCGTATTCTGCACATGTATCCCAGAACTTAAAGTATAATACAAAAAATTTTTAAAAAAAACAAAAAAAATAAATAAATAAATAAAATTTAAAAAAAGATAAGGAGAATAACCCTTTTTCAAGCACCCTGTGGTTTCATGCCTCCTCTACTTGCAAGCATTTGTGTAAAATGGAAAAGTTTGCAGACATGCCAGCTTTTCTTGTATTCCAGCTGGTTCCATATTATGGCCTGTTGTGCACATTTTAAACTGATGGGCAAATTACATCAAGAAAAAATTCAGAGCCCAAAGGTTAACCTGCAACCATTTAGTTCCTAAATTCTGTATTTCTCTATTTGGTTTTCTGCCTGCTTTAAATTTGCTGTTATTTTTCTACTGAGATAAATACTACTGTTTGGATACATGCATGTTTTTTGTGTGCTGTTTTTTATTTTTGTAAACCAGTAAGATTGTATTAATATGTCATGGCTGAAGGTCTAATGTAAAAGCTATAGGATCTTTGTATGAGTGTGTATACAGGTGTTTATGCCTATGGACACATATTTTGTTATATATTTTGGTTAAAAGGTACCAAATTGGCTTACAGTTAAGGCATACTCATAAATTAATAATAAGCCCAAATGCTTTTCAAGTTTACTTTAAGTAAAATCTTTGATAAATAAGCTGGCTTTAAAATTATTGGTAAAGTAATATTAGAGATTTCTTAAGAATTTTCAGCATTTTGTTTGCATTTATTGATCAAGTGATTTCACACTTATCCTGCCAAAAACTATAAGGTGTCAAAATTTGGCTATAAAACTATAAACTCAGCCCCAAAGAGAATGATCTTTGGTAGTTTAATTTTGATAAATAAGACATTTAATATTGTTAGTTTAATAAAAACAGCTAAATCCTGAGTTATTGGTAATATCCAAAGAGTTAACATTGTTTCTTAAACACCTGAAATTCATAGGCTATAAAAGTAGCTAACAGAAAAAGTAATTTTAAATGATGACTATCACAGTTTTTATGAATACTAGGTAAATTATTAAAAATGAAATAATTGGGCAAATGTAATCAAATAAATGCTTGTAAACAAACTTGTCATATAATTTAGAATCTAAAGTTATATCAAATTAAATAATAGATATTCATTAAACGTCTAATTTCCAATTTAAAAAATTATACTGCAGAAAAACATTTTTTCTAAAAAATGTATTCTTATTAAAGGGTAAATTTTTGTGTTTAATTCAAAGTCTATTTAAAGATTATATATAAAGCAAGGTAAATAAACCAGGAAATAAGAGACATAAAGAGGTGCTTTTTGGTAAATACAGGATAAAAGAAAAATGACTTTATATGAGAGAGGATCTTATATGGTAAATTTCTGTCCTAAAATAAAACGATTGTTCAAAAAAGAGATGTATATTAAGGACAAAAGAGAAAGTCTAAGCGTGTTGTGAATGGTCTGTGTAAGTTGTAAGAAGGTTAGCAAAAGAGTATTTTAAAAGTTATATGATCAAATTGGCTATCCTTAAAAGGAAATTATAATAGTCTTTTTAGAAATTGGTCTTTGATATTAAAAATACACTAATACAAAACTAAATAACTGGTTAGGACAAAATTTTATTAAAATTGACTTACTCTTAATGCAAGAAATTTATTTTTAAATTATATAATCTTTGTTTTTTCAATTCTTAGATTGATATCTCAGAAGTTCAATTTCTGCTGTACCCTGCTGCTTCAGCTCTTTTCCGTTTGAGAAGGCCTGGGATGGTAACTCTCTCTTTCAATGTTTATTGGCTCCTATAAATTTTTTTTTTATTAATAGTCTAAATTAAGGGAGAGAACTTTTAAAAAATAGGTAAATAAAAAAGCATTTTGCATCTGCCTTTGTCTGTATGTCTATATGTTTATGTGTGTCATGTGGAAAGAATATGCCACGACTATATGAAAGAGCTGTAATCAATTGGCTTAAAGAAAAGTGCTTACCAGGCTAATAAAAGCTAGCTCTCTGATGCCTTTTAGCTCACATGACTTTAGTAATACTTGGTAAGACTAATTTGGTAAATTTAATCAAAATTCTCTCCAATAGTTAAAAATCTTAAAGTCATGTTGTTAAATTAATTGGGAATTTGGGTTACTAAGCATATTAGTTCATTTTCATGCTGCCTATAAAGACATACTTGAGACTGGGCAATTTACAAAAGAAAGAGGTTTAATTAGACTCACATTTCCACGTGGCTGGGGAGGCCTCACAATCATGGCAGAAGGCAAGGAGGAGCAAGTCACATCTTACATGGATGGCAGCAGGCAAAGGGAGAGCTTGTGCAGAGAAACTCTGGTGTTTTCTGTTTTTGTTTTAGTTTTTGAGTCATAGTCTCACTCTGTTGCCAAGGCTGGAGTGCAGTGGCACCATCTGGGCTCACTGCAAACTCTGCCTCCTGGCTTCAAGTGATTCTCCTGCCTCAGCCTCCTGAGTAGCTGGGATTACAGATGCCCACCACCATGCCCCACTAATTTTTGTAGTTTTAGTAGAGACTGGGTTTCACCATGTTTGCCAGGCTGGTCTCAAACTCCTGACCTCAGGTGATCCATCTGCCTAAGCCTCCCAAAGTGCTGAGATTACAGGCATGAGCCACTGTGCCCGGCCAAAACTCCCATTTTTAAAACCATCAGATCTCATGAGACTCGTTCCCTATCAGAAGAACAGTGCCGGAAAGACCTGCCCCCATAATTCAATCGCCTCCTACTGGATTCCTCCATGATGTGTGGGAATTGTGGGAGTTATAATTCAAGATGAGATTTAGGTGGGGACATAGCCAAACCATATCACTAAGAGTTAAAATAGTAGGAGAGTCAAAGGTGGTTTTGGTGAAGTTTATAAAAACACAAGCATGTGGTTTTTGCCAAAAAAAAATGAATTTTTCTAGTTCACACACTATTTAAGAGTTGCTTATAATACATAAAAATTGATAAAACTAAATGTATAAAGAGAAAATAAAAAGGTGGGGAATGAGAAACCTTGACTCTTGGGCAGCCACGTGGTCACCCATCTTAAGAAGCTGTAGCTGGGCTGCATTCAATTACTAAAGGTAAAAATTACCAGTGGAATTTAGAGTTGGATCACACTCATTCTCACAGGGAGTTCACTGAATGCATAAGAAAATGCAAACTAATAAGGAAAAGATAAAATATTCAATACATTAGTTATTGTTATATGTAATAGCTAAAATGAAAGTAAAAAGGAATGCTAGGTTGGGCATTAAGGCTGGGCCAAGCTCAAATATGGATCTGTCTCAGCTCAGGCCAGTAGCCTCAAAGGTACCACAAAAGGAAAAATTCAACCAGCGAAAACAAAAGTTACCTCTGAGTCCTGTGGTTACCAACAAGATAGTTGTGTAGGGGAAGGGCAAAACCAAGTAACCATTAAAACCAGAGGGTATAATGTAAAGGAAATGTTCCATTTTGTAGATTCCATCAGCTTCTTGAGAAACCTTTACTATAACGGATCATAACTACTTTAAGGACAGAATCTTTCATTTTAAATGCCGCAGAATGAAAAGGCATGTTTGGGTTGATGCAGGACCCACAACTCACTATTAAACAATCACTGATGAGTATATGTGATTCAGATGCACAGGAGGTTATTCCTGAGAGAATAGCCAGCCTAGTGGACTGGATAAATGCCACTGTAAGGTCTGTTTACCCTGAAAAGGTGTATTAGTCCATTATTGCATTGCTATGAAGAACCACCTGAGACTAGGTTATTTATAAAAAAAGAGGTTTAATTGGTTCTGCAGGTTGTATAGGAAGCACAGCTGTGGAGGCCTCAGGAAACTTACAATCATGGTGGATGTCAGAGAGGAAAACAGGCACGTCTTACATGACCAGAGTAGGAGAAGGAGTGAGAAGGAGGAAGTGCAATACACTTTTAAACAACCAGATATTTTGAGAACTCACTATCATGAGAAAAACAAGTGGCAAGTCCGTCCCCATGATCCAATCACCTCCCACCAGGCCCCTCTTCCAAACTGGGGATTATAATTCAACAAACCATATCAGAAGACTTCCCAACTCTCCCTATAAATTGCCAAGTGAAGCACCCCAGATGAAGCAGCTGATATGCTTCATATGCAAGTCATGTGGGACTGGCTTTAGGAAGACCAAGATACTCTCCCATTGACAATGCTTATGACCCAGATTATAGTAAATGCTGTGGTTAAGGGGGCCCTTCTCCATGGGCACCCCAGGTGACATTACTCCTACAGAATCAAAGAATTGTTTGAGAAGACTCATCAAATTTTCCGTCCTCATAGGTCTTACAGATGCTAGTAAAACATTAGAGTAATTAACAAAATAAAACAAAAATGGGAAAGGCAAAAGAAAGTCAAAGGACTCATCCCAGAAGGGTGGTGTAAATCTTTAGATGGTTATTAAGAAATGAAATAAATAAAATGAAAATGGATGGAATTAAAACAAAGGTCTTTACAACACTGTCAAATGTTGAGTGGACCAAGAGAATGTCTGCTGGTCCCCAGCTTTAAAGGGTCACAAACCAGTGTTCTGCATTTGCCTCAGACTGGAGAAATTTAAGAAAAATCAAAAGGCAAAGGTTATAATGAGAAAGCTGACATTGCCTTGGGTAACGCTGAGGCAAATTAAGATAAAGATTTACAAAAGGGTCTGAGTAACTTCGCTCAACTCCCTGCTGGAAACCTAAATCCTTTTTCACCGGAAAAGGTAAAATGGTCTAGGGGTAAAGAAGACAAGTTCCTGAGACCAGAACATAAAAATGTAAAGGTTGATAGGATTATGAAATTTGAGATGTTTAAACAGACTTTATGTAAGGTAGTTGTGATATCTTTATGCAAATGTCTTATGAAAACGGGTATTGTATGTAACTGGGGGATGTTTCCCCTACCTAGTACTATAAAACTGAAGGCATGTAAATCGACCCTTTAAGAAATATTAATTGGACACACTAAATGGGAACTATTAATAGTAAGATTGCCTGAGTCCACAGAATATAGGGTAGAAGCTGGAGCACTAGTCAGGACTAGCACTTTATAATAAGCATAAAACCTCCACTTGATAGCTCTTTGTGGAGCATTTATTAGGGCTTATAGCAAAAAACGTATGAGCACATAGGACTTTGGACTGGAGAATTTCCACTTGAGGGGCATTTACTGCCTTGCTATGGAATGTTAACTAAAGCTACTCGTATGCTAATGGAAATAATGATGCCCAAAACAGTTCTATGATAAAATAAAAGTGGTTTATATAGAATCCTGCTATGTGGTGATGCAAGGAGGAGGTACTTATGAGCAGGGAGTCTCTTTTTTTTTTTTTCCCTAGGACTAACTCTATTTGAGGAGCTGCCAGATCCTACAGTGCCTGATAGACAGCTCTTATCTGACAAGAGCAGCTTGGCTTGAGAATGGCAGTTCCAAAGTGAACAAACAACATCTTCTTTGGAAGGCTACTGTTCTGGTTAAAGAAGAGTCAAGGAAATATTTTACTTCTGAGTTATTTATTGTTTAGCACCATTGGAGAAAGTATGTTTTTGTCAGCAAATTTACCTTTCTCTCTGAGTTCTCCAAAATTTAAAAACTATTTGTGATTTCATGAAAATATAGTTATCTGCATAAATTTAGTAAGAATCTTTTTTTAAAACAGGAAGATTGGAGACATTGGTTATTTTACCAAGGCTTGGACTAAAATAACATATTTTTAGGTAAAGTTCCAACAAAGCCAACTTGAAAATAGCCTATATGGCTAATATATTATTGCTACACTTTATGTGAATAATCAGGCCAAGTATAATAAGCATAAAACTTATTTTAAACACAAGTTGGTCTTACTGTAATTTTCTTTAGTAGAAAGAAGGGCTAGAGAGAGAGAGAAATTGTTTCAAAGGAAAACTGTAACACCTGTTACTAGTTTCTAGCCTTGACTTTGCTTTTGAGTGCAGGTTGAATCATGAATTATTCCTTAGCTACAATAATCCCCTAAAGACAAAAGGTTATAATTTTTCTTCATGTTTTTAGTTAGCATTCTAATGGAATAGATTTCGTTGTCTGTTCTGACACACATATTCTCTTTTAATTTTCAAATTATTAATATTATTTATCTCTTGTTTTATTACTTCTTCTGAGAAAACCAGAATTGTGGTATTCTGAAGACTAGAGATTATTTGACAAAGCCTGCGAATCTCCGTCATTTGGAATTCCACTGGGCCCGATGTATTTTTCACTGCCAATTCCCTGCTGCTAAAGCTTTACAAGCATTCTCCCTCAAAGCCCAGTGACTATCACAGAAGAGGTGGGCATGTGAGATTGTAAGGAACAGTGTTGAGGGACAGAATTAGTTCAGACCCTCTGAATCAAGAATGGGTACACAGATGTCTAAACAGCTGGTAAAACAAGGGACTTTGCCTTCAGTACTATTATGTAGCAGCTTCTCACCCATCCCAACCATAAAAAATTTACTGCTTCCTATAGAATTAAAAGAAAATTATTACTCAGAGGATATAAAGATACCTTGTGACAAAGCCTCCTGGGTATAATACTCCCAGTTATGAGATTTATGTAGATAGAGGTATTTTAAAAAAATTGTCAGCCACCTTAAAACAAATTACTAAAAGACCACAAAAAGCATTATGACAAAATCTCCAAATTTCTTAGCTTAAAAGGATTTAACCATGCTTATGTTTTATATAGCTAATCGCTATAAGTCTGTTATAAAACCAAAATTACAGTAGCTCAGCACATAGAAGTTAAAGATAAGTTAATTTTGAACCTCACCTTTGGCTTTTTGTTTGTTGGTTTTTATATTACATAAAAAATGTTTAAAGGTTAATGAATGCCTGCTCATATCCACTGGCATCTAGCTTACAACATTTAAATTGGCCATAAGTCTTTTGGCTCTAAGGCTCTTGGCTATAGGGGTTCTACCGAGGGACAGGATGGATCCAGGGCAGGCAGCCATGCCACCCAGCAATGCTTTGGGACAAAATAAAAGTTTGGTGGCCATTGATGTTGCTTCTGGCAACATCCGTTCTACATTCTGGAAGAATGTAAAACAAAAATAAAATTCTAAGTCCCTCAATCATCTGAATGGGCCCTTCCTTTTGATCAAGGGCTTTCCAAAGTTAACCAGAAAGACTAGTTCAGGTCATGAAGAGAAGGGGGAGCTGGACATATCTCATTATACCCTACTCCCTTTTGGAATTACTGATAGAACAAACTCAAGTCTGATAAGAAACATTTGCAATCTATTCTCTCTGAAGCCTGCTACCTGGAAGCTTCATTTGCATGATAAAACATTGCTTTCCACAACCTTTATCTTAACCCAGACATTACTTTCTATTGCATCTAAGTCTTTAAACAGTAACATAACTCTTTCACCCAATTGCCAATTGGAAAATGTTTGAATCTACTTGTGACCTGGAAGCCCCCTGCTTTCAGTCATCCTGCCTTTCTGGACCTAATCAATGTACATCTTACATGTATTGACTGATGTCTTATGTCTCCCTAAAATGTATAAAACCACACCGTGGCCCTACTACCTTGGGCATATGTTCTCAGGACCTCCTGAGGGCTGTGTCATGGGCCATTGGTCATTCATATTTGGCACAGAATAAATCTCTTCAAATATTTTACAGAGTTTGATTCTTTTAATCAGCATTACAAAGATATTTTTCTGTGTCTAAACCATACCCTTTCTTGTCTTAAACCCCCAAGAATAGTCTCTGTTGTAATAACATTTTAATCAAAAATAAATAAATAAATAAATAAACACAATACAAAAGCAAGCAGTACAAGATGTCAGAAGAACTTTACGTTCTTGGAGTTCTGTAAGAAAAAACAGAGGTTTCTCTCCAAAAAAAGGGTCTGGTGCCTTCTCTGTTTTGTTTAAGAAATACTGAGCTGTTAGACATTATTTTAGGTCCGTCAGGCAGCAGAGGGTTGCAAGAGAAAGGAGAGAAAGGCAGAAGCAAATGGAGAAAATAAAATTCAGCTGACTGAGAAGAAAAAGAAACTTTTTCTCAAAAAACAAATTCTAGGAGAAAAAGCATAAAAGATACACACCACACATACACACAAACACACACACACACACACACACACACACACACACACACACCCCTTGGATATTTGCTTTTAATTAAGCTGACTTTTAACCATAGAGCTCTTAAAAAATCCTTTTAAATCTGATTACCATATTTTAGCTGGGACGAACTGCCAGTATTTCAAAAGTAACACAAATATCAAACCAGAAAGGATTTGATTTAGGAATCAAAACCAGGCTGCCGTGGTGAAAAAAGGGCAGAATCTTAGCTACTGAACCACAGCATGGGGTGACCACTATTGCTCTCTCAGTTTGGCGGGCTAGCAAAAGGTGGCCTTGTTTTGTAAATAAAGACCCTCAGGTAGTCAAAAATTTTCTTTTCTTTTTTTTTTTTTCCCCTTTTGCTGGCTGTGTTTTCTTCTTTCGTCTCTTTTGTTGTTGTTCAGCTGTGGGAATTTAGCCAATTCAGAGGCATTGTTCCCCATAATTTGGAACTTTCCTTCAAATTCGACCAAAGGAAATCTACCAGTTGGTCAAACCCAATGGGAAAAAGACCAAAACAACAAAAACAACCACCACCACCAAAAACAACAAACCCAGAAACAAACAAAAAAACACTTAAGCAAACAAACAAACAACTGGTCAATTTATACAATTACTGAGCGCTCTAATGGTAAGGAGAAATTCAGACCGGCTGGGTGTTAATCTTAACTTTTAGTAATTCAGGAGAATTTCCAAGACAAAATCCCAATTCGGCTACTTACCTAGGAATGGGGCCCAGGCTGAAGATTGCCCTCCGCCATTTTAAACGCAGGAAAAAACCTTAAACTTGCCTTCCCTGTTGGAAGTGAGCTGAAACTCCTGAAAAGAATCACCTGCTTTCCATCATTACGGAAGCAGGAAAACTCACCTGCCTTGTTGGAAGTGAGTAAAACCCCAGAAAAGGAGTTGTACAGCCAAAGAAACCTTAGATATCAACCAAATTTTGGGAGATCATCGATTTTCTGCAGTGGGGAGCTCCCTAGACCTGAGCAGATTGTCCTATTAGTTTGAGCAATAAAGATCGTTCAAGCTGGTACCAAGCACCAATAGGACATTTGTCGGTTAGGATCACCTCCACTTAGATTCCCTTCCACTGGTTGCCAATTTGTAAACCAAAAAATATCTGAGACAGGTCTCAATCAATTTAGAAGTTTATTTTGCCAAGGTTAAGGGCAATGCCTAGGAGAAAAAAAGCACAGAATCACAGAAACAGTCTGTGGTCTGTGCCTTTGTCCAAAGATAATTTTGAGGGCTTCAATATTTAAAGGGGAAAAGCAGGCTGGAGGGGGAAAGGAGAGGGTATGGTCACATTACAGAATCCACATGTTGCAAGAGAAAAGGAGCAGGTAGGTGAATAGTCAATTATATATTCATCTCATGCTCAGTAAATCGGCACTTTACCTAAGTAGCTGCCTATGCAGATAGGTAACATTTTATCAGTAGGAAGAAAAAGAAAGTCAGCTTCTTGTATGACTCAGCCTTCAGCTTAATTTTTTTCCTTTTGGCATAATGAATTGAGGTCCCAAGTTTTTGTTTTCCTTCCACAGATCTGGAGTCAAAAGACCTGGGTTCCAGTTCCGCCAGCAACCTGCTGTGTATCCCATCAAATCACCTCTCCTCTTGGGGCCTTCTTATTAGTAAAATGAAAAGATTGGTCTGTGTACTTTCAAAGACTCATCCAGCCTCAACAATCTAACAGTCTGCAGGTTTCATACCTGGGAAGAGGGAATACCTACTTTTAAACAGGCCATTACTTTAATAGCTGTTGAGCTTCTACTGTGTGCATGGCAGACATCCAGCAGTGGTCAGGATGTGTACAGTCTCTGAGGGTATTAGTTTTCTATTGCTGCTGTAATAAATTACCACAAACTTAATCGCTTAAAACCACATGAGTTTATCATCTTACAGTTCTGAAGGTCAGGATCCTGCCATCGGTTTCACTAAGCTAAAATCAAGGTGCCAGCAAGCTTGTATTTATTCTGAAGCCCCAAGAAGAGAATGTATTTCCTTGCCTTTTCAAACGTCTAGAAGTCATCTGCATACCTTGGCTGGTGGCCTTTCCCTGCACCTTCAAATCAGCAGCAGAGTCATCATGTCACCTTCACTGACTAACCTTCCTGCCTTTCTCTTATAAAGACCCTTGTGATTCTATTAGACCCACTCAGATGTTCTAGGATAATCACCCTATTTCAAGGTCCTTAAGGTAATCAAATCTGTAATGTCCTTTTTCCTATTTAAAGAAACGTAGTCACAGGTTCTAAAGTTTAGTATGTAGATATCTTTAGCAGGGAGAGCGTCTATTCAGTCTGGCACCCTGGGCTTAGCCTTCATTTGTTAAAAGACCAGGAAGCTCTCTTCATATATAAGCCCATAAGAGATACTGTCCTTTGGGTGTTATACGGGCTACCAATGAACTCTTAAAGTGAAAAATGCCACTGTCTGACCACTGCCACCATCACTGTCACCAACAAGCAACATTTGGGCATAAACTTTGTGAAACCCAATTCCTGTTGCCAGCAACTAACATCCACAAGGGCATAGACAGGCAATGTTTATGTTCAAACCCTTCAGCAACATTGTCTTAAGATAATTTCCAAATGAGATAGCATCAGAACAGATATCCAGGAGCAGCCAGGCACACAGTAGATGCTCAATAAAAGCCAGGAGTTTGGAGGTTTTCTCATAATCTTCATTAATCAGTGAGTTGAGGGTTCTGATATGCTTTTTGGTTATACTACTTTGGTAGGTTTGCCAGGCCAGATCCAGTTATATCACAATAATCAAGCATGCCAATGTCTTGGGCTGCCCGACAACAATGTTGAGAGGCTCTGATAAAGACCACTGCACCAGGGTAGATCTCTTTATCTTCAGCTCTATAAATGAAAATAATCTGTTAATGCACTGGGGCTTAGCCATTGTTTGGCACTGACCTATGAGAGGAGGTTGCCCCTGCACTGCCTTTCTCTCCTCCCAGCTGTGTCTTATAAGCTGCTGTCACCTTAACCACAGGTTGTCCAGAGAAACAAAAACTCTCCTCCCAGAGGATTATGATCCTTCCACCTGCACACCAGAGACTTAGGGCTACCATGGCATAGATGCTTCCAAAAGAAAAGAAGAAAGGAACTGACTTTCTGGCAGATACAGAACTGAGTCTCTGTGAAGGAGTTAACGGCCTTTCTGGATCAATAATACCATTCTCTGGTAAGGAAACAATGCATCTGGTAACATGGAGGTGACTCTAGTAAATGAGAAGTTGGGAAAGTACCACAGTAGTAAGAGAAAAGGCACGTTGGCCGGGGGCACTGGCTCACGCCTGTAATCCCAGCACTTTGGGAGGCTGAGGTGGGAGGACTGCTTGAGCTCAGGAGCTTGAGACCAGCCTGGGCAACATAGTGAGACAAAAAATTAACAAATTAGCCAGGCATGATGGCACATGCCTGTGGTCGCAGCTATTCAGGAGGTGGAGGCGAGAGGACCACTTGAACCTGGGAGGTCCAGGCTCCAGTGAGCTACGATCATCACTGCACTCCAGCCTGGGTGACAGAGTGAGATGCTGTTCCCCCACCAAAAAAAAAAAAAAAAAAAAGAGAGAGAGAGAGAAAGAAAGAGGCGCATTATCTTGCTGTAATTGGATAACTGCAGACCCAACCCTAGCAAACTGTCCTCTGATAGGAAAATAAAATGTTCTCTTACTTTATTAAGGTTGATAGAAATGTAGCAAAAACCTGGTAGCATTTCCTTGTATAGCTTTGGAGACAACGAAGGTGGGCTGGAATTTCTGCTGCTTGCTAGATGGATGGCTTTTTGATAAGTTGCTTACCTCTCTGTACCTCAGTGACCTTATGCATGAAACAATAAATCGTATATACAGAAAATAAAATGCCTGCTTCCTAGCACTGTTGACATATATTATATGGAAGTATTTAACATGACCACACACCAATTGGTCAATCATTGTTTTTCACTGTTAAGGTTTCCCTTAACACTCTAGAAATCACTAAAATTTTTTAAATCATCTGGTTTGACCCTTAATTTTACAGATATTTTCTGGAGACATTTTGTTACATTAATTTATATACAAATTTCAACAAAGATAATGTTTTGATTTAAAATAGTCAGTGATTGTCAGATTTGACCCTGGAATCATGAGCTTTCCACAAAACCCTACATCAGGAAATGGTTCTGTTCAATGCAAAATGGCAGCTTTTCAGAGTTTTGTGATCTCCTTAAAGATCTATTCACACCAAATCCAATCTGGAAATCAAAAGCAGATCAAAGAGATAAAAAAGAAGTAATGTTGGCAAACAGATTTTAAAGTTTAATTGAAAAATTATACTTTATAATATCTTAATTTATATTTTGTTGGCAAAAAGATCTTAAAGTTTAATTGAAAAATTCTACTTTATAATATCTGAATTTATATTTTATTACTAACTAATCATTAGGTTTGCATATGCAATATCTTTCACTCTGTTTATATATACAACACAGGAAATGCTGAAATGTATATTCAGATCTGATCTGTTTACATTTAGTTTTAGATTTGTTGGTATGTTAATTGGGTGTTTTATTATGATTTAGAAAATTTGTCCATGGAAGCAAGGAATAAAAGAGCAATTCATAAAAAATCATTTTTCAATTCAGAGGGGATGGAGAGGAGATTTGCATTAAAAACTATCCACTATATTCTCTGCACTATTTTTCTTAGGAAGCAAGAATGTTCCAGGTTCCCCCATCTTGGAAGTTTTTCCACTTCATCATTAAACTGAGACCAAGAAAGGACAAGATAATGGAAGTGAAAGCTAAACTGCTTCAGACTGATGGAGGCTCAGGTCAGCCCCAAGAGCTTGGAGCACAGTGACAGGACATTATAAGAGGCAGAAACAAGATAACTTAGCAGCTCCAATCCAATAGCTTTTCTTTGCTGTTGTTGTTTGAGACGGAGTCTCACTCTGTCACCCCGGCTGGGGTGCACTGGTGCAATCTTGTTTCACTGCAACCTCTGCCTCCCACGTTCAAGCGAAGTCTCCTGCCTCAGCTTTCTGAGTAGCTGGGATTACAGGAACGCAGCACCACGCCCAGCTAATTTTTGTACTTTTAGTAGAAATGGGGTTTCACCATGTTGGCCAGGCTGGTCTCGAACTCCTGACCTCAAGTGATCTGGCCACCTCGGCCTCCCAAAATGCTGGGATTATAGGTGTGAGCCACTACATCTGGCCTTCCAAACCAACAGCTTTTCTAGGTTTCTTTATATATCAAGAGCTGAAGTCTTCTGTCACAAATGCTTCTGAGGTTTTATTTTTAATATGCAGCATTTATTCATTCCTAGCCACAAACCATGCACTGTGCTAACGTACTCACTAAAACCTTGCAACTACCTAGTGAAGAAGGTATTATTACTCTCATTGCACAGATGCAAATGAGACTTGGAGATGTTAAGCAACTTGACAAAGGTCATCCAGAGAAGCAAGTTTGGATGCAAGTGTGGTGCAAGTGGTATGTGTGTGTGTGTGCATGTGTGTGTGCACGTCTGTGTTTTAGGAGAGGGATGAGAGTCTCACTTTTGGCAGAATGCTAAACCATGAATGTGGTCCACTCTGCTTCTCTTTTCTCCCTTTTCTTTACTCTTGATAATTGCCCAGTTAAGGCGCTATCCCTCTTCTTTTTTTACCTTGGCATAACAGAGAGTTTAACACCAACGGTATTGCCAGCAATAGCTATTTTTGAAATACAGCAAATTGTGTTTGCACCAAATGGACCTGCCACTTATCCAGAAGTCACTCTGAGCAGCACAGAGGACTTGGCAACAACAATGAAGGATGGCACACCCTGCACCCTCCTTTCTATTGTTTGTTATCACCATGCTGCAGACTCAGGTACTCTTTACATTTGCAGATTCTTCCACTCCATTCAAAACAACTACACAAGCCTGAAGGGCAAAAAGGGTGAAGGCATTCACCATCAACAAGAAACCTTTATCGAAGAAGGCAGCACAAGGGAGAATAAATAGCAGAGAAGCTGAGTAGGTTAAGTTCTGAAGTCAGACCAGAGAGGTTCAAACCTTGCCTCTGGTTGCGTCATTGAGCTCATGGTGGCAGAGGCAAGACATGGTTTGTCTCGAGCTGAATGACCTTGGATAAGATCCTTAAGTGTACTTAAACCTCAGTGTCTTCATCTGTAAGATAGAGATAATAATAGCACCAACCTCACAAGCTTGTCATGAATATTGAATGACATCAGAAATGCAAAGTGCCTGCCTACATCAAGAACCTAAAAACTGCCTTTTATTATTGCAGATCTTCTGTGAGTCATGCTTAGTGCTAAGAACACATTACATAGCCTCAACCCATACCGGCTGGGTAGGGAGACAGGGCACATATATGAAAAACTATCATTGATAATACAAAGTAGACAACTGTCACATGAATAGCATAAATGCATGTTACGGAAAACCCAGGGAAGAAATAAACACAAAATTATTTAAAAAATTAATTAGATTACAGATGGTAGTCCAGAAAGAGCAGGCAATTTTACCAATATTAAAAGCAGTTTTTGAAAAAGAAATAAAATCCAAGTCTTCTGGTTCATATGGTAGGATTTTTTAAAATAAAACTATGCCACAATAATATTAAGGAAAATAATCTTAACAACAGCAGTGGTTGCCTGGGTGCAGTGGCTCATACCTACAATCCCAGCACTTTGGGAGGCCAAGGCAGGAAGATTACTTGAGGCTAGGAGTTGGAGGCAAGCCAGCCTGGGTGACATAGTGAGGCCATATCTCTACAAAAAAAAAAAAAAAAAAATTAGCAAGGCATGGTGGTGTGGCCCCTGTAGTCCTAGATGCTCAGGATGCTTAGTCAGGGGGATTGCTTAAGCCTAGGAGTTTGAGGCTTCAGTAAGCTGTGATTGCGCCAACCTGGGTGAAAGAGCAAGACCTTGTTTCTTAATAAACAACAAACAAACAGAAAAACAAAAAAACAACAGTAGTAATTAACACTTTGAAGTCACCTTTTACGAGCTAGGCATTTTATACACATTATCTTATTAAATCCTCACAATAACTGTAGGAGGGAGGTACTATATTTTCCCCTATTTTACAGATGAGAAAATTGAGGTGCAGGAAGATAAGTAACTTGTCCAAAGTCCTACAGCCGGAAAGTGGCTGAACCAGGACTTAAACCCAGGTTTCCAAGCAATCACAATGGGAAGTTGAAGGGGAGAGGAGAACAGGGTAAGCAGGAGCCAGGGAAATGACAGGCCAACTCTTAGTGGGGCATTCATGGCAAGTTAACGGGCCTCCTTTACTGGAAGAGGAAATTCAAGTAGAGGAGTTAGCAGACACAGAACAGTGTATAAAGCAGGCGAAAGGAGGCTCTGAATGCCAGTCCAGACAGCGAAGTTTCTATTTGTCTGTTGTTTGGTTGGGGAGAAGACAGGAACAGAAGACAGGAGTCTGACAATTCTGTAGTTAAGGGGTTTTTTTAGACTCATCTGGTCACAGACAGAATGAAGAGGAAGGGTCCAGTGGCAGGGAGACCAGTCAGTGGCTAAGGCAGCAGCTCTGAGGAAGGATGAGGTGTTTTTCAGGTGTTCCCCAACTTGCCAGGGACACACAGCCACAAATCCACCTCCCAGTCTCACCACAGAGCATCAAGAAACTGATACTCTCTATCCATCTCTCCCTACAGGCTGTAGTACTTCTGTGTCCATAGCAGTAGACAAAGTCCTTTGGGAACCATGAAGATTTTTTTCCGCTACCAGACATTTAGATTCATCTGGCTCACCAAGCCACCTGGCCGGCGCTTACACAAAGATCACCAGCTTTGGACGCCTCTGACTCTTGCTGACTTTGAAGCCATAAATCGCTGTAACAGGCCATTGCCTAAAAACTTTAACTTTGCTGCAGATGTGCTGGACCAGTGGTCCCAAAAGGAGAAGGTATATGACGATGGGCTTCCAGTAGATGCTTGGTGTCCCCTTATCTCTCAGTCTTCCATTTCCTTGTTCTGTGGTCTACCACTTAATTCCAATGCACTCTCTCACCCTCTTGGTTTCCTTTGTTTGTTTTCCAATTGCCCTCCCCTCTCCCCAGGGAAGATCTTAGATCCTCAGCCACAAATGGCTGGGCGGCTCTGGAGCCTTCTCTATCTCCCATCCCCATGGTCGTTCCTCACAGAGTTCTGCCTCTTTTCCTTCTCTTTTCTCCAAGCCCCATGCAACAGTGCTTTGTTTTCAAGTTGGTCACAGGCTTATCGAAAAAGTAGCAAATTGAGTTTTGATTTTATGAATACAGTTATCATTGGAGTAATGAGGAGAGAATTGGAGGTTGACAAGAATAAAGCAAGCGGCCCTTATGCAATGTTTACAGTGCAGCCTCAGGATGAGGTCTCTGTGTACTGATCCTCACCCCATGCCAGGCACTGAGCTAAACACTTAACCAAGCAGTGCTTATCAAAATGCACTGCAGGACCATGGATGGGAACATGATGTTAGGTACTAGACAGACAAGGTATTAAATAACATTGAATCAATTCTTCCTGTTAAATACAGGGGGAAAGCCTTCCTTGAAAGCCATTGTGTCTTTAGCACCTATCATTTGCTAAACACTCTCTTGAATAAAGACCACAGGTAGAAGCTAATCATCTCTAGATAAAATTTAATGGCATAGTTTTGTTTTCAGCATATTTATTTTTCAATAACCTATTTTTTGGCAAGTGGTAATAATTGTCCAATAATGGTGCTGATTAAATATATATTCCTTCTTAAGTAAATGTATACACGTAAAAAGTAAAAAGTGAGTCCATGTAGCGAAGTATACAAAATAAAGAAGAATAGTGCAGGTGCAGGCAGAGCTGACAGAAACAATGAGACTTAAATGACTAAAGATTGAGAAATACTGACCTATATTATTTCACCAAATCCCCATAACAACCTGGGAGGTTTGCAGATGAGGAACTTGACCTCATAGAAGCTAAGCTACTTATCCAAGGCCACACAGGTCCAACAGAACATAAACCCAGTCCCTGATCTTTACAGAGGTTACATCCACAGGGAAGAGACACATCTGTCATATAATAAATTGGAGTCATCTGGAGTATGAGCACAACGATGAAGGAACACAGAGAAGTTAGTGGAGAAACAAAGAGAAGTCTAAGAAAAGCTCACAGACGAACTGACATGTCAACAGGGCTTTAAAGTATTTGCCAGCCAGAGAAGATAAAAGAAGCATTCCAGATAGGGGAAAGAAGGGAGAGTAATTTTTTTCCAGGTAATACATAAGGCAAAGAGGTTTTGCAGTACAGATGACTCACTTTATAGAATGATGGGGAAGAAGTTACCTCTAGAAGTCAATAAATTGATGCCTCCCTCGACCCTGCTCCTTGTGACTTGTGAAAACCACACCTCAGCCTTAGGGTACAAAGAGATGTCTGCTTCCCAGTCAAACTTAGCAGATCCATTCAGGTTATTTGGATGGGAAAGAATCTAATTTAAGCAAGAAAGAAATTTATTCAAGGAATATGGGAGAGCTCACAAAATTGGGCTGGAAGCTGGAGAGTCCATCTCAATGAGGACAGGAATCAGGACAGCTCTCTGAGCATGCGTAAGCACGAATAACCCATAGACAAGTTTTGTACCAACCATTTTCTATCTTTTGATTTCTCTCAGAAAACCAAAAAGTCCAGAGAGAGAAGGTCTGATTGGCCCAACTTTGGTCAAATGCCCACCTACTGCTCGGGGAAGGGTAAAAGCAACCTGAGGGATTCTCTTTTCAAGGCTGTGTTCAATAGGAGAGGGGCAGTTCCCTCAAAGACGAACTCAGGGCGCTGTTAGCAGAATGCACCAGAACCAGTGCCAAAGGGGGAAAACAGCAGATGCCGCATGTAAGAGTAATCAGTCATGTAAACCTACCCCTCTCTTTTCCATGTGTCCCTGGTCAGACAGGGGAGAGACCAGCTAACCCAGCCCTGTGGTGGGTGAATGGCAAAGGGGATGAGGTAAAATGGAGCTTCAGAGAACTGGGCTCCTTGTCCCGAAAAGCTGCCAACGTGCTCACCAAGCCCTGTGGCCTGCAGAGAGGAGACCGTTTGGCCGTGATTCTGCCCAGAATCCCTGAGTGGTGGCTGGTCAATGTAGCTTGCATACGAACAGGTCAGTGCCAATATTAGCATTCTAAATCACACAAACACAGAGAGACTGAAACTCAATGGTTTTCTGAATTGTTAGCTCTGATTAAAAGTATGCATACAGAAGACAAAAAAAAAAAAAAAAAGAAGAGTTAAGGCAATCATGATATAATAATAACAATAACACCAAGAGGGAGGTATTAGTGTGATAACCATTTTGCAGAAGAGGAAACCAAGGCTCAGGTTAAGAAGCTTGCCGGGCGTGGTGGCTCACGCCTGTAAGCCCAGTACTTTGGGAGAACGAAGCAGGTGGATCACGAAGTCAGGAGTTCCAGACCAGTCTGGCCAACATACTGAAACCCCGTCTCTACTAAAAACACAAAAAATTACCCAGTTGTGGTGGTGTGTGCCTGTAATCCCAGCTACTCGGGAGGCTGAGGCAGGAGAATCGCGTGAACCCGGGAGGTGGAGGTTTCAGTGAGCTGAGATCTTGCCATTGCACTCCAGCCTGGGCAACAGTGCAGGACTCTGTCTCAAAAACAAACAAACAAACAAAAGCTTGCCAAAAATCACAATTAGAAAGCTATTCTATTCAGTCACAGCTAGAAAGCTATGCAATTGGGATTTAAAAACAAAGCTCTATAAAAGCAAATTTGGGTACCAACATCTCTTTGCAGTGCTAGATTATCTAGGACATGTTCATCCAGATGATCCAGATAACTTCTCTGAATATATTTGGATTCTCCCTAACAAAAAAAAGATACAACAAGAAGAAAAAGTATTTATACATCAGGACTTATAAGAATATGATTGGCACATCCCAGTTGAAAAATCTCTACCTTTATTTCAGACTAACTAGTATATTCAATGACACACTTTCTCCCCAAGTAGTAATTTATAATTTACCCCAAATAAAAATTCCAACAGGATTTTGTTCCACTCTAGGACAGGAGTTAGCAAGCCATGGTCTGTTGGTTGGGCATCTATTTACATAAGTAATTTTAATGGAATACAGCCATGCTCATTTATTTATACACCGTCTATGGCTCCCTTTGTTTCACAACAGCAGAAATCCTCATTGAGATGGAGATACTATGGCCTGCAAAGCCTAAAATATTTGCTATCTGGGCCTTTATTGAAAAGTTTTCCAATTCCTGCTCTAAAACATGGCATAAATGTTTATAAGTCAATTAAGAATAAATAATATCAAAGGATAGAATATGGTAAAAATCACGAAGATGTTTGTTGCAATGTTATTAATAGTAATAGAAATTTGGAAACAACTAAATAGAAATGACTGAATTATAATAGGTGAGACTAAGCTTAGTTGAGGTGTGTGTGTATAAGTGATTAAAATTATGGTAATTCAACTTGAAATACCACTAAAATGATAATTACAAGGATTTCATAATGCTGTTGAAGATGATCTTTCTGCCAATATTGAATAAAAACAGCATTATATAAAATTCGTTTATATAAAATTCTTTTTGCATTCACTAAAAACAACTTGCAAATGTTAAACCAGTTGTGGATTGAGAGTAGATTAAAGGTGATTTGTTATAAAAAATATGTAATATTGCTTAACATGTTATGAAATGTATAAAATAATAGTGAAAACTGGACAAGCTGAAAGGCTAACATAAAACACTAAATTAAATGTAAAGCAAGGAGGTGAGATTATATTTTCTAACTCAGAATTATTAAATCTTCAATGAGAATATTGAAATTGTTTGTACTATATCACATAGCAAAATATTTTGTTTTCTTGCTGTAAAGTGTATGCAGTAAAGCCTGAGATATATGCTATCTGAAATCCACTAGAAGAAAACTTCTCCTAACCCTGAATTTAGAGGTCTACCCATTGAGTACATTCATATCACCAATCTACCAAGGGAGCTAATTATTTGTAAGTCATTAAGAACAAGTGGTTTGTAAAATAAATAATCTTAAATTTTTATATTGAGCGAATACTCTAAGATGTTTTCTTAATCAACTTCCTTATCCTTATGCATTTATTCACTTTCTCAAGAAGGGATGATATTTAAAAGCTTTTAAAATATATTCATAAAATAAAATCTCCTTCCTAGCAATTCAACTCCACATTTTTGTATTTAGCAAACTTCAGGGAACTCACCAAGAAATGAGTAGTTTGGCTTATAGCACAGGTCTTGGAAGTGTGGGAAATGTATCTTTGAATCTTTTCTATCCTTTGCCACTTATTGACTTTGTGACCCTTGGGCAAGTTATTATTTATATACTGGGATTAATTTTAAGTGAGATACCAGGCACGTAATAAGTGCTCAATAAACAGTAGTGATTATCTGTATCACTTTATATACACTTCACTTCTTGTTCCCAATAATTCACTTTAGAAAGTACAAACTTCTCTCTTTAATCTAATTCGGCCATGTATGTTCTTCCCAGAATGAACTGGTACTTTAAAATCAGACATCTCCAGCCAGTGTTTAGGATGAAATGAGGAGGTGAGATAAACTAAGCATTGCCAAAGTAGTCTAGGCAAACCTTGATGATGCCAGACCACTGGAATCCATAGAGAAGAGGGCTGGCTCTGCCACTCACCAGCTCTGACCAAATCTCACATTCCGTCAATGGGCACAACCACATGGACCTACCAGGGTTGCTTAAAACAGTAGTCTCTAGGCATTTTTGACTGTATAATCTATCAATAAAAATATTTAGGATACACATCTTCCCATCTGGGTATAGCTACTTATGTGCTTCTACTGCACTAATACAGTATGCATATTATGAAACATACAAAAATGAGATAAAAGCATTAAAAGAATTGTAGTTTCTCAATAATTTCTAGTTCTTTAAAATTTTTAATATTATTTTAAAAATTAAACAGGGACGGAATCTCACTATGTTGCCCAGGCTGGTCTCAAACTCCTGGGCTCAAGTGACCCTCCTGCCTTGGCCACCGAATGCACTGGGATTACAGGTGTGAGCCACCATGCCCAACCAATAATTTTTCGAATTTCTATTTTCATTTCTTAGTCCCAATGGATTGTTGAAAAACTCACTTTGGAGGCCACTGGTTTTTTTCTCTTGTTTGTTTGTTTGAGACAGAGTCTCACTCTGTCACCAAGGCTAGAATACAGTGGTATGATCTTGGCTCACTGCAGCTTCCATCTCCAGGGTTCAAGTGATTCTCCTGCCTAGGCCTCCTGAGTAGCTGGGACTATAGGCGTGCGCCACCACACCTGGCTAATTTTTGTATTTTTAGTACAGACAGGGTTTCGCCATGTTGCTCGGGGTGGTCTCGAACTCCTGGGCTTGATTAAGTAATCTACTGGCCTCGCCTCCCAAAGTGCTGGGATTACAGGCCCAAGCCACCGCGCCTGGCAGGAGACCATTGGTTTAGAGAATTGAATGAGACAGTGCTCATGAAATGTGTTATAAGCTGTAAAGTGCTATTTAAGTAGTACACAATAATGATTCAAACGTGACATTAAAATGTTACATAGTAATGGCCCACCATTATAATGTCTGCTCAGACACTTACTGTTGTTATTCCCATTTTACAGATAAGGAAAGAAAGGCACAGAGAGATCAAGGTCATAAAGCTTGTAAATTGCAAGGGCAGGATTAGACCCATGGTCTGTCAAACTCTGAAGCTAGTGCTCCAAGGGATCTCTCAGGGATCAGGGTCCTGTGCAATATCCTTGGGCATCAAGGCAGAGGTAGCTGAGGTAGCTGAAGAATGGATTGTGATGCTTCTCCTCACCGAGGCACAAAGCCCAAGTCTTCCACAATGGACAGCAGTTCTGTTCAGTGCAGGGCCCTCTGTCCTTCCCAGGGATCATCTTCATGCCGGGAACAATCCAGCTGACAGCAAAAGACATCCTCTACCGGCTGCGAGCATCCAAGGCCAAGTGCATTGTGGCCAGTGAGGAGGTGGCCCCAGCGGTGGAGTCCATTGTATTGGAGTGTCCTGACCTTAAGACAAAACTCCTGGTGTCTCCACAAAGCTGGAATGGGTGGCTCAGCTTCCAGGAGTTATTTCAGTGAGTATTTTTCCCAGCCAATCTACACTGCTGGCAACAACACAAATTATAGCTATATCTTGGAATCTCTTTGCCTCCAAGGACTCAGGAACACTGTCAGTTGATCTGGGCTCTTACTCAGAAAAGAATTACCTAATAGCTGGGTGCGCTGGCTCACACCTGTAATCCCAGCACTTTGGGAGGCTGAGGTGGGTGGATCACTTGAGGTCAGGAGTTTGAGACCAGCCTGGCCAACGTAGTGAAACCCCGTCTCTACTAAAAATACAAAAATTAGCTGGGCGTGGTGATGCCTGCCTGTAATCCTAATTACTCAGGAGGCTGAGGCAGGAGAATTGCTTGAACTTGGGAGGCAGAAGTTGCAGTGAGCCGAGTTTATACCACTGCACTCCAGTCTAGGTGGCAGAGTGAAACTTTGTCTCAAAAAAATAAATAAATAAATAAATAAAATAAAAGAAAAGAAAAAGAAAAGTATTACCTAATAAATGAATTTAAGGGCAGAAGAAAGGCACGTAGCTCTGCCTCCCCTCTCCTGCTCTCTACTGTGGCCTATGATGAGTATCCTGTGTGGTCTGGCCCTTGCTTAAACCTGGACCACATCTCCCACCACTCTCCCTTTTCTTCCTCAAACATGCCCTACCTCCGCTCCTGTTATTTCTTCTGCCTGGAGTGCTCTTCTTATTCCTTTTCACGAGTGGCTCCTTCTTGTCATATTTTGACTCAGTATTTTATCCTAAGAAGTTTTCCTTGACCACACTACCTAGAATAGAACTACAAGCCACTCTATTACAACGTCCTCCTGTTTTCTTCATATCACTCGTCACCACCTGAATTATCATGCCCATTCATCCATTCCCTTATGTAGAGTCCTTTTTCTCCTCTAGAGTAGGGTTTGGCAAATTCAGGCCCACAGGCCAAATCTGGCCTGCCACCTTTTTTGTTGTTGTTGTTGTTGTTTTTTTTCTGAGACAGGGTCTCACTTTGTCACCCAGGCTAGAGTACAGTGGTGTGATCTCAGCTCACTGCAACCTCCACCTCCGGGTTAAAGTGATCCTCCCACCTGAGCCTCCTGAGTAGCTGGGATTACAGGCACCTGCCACCACCCCTGGCTCATTTTTGTATTTTTAGTAGAAAGGGAGTTACACCATGTTGGTTAGACTGGTCTCGAACTCCTGACCTCAAAGTGATCCGCCAACCTCAGCCTCCCAAAGTGCTGGGATTACAGGCATGAGCCACTATGCTCAGCTCTGTTTTTGTAAATAAAGTTTTATTGGAATGCATCCATGCTCATTTTTCACATGTTGTCTATGTAACAACAGCAGAGTGGAGTAGTTACAACAGAAACTGTATGGCCCACAAAGCCTAAGCTACTTGCTATCTGCCCCTTTACAGAAAAAGTTTGGCAACCCCTGCCCTAAACCATAAGTTCTAAGAAAGCAGAGACTTTGTTTGGTTGATCTTCCTGTCTCCAGTTCCTAACACATAAATGGTGCTTAATATTTATAAATGAATGAACAAAAGAGATCACAACTGCAGTTTTCCTCATAAGTAAAATGGGAATAATTATACTGTACTTATCTCAAGTGTTGTTTTGAGGGTAAATTAAATGAATATGTGAGAAAGTGTTTTTCAAGCTGTGAAAAAATGAGTGAAGTGTTAATTAATGGCATTATCTTTCAAAGAGGTGTTGAATAGCTTATGTTTAAAAAAAAAATTCTTCCAGAGAAGTTTATAGAAAGAGAAGACATGCAAACCCTGCTGAATAATAGGGTAGTTTTACTTGTGAGAATGAAATTTTATCCTACTAATTAATATAAACCAAATACTACTGGCCAATCCCAAGGGCCACACCAGTGAATACTGCTTGTGTCTTTTATAAGCTGTGTAACCTTGGATAAGTGAGGTAACATTGCTGAAACTCTTTATCTTATCCATAAGATGGAGATGATGATAGTATCTACCTCATGGGGTTGCAGAAGTATCAAATGTGATAAAACATGTACAATTCTTAGCTTAATGCCTGGCACAGAGTAATTACTCCATAAATATCTAGTAATTATAACTGCTATCATTATTATTTTCAAGTTAACAAAGTCATTCAATAGTGTAGTGATTCCTAAGTTAATGGTATTTATATTATTTGAATATGCATCTCCACTAGTAACATACTTTTTAACATACCCCCAATACATGCATTTATTTGTAAATTATATACATGTACTTTTGTGCATTATACAAATACCAAAAATAAAAATTTTAGAGGATAAGTAAAACGATACAATTGTGCCACTGCACTCTAGCCTGAGTGACAGAGACCCTGTCTAAAAAACAAAAAACATGTAATTTGCAATTCTTCTTTTTTCTTCTCTACCCTAGTTGCCTTGCACACTCCCTGAGCAGCAAGCACTTCCACTTCAGAGACTCCTGTCCTAAACAACTTTGCAATAATCTATTGAGTCCCCAAGAAACTGTAAAGATACCACAAAATTTACAACGGATAAAGGACTTTAAATTCATATGGATTTCAAATTGAAATTTGCACACTTTGGGAGTGGTTTTCAAGATGGAAAAAATCCTTATTTAAACAAATGACTTTGGAGTGTCATAACTCCAAAAAGGCCATGGACTGTTTCTCTAAAAACTAGGGAAGGGATAGCCGTCTCATTGCCAACAGTTGGCTAGTTTTTCGGAAGACTACACACAGCAATAATGTGGGCTAATTTTACATTGTTAGAGTTGATCTTTTATTCAATAAGTTCATTTTAAGGCTTCTTGCCCTCCTTCTGCCTCCCAAGTATAGAAGTCCATTAACACTTTCCAGAATATTCATAATAGGATAATGGAAAAGGTCAAAATTATAAGCCAGACTGATATTTCTCTTTTTCTGTCCTAGTACAAAGGACCGTGTCCTGTGGGGTCCAGGACTCTGGATTCTGATCATGAGGGGTTCAAGATGGTGTTCCAAGCACGGGAACAGCATGACCAAAGATAAGGAAGGAAAAAAAATACCCTAAGGTGTGCAGGGAATGGACTACAGGCAGTTTGGTTTAGCTAGAGAATAAAATTATGGAGTCAGAGTGAAGCCTGGAAGAGCAAACAGAGGCCAGGGTATGGGAGATCTCACATGCCATGCTAAATCTTAAAATTGACCCTGTAAGCAAGGGAAGCCATTGATGGGTTTTAAGAAGGGAAGTGCCAAGGTCAGGTTTGGATTTTAAATAGATTTATCTGGCAAATATGTAGAGGATTAGTTTGAGAAGAACAAACTGGAATCAGAGAGGCCATTTTTGAGCCTCATCTAGGGCAGAGATAATAAAAAACTAAATCTGAGCTCTGATGAATAGGACGGAGGAAAGAAAACAAACTAAACAACTAGCAGGACTTGGAGAGTATTGGATGTAGAAGATGAAGGAAGAAGGAGTCAAGGCTGAGCTGCTTTTGACTTAGGTGATTGGTAGGTGGGTACCATCAGTTGGAGAAAGAGCCAGTAGATGAGGTTAACATAATAAGTTTAGAGTTGGACATACAAGATTGAAGGGTCTGTGAACATTCAAATGTCTAGCAGGTAGTAGGTACATGAGTCTCAGGGACAAGAGGCAAAGATACAAAGCAAGAAGTTATTAGTATATAATTAGCTCTGAAATCTAGAAAGGCATAACTCGGAACTCAGGTATTCAAGGAAAGGAAGTCAGATAATGGAATCACTGCTTGAAAATCTTCCTGTCACTCACAGATTGTGATGCTTTTTCTTTTAGATAGACAGATAGATGGACAGATGAAAGATTGATAAGTAGGTAGGTAGGTAGATAGGTAGATAGGTGGATGGATGAATAGATAGATGAAAGATAGGTAGGTAGATAGATGATAGATAGATAGATAGATAGACAGATAGATAGATGATAGATAGAGAGATAGATGCCTTCTATCAAAAGGTTTCCATACTGGATTGAGAAATGTTTAAACATAAGAGGTCTCCCCACAGGTATTAGATTCTGTGAAGAAATACCCCTCTGTAGCCCAACACATATCAACTTCACTGTATACATACACTGAAAAGAAAATCAATATAGTTGAATGAATGATCTTTTTCTATTTTAAGGGGAGGAAGCAAGTTACCAAGAAAACCATGTTAATATTTTATGAAACTATTTTTAAATAATCCTCACTGTTGGCTGGAGATGGTGGCTCATGCCTGTAATCCCAGTACTTTGGGATCCCAAGGCAGGCAGATCACATAAGATCAGGAGTTCAAGACCAGTCTGGCTGACATGGTGAAACCTCATCTCTACTAAAAATACAAAAATTAGCTGGGCATGGGGGCACATGCCTGTAGTCTCAGCTACTAGGGAGGCTGAGGTGGGAGGATTGCTTGAACCTGGGAGGTGGAGGTTGCAGTGAGCCGAGATTATGCCACTGCACTCCAGCTTGCATGGCAGAGTAAAACTCCGTCTCAAAAAAAAAAAAAAAAATCCTCACTGTTTTTACCATTTCAATGACAATGTCACTCATTCACCATCAAGATTAATTAAAACAGCATCCTTAACCCTGTTCCCTTCAACCAGAGAAATTAAAAATATGATACACCAGCCAGGTGTGGTGGCTTACGCCTGTAATCCCAGCACTTTGAGAGGCTGAGGCGGGTGGATCACCTGAGATCAGGAGGTCGAGACCAGCCTCGCCAACATGGTAGCACCCCATCTGTACTAAAAATATAAAAATTAGCCGGGTGTCGTGGTGCATTGTCTGTAGTCTCAGCTACTTGGGAGGCTGAGGCAGGAGAATTGCTTGAATCTGGGAGGTAGAGGTTGTAGGGAGGCGTGATCATGACACTGCACTCCAGCCTGGGCGACAGAGTGAGACTCCATTGCAAAAAATAAAAAAATAAATAAAAATAAAAATATGATACACCAGTCTCAAAAATTCTCAGATACTGTACCGGTTATTCATCATTGAGTAACAAACCATCCCAGCACTTAGTGGTGTAAACAGTAGTTATTTTATTTGCTCATGAGTCCATGGGTCAGAAATTCGCACAGGGCTCAGCAGAGGCAGCAGTCTCTGCTCCACATCAGCCTGACTGGGGCTCAAGTATCCAAGGTGGGTTCACCTTTAAGTCAGGCTGGCTGCCAGCTGAAGCACCTCAGTTTTCCTGCACATAGCCTCTCCCTCCAGTAGGACAGTCTAAACATCTTTATATGGTGGCTAAGTTACCCCGCAGGGAAAATGAAAACTATGAAGTTTCTTGAGGCCTAGGCTGAGAAGTCCCAGAACTTGTGCCACAGTGTATTAATGAAAACAAGTCATGAGATCACCCCAGATTCAAAGAGAGAGGACATAAGTCTGCCCTATAATGAGGGAATGGCATACAAGGATGATTTGTTACTCAGTGATGGATAACTAATACAATATCTAAGAATTTTTGTACAGGGATGGAAGGAATCATGGAGCTATCTTTGCAGACAATCTTACACAGAGATTGTCATCAGTTCAGTGAATTCATTGGGTCAATGAAATTAACATGGACCCAGATTCATTCATCTTCCTATCATGCCACCCTCAGTATACATCCAAGATGGCCAGGGTAGCCCCAGACATCCTGTACTTGCACAACAATACTTAAAGGCCATAAAACAGGATGGGCAGGGGAAGAAGGCTGCATCTCTTCCTCATGACTCTTTTTAGAACAAGAAAATATATTCCATTAAAGCCTTACATCTCGTTGTCCATAACTGCATCATGTGCCCAATCTTAAACCAAAGGAATGACTGTGACTGGCTTAGATTAATCAAGATTTGCCCCAGCAGCTATACAGGGACAGTCTCCCCTGAAGCACTTGATTGCCTGATACTTGAACAAAATCAGTTCTATGAGTGCAAGGAAGAAGGAGACAGCTATTTGGTAAGCAACCAGCTGCGTCTGCCGCAGATATTGAAGATACTGAACAAAAATTATTTAAAAGTTTGAATCAAATGCCAAACGATCTTCCTTTAAATAATAAAAACTCCTGAAACATTAATAGCAATGTATGAAGATTCAATGCTGATTTTCAAAAACTCACAGACTTTTTCTTAAAACACACTTGGAAAAAAAATGTTACAATACATAAAATGCATGTCTTTTGTTATTAATATTGAAAGTTATCTTGGCTATTTCTTTACCCTATAGGGAGATGAAGCTTAAAAAAAGAAGAACTGGGCTGTTAAATCTTAGCACTGACCTTCAAAGTCCCGCTAAGATTTCTTGAGGAATTCCTCTCAGGAAAGCTTTGGATTAGGTTCAGTTCTGTTAACTATCTTCTGGTAGCAAGAGGGCATAAGTAGTTGAGCAGAGGAAATATCAGAGTCAAACTGGTCTGCCATCTTCCACCGCCATCTTGGGGTCCATATTTTGCAGATTCGCCTCTGAAGAGCACAGCTGTGTGGAAACAGGAAGTCAAGAACCAATGACCATTTATTTCACCAGTGGGACCACAGGCTTTCCTAAAATGGCCCAGCACTCTCAGAGCAGCCTCGGCATTGGGTTCACCCTCTGCGGAAGGTAGGGAAGAAAATTCAGTTTGTTTTTGGTGAACTCCCCCAAAGCTGCGAATATGCGTATCCAACTAACTGATACTTCTCCTTGAATTGCTATAAGATATTGGCAATTATAATAGCTACAAAACAGAACTCTTGCTGGCCCCGCCCAACCTAGCTCAGTAAATGGCAGCATCTAACCAGCTGATTAAGCAAAAGCTTAAGAATCAACCTTAATTAATCCCTTAACAGCATGTCTGGCTCCCTTTTCTCATTGCCAGGAAGGCCTACCCAGAAAGGCCTTCCTAAAAGAGAGGCTATCCGACCATTGTCACATTATCCTATTTTATTTTCCTCATGGCATTTATACTACTTGAAATAATTACATTTATTAATGTACTTAACTCACTTTATTGTATATTTATTCACTATCTGTCACCCTAAAATAAGAGCAGAGATTTGGTCTACCTTGCTCACTGCTGTAGAACAACGCCTAGCACATTTCGGCTTAACAAGTATTTGTTGCATCAATGGACAAACTCAAAAAATCATGCCACACCCAGCCTCCCACTGTACTCTCAGACCGCCTGGGATTCTGAAAATGCCCTTAAGAAGAGTAGAAGTTGAATCTATCACCTTGCCTGGGGCTTCTTTTGACCCTTCTCTGTAGCCCTTAAGATATAGGGGCAAAGTCACCCCTGAAAGATACCAGTTTGTAATTTTTGTTTGTTTATTTTTGGTCTGTTTTGTTGCTTTTTCATATCATTTAGGTATTGGCTGGACTTGAAGTCCTCAGATATCATATGGAATATGTCTGACACGGGCTGGGTCAAGGCCGCCATTGGCAGTGTGTTTTCTTCCTGGCTGTGTGGAGCCTGTGTTTTTGTGCATCGAATGGCACAGTTTGACACTGACACCTTCCTAGACGTAAGTCATGTCCTCCAGCTAGATAGATCTTTAGAGTTCTTCCTTGTTTCCCATAAAATCACAAAGAAATTATTCCTTAGAATACAAGGCTTCTTGGGCTTTTGGAAATCATTTCTTTATACAAAGCAAAGTCTCAAGGGCCTCAGCTTTTGAAACGTATTTGACAGAATGGAGGGGGAACAACTGCAACACTCTGAGGCAGGAAATCCAGACTTCTGCTTCAAATAGCTCAGGATTTGCTAGTGTTGCTAAATCTGTAGCTACTTAAGAAACTGGTTCTAAATAACAGATTAGGAGTCTGAAGTCTAAACAAATACTTCATTTCTAATTCAATGAAATAAAGATAATAGCTGATAAACCAGAACTCTTGTGTGGAGTGGACATTAAAGGTGGGGGTGCCTTTCTCCCAGAGCAGCTCCTCTTATTCTCCCCCAGCCTATACTTCTCACTTTGTTAATTCTCAGAACCCGATACTCTTCTGGAAATCGGGCATGCATGCCCTGTCTTCTCAACCAGGGACAGCTAGATTGAGATATCAGATAACTCCAATTTCTTTAGACTTTAGAAAAATGTGATTCAGGCCAATTATTTTTCAACCATGGCAAATTTATTAAGTTTAACAAAATACATATTATTACATACAAACCATACCTGTGTGTGAATAAAAGCTCTTCACCTGTTATTTTGCTAAATGGTCTGACAAGATGGTTTAAGGCAGCAGTCTGCAACCTTTTTGGTACCAGGGACTGGATTCGTGGAAGACAATTTTCCCATGGACTAGGGGGAGCGGGGAGATAATTTCAGGATGATTCAAGTACATTACATTTATTGTGT
Source organism: Homo sapiens (assembly GCF_000001405.40). NCBI lineage: Eukaryota > Metazoa > Chordata > Mammalia > Primates > Hominidae > Homo > Homo sapiens. The sequence continues at coordinate 7,319,017 of NC_000012.12, forward strand.
ACTTTATTTCTATTATTATTAAATTATAATGTATAACGAAATAATTATACAAGTCACCATAATGTAGAATCAGTGGAAGCCCTGAGATTGTTTTCCTGCAACTAGACAGTCCCATCTGGGGGTGATGGGAGATAGTGACAGATCATCAGGCATTAGATTCTCTTAAGGAGCACACAACCTAGATCCCTCACATGCACAGTTCACAATAGGGTTCAGGCTCCTATGAGAATCTAATGCCACCATTGACCTGACAGGAGGCGGAGCTCAGGTGGTAATGCGGGCAATGGGGAGTGGCTATAAATACAGATAAAGCAGGCATAATCCCAGCACTTTGGGAGGCTGAAGCAGGTGGATCACGAGGTCAGGAGTTCAAGACCAGCCTGGCCAAGATGGTGAAACCTCGTCTCTACTAAAAATACAAATAATTAGCCAGGCATGGTGGTGGGTGCCTGTAATCCCAGCTACTTGGGAGGCTGAGGCAGAGAATTGCTTGAATCTGGGAGGCAGAGGTTGCAGTGAGCCGAGATCACACTACTGCACTCCAGCCTGGGTGACAGAGCAAGACTCCGTCTCAAAAAAAAAAAAAAAAGAAAAAAATACAGATGAAGCTTCGCTCACCTTGCCCCGCCACTCACCTCCTGCTGTGTGGCCCAGTTCCTAATAGGCCACAAACAGAAACCAGTCTGTCCTTTGGGTTGGGGATCCCTGGTTAAAAGGTCTTACTTAACATAAATGTACACTAACCTAAGAACTGAGATCTCTACATCAGGTTTACAAAGTGCCCTAAAGTTGGTAAGTTAACTTTGCAGTTTCAAAACCTACATTTGTAAAATAAGAATACTTTTATTTTACAAAAATCATGTGTGTATTTTAAGTGCTATAAAAACCTTTATAGATTTATGCTATTTTTAGGTGTATACATTACACTTTCTAAAAATAATTAGACTCTGCGGAGCAGATACACATGGTAGAAATGCTTACTTACCGATCAAACATCATACTTTATCTGTGACAATCCAGGCAGCCCAGACATACATTTTGAGAGCCTTCTCCCAAATACTTAAGTTTAATACAAATTGTCAATACATTAAGGGACATAGTGGAACTTCTCCAGAAGGAGGAGCTCTAAAACATTAGTATTTCTCTAGATTTAAGATGCCTAGGCCATATCTTATTTAAGAAACCAGAGACATAATGAACTCAGCAAATTTTTAAAAATTAAGAAAAGGCCAAAAAAAATGCTTATTTCTACATTTATTCAACTTACTGAAAAAGACTAATGTATTTTATAGGAATGGAGCTGGAAAGGTCCCAGTAGGTTAGCTTATACATCCATAGTCAATACTATCCATGAATATATTGGCAGGAGGTTACAAGATTACACTATAAGAGGTAAGTTGTAGCCCTGAGGAAGAATAAACCAGTTCATACTTTGGGTTGTTCTCAAATTAAGCAATTCACTTGTTGAATTAGATTGTGTATGTCTGTTACTGTAATATTAATATATATACATTCTTTTCAGTAATTGGAAATTCCCAACAGATATACAGTCACTAGTGACAAGTAATAAATATTGTTTTCTTATTCCTAGTAGTGACCACGGGATGGGCACATATTAATGGAAGAAAATAACAGGGTGTAGATATCAGCTCTAGTCATGGCCTTTGAATGACCACTTCTGACATCTGTGTCTTTCTCCATCATCCAGACACTTACTACTTATCCCATCACGACCCTGTGCAGTCCTCCCACTGTGTACCGGATGCTCGTGCAAAAAGACCTTAAGAGGTACTTGGGCAGAAATCTCCATTTGAACCACAAACAATAGCTACCATCCAGGATCACAGATCTCTCTTTTTCAGCATAGGATAGCTCAGGCTTTCTCAGTCTTACCACCACTGACATTTTGAACCGAATAATTCTATCGTCGGAGGACGGTCGTATGCATTACAGAATGTTGAGCAGCATCTCAAGACTCTATTAGACGCCAGTAGCACCTCCTCCTCCCCATTTGTGAAAATCAAAAATGTCCCTAGACACTGCCGAATGTCTTCTGGGGGGCAAAACTGTTCCCTAGTCTAAGAACCACTGGAATATCCTCTAGGACAACTGGACATTTTTCCAGGGACAACCAGACCTCTGTAGTCCCAGAACTCCCACTCAAAAAAAAATTGTCCTCTAGTTCTATTCTTTTAAAAACACTGTCATTTAGAACTCAAAAAAGAAAGAAAGAAAAGCACATTTATACTGCTTTGAAGAAAAGCTAACAAAATTTATGACTTGAAGGTCATATTCAATTTAGCCAAACCATATGAACATCCAGTAGAGTTGCAATGTATATTTGTTTAATTCAAACTCAATACATGAGGAGAGAAAGGAATAGAGGAGCAAATTAAGTAGCATAGGCTTGTCCATCCTCTTTTGCCACCAAAGTGTGGTTGCCCAAGAGGGAAAGTGCTATGCGAGACAGAATAAAGCAAACATGGATCTTCTCTTTTCCTAGTCAGTGTCAACTCCTTTGCTCCTATGTCACGGCCTTTGAAACATCAGCATCTTGTTCACATTTCAAGAGTAATTCAGGGACTATTCAATGATTATTTTGAATACACATGATTTGTATTCTACCCACACCCTCTGGCCCATTTGGGGCCTCAGTGTATGAGAAGCAGGCTGTTCCAGGCTTTCTCACCTGTGTCCAGTAAGGCTAGTGGTTAAAAGCTAAGCTCCAAAGTCAAACAGGCAGGGCCCTGCTACTTACTAATCACGTGGCCTTGGACACTCAAGATAACCTTGCTAAGCATCAACTCCATCTAGAAGAGAGGATTAAGAGCCCCCTCATAAGGTTGTGGTGAGAATTTAATGTAAGTGACATGCTTGGTGAGATCACCCTGACAAGTGGGAGGTGCCTGGTACAGAGTTTCATGAGTATCAACTCAGTCCTTTATTACATGGAAGGCTTTCGGCAAGTTCTTTAACCTCTCTGAACCTCAATGTCCTCATGTGTAAATAGGGGTTGAGAAGATTCTAAGAATGCTTCTAAAGCCCTTACAACATAGCGACTGATCAATCAATATTAGCTGTTATATCATGTGGCTCATCAAAAGCACTTAGTATCATTAATAGCATCTTCTCCTGCCTTTTTACATCTTTAATAGCTAAGTTCTCCTCCACCTGCTAAAATGAAAGCTGTCAGGAATTTTCGTTATAATCACTAATGTGCCCCCATATGCCTAGAACAATGTCTGGCAATATAGCAGGTGTTCAACAAGTATTTGTTGAATGAACTTTGCTAAGACTTGCCTCTCCTAGCTGCTATGCTTACTGCTTGAATGTCCTAATTGTCTTGCAGTGAAAGCACTCAGGTTCCTCTTGAAAAGACCCATGCAACTCTGTCTCTCCAGATATAAATTCAAGAGTCTGCGGCACTGCTTGACCGGAGGGGAGCCACTCAACCCAGAAGTGCTGGAGCAGTGGAGGGTGCAAACTGGGCTGGAGCTATATGAGGGCTATGGACAGACGGAAGTGGTATATCTAAAGGGCATTTATGTTTAGTATATGTGGGGGCCTTTCTGCCCCAGGTTTTTCAACTGAGCCCCTGAAGTGCCCCCATCCCACTGTAAATTTTTATAGAGTTTCCCGGGATACCTCACCTTGCCAGTAGTTACCAAAACTTGCAGATTGCTCAGTTAGGTTTTGATGAAGGAGAATGATGATTATTCCATCATTCCTGCCTCCCCCTTATGCAGGATAAATCTCAGAGGCGTTAGCGGGTGGGTGAGGTTCAGAACTGAGCAGCTCATCTTTCCACTGTGCTGGGAATAATCCTCTGAGAGCGTCCATGGGAAATTGAGTCCAAGGTGCATTTAACGGAGTCCAAGGAGTGGTTTTCAAAGTGTGGCCCTCAAACCAAGCAACATCAACATCATCTAGGTAGATTTGGTAGAAATACCAAATTCTTAGACCCCATTCCACACCTAATGAATCAGAAACTCTGGGATAAGGCCCATCAATCTGTGTTTCAACAATGTTCCAGAATTTCAAATTTGATTCTACTGCACACCGAAGTTTGAGAACTACTGGTTTCAAATAATATATTTCAGAAGGTGCGCCTGCATACCAGGAAAATCAGTCAAAATCAAATCTTAATTTTCATTGCCATGATATAGTTTCAGAATATAAACTTTTGTATACTTATACAAAGCTTGTCCTCTCAATAGGGAATGATTTGTGCCAATCAGAAAGGCCAAGAAATTAAACCAGGTTCAATGGGGAAAGGAATGCTGCCCTATGATGTCCAGGTAGGTTGAGAAAATATCTGACTGGTTCAGTAAAGGAGAGAGAACGTTTTCCTTTTCTGCTATTCATTGCACAACTATTCATAAGCTGCTTTCATTTTTGTGAAAAGAAAATTTTAAGACCATCAATTATTTCTTTCATTCCAGATTATAGATGAAAATGGCAATGTTCTACCACCTGGCAAAGAAGGGGAAATTGCCCTCAGACTCAAACCTACACGGCCCTTCTGTTTCTTCTCTAAATATGTGGTATGAGGATAGAAAGTGCTGGTCATGCTTAATACAGACTTGGGTTCAAATTTCATTTCCACCGTGTCTTGCTATGTAATCTTGGGCAAGCAACAAAATCTTTCACAACTGTAAAATGGGGAGACTATCATCTGTCACCCAAGAGTACTGTAAAGATGAAATTCCAAATGTAAGAAACCAGTTGCAGTGGTTATCCTCAGAAAGGAAAACCGGACAGGCTGGAATGAGGGTGCAGTTGGGGGGTGCTAGAGGTAGAAGAGGGGCTTTTTATTATACTCTTTATGACCTTTTGTATTTTATATTACAAACTATCTTTTAAAAAAATTTAATTTCCAGCCAGGCACAGTGGCTCACGGCTATAATTTCAGCACTTTAGGAGGCCGAGGTGGGAGGGTGGCTTGAGCCCAAGAGTTCAAGACCAGCCTGGGCAACATAGTGAGAACCCATCTCTACAAAAACATAATACGGTTAGTCAGGTGTTGTGGCACATGTCTGTGGTCCCAGCTACTCAGGAGGCTGAGGTGAGAGGATCACTAGAGCCCAGGAGGTCGAGGCTGCAGGCTCCAGTCTAGGCAACAGAGAGAGACTCTGTCTCAAAAAAAAAAAAATTTCCTATATAAGTAGGATGTGTAATGTACTAGTCACTTAATGAGTGCCATACCCATCTCTGTTCTGACCAGACTAATCCCCAAATGTCATCCTTGGTTCCCAGGACAATCCACAGAAAACTGCTGCCACGATAAGAGGAGATTTTTATGTCACTGGAGACAGAGGAGTGATGGACAGTGATGGGTATTTCTGGTTTGTCGGCAGAGCTGATGATGTCATTATATCCTCTGGGTTTGTATATTTGCCACTCTGAAGAGGTAACAATTCGACAGGGAGGGAGATCTCTAACTTGGAGGATGTGGTGGTCAAAAACTTCTTTTCCTCTTCAGGTACCGTATTGGGCCATTTGAAGTGGAGAGTGCACTCATTGAGCATCCAGCAGTTGTTGAATCGGCTGTTGTCAGTAGTCCAGATCAAATCCGCGGAGAGGTAGATGAATGTCATTTATTAAAGAAGCAACATCATATTTTCAAGTTCTGTCCATTTGACCACTGTAAAGGCTGAACCAAGAGAGGTCAATCTATTAATTCTCGTTATGAAGCATGCATTTGGCCAAAATATAAATCAGGCAACCAACTTTACAATAAGTTGTGTCCCAAAGGGGTGGTATTAGAATTCTTTTGATGGCAAGTGGCAGAAACACAATTCCAACTGCCTTAAGTTAAAAAAAAAAAAAAAGCATTTGGCTCATATAAGTGACAAGTACTTAAGTACAGCCACATCCAAAGGTTCATGTGAGGTTGGCAAGATTTAGCCCCTCTTCACTTTTGGCTCTGCTATTCTTTGTTATGGCTCCAGTTGATCAGATTCTTCCTACTTGATAGCAACCAACTCCAGGTGTATACACCTTAGCAACCCTCCACCCCTTCAGGGAAGGATACAGCTCTGTTTTCAGTTGTTTCAAGTAACTCTCAAGACTTCATTTGCCTACCTTAGATCACATCTCTAACCAATGTGGTTCAGAGACTGGTACATGCTGATCGGTCAGACTTGGATCATACGTCTATCCTTGGAAGTAGGTGTTGGTGTCAGTCCCACCAGAGAGAAGTTAGGGTAATACTCCATAGGAAAATTAGTTACTAAAAAGGAGGAACAGATACTGCATAGGCAAAAGCCACAGATTTCACTGAATGGAAAACTGTCATGGAATTCAGAATATCTTTTCTCACAGAAACAAGACAAATAGAAAATGGTGGGCTGGGCACGGTGGCTCACGCCTGTAATCCCGGCACTTTGGGAGGCCGAGGTGGGTGGATCACTTGAGGTCAGGAGTTCGAGACCAGCCTGGCCAACATGGTGAAACCCTGTCTCTACTAAAAATACAAAAATTAGCCTGGCATGGTGGCGGGCACCTGTAATCTCAGCTACTTAGGAGGCTGAGGCAGGAGAACTGCTTGAACCTGGGAGGCAATGGTTGGAGTGAGCCAAGATTGCACCACTGTACTCCAGCCTGGACAACAGAGACAGACTCTGTCTCAAAGAAAAAGCAAGAAAGAAACAAAACTGTGGCCAGGTTCCCAAACAAGTCTCATGAGCCTATTTAGGATCTAAGGAAAGGGAACTCTGGCAATGACAATAATAGCCTTAATTCTAGGAGGAAGCCCTATTTTCATAATTGCTTTTCCTTATGGAAGTTTCTACAGACACAACAAGTGACAAAATTTCAAAACAATTTGTCAGCATCGTTCCACATCTGTACCTCCCTCTCACACACCAGTGAGCCTCTGTAGTGACACTGTGGATCCCATACTCTTACCTCCTGTACTCACTCTACTCTCCATCTATTCCATTCTCAAAAATAGTTTCTTCCTGCCACCATGTTCTTATTCTCTCAATATAAATGATTTCAGCTGAACAGAAGTAACCAACAATTAGAATCAATGTATGAACAATAAATAATATAAATTATGCTTACTAACCTCAGTAATTGTCTAACTGGTGGGTTTGAAACAGCATTTCAAAGAGAAGCAAACAATATGAGGCAAAAAAGACCTCACATAGATCAATCCTTCCTGAGAGGTTTTTGGCTTTTGGCTTTGTTTTGTTTTTTTGAGATGGAGACTTGCTCTGTCACCCAGGGTGGAGTGCCGTGGTGCAGTTATAGCTCACTGTAACCTCTCAAACTGCTGGGCTCAGTCGATCCTCCTGCCTCAGGCTCTCAAGTTGCTAGTACTACAGGTGTGCACAACTGCACCCTGGTTAATTTTCTTTTTAAGTCTTTGTAGAGATGGGGTCTCACCATGTTGACCAGGCTGGTTTCAAACTCCGGGGCTGAAGTTATCCTTCTACCTTGGCCTCCCAAAGTCTTGGGGTTATAGGTGTAAGCCACCATGCTCAGCCCTTTCCTGAGATTTGATCTCCCAGGATACACAGTCCTTCCTCCGTTGAGACCCTCCAAACTGCTTTGAAACCACATATTCTCTAGGAACTCCATTTGTTCCCCTGCTACATGCTTCTAATGGTATAGGTTTAATGGAGTAAGTGGTCATCCATAAACCAAGGACTGTCTGTGTAATAAATAGGATCAGTCTGATTGAAATGTTAAATATATATGTATCTATAAATAGAACTTAGCTTTCTTGAACTGCTGCACTCCTCACACTCATAAACCACTTACCTGAAAATATTCTGAAAAACCTCACTTTGTAATTGTATCCAAGCTTTGTTCAGAGGTAACCTCTGGCATTTGCAGTCATCACACAAACTGTTATTAATAAATAGTAAGCACCTGTGTTCAGCATTTGTTGCAAATCCTTGATGTGTCTGAAAAACAAATGAGCAAGATAAATTAACTTTTCTGTTGCAGGTGGTGAAAGCTTTTGTTGTCTTAGCTGCACCCTTTAAGTCCTACAACCCAGAGAAATTAACTCTTGAACTTCAGGATCATGTGAAAAAATCAACTGCACCTTACAAATATCCAAGAAAGGCAAGTGCTTTGCCCAAAAGTTAAGTTTGGATGTTACCAAACTAGGGTCTAAGCTAGAATTAGATTTTACTGGATTTTGATTTTATAGTAGCTCATTATATAGGTAGAAGACACTTTTCAATTTGTTTAACCCTAAGAATTTTGCTTTAAAATGTTTTATATTAGAACGGTATAAGTGAATTATAAACCAGAACCTTTAATCAACTCTGCAATACTGAATCACTACTAAGAGTCTTTCTAGGACTAACTAGTCCCATTCTGTATGAGAAAAACACAGTGGCAAAGAATTGCCAAGTGCCTTGTTTTTAGGGACAGTGCTTGATTCACCTATCTCAGTACTCTTATCCCTAATACCCCTATAAATTCAAAGTACATGCCTTGAAGTATCAAGTGACCTCATTTAGTGTTCAGAAGAAGATGATATCCAAAGAAACTATGGAATCTTTCCTGAAACCTTCTTCAAAGAAGGATTTAAGAACAATACTACGTAAATACATGAAGATGGCCCTGTAGTTTCCTTCTAACCATGGAACTGGGTGATAATTACTGATCCTCTGCATGAGATTTCTGTTTAGCACTGTTTCAGTCAAAAAGTAGTTAAACCTAAAAACTACTCACATTTTCTCCATTAAATTCACTAAATCATTGACTAAAGTCACTAAATCAGTGACTGTTGACTTTCAGAAAGGCTATCTGAGGGCATTTTAAAATACAGTAGTCTTATTTTGAGAGAAGAGAACAAAAAGAGGATTTTTGTGGTCAAGTCAGGGCAGAAGGGAAAACTGTATATACTCCAAATTATCCCTAAAAATCTTCCTCAAAACCTCCAGCATCCAGCTCTGAAAAGACAAGAACTGTTCTTTTTGTATTTAGCTGTAATCTCCATTTCTCGGGAACAGTAGAAGCCTAGGACTAGTTTGAACTAGGGGAAAGCAATGGGGTAAAGGGATTATTACTTTCTTCTGGCAAAGCATTTCAGTGAATTTGCACTAAAAACCCGTAAGATGGAGCTACACTATCACCCTTCCTACATAAACAGACGTTTCTGGTGTCCATGAAATTCAATGAGCTTAGGCTAAGATAATCTCGACTTTAAAATTCAGTCTGAGTTCCATGCAAGCTCCTTCCTATCGCACGGACAATTGGAAGGATGGAATCAAGTGTCTCATCACGTTTTTTTCTGTCAATTAGGTGGAATTTGTTCAAGAACTCCCAAAGACAATCACTGGGAAAATCAAACGCAACGTTTTAAGAGACCAAGAATGGAGAGGAAGATAGTTTGATAACAAAGCTGAAGGGTTAAGCAGTAATATGGTTGCTTTCTTTTAGTATTTGTTCCGATAATTCAGCGACTACTCTCTTAAAATGTTTAAGATCTTTCCTGCTTGAAAACTCAACTGTTGATTTTTTGGTTTTTACTTAGCTAAAAAGTTTAAAAGTAAATAAAAGCCTCAAAAACGTATGGATGAAAATTGTTATAATGACCAAACTGACAAAGGTAATGATGATGATTTGTAGTGTTTAAAATAGCAGGAATAAAATGATTGCTTAGAACAAGAAAGTGCACATTGAATCTGTATTTCATTTACCTTGTGCCTGATTGATTCAAAATAAACATATATCCTAAGAGAAATGTTCAAGACAATTTCTTCTGCTTAACATCTTTATGAGACCAAACTTCAAGACATTAAAGTAAGGAGTATAAATAATTCAAAAATTAGCGAGTTTAATGAAATTAAGTACTGTATTATTGTGCCTCATTTTGAAGCAAACTAACTGTAAAATATCTGAATGTATACATCTGTATATATGTATATATATCTGTATATATACACATATGTGTATATATGTATATATACTGTATATCTAGATACATATATACATATGTGTATATACACATATGTATATATAGATATATCTGTATTAACTCTGCAATACTGATGTATCTGTATATATACATATGTATATATCTGTATATAAATATATATATCTGAATGTATATATACACATATGTATCTATATATACACATATATACATCTATATACATATACATATATATACATCTGAAAGTGTATATGTATATATATACACATAAAGCAAGAGATTTACTAAGAGGCCAAAAGAAAGAAAAAGTACAGAATACCAATCTTTAGGGAACAAATTTACTTTTATTTTTTATTTTCTTTTTCTTTTTTTTTTTTCAGCTATTAGTGGTTTATTTGCTTCAGTACCATATTTAATTTTTTTTTCTTTTTTTTCTTTTATTATTATACTTTAAGTTTTAGGGTACATGTGCACATTGTGCAGGTTAGTTTTATTTTTCTAAAAATATCAGGAACTATGAAAAAGAAGCTTGATATTTGGCCATACCAAAAGCAAAATACAAGTAAAAATAACATTTGAAAACCATTTTTAACCTTAGAGAAACATATATTAAAATACAAAGCTTAACATTCTTTCCTCTATAAAGCTAAGCAAATTTTCTAAACCACAAGACTGCAGTTGTTTTTTTTGTTTGTTTGTGTTTTTTTTAACTGACATAATTTTTTAAAAGAAAAACCTAAAGGGGGAAAAGAAAGCACTCAATTCTTACCCTGGAATCTCATCACTTATCAAGTAACATGCTCAAATGTCAGTAAAAATAAATAGTTGATAAACCTGAAAACAAATTTTTTAATGAGTTCAGGTTATAACCCAACACAGGATTTTATAGCTGGGAAAGAAGAGCTTGTATAACAACCGAGGCTTACCAAATACAAATAAATATAAAAGCCTAATAAAAACAAACTATCAAATCAAAATCTTTCTGCAGCAGCTTTCACAAAGTGAAAACAACTCAGTTCCACGGAGCTGTATGTTCTGTAGGCATATGGCTAATTTTATTCTGAGTCCTTTGGTCTTATACTATCAAAAGAATCTTTGTCTTGGAGCAAGTCTACTGAAGAAGGCACCAAAATCCTATCCTCCCTATTCACCTAAGTGATTTTAATAATCCTCTTATCAATCCTTTCAAGGTAACTTCAACATCAGTAAGAGTTAACATTCTAAATATCTAAAGCTATGGAAGGAAGGTCCTGCCTATTCTCTTTGCCCCTCTCAAATCCTTCTAGTCTGGTTTACCAAGCAAAAACACTAGCTAGGAGGCTAAAAATATATTCCTATGTTCACTAGCCATTAAATAAACATAGCCACCTGTGTGGGAAGCCTAACATTTTTACTACTTTTCAAAACTTAATAATAAGTCCATTTCCGTAAGCTAACTTTACAGCCCCTCAATATTCTTAATCTAGACAGTTTACTTCACAGACTTTGTTGGTGTCTGTCTCTTCTAGCCTTTTTCAATTGTTTTACCCAGGAACAGTCCTTGAAAAAGCTTTCAAATTCAGGGAACCCCTGCAGGGAACCCTCATGGTAAGTGAGTGTTAGGATTAAGTTGAAGAATACTCCTATTTCACAGAAACCTAGAACTGTCTAACTAGGGCTGAGTTCACTCTCTTCCTTCAGAGATAAAATTTCAGGCTGAGCAAATTTAGAGAAAGGGTTCCTCATCCAGTCATACACTAGCACTGGGAAAAGGAGAGAAAATGCTATTTAATTTGGTTTTGTGGTTCCTCCAGGTGGGTTATATAGCAAGATTTGAGAGTTGTACCCTTCATGCTGAAGTCCAAGTGGCTACAAAAACATTTCAAGAGTTCCTCTGGCAAGGTGGCAGGTCAGTTTCCTTTTAGAACTAAGACTCGAGTCTACAGCTCCCAGCATGAGTGACGCAGAAGACGGATGATTTCTGCATTTCCAACTGAGGTACCAGGTTCATCTCACTAGGGAGTGCTGGACAGTGGGTGCAGGACAGTGGGTACAGTGCACCGTGCACGAGCTGAAGCAGGGCGAGGCATCGCCTCACCCAGGAAGCAAAAGGGGTCAGGGAAGTCTCTTTCCTAGTGAAAGAAAGGGGTGACGGATGGCACCTAGAAAATTGGGTCACTCCCACCATAATACTGCACTTTTCCAATGGGCTTAACAAATGGCACACCAGGAGATTATATCCCACACCTGGCTCAGAGGGTCCTACGCCCACAGAGCCTCGCTCATTGCTAGCACAGCAGTCTGAGATCAAACTGCAAGATGGCAGCGAGGCTGGAGGAGGGGCGCCTGCCATTGCCCAGGCTTGAGTAGGTAAACAAAGTGGCCAGGAAGCTCAAACTGGGTGGAGCCCACCACAGCTCCAGGAAGCCTGCCTGCCTCTGTAGGCTCCACCTCTGGGGGCAGGGCACAGACAAACAAAAGGCAGCAATAACCTCTGCAGACTTAAATCCCTGTCTGACAGCTTTGAAGAGAGCAGTGGTTCTCCCAGCATGCAGCTTGAGATCTGAGAACAGGCAGACTGCCTCCTCAAGTGGGTCCCTGACCCCTGAGTAGCCTAACTGGGAGGCACCCCCCAGTAGGGGCGGACTGACACCTCACACGTCCGGGTACTCCCCTGAGACCAAACTTCCAGAGGAACGATCAGGCAGCAGCATTTGCGGTTCACCAATATCCGCTGTTCTGCAGCCACCGCTGCTGATACCTAGGCAAACAGGGTCTGGAATGGACCTCCAGCAAATTCCAACAGACCTGCAGCTGAGGGTCCTGACTGTTAGAAGGAAAACTAACAAACAGAAAGGACATCCACACCAAAAACCCATCTGTATGTCACCATCGTCAAAGACCAAAGGTAGATAAAACCACAAAGATGGGGAAAAAACAGAGCAGAAAAACCGGAAAATCTAAAAATCAGAGCGCCTCTCCTCCTCCAAAGGAACGCAGCTCCTCACCAGCAACAGAACAAAGCTGGAGGGAGAATGACTTTGACAAGTTGAGAGAAGAACGCTTCAGAAGATCAAACTACTCTGAGCTAAAGGAGGAAGTTCGAACCAATGGCAAAGAAGTTAAAAACCTTGAAAAAAAATTAGATGAATGGATAACTAGAATAACCAATGCAGAGAAGTCCTTAAAGGACCTGATGGAGCTGAAAACCACGGCATGAGAACTATGTGACGAATGCACAAGCCTCAGTAGCCAATACAATCAACTGGAAGAAAGGGTATCAGCAATGGAAGACGAAATGAATGAAATGAAGCGAGAAGAGAAGTTTAGAGAAAAAAGAATAAAAAGAAATGAACAAAGCCTCCAAGAAATATGGGACTATGTGAAAAGACCAAATCTACATCTGATTGGTGTACCTGAAAGTGACGGGGAGAATGGAACCAAGTTGGAAAACACTCTGCAGGATATTATCCAGGAGAACTTCCCCAATCTAGCAAGGCAGGCCAACATTCAAATTCAGGAAATACAGAGAACGCCACAAAGATACTCCTCGAGAAGAGCAACTCCAAGACACATAATTGTCAGATTCACCAAAGTTGAAATGAGGGAAAAAATGTTAAGGGCAGCCAGGGAGAAAGGTCAGGTTACCCACAAAGGGAAGCCCATCAGACTAACAGCTGATCTCTCAGCAGAAACTCTACAAACCAGAAGAGAGTGGGGGCCAATATTCAACATTCTTAAAGAAAAGAATTTTCAACCCAGAATTTCATATCCAGCCAAACTAAGCTTCATAAGTGAAGGAGAAATAAAATACTTCACAGACAAGCAAGTGCTGAGAGATTTTGTCACCACCAGACCTGCCCTAAAAGAGCTCCTGAAGGAAGCACTAAACATGGAAAGGAACAACCAGTACTAGCCACTGCAAAAACATGCCAAATTGTAAAGACCATTGATGCTAGGAAGAAACTGCATCAACTAATGAGCAAAATAACCAGCTAACATCATAATGACAGGATCAAATTCACACATAACAATACTAACCTTAAATGTAAATGGGCTAAATGCTCCAGTTAAAAGACACAGACTGGCAAATTGGATAAAGAGTCATGACCCATCAGTGTGCTGTATTCAGGAAACCCATCTCACCTGAAACCCATCTCACCAGGAAACACATCTCACCTGTTAACAGAAAGTTAACAAAGATACCCAGGAATTGAACTCAGCTCTGCACCAAGCGGACCTAATAGACATCTACAGAACTCTCCACCCCAAATCAACAGAATATACGTTCTTTTCAGCACCACACCACACCTGTTCCAAAATTGACCGCATAGTTGGAAGTAAAGCACTCCTCAGCAAATGTAAAAGAACAAAAATTATAACAAACTGTCTCTCAGACCACAGTGCAATCAAACTAGAACTCAGGATTAAGAAACTCACTCAAAACCACTCAACCACATGGAAACTGAACAACCTGCTCCTGAATGACTACTGGGTACATAACGAAATGAAGGCAGAAATAAAGATGTTCTTTGAAACCAATGAGAACAAAGACACAACATACCAGAATCTCTGGGACACATTTAAAGCAGTGTGTAGAGGGAAATTTATAGCACTAAATGCCCACAAGAGAAAGCAGGAAAGATCTAAAATTGACACCCTAACATGACAATTAAAAGAACTAGAAAAGCAAGAGCAAACACATTCAAAAGCTAGCAGAAGGCAAGAAATAACTAAGATCAGAGCAGAACTGAAGGAGATAGAGACTCAAAAAACCCTTAAAAAATCAGTGAATCCAGGAGCTGGTTTTTTGAAAAGATCAACAAAATTGATAGACCACTAGCAAGACTAATAAAGAAGAAAACAGAGAAGAATCAAATAGACACCATAAAAAATGACAAAGGGGATATCACCACCAATCCCACAGAAATACAAACTACCATCAGAGAATACTATAAACACCTCTACACAAATAAACTAGAAAATCTAGAAGAAATGGATAAATTCCTGGACACATACACCCTCCCAAGACTAAACCAGGAAGAAGTTGAATCTCTGAATAGACCAATAACAGGCTCTGAAATTGAGGCAATAATTAATAGCTTACCAACCAAAAAAAGTCCAGGACCAGATGGATTCACAGCCGAATTCTACCAGAGGTACAAGGAGGAGCTGGTACCATTCCTTCTGAAACTATTCCAATCAATAGAAAAAGAGGGAATCCTCCCTAACTCATTTTATGAGGCCAGCATCATCCTGATACCAAAGCCTGGCAGAGACACAACCAAAAAAGAGAATTTTAGACCAATATCCTTGATGAACATTGATGCAAAAATCCTCAATAAAATACTGGCAAACTGAATCCAGCAACACATCAAAAAGCTTATCCACCATGATCAAGTCGGCTTCATCCCTGGGATGCAAGGCTGGTTCAACATACGAAAATCAATAAACATAATCCAGCATATAAACAGAACCAAAGACAAAAACCACATGATTATCTCAATAGATGCAGAAAAGGCCCTTGACAAAATTCAACAACCCTTCATGCTAAAAACTCTCAGTAAATTAGGTACTGATGGGATGTATCTCAAAATAATAAGAGCTATCTATGACAAACCCACAGTCAATATCATACTGAATGGGCAAAAACCGGAAGCATTCCCTTTGAAAACTGGCACAAGACAGGGATGCCTTCTCTCACCACTCCTATTCAACATAGTGTTGGAAGTTCCAGCCAGGGCAATCAGGCAGGAGAAGGAAATAAAGGGCATTCAATTAGGAAAAGAGGAAGTCAAATCGTCCCTGTTTGCAGATGACATGATTGTGTATCTAGAAAACCCCATTGTCTCAGCCCAAAATCTCCTTAAGCTGATAAGCAACTTCAGCAAAGTATCAGGATACAAAATCAATATGCAAAAATCACAAGCATTCTTATACACCAATAACAGACAAACAGAGAGCCAAATCATGAGTGAACTCCCATTCACAATTGCTTCAAAGAGAATAAAATACCTAGGAATCCAATTTACAAGGGATGTGAAGGACCTATTCAAGGAGAACTACAAACCACTGCTCAATGAAATAAAAGAGGATACAAACAAATGGAAGAACATTCCATGCTCATGGGTAGGAAGAATCAATATCATGAAAATGGCCATACTGCCCAAGGTAATTTATAGATTCAATGCCATCCCCATCAAGCTACCAATGACTTTCTTCACGGAATTGGAAAAAACTACTTTAAAGTTCATATGGAACCAAAAAAGAGCCTGCATCACCAAGTCAATCCTAAGCCAAAAGAACAAAGCTGGAGGCATCACACTACCTGACTTCAAACTATACTACAAAGCTGCAGTAACCAAAACAGCATGGTACTGGTACCAAAACAGATATATAGACCAATGGAACAGAACAGAGACCTCAGAAATAATGCCACATATCTACAACTATCTGATCTTTGACAAACCTGACAAAAACAAGCAATGGGGAAAGGATTCCCTATTTAATAAATGGTGCTGGGAAAAACTGGCTAGCCATATGTAGAAAGTTGAAACTGGATCCCTTCCTTACAGCTTATACAAAAATTAATTCAAGATGGATTAAATACTTACATGTTAGACCTAAAACCATAAAAACCATAAAAACCTAAACCCTAGAAGAAAACCTAGGCAATACCATTCAGGACATAGGCATGGGCAAGGACTTCATGTTTAAAACACCAAAAGCAATGGCAACAAAAGGCAAAATTGACAAATGGGATCTAATTAAACTAAAGAGCTTCTGCACAGCAAAAGAAACTACCATCAGAGTGAACAGGCAACCTATAGAATGGGAGAAAATTTTTGCAACCTACTCATCTGACAAAGGGCTAATATCCAGAATCAACAATGAACTCAAACAAATTTACAAGAAAAAACAAACAACCCCATCAAAAAGTGGGCAAAGGATATGAACAGACACTTCTCAAAAGAAGACATTTATGCAGCCAAAAAACACATGAAAAAATGCTCATCATCACTGGCCATCAGAGAAATGCAAATCAAAACCACAATGAGATACCATCTCACACCAGTTAGAATGGCAATCATTAAAAAGTCAGGAAACAACAGGTGCTGGAGAGGATGTGGAGAAATAGGAACACTTTTACACTGTTGGTGGGACTGTAAACTAGTTCAACCATTGTGGAAGTCGGTGTGGCGATTCCTCAGGGATCTAGAACTAGAAATACCATTTGACCCAGCCATCCCATTACTGGGTATATACCCAAAGGATTATAAATCATGCTGCTATAAAGACACATGCACACGTATGTTTATTGCGGCACTATTCACAATAGCAAAGACTTGGAACCAACACAAATGTCCAACAATGATAGACTGGATTAAGAAAATGTGGCACATATACACCATGGAATACTATGCAGCCATAAAAAATGATGAGTTCATGTCCTTTGTAGGGACATGGATGAAGCTGGAAGCCATCATTCTCAGCAAACTATTGCGAGGACAAAAAACCAAACACCACATGTTCTCACTCATAGTTGGGAATTGAACAATGAGAACACATGGACACAGGAAGGGGAACATCACACACTGGGGACTGTTGTGGGGTGAGGGGAGCAGGGAGAGACAGCATTAGGAGATAGACCTAATGCTAAATGACAAGTTAATGGGTGCAGCACACCAATGTGGCACATGTATACATATGTAACTAACCTGCACATTGTGCACAGGTACCCTAAAACTTAAAGTATAATAATAATAATTAAAAAAGAAAAAGAGGACACAAACAAATGGAAAAACATTCCATGCTCATGCATAGGAAGAATCAATATCGTGAAAATGGCCATACCTTGTAAAGTAATGCTATTCCCATCAAGCTACTATTGACTTTCTTCACAGAATTAGAAAAAAACTACTTTAAAGTTCATATGGATCCAAAAGAGGGCCCGTATAGCCAAGACAACCCTAAGCAAAAAGAGCAAAGCTGGAGGCATCATGCTACCTGACTTCAAACTATGCTACAAGGCTACAGTAACCAAAATAGCATGGTAATGGTACCAAAACAGATACATAGACCAATGGAACAGGAGAGAGGCCTCAGAAATAACACCACACATCGAGAACCATCTGATCTTCCACAAACCTGACAAAAACAAGTAATGGGGAAAGGATTCACTATTTAATAATGATGTTGGGAAAACTGGCTAGCCATATGCAGAAACAAAAACTGGACCCCTTCCTTACACCTTAAACAAAAATTATCTCAAGATGGATTAAAGACTTAAATGTAAGACCTAAAACCATAAAAACCCTAGAAGGAAACCTAGGCAATACCATTCAGGACATAAGCACGGGCAAAGACTTCATGACTAAAACACCAAAAGCAATGGCAACAAAAGCCAAAATTGACAAATGGGATCTAGTTAAACTAAAGAGCTTTTGCACAGCAAAAGAAACTACCATCAGAGTGAACAGGCAACCTACAGAATGGGAGAAAATTTTTGCAATCTATCCATCTGACAAAGGGCCAATATCCAGAATCTACAAGGAACTTAAACAAGTTTATGAGAGAAACACAAACAATCCCATCAAAAAGTGGGCAAAGGATATTAGCAGACACTTCTCAAAACAAGACATTTATGCAGCCAACAAACATACCAAAAAAAGATCATCACTGGTCATTAGAGAAATGCAAATCAAAACCACAATGAGATACCATCCCACGCCAGTTAGAATGGTGATCATTAAAAAGTCAAGAAACAAGAGATGCTGGAGTGGATGTGGAGAAATAGGAACGCTTTTACACTGTTATTAGTAGTGTAAATTAGTTCAACCACTGTAGAAGACAGTGTGGCGATTCCTCAAGGATCTAGAACCAGAAATACCATTTGATCCAGCAATCCCATTATTGGGTGTATACCCAAAGGATTATAAATCATTCTACTATAAAGTCACATACACACGTATGTTTATTGCAGCACTATACAATAGCAAAGACTTGGAGCCAACCCAAATGTCCATCAATGATAGACTGGATAAAGAAAACGTGGCACATATACACCATGGAATAGTATGCAGCCATAAAAAAGAATGAGTTCATGTGCTTTGCAGGGACATGGATGAAGCTGGAAACCCTCATTCTCAGCGAACTAACACAGGAACAGAAAACTGAACACCGCATGTTCTCACTCACAACTGGGAGCTGAACAATGAGAACACATGGACACAGGGAGGGGAATGTCACACACTGGGGCTTGTCGGAGGAAGAAGGGCAAGGGGAGGAATAGCATTAGAAGAAACACTGAATGTAGATGATGGATGATGGGTGTAGCAAACCACCATGGCACATGTATACCTATGTAACAAACCTGCACATTCTGCACACGTATCCCAGAACTTAAAGTATAATTTTTAAAAATAAATAAATAAAAAGAAAAATAAATTGTTCCCTTCATGTTGACACATGTTTTGGGGAGATTTCATGATACACAGGAGATATTCCTGACATGAATAAGCATGTTAAGACAGGGAATGCCAGGAATTTTAGGGAAAAAAACTTGAAGTCTTTATTCAGGAAAATATGCTTTCCTTGGTGCTTCAACTTAGATAACACTTTGCTGAGTAAGATTGGCTCTAGGGCTGAGAAGTCTAGGGAAACAGGCCCTTCCCTTTGTACACAGATGTGGTTCTTTTGCAGTGAGATGCTTACTCTGAATATCTGTCTAGTAACCTACCTTCCTCCTGGTCTACCCCGCTGATCTAGTGTTTTAGGCTCAATAGACCTGTGGTGGAAGGGAAACTGCCTGAGATTTATCATTCCTATATGGCACATATGGGATGAGGCTTAGCCAATTTCCACCCAGATCTTCAGCACTCCCATTGTGTCTGAAGTTGTGATTTCATCACTTTAATCACCTAGGAGATGGCAGAGCTGGGCAGAGAATTCCATGTCCTCTCTCACATCCTAATGGTGGTGGTTGAACCAGGAGCCAGTTTATTCCCAAATGGTGTTCCTTGGCTCTATGCTGTGTTTGCTGTGCTTTTTGTATTTTTTCTTTTTGCCATGTTATCTCCCTTTTTACTTGAGATAGACCAGCACATAAAGAAATGTAAGTGTCATGGTGGGCCTGAGGGCACAGGGAAATATAGTGAGATAATAAATGTATGAAGAGAGGGCAAGATACCTATTATAATGTGAGAAACAAGAAAATAATGCTTGCTCTTCTCTGGTCTCCAAGGCTCAATGACCCTGGACTTAGAGTTCTTAGAAATTATAATCTTATATACAATTTAAATACTTGGAGGACACAGAACAAAACTAGACTAAGAAGTCCATTCCTAGTATCCTTGTGGAGCATAAGAAAGTATCTTGGGCCCTGACTGAACCAATAGTAATACCCACTATAAAGATATGGGACACTGTTTGGAATCTGGGGATATTTGAGAGAGTTTTCAGATGATAGTCTCTGATGCAGTATGCTTTGTCTTAGTCTTGATCAGATGCAGGTATTCTCTGCATAACACTGTGCATAAGGACAAAAAAAACAGTGAGATAAAGATGGACCATCTAGAAAGGCCAGGTAAGTATTCTTTGCCCTTCACCTCTGGGTTATTTTGGCCATAAGCTGGCAACTCTAGTCAGTTCCACAGTCTATGTGCCAGATAGCTAACCCCATGCTCAGTTCTGGTCTCAGTGAAACAGTCTCTTCAAAGTGTGTGCATGACCTCTCTTCCTCTAAGCTTAGACTAAGACCACTGAGACTTCTCTCTAGAGAGAATATTTTTCAGGCAGAGGTTTGATTCTGAGCCCCCTTAACTCTTGCTGGTTGAAAAGTTTCTTTTGCCATTTATACTTGTGATATTTCTCTTCCTACTAGGGAGGTTGCCTCTTATGTGACTCAGTGACTTAGATATCATTTTTTCATGCTAGACAATGAAAAGAAAGGTGGCTTGTCTCCAGGAAGTGGTTATAAATTTGCTTTTGTGATAGGATAAGGGCAGAGGGACTTTGTAGGTATGAGATCATCATACAAACAGCCTGAGGAGACTGAAAGTCCACTTTTTTGGGTGACATTACGACCATGTGTTAATCATAATTCCTGCAGGTTGTGTATATTATGGAACCTGCCTCTCCAGTCAAGGTCAGCTCTAAGTTCCTTTTCTGCTGTCTTTTTGGCTCCCTCATAAGATCACAGAGAGGGAACACGCTAAATTCCAGGGTTCTTTGTGCCCACTGCTGCACAACTTTTTATGGATATGTCCTATAGATACCCTGAAGAGGTTTCCCTCATACAAAATGAAAATGCCTAGTCTGTAAAAGGTTCTTGTGTTGCTTTGAGATAAGTAAAACAGGGTGAAAATACATTTCTGTCTGAGTACATATTTGGATTTGGGAACATTTTTGCTTATTAACTCAAGGGAAGAATGGTACCACATTTTTGGGTTGTCGCCTCCCCACCATAATAAAAGTATATGATGATTTCAATTGTAGACCATCAGAATGTCTCTCCAAACACTGCAATTACATAAATTAGAATATATAATTTATAGTGAGAATATATAATTTAATACTTATAGTTGGAAAAGTGTATTACCGCAAAGTTCACATGAAGTCACTGTAACTCCCAGTTGTTTGTACAAATGTCTTTAATTCCTCACTTCAATTCATGTACCACTTCCTCACCTGCTATTGTTCCTGAGACTGTTGTTTGCCCTTAGAACCCATAGGCAGAGGAACAATACTCCAAGAGATGATTTCAAAGGGCTCTCAAATGGGTGGCTTTGTCTGAAGCTTTCCATTCCAGCAATGAGTGAGAGGAGTATCTCCCCCATGGAAGGGCAGAGAGACCCAGGCTTATTATCAAGGGCTTCTTGTAAATGACCAAGAGCATTTCAGAGAGTTCAGAATCTGAATCGGCTCATATCTCTCTTATACGTCAACTTCCACTTTTCTGCAAGTTGGTGTATGAGACAGAAGCCTACTCAGAATCTGAATATGCCTCCCACAACCCCATTCCCATTCACTGATGCATACAAATTATGCTATTATGACCACATTTTCCAAATTCAAATGTTAGTTCTTTGGACCATCAAATGACTTTTGTGCTAATTCTGTATGTGTCCAAAGTGTGGGAAGTTGCTAAAATATGGACATATTTTTGACATTTTCCTACCTTATGGTGACCATTGCTCCTAGTATAATAGATTAATTTTCTTTACTTAAGTTTCTTGGGTTGGATGAGAAGAACATTAGTCCAGATTTTAAAAATAAAGTCACAGAACATTAGCTCTAGAAGCAGTAGAGCTGATGTAGAAAATATCTATTTATTTTCTGTTTGTTATGTAAGATAAAAGTTGTGGGACATTTGACGACTTTCAGAGTTCAGGTAACATTCATTTATGGACAATCTATACAGGTTGGGATTATCTGCATAGATATGGGAATCAGGACATAATTGCAAAGAAAGAGTTGACCTGTCACTGAGGAACAAATGTTCTGGAACTGTGGTTTCCTCTTTTCCATTTTTTTGTGTATTCAGCTTGAGAAATAATAATCTCTTGTAACAAATATTTTCCAGACTATGGGTCAAGAGTTACATAGTCCTGTCCTAACATGATAGCTCTAAGTGTTTTATGATGTACAGAAATTTTTACAATCTGTATCTCTTGCATTGTTTCTGCTGTCTAAAATGTGTGCAGCCATTCTGCTAGGTCACAGATATAACCAAGCAATTTTCTTGTTGTTTCAGGCTGTCCTCTGGAGTCACCAAGGAGAGGAGTTCTGGGAGGGAAGAAAAATGGGATGGGAAACGACCCATTACTATTTGTGAAAGTGACAAAAGAACCCAGGGATTCTGAGGCTGAAATCTATACCCCTGGGCCTTCAGTTTGAGAGTCATTTAGCCTATATGGAATTACCTGTGACATTACATTCCAGAGAGATGAGAAATTCTGAGACCCTTATTATCGATGTTTATATTGAAAAAATGGTAATAAATATTTTGAGACTCTCAGAAAAGTTCAGTGTTACCAAGAAATTTGTTGAACTTCTAACTTCTTCCACACAACTGATTTTAGTCAGTTCAAATCTCACACTATATGACTCAGCAAACTCTGAATCCCAGGCCACAGCTGAGTCCTTCCTCTCTCCCCACTCAAGATGGTCACACAGAAATATCACCCAGACATTCTAAAATGTGTTGGGAACAGGCCCCCCAAAATCTGGCCATAAACTGGCCCCACAACTGGCCATAAACAAAATCTCTGCAGCACTGTGACATGTTCATGATGGCCATGACACCCACACTGGAAGGTTGTGGGTTTGCTGGAATGAGGGCAGGGAACAGCTGACCCACCCAGGGTGGAAAACCACTTAAAGGCATTCTTAAACCACAAACAATAGCATGAACATCTGTGCCTTAAGGACATGCTCCTGCTGCAGATAACTAGCCAAACCCATCCCTTTATTTTGGCCCATCCCTTTGTTTCCCATAAGGAATACTTTTAGTTAATCTATAATCTATAGAAACAATGCTTATCACAGGCTTGCTGTTAATAAATACGTGGGCAAATCTCTGTTCGAGGCTCTCAGCTCTGAAGGCTGTGAGACCCCTGATTTCCCACTCCACACCTCTATATTTCTTGTGTGTGTCTTTAATTCCTCTAGCACCACTGGGTTAGGGTCTCCCCAACCGAGCTGGTCTCAGCAAAAATGTTCTATACAGGTTGCATTTTCCTCCAGCCTTGGA
The DNA here is from genome assembly GCF_000001405.40 of Homo sapiens. Taxonomy (NCBI): domain Eukaryota; kingdom Metazoa; phylum Chordata; class Mammalia; order Primates; family Hominidae; genus Homo; species Homo sapiens. Next base: position 7,342,653 of record NC_000012.12, read on the forward strand.
GAGGAGCATGACACTTACCCAAGGAAACAGTGGTGCAGTGGCACGATCACGGCTCACTGCAGCCTGGACCTCCCCAGCTCAAGCAATCCCCCTGTCTCTGCCTTTCAAGTAGCTGGGACTACAGGCAAGTGGAGAAAGATGCATGGGGAAGAAATTGCTACAGTTTTTATTTTCTACCCAAAGCTTCATGGACTCCAAAATATTATTTATTTAGTGTCAAATGAAAGTACTTCTTCTCTTTCCTCTCCCACATCAGGTTTTCTTTTCACGTAAATCTCATCCCATAATCTCTCTTATCTTCACCAATTTATACCTGTTTACCTGCTCTTCCTCTTTGTTCACCTCTCTCAACTACACGCAATATCTTTTGTCATTATGGGTCAATAAGACAGCCAAGTGGAAACCTCTAGTTAGATACATTAGAGGATATTAGGGATGGGGAAAGAGAGAGGTGGAGGAAGAGAGAGAGAGAGAAGGAGACAGAAAGAAAGAGGAGGAGAGAAATATCTGAACTGGAGTTATGGAATAGGTTGTTTTGAGATGAAAGGAACTCTTGTCAGTAGAAATGTTAAAGTCTGGTGCTACCTGTCAGAACAGTTATGGGAGGAATTTCAGGATGGAATGGGAAGTTAAAACGATTTGCGAAAGTCTCTTCACTGTCTCATAATTATAACAATTTGTGACAAAGAATGGTTGAAATCTCAATCTCAATGCCATTCTTACATTGCTACAAAGAAATACCTGAGGTTGGGTAATTTATAAAGAAAAGAGATTTAATTACCTCATGGTTCTGCAGGATGTACAGGAAGCATAGTGCTGGGCATCTTATTGGCTTCTGATGAGGCCTCAGGAAGCTTATAATCATGGTGGAAGGCAAAGGGAGAGCCAGCATATCATACAGAGAAAGCAAAAGCAAAAGCAAAAGAGAGAGCAGGGAGGTGCCACAAACTTTTAAACAACCAGATCTTGTGAGAACTCACTATCCTGAGGATAGCAGCAAGCCATGAGGGATATATCCCCATGACCCAAACACCTCCCACCAGGCCCCAACTTCAATATTGGGGATTACATTCCAATATGATACTTGGGTGGGACAAATATCCAAACCATATCATTTCACCTCTTGCCCCCCAAATCTTATGTCCTCACATTGCCAGATTTGCTCATGCCCTCCCAATAGTCCTCTAGAGTCTTAACTCACTCCAATATTAACTCAAAAGTCCCAAGTCCAACTTCAAAGTCTCATCTGGAGATAAGTTACTTCTACATATGAACCTATGAAATCAAACTCACTTTATTTACTTCCAAGATGCAATGGGGTACACAGTGGGTAAACATTCCCATTCCAAAGGGAGAAATGGTCCAAAAGAAAGGAGCAACAGGCCCCTAGCAAGTCTGAAACCCCAGCAGGGCAATCACTAAGCCTTTTTTTTTGTTTGTTTTTTTTGAGACAGGGTCTTGTTCTGTCACTTGGGCTGTAGTGCAGTGGGTTATCGTGGCTCACTGCAGCCTTGACCTCCTGGAGTCAAGTGATCCTCTTACCTCAGCCTCCCTAGGAGCTGGGACTACAGACATGTGTCACCTCACTTGGCTAATTTTTTATTTTTTTGCACAGATGTTGCCCAGGCTGGTCTCTAACTCCTCCTCTTTGTTCACCTCTCTCAACTACATGCAATCTGCCTGCTTCGGCCTCCCAAAGTGCAGGAATTACAGGCATGAGCCACCATACCTAGCTCAGTCATTAAACCTTAAATGTCCAAAATAATCTGCTTTAACTTCATGTACCACATCCTGGGCACACTGGTACAAGGGGTAGGCTTCCAAGGCCTTGGGCAGCTCTGCCCCTTTGGCTTTTTCATGCTGAGATTGAAAACTGCTGGTGGATCTACCATTCTTGGGTCTGGAAGGTGATAGCCCCCTTCCCACAACTGCACTCAGCAGTGCCCCAATGGGGAGTCTGTGTGGGACATCCAATCCCACATTTCCCCTTGGTATTGCCCTAGAGTTCTCTGTGAGTGTTCCACCCTTGCAGCAGGTTTCTGCCTGGGCACCCAGGCTTTCTCATAAATACTCTGAAATCTAGGCTGAGGCTGCCAATCCTTCTTCACTCTTGGATTCTGTGTACTCACATGCTTAAAACCACATGGAAGGCACCAAGGCAAATGGCTTGTGCTCTCTGAAGCTGCTGCTACAACTGTATCTGGGTCCCTTTGAACTGAGGCTGCAGCTGGAGCAGATGTGAGGAGCAGTGTCCCCAGGCTGCACAGGGCAGTAGGCCCTGGGCCTGGCCCCTGAAACCATTCTTTCCTCTTAGGTTTCTGGGCTTGTGATGGGAGGGGCTGCTTCTTAGATCTCTGAAATGCCTTCAGGGCCTCTTTTTCACTGTCTTGGCTATCAGCACTTGACTCCCTTCTTGTTATGCAAGTATCTCTAGAAAGTGGTTGCTCCACAGCCCATTTGAATTTCTCTACTGATAATGCTTTTTTTTTTTTTTTGCTCCACCACATGGCTAGGCTACAAATTATCTGAACTTTTATGCTTTGCTTCTCTTTTAAATATAAATTACAACATTAAGTCATTTCTTTGCTCCTGTAGCTGAATATAGGCTGGTAGAAGCAGCCAGGCCACATCTTGAATGCTTCACTGCTTAGAAATTTCTTCCACCAGATGCCTTAAGTCATCACTTAAGTTGAAACTTCCATAGATCCCTAGGGCATGAACAGAAAGCAGCCAAGCTCTTTGCTAAGGCATAATGTGAGTAACCTTTACTCCAGTTTCCATTAAGTTCCTCAATTTCATTTGAGACTTCCCCAGCCTGGACTTCTCTGTTCATATCACTATCAGCACTTTGGTCACAACCATTTAACCAGTCTCTAAGAAGTTGCAAACTTTCCCACATCTTCCTATCTTCTTCTGAGTCCTCCCAACTCTTCCAGCCTCTGCCTATTACCAAGTTCTAAAGTTGTTTCCATAATTTCAAGCACCTTTATAGCAATGCCCCACTCCACAGCACCAATTTTCTGTGTTAGGCTGTTCTTGTGTTGCTACAATGAAATACAGAGGCTGGGTAATTTATAAAGAAAATAAGTTTAATTGACTCACAGTTTTGCAGACTGTACAGGCAGCATGGTGCTGGCATCTGTTTGGATGCCTTCTGATGACGCCTCAGGAAGCTTACAACCATGGTGGAAGGCAAAGGGGGTAGAGTGGCTTATCACATGGCAAGGGCAGGAGTGAAAGAGAGAGCAGGGACGTGCCACACTTTTAAAGAACCATATATTGGGAGAACTCGTTCACTATTACAAGGACGGCACCAAGACATGAAGGATCTGTGCCTATGACCCAAATACCTCCCACTAGGCCCAATCTCCAACTTCGGGGCCTACATTTTAACATAAGATTTGGGTGGAACAAATATCCAAACCATATGACCAATTTACTCTGATATTTGTAAAACTGTATGTATATTAAGAAGATATTCAATATAGCCATGGGATGTTAGTCTCTTATGTCTGCATGGGTTTCCTTGGGGTGTGTATTACTTCGTGTGATTTTAGATCATCATCATCTTTTATTTTTGTAGATGCCCCCAAAATTGCTGGGGGCCACATTTATTCTTTTTTATTCCATTTTATTTTTTATTTCTCCCCTTTTCTATGTTTTTTATTAATTTGTATTGATTCTTTTTATTACTCTGATTCTCTAAAACATTTTAAAATCATTTTTCCTACTTTCTTTATCTTTTGGCTTGTGTGTGTCTTTCCTATTACTGCTTGTTTCTTAAGTCTTGGGTTACTTCTTACTGAGTATAATTTCTTTTACTCTTTTTTTTCTCTGTCTGCCCAATACATTTCCTGCCAATGTTGTTTCATTCTTTGTGTTTCACTATTTGGAATGAGAGACTGCAACTCTTAAGGCTCTATTGTTCCATTCACCAAAATGTAATTCTTTCCAGTGTTAAACAAATTCAAGGAGACCAAGAGCTCTAAAATCAGACAACAAACAAAGAGACACCTAGGTATTTTAAGCAGGAAGTGGTTTACTACAGGGAATAATTATGCTTACAAAACCCTCATCAGGAAGTTTTAAAACCCCCAGGAAACCACTGCTAAAGGGCACCATGCTGTAATATCTAGGCTAGCAGTTTTCAGGACAAGTACAAAGATCCTTGCGAAACCGTATCTTCCATGAACAAGTCTCTCTGGTGGAAGCGAGCCCAGATTCTTCCTGTTAGGGATTGTGGGAAATAAAGTTCCTGGCCCCGCAAACCTAGTCATTTAGGGAGAACATAAAAGGAGGCAGGAATGATGAGGAATTAATAAGCAGTAATGCGGCTCAGTGGCCTATTCAGTGCAAAGGGATGCTCTCTGCTTACCTGCAGCAGAAAAACTGATCACACTGTAGGATTTCCCTAGTTCCTTTGACCGCTGCTCTTCATGGTGAGTTTTCAACTTGCTGGGTCAGGAGGGCTTAACATCACCCACATATCAAGATTCTATTTTTAAAGAAATTAATTGTAAGTGCAGAAATTTTTCTCTCTGTTGTCTACAATTGCAATAGCTTTCAGTTCATTTCTCTAAAATTGTGTTTACTTAAGTTTACATATCTTTGTTTGTGGGGCACCAACATTTTAATTTCCTTACCAGGAAATCATTGCTCTTCAAAGATCCTCTTGGGCTAATGAATACCTGATGTATTTATTTAAAAATATTCTTTGTAACCCAATCTCTGGGATGTTAAAAGTTAGCCTAATAGTTTTCTTCATTGACAATGGGTGGTTACTTTCCTTATATCTTTATAACCAGTTTATCTTGGTTAATTTCTAAGGTAAAAAGGAATGGTCTCGGCCGGGCGCGGTGGCTCACGCTTGTAATCCCAGCACTTTGGGAGGCCGAGGCAGGTGGATCACGAGGTCAGGAGATCGAGACCACGTTGAAACCCCGTCTCTACTGAAAATACAAAAAAATTAGCCTGGTGTGGTGGCGGGCGCCTGTAGTCCCAGCTACTCGGAGAGGCTGAGGCAGGAGAATGGCGTGAACCTGGGAGGCGGAGCTTGCAGTGAACCAAGTTCACGCGCCACTGCACTCCAGCCTGGGTGACAGAGCGAGACTCCGTCTCAAAAAAAAAAAGAAAAAGAAATGGTCTCTTATGCTAAGGATGCCATGGAATAAAACAACCAGAAACTTCTCAATTGCCATTCCCTTGATAAAATAATAACAAATATAAAATTAAAAACTGGTTGCATTGAACTATTATTGAGTTTCCACATGAGCTTCACATGTCATTCAAATGTCCACAAACCCACATTTTTCTTCTTTAAATATTTACTACTTTGCATCATTAAATTAACACATTTTCAAACCTCATTGTTAAAAAAAGGCAAATATTTGTAGTTTTTAAAGTATCCCCTTCACTCATGACTATTAGAAATTTGTTTTTTTCTTATATTTGTCTATAATACCAGGAGGTGTAAATAGGCTATACTAAAATTAATAAAAATATTGAGCAGAGTTCCACATAAGCAGGCTCTACCATTCATTAGGGAGTGTCAATCATCTGCAACCACTCTGTGCAAGGGGAAAGAGCATGGATTGTTCAGGGAAGTGGCACACATCACAACTGTTCATTGGTGAGACCCAGTCACATGATCATAACTAGTTGTAATGAATGTTGAGAAATATAGCTAATGCACAGACCTAGCTAAAAATCTTATTGATTGTAAGAAGAGAATGGAATATGGTTTACCACTTATGACCCTATTAATAAGGAAGAGGAGAATGGGTGACAGTAGATTTCTTAGTCCATGTGTCTATTCCAGCCCATCCATTAGTGGATGATCCTATGGTTAGAACATAGCATGCCATTTAGTATATAGCTATTGAGTCAAACTGCCTGGGTTTGAATCCAGGCTCTTCATTTATAAGCTTTGTTACCTTCAGCAAGTTACCTTTCTGAGCCTCAGTTTTTACTTTATTAACTGAAAAAAAATGAGAATCTTAATAGTACTTACTTCACAGAGTTATTGGGCTTTCATGTGAAGTAAAATACATTAAGCACTTAAAACAAGGCTTTACATATAGTACATAGTTAATAAATATTCATTACTTAGGTTAGAGGAAAGCTGGAAGGCCCTCACAAAGCAGTAATAAGTCCTTGTTATGTTTTTTTTTTTTTTCAAAATAAATGTTTTTCAAAAACTGAGTACTTTGGAATACTTTTAGATTTACAAAAGAGTTGAAAAATAGTATGGCCAGGTGCGATGGCTTACCTCTATAATCTCAGCACTTTGGGAGGTCAAGCTCAAGGTTGTGAGCTCCCTCCTCTGAGACTTAAGGGGAAAAATTACAATGAGGTAGACGGTGAATCTGGATTTCTGTCCAAACCACACTGGTTAGCTAAACTGGGATGGACTTGATTCTGAGTTGAGAAATTGTGGAGAATTCAAGCATGAATGTCTCTACGGAAATATGTTTAGAGACTGATAAGCTTGTGGAAATCCAGAAATGGCAGGTAGAGCACATCAGAAATTACTTTCTTATCTTTAATCAAATGACATTTACTAAACCCTTAATTATATATTGATTTTTAAATTATATCCTAGGTTGTCTGTTAAATATTGCAGTAGTTCAGATGTGATTGACACTCTTTTGAAATTACTCACATTTCAAATTCTCAAATTGAGTTATACTTTCCTCAACTAGGAAATATAAATAACTAATGGAAACCTTCTTGGATGCTTGCTGGGAGATTTGGATGACTTAATGCATAGTAGTTAGTAATTTCTCAATAAAAAGATTGTTTTTGAAAGATGAAGTTAAATTATCCTAGTAATGGTCAATGGTTAAGCAAAAAATTATTTCTTTCAGGAATTGCAAGTAATAAAACATGACTGGAATAACAAACCACAGGGAAAGGTGGGAGAATGAAAAGATGTATAAGGGTCATATCCTACAATTGTCGTGGCCACACCAAACGATCTGACTCATGTGGAGCGAGCGGGCAGATACATTTCTTTGTAAGTGTATCCTCAGCCACTTGTACTATGCTTTGGGCATTTTAATTACTCTACAAATGTTGACTGAATAAATTATTTTTCAGAAATGTTTTTCTGGAGTAATGGGAACAATACACTAAGCTGGGGGAAGACAGGATGTTTTCAAAGTAGTTAGGATGTCCTAGACTTTCTCACAGAAAGTATCTCATTGATCTCATTGAGGAGTGATAGTATATCTCATACTCTTCAAAATATCTTATACATGAAACTGACATAGCTTGGGAACAATTACCCATACCCCCTCTTCCCTTTGCCTTTATTGCTAACATTCTCTCCTGATGCAAAAAATGCAGGACCCGGGAATAAACTAAATATTTCCCTTCTCTTCTCTGAGCTCCCAGAAGCAGAGTTTATGCCAAAATATGAGGAGCTACGGAGAAAGTCACTAGAGAGGTGTGCAGACTCATTTCTTGAGCAAATAAATGTATGGTCCTAAATTTAGCTATCTTCATTTGCTAAAACATGTACCTTTGTTGCAGAAGCAGTTCCAGAAGCTGGGTTGTAGTCAGAGAATATTAGCAGCTCCAGGTGCCAAGCTGGAGTCACAGAGATTTCCTAGACCTAAGATGTGAATCTTAAATCACCCCTCACATCTAAAGCTACTTTTCATGAACTGGAGCTCTGTGAATCCCAGGAAACAATGTAACTTTAGAGAGCATCTTTAGTGTGTGACTTTTCTAGTCCCAAATGCAATGTGCAAATAGCTAAGGAATTCTGGGGTTGCCAGTTCTTACAGTTACGTGGTTGGTTATTTCCTTTAACTTACTTGTGATATTCATCTATCCATCCATTTACCACATCTTCGTGTCTCTGCTTTTCTGTTCCTGTCTCTTTCTGTCCTCTTTCCTCAACTTATAAATGTCAATTTATATCATAGTACAGTTACTCTATTAGTAATACATACTTAGGTGTGAAAACTACTTCCTGGGAGATAACAATCAGATGTTGTGAAGTTACTATTATAAGCTTTTCAGCTGTTTTTATTTCCAGTCAATTCTAGATGTTTTGATAATTACCCAAACAGATGTTAGAAATGATGTTTGTTCATTTTAATTTTGACATAATTTTAAAGGTACCAAAAATTGCCAAAATATCAAAAGAACTACTCTTCCTCTTTATCCATTTAGCATTTACTCCATTCCCTTTACCCCTTTCTCCTGAGCTGCAGATTATCATACCCTTTACCTGAAATTCATCAATATGTATTTTATAAGAACAAAAAGATCATTTTATGTAACCTAGTACAATTATCAAACAAAAATATAATATTATGCAAAGTTCACATTCAAATATTGCCAATTGTTTCAATAATATTATTTGTAATGACTTTTTCTTCTTATCCAGGATTCAGTCAAGGATCATGCATTGAACTTAATTGTCATGTCTCTTTATAAAGTCTTCTTTGATCTAATGAATTTAGAATATTATAGATAAATGGATATATAGATGGATAGATATACATCAATACATATAGATATATATATAGATAATGCATATAAATATGTGTGTAATATGTGTGTGTGCATGCATGTGTATGTATGTCTATTTTTCCATCTTTCTGCTGAGATGAGTACGTCTTAGCTTGAGCATCCATAACAAAATACCACAGACTGGTAGCTTAAACCACAGGAATTTATTTCTCACAGTTCTAGAGGTTGGAAAGTCCAAGATCAAGGTGCCAGCTGATTTGGTTTCTGGTAAGGGCTTTCTTTCTGGCTTGCAGACAGCCATCTTTTCACTGTGGTCTCACGTGGTGAAGAGAGAGCACTCTGATGTCTCTTCCTCTTCTTATTAGGCAGCAGCCCTGTCAGATTAGGGATTCCCACCCTATGATCCCATTTAACCTACATTACCTCCTTAAGGCCCTATCTCCAAATATAGCCACAGCAGAGGTTAGGGATTCAACATATGAATTTTAGAGGGACAAATTTAATATATATCAGACTACAAACAACACTTCAGAAACAATTAGATCACTTAGAATTCAGATATTGCTTTCTAAATTTTATTTCTCTCTAAAATAAACCAGGGCTCCTTGGAAAGGTGCCTGATTCTAGGGCTGGGGAAGAGAAAGTACAAGGTAAGCCTGAAAACTGTAATTGTCCCATAAGTTAAGGAAGTCAAGAATGATGTAAATGGGTCTAAAGGACACAGGAACTAATGTGAGGAACTAATATGCTGGCCAAATATGAGATGGCTTATGCATCAACATAAATAATGTTAGCAATAGGCTATAATCATTCAATGAAATAAGAATTTGTTAATTTATATTGAATAAAGGAAATAAAGTAAATAGGGAAGAAGAAAAAGCTCTTACTGACAGTAGAATTTCAACAAATAAAGTAAAAATCATGAATGGATTTAAAAATAACTTTTGGCAATCATCATATTAGCAATTGATGGTATATGAATGTTAACTCTGGTAAGTGAGAGATGACAGAATGAACAGATTGACAAATCCTGTCTCCCTAAAGGAACTATAAAACTAAACAAAACAGTCAAAACTGACCATTTTAGAACTCTGGAAACTGACCAAAGGCAAAAAATAGTTTGAGAACTATTTATTCATGAAAAATGACCCAACTTAGAGTAAGAACAGTGGAAATCTTTGGCTTTAGTGCTGGGGTTGCTCTCATCTCCCCACATCTCCAAAAATAGAAACAACCAGTGGACTAGGAAGATATTAACAGGGAAATCTGGTAAATGAGACAGCAATAGATGAGCCAGATAGGATTCCACACAGCCCTGACTGACTGAAGACCACACACACATGCAGAAGAAGAGACAAAAGAGACTCTATAGAGAAATTTGAAACAAGGGCAGACTTCAAAAGTACTTGAACTTAGAATATGTTCCCTGACACACAGAGATCTATTGGCAGAGGATGAAGCTTTACTGGTTCAGTGTGTTCGGGTGCAATATTTAACCAATTATTGGCTGATCACTAAGCTAGACAGATAGAGGGATGACCTGTTTTAAAACCAGGTTTGAAAATAAAAACAAGAATAAAAAACTCAGCAGAGACATCAGAGGCTGCATAGTATGGAGGACTTAAGAGTCCATAGATGTAGTCCAGGCAAGTTAACAGACAAGTAGATCAAAAAACAAACAGCAACAACAACTGCCCTGGGGAAGAGAGATTAGAAACCAGAATTACTGCAGTATATTATCTAAAATGTACAGCTCTAAACAAACAAAAAAGAGATAAGAAAGAAACAGGGAAGTGATCTATACATACCAAAAAAAACCAAAAGCAATCAATGAAATCTAGCTCTGAGGAGGTCCAGGTACTGGACTGAATAGAGAAAGACTTCAAAGCAGCTATTTAAATAAGTTTGAAAAACTAAAGAAAATCATATTTAAAGAATTAAAGAAAAATCTAACGACAATGGCTTAACAAAGAAGAAGAAATAAAATCTGTAAAAAGAAATCAATAGGAATTCTTGAGTCGTAACATGAAATAAATGAAATGATAAGTTTATAAAAAGGCTAAATAGTAACTTTAAAATTCCAGAAGAGAAAAAAATCGGTAAATTTGTAGTTTAATATAAATGATCCGTCTTAAGAACTTGGAAAAAAATACTGCAGAAAAAGTAACAGAGCTTGTATATCAGCATGAGGCACAGAAGAATAGAGAAAGAGGTAGAAAAATATTTGAAAAAAATAACAGTTGAAAATGTCTCAGATTTGCATATTAATTTGAAAATCCAAATAATCCAATGAAACTTAAGGAAGACAAACACAAAGAAATCCTTATCTAGATACCATCAAGCTGTTGAAAGACAGGGACAAGGAGAAAATCTTGGAAGCAGTAAGAGAAAAATGATTCATCACGTACAAGAAAACAACAATATGATTAATGTTGCATTTAATGGAAGTTTAAAAAATAATGTAATAAGAATGAATAATCTTTATTTTATGTAGGTGAATAATTTCATGCATGTATACACAAGAGAGAGGACAGACAAAAGAGTGACAGAAACATTCCAAAATGTTAACAGTGCTTATTTCAGAATGATAGACTTTTTCATATTTATTATTGTTCTTTCAATATTTTTTAACATGTATTTATGTTATAATAAAAACTTAAACTTTCTAAACATAGAAATAGGGATGGCTCTTTATTTTAGTGTAGGTATCTGTAATAATTTTACTGCAGTACAGCAATATTAATGAAATATATATTAATTGGCTAGGATTAAATTTTAATCGTTAAACTCTCTACTACATTTCCTCATAATATATACTGCAAACATATTGCAAAGAGAGGCCCCAATATTTGAAGTACAATCTAAAATCTTGCTAACTCTTGAGAAGAAGCCTTCAAAACAAGCTTTTCTTGGCATGGGACTAATTATCCTTTCTTACCAGATTTGTGAACTAAAGTCTCCTGATTTTTAGGATTTCCAACTCTTTGAGAGCAGAGACCCTAAATGAATAAAGCTTATTTAGGGTCTTAAAGATTTAAAAATGTCTTTTCTAATCACCTAGGCTTCTTTTTTTTGTTTGTTTTACATCTCTTGTAACAGCTCCATGAAGCCTACTGATTTTTAAAAAAATTATTTTACTATTGTGGTAGATACTTGTTACTATATGTGTTATAATTCCTATAGGAACAACAATATGTTCAAAATCTGAGGAAGCCAAGTTAGAAGCAAGGGCAATTGAGCAAAGCTGTCATGAATAAATCTATCAGGGATAAAAATGAAGACAACTATTCTGACATTCAATTTTGAAAATGCTTTCTACATTCAAATATCTATGGAATTACACTAATTTGAACTACAAGAACAGCCATAAGTCAGCCTCAAATAATGTTTTTCATTGTTCAGCAGAAGTAGGAGTAGGATACGTATGGAGTGGTTTTTCAGTTAGTGATTGTCTGAGTTTGGGCTGCTGTAAGAGAATACTATAAACTGGGTGGCATATAAACAACAGAATTTTTTTCCCTCACAGTTTGGGAAGTTATAAACCTGAGATCAGGGTGCCAGCATGATTCAGATCTGATGAGGGCTCCCTGCCAAGTTGTAGACTGCTGACTTCCCACTGTACACTCACATAAGGGAAGGACAGTGACAGAGCCTCTGAGGTTCCATTATTACGGGCACTAATCCCATTCATGAGGGCTTCACCCTCACGACATGATTACCTCCCCAAAACTCCACTTCCTAATACCATTACATTGGCAGTTAGGATTTCAACATACAAATTTTTTTTTGCGAGGGGCAAAGGAAAACACAAACATTCAGTCCATTTAACAGTGATATACATAATTCAATTTTTATTATCACCAGTCTTTATCAATTTAGCTGTTCTCCTATTGTTCAAGAAATGTTATTTGGACAAGTTTTCCATAGGGCAACTTGACTTCCTCTTTATTCATTTAAAAGTTGTTGTCTCCTTCAAAGATATTTAGAGGTTGATCTGAAATTATAAAACAAGAGGCAACAAGTTACTATTCTTCTAAATAAGAATGCTAGCCTACATGAGGTTAAAGTTAAGACACGTGTGTGTGTGCACACACAAACACACACACAACCCACAAAGAATTGATCAATTAGGACAGATTTAGTAGGTGCTATGTATTAATATTTCTTTTTTGTGCATATGCAGATATTATGCAATTTTCTTTCTGCTCCCATAGTCTAGAATTCTGAGTCTCAGAATGTAATAATTTACTTATCAAAGAAAAAGAGTGTTAAATAACACCAAAATTAAAAAGGAAGGTATGATTACATATGGTTTTGGTTTTTGGAACACCTCTGGAAATTAATCTTTCAAAAGTTTTTAGTATGGATTCTGCTAAGTCAGAATTGATGATTAATGAGGTTTAGACAGAACAAAAGTAGGTTTTTTTGTATCATAGAATAATAGACTTGCTCAGTGTTATGAGCTGAATTGGGTCCCCCCAAATTCATATGTTCAAGTCTTAACCCCTAGTTCCTCAGGATGTGATTGTATTTGAAGATTGGACCTTCAAAGAGGTAATTAAGGTAAAATGAGGTCACATGGGTGAGCCCTAATCCAGTATGACTGGTGTCCTTACAAGAAGAAATTAGATCACAGACAACACAGACCAAGGGATGACCATCTGAGGGCATAACAAGAAGATGACTGCCTGCAAGGGAAGGAAGGAGGCCTCAGAAGAAATCAAACCTCCCAATATCTTGATCATGGACTTCTGGCATCCAGAATTGTGAGAAAACAAATTTCCATTGTTTAAGCTGCCCAGTCTGTGGTATTTTCTTTTGGCAGCCCTAGAAAACTAATACACTAAGCACAATAATAACTGCTGAGGGAAAATCTTTTCTAATATAGAACCCTAATTTCAAGTACTTTAAAAACAACACATAGTATTCATTGGCAAACAAAAATTGTGCTAATATAAATTAGTATTTATTAAAATTGGTTTAGAATAATACAGACTCAATCATTTGTTCCTTATATCATGCAGATGAAAACACATAAGATACACTTTAGGATACATTTTAATTTAAGTTTTTCAATGAACTTTTCCAAATAGAGAAATTATCAATAGCATATAAAGAGGAAAAAGGCTTCAATCATAAATATAAGTCTTGGTATTAGAAGAGTTACCATTAAATTATGTTGGAGCTAGTTATTATCTAAATGGTTTTTGTGTACTTTGCCTCTGGTTTTTCTAACTTTTTTTGTTATTATGGTAATAATATATTTTTGAGAAAAAACGGAGAAACTCAAGCCCATTCACTTGGATCACTGGGTCAAATTTGAAATAGTTTTGTGTTGGTGATGTCTAGATATTCCATAATAAAAATCAGGAGATATGACTTATCTTTGCTCCCTGGCATTTATTCCCATAAAAAATTTAGAATTATCTTTGGGCTACGCAGAAATGCTGTTTTCAGAATTGCTAGCTCATTCATGCTAGGAATTAAAAAGTGTTTTCAACATTATTTAGAAAGCACAGTGCTTTCTAGTCCTTTGACTTCATTGAGTTCAATTTTTCTCTCCATCATATTTGGACCATCCACTCTAACTGAGAGAAAGCACTGTTCCTTTTGTGCTGGATTTTCTAGTTGACTTTGATTTTAGTTATTTGTCCTGGCACCAGTAAGTGTTTTAGAACTGCCTCAATGCAACATTATTATATAACGAGTGCTTGTTTTTCTAAACCTTTAGAGAATGATTTCACTGCTATTACGTTAATGTTTTCTCATCAGACAAAGCCACCTACGTTTAATAAATATAAAGCATGTATCATCTGTCAGGCACTGGCGATTAAAGCAATAAGGAGTGATATTAATGCACGGAATCTAGTCTGTACTTAAGAGAATAAATGTGAACATCCTACTCTGTGTAACAAAAATGAACAGAAATCCTAGGAATGGAGGTTATCAATGAGCAGTATGTGAAGCTGAGATGTAATCAACCTCTTCCTTAGTGACAGACTATCTGCAGCATCAGCCAATGCTCAAAACCAATTCTGATAAACTCTGTAAATTTTCTATAGGAACAACTTTCTCATCAACCTCTCTCTTTTCCAGAGGTTAACATAGAATATTTGAAATACTGGGGATATGAACCAGTGACATAATATATGGTAATATAAATATTGGAAAAAATGTATTTAATTCTGCGACAGTGGGAGATTAAATTACTAGTTTTAGTAGGAACAATACTTCTCAACTTACCTGGTGAGCCCTGGAAGTCTAAAGTCATTTTGTGGCTTCAGAGGCAGGAAGAACTCCCAACAGCGATGTGTCGCTAGCATCTTCACAACCATGGTTGGGGGTGTCATCTGAAAGAAAGGCAAAATCTGTATTATTGAATAGTAGAAAACCTCTCTGCAGAGGGAAGAGCTGTTAAGTGCAGTGTTTGATCAGCTGGGAAAGTATAATAGAGCAAGAGGTGACTATTACATAAATTAAGAGCACGCTTAGTTATCGTTTTGAAGTAAAATAATTATCATATTTAAAAGGATAAACCATTAAGTGTTACCAAAACAAATAATACAACTTTTTATCAGATTATCAGATTTGCTTCCAGTATCTTAAAAGCCTAGAATTGTGATATTTATATTTTGATTTTAAAAATGGGACAAGTAAAACTCAATGGTAAGCATCATTGTCTAAAGATAGGAGAGTACTAAAAATTATATTTAGGGAATTGTTCCATTTTTGGCAGGATTGAGAGAAATAAAGAATTGTTGTCTGTGGATAGAGAAATGTAGATAACTAAATTTCAAGAAGGTTGAATATGACTGCATCTTTTAAGAGTAATTATTTGAACTTCTAGTTTCCCATGAAGCCTGTAAGAAGCTTGGGAGTCATTACTCCCAATCGCATAACAAGAAAAAAGGTGAATAAACTGAAAATCAACAACTCTTCTTAGGTCCATCAAAGAACTGATGTCATAGGGCAAACCACTACCACCAAAATTGGAGAGACAGACAGGCAGAGACAGAGAATTGCAACTTATAGAGCAGAAACCACTGTGGAAATCAGTAATGGGGTAGGGAAATCTAAACTGTAATTGACAAATTGCTGTAGGCTCAGAGTGGAAAAGTTTCAGTGTTAAAAACTCCAGTGGACCTACATTTTTGTTTTACCTTTAGAAGCCCTACCAAGTTATCACAGTGAAGACTGGAGCAAAATCATTCTGTGCTTTCTATCAGGAGGAGGGGAAAGTAGTCATTTTGAAGTACATATAAAATATTGTGTTCTTCTTAATGAAGAACACTTCAGTAGGGTTCCTATAAAATACCAGGGAATACAATGGTTAAAATTGCACACCAAAGATCTTATTTAAGAACTCACTAGGGAGCCCCAATGACAACAGGGGAGACTAAAACAAGGGCACCAGAAGAAATATTAGCCTCTGACACCTACAGCTACAGCAAACAATAAATACAGCTTAATCCCTCGCCAGATAAATATAAAACCTTACACCAACACTCTCTTTACCTCAATTCTTTGTGTCCACTATATATCATGTCTGACTTTCTACAAAATAATTACAAGGCACACTGAAAGACAAAAAACAGAGTCTGAAGAGACAGCAAGCATCAGACCAGACTCAGATGTGAGAGAGATGTTGAAATGATCACACCAGAACTTTAAAACAACTAGGATTAATGTGTTATGGGATCTAAAGGAAAAAGAGGACAACCTGCAAGAACATATGAGCAATGTAGGCACAGAGATGGAAGTTCAAAGAAAGAATTAAAAATGCAAGACATCAACAACACTGTAATAGAAACGAAGCATGTCTTTTAAGGGCTCATCAATGGACTGGACACAGCTGAGGAAAAAAAAATCAGTGAGCTTGAAGAAACATTAATGGAAACTTCAAAAACTTAAATGCAAAGAGAAAAGAATAAAAAAGACAGAACAGAATATCCAAAAATTGTGAAAGAACTACAAAAGATGTAACAGACATACAATAGGAATGCTAGAAGGAGAAAAAGGTGAGAAACAAGCAGAAAAATATTTGAAGCAATAATGACAGGATTTCTCACAACTAATGACAGAAACCAAAGCACTTATCCAGGCAGCACAAAGAACACCAAGCAGAATAAATGCCAAAAAAACAAAACAAACAAACAAAAAACCCCGGAATTTAGGCATTCATATTCCAACTGCAGAAAATCAAAGACAAATAAAAAATATTAAAAGAAGCCAGAGGAAAAAAATTGTCTATAGAGGAGCAAGGTAAGAATTACATTGAACTTCTCTTCAAAAGATATGCTAGCAAAAAGAGGGAGTATAATATTTAGTGTGAAAAAAAGAACCATCAACTTAGAATTCTGTATTCAGGGGAAAGTATCCTTCAAAAGTGAATGAGAAATAAAAGATTTTCTCAGACAAATAAAAATTGAGGTTATTTGTTGCCATTACAGTCACCTTGCAAAAAATTATACAAGAAATTCTTCAGAAAGAAAGAAAATGATATAGTTCAGAAGCTCTGATCTACGAAAAGAAAAGGGAAGCATTAGAGAAGAAATAAATACAGGTAAAATAAAACTCTTTAAAAAATTTTTACTCTTATTTGATCTAACAGATAAATTTGCTCATCTTCATTCCTGAAAGTTATTTTTTCTGGATATAGAATTCTGGATTGACAGTTCTTTTCATTTAGCACTTTAAAGACTTTGTTTAATTGTTTCCTGACCCCTTTAGAAATCTGTATTCATTTTAATTGTTGTTCCTCTAAACACAATGTGTCACTTTTGTCTCCTTGCTTTTGATATTTTTCCTTTGTGTTTGATTTTCAGTAATTTGAGCATGATGTGTCTGGGAATGTATATATTTAGTTTGGTGTTTGCTAAGCTTCTTAAATCTAGGAATTCATGTCTTTCAACAAATTTGTGAAGTTTTCAGCCAATATTTCTTTAAAAAAAATTCCTGCACCATGTCTAACTTCTCTTCTTTCCTAACACTCCAATGATATGTACATCTTTTTTTTTTCTTTTCAGATGGAGTTTCGCTCTTGTCACCCAGGCTGGAGTGCAATGGTGCGATTTCGGCTCACTGCAGACTCTGCCTTCCAAGTTCAAGCAATTCTCCTGCCTCAGCCTCCCAAGTAAGTGGGATTACAGGTGCCCACTAACACACCCATCTAATTTTTGTATTTTTAGTAGAGATGAGGTTTCACCATGTTAGCCAGGCTGGTCTCAAACACCTGACCTCAGGTGATCCACCCACCTCGGCTTCCCAAAGTGCTGGGATTACAGGCATGAGCCACCACACACCACCAGTATGTATATCTTTTGATATATTCCCATGGATTCCTCTCTTCCCATTTTTAAGGTATCTTTTTCCTCTCTATTTTATTGAATAATTTCCACTGGTCTATCTTGAAGTTCACTGATTTTTTTCTGTTATCTCCTTTCTGTTGTTGAGGCAATCCAGTGATTTTTTGAAAAATTTTCAGATACTGATATTTTTAATTTTTGAATTTCCATGGGATTGCTTCTTTCCTGAAAAGATTTCTCCATTAGTTTCTGGAAAGTTTGCCTTTGCCTCATAGAATATGGCTATAATAGCTTTCATGCTGTTACAGTCTTTGTATGATAATCCAACCTCTGTTTAATGTAGATTGGCAACTGCTGGTTGTCTATTCCATGAGAATTGATTAGATACTCCTGGTTGTTTGTATGTTGGATAATTTTGGTTCGTATGTTGGATATTTTGAATATTTTGTTGTAAGACTTCTGAGTCTTACAAAAGTTTTGTTAAAACACTTTGGAGAAAGTGGGTTTTTGGTTTTGGTTTTGCTTTGTTTTGTTTTGTTTTGTCTTGATTTAGCAAGTGATCAACCCAGTTAGGTTCAGATTGCAAGTTCTGTCTTACCATCTCTGGTGGTTTATTTAGTGTCAATTCAGTTCTCAAAGACTTTGCTATTCTGTTTGGGTATGCTTTTTGTATGTACCAATATGAGTTGTTCTGGGATTTGAGTAGTATATATATATTTTCATTCATTTCTCAAAGACTTTGCTATGCTTCATTGTGTATGTTCTGCATAATTGCAGCTAAAAGGTAAACCTGGTACTTGTATTACTTCAAGACCTCTTCTCCAGATCCTCCCTCTATGTGATTTCCTCTATGTTCTCTAGCTTCCAGTGGCTTCTTTTTCTATTTTCTCTGGCAAGAAAATAAATGGGTTATCTCACAGTTTTATTTTCTCATACTGCAGTAAAGGTTCACATGACTAGGAAGTAATAAGAGAAAAGAGAATGAGGATTTTCCCCAAACTATTTGCATAACAGGGGTCATTCTTTCATGCTCTGCTATTCAGAGAAGTAAGTCTTCTCTCAAACTTAGTTGCCTGTGCCACATTGGCTGTAGCAGGGCAGATATGCTTTTGAAACTGGACTAGGGCTAGGGTGAAGACAGCAAACTAAAAAATAGGAAGATTCCCCGTATTCCCTGGATTTCCCTTCCCCTGTCCTCTGGCCAGAAAGATGGGCTTTTTTAGGAGTCCAGGAAGAAAAAAACACAAACAAACAGAAAATTTACCATCACGATCACAATAGTCTTTCCTCAGTTTGACATTTCTTTTCAATGTGTTATTTACTTTTCAGAGTCCCAAGATTTTTTTTAAGTGTACGATTTGGTGAAATGAAATACATTCAGTTTTTTGTGCAACCGTTACCACCATCTATCTCCAAAATTCTTTTTATCTTGCAAAATGAAACTCTATACTAATTAAAGAATAACTCCCCATTCTCCCTCCTCCAGCCCCTGGAAACTACCATTCTACTTTCTGTTTATATGAATTTGATTGCTCTATGTACCTCTTATAAAGTGAATCATGTAGTATTTATCTTTTTCCGGCTGACTTATTTCACTTAGCATAATATCCCTAAAGTTCATCTACATTCCATTGTATATATACACATACATGTAAAATGGAATATTTATATATATAAGGTACACTTGTATATTATATATACTATATATTATTTTTATATATTATATATTACTTATATAAATTATACATATATAACATATATAATATATCATATGTATTATTTTTATATTATATATTACTTATGTTATAGATTATGTATTTAATATATTACTTATATATTATAGATTATATAGTAATTATACTATATAATTATATTAAATTATATAAAATAAAATATGAAATATATTATAATATAAATATATTAAATATATATTATATAACATATAATTACAATTATAGATAATTATATAGTATGTTATTTATATCATATACCATATATAATTATGTGTTATTACATTATTCTAATAATTTATTCTGTAAGATAGTATATATTAATTAATATATTAAATTAATAGTTATTACATAACTATGTATAAATATATAATATATTATATTAATATCATGTAATTTATAGCATATCATATTAATATAATATAAATTTATAGCTTATTATAATATAGTATAAATATAAATATATATAATATAAAATTATATAATTCTAATATAATATATGATTTATATTAATATAATTATACTATAACATATAATATTAATATATAATAATATATAACATAATGGTAAAAGTAGATCTACCATTTGATCCAGCAATCCTCCTACTGGGTGTCTACCCAGAGGAAAAGAAGTCATTTTATGAAAAAGACATTTGCACATGCATTTTTATAACAGCACAATTTGCAATTGCAAAACCAGCCCAATCAACAAGTGGATAAAGAAAATGTGGTATATATATGCCATGGAATACTACTCAGCCATGAAAAGGAAATAAAGAAATTAAGAAAATTAAGAGATTTTTTAAAAAAATGGAAATGAAAACACAACATACTGAAATATATGGGATACAGCAAAAAACAAAAATATACACGAAATAACAGTACTAAGAGGGACGTTTATAGCAGTAAACACCCATATCAAAAAGTAGATAGAGACCAGCCCGACCAACATAGTGAAACCCCATGTCTACTAAAAATACAAAAAAATATTAGCCAGGCATGGTGTCATGTGCCTGTAATCCTAGCTGCTCTGGAGTTTGAGGCAGGAGATTTGCTTGAACCCAGGAGGCGGAGGTCGCAGTTAGCCGAGATTGTACCCCTGCACTCTAGCATGGGTGACAGAGTGAGACTCCATCTTAAAAAGGAAAAAAAACAAGTAGAAAGACTACAAATAAAGAGGCTAATGGTGCACCTCAAGGAACAAAAAAAGAAAGAACAAACCAAACCCCAAATTAGTAGATAAAAAGAAATAATAATAATAATCAGAGAAATAAATTAAATTGAGACTTAAAATCTACAAAGGAGCAACAAGATTAAAAAGTTGATTTTTTGGAAAGATAAACCAAATTGATAAACCTTTAGCTGGACTAAGTAAAAAGAGAGAAAACTCAAATAAATAAAATCAGAAATGAAAAGGTAGACATAACAATTGAGACCACAGAAATACAAAGAATCATTTAAAAATATTATGAACAACTATAGACCAACAATTTGGAAAACTTAGAAGAAACTGATATATTTCTAGTCATATACAAACCTACCAACACCGTGCCATGAAAAAATAGAAAAGTTCAACAAATCAATAACAAGTCATGAGATCAAAGCCATAATAATAATAAGAAAAAAAAAAACCTCTCACTAAAGAAAACCCCAGGACCTGATGCTTCACTGCTGAGTTCTACCAACCATTTAAAGAAGAACTAATGCTAATTTTATTCAAACTCTTAATGAAATTGAAGAGGAGAGAACACTTCTAAACTCATTTTATAGGGCCAGCATTACCCTGATACCAAAACCAGACAATGAAACAACAAAGAAAGAAGACTCCAGGCCAATGTCACTGATGAACAAAAATGTAAAAATCCTCACCAAAATACTAGCAGACTAAATTCAACAACAGATTAAAAGATTTTTCACCACAATCAAGTGAAATTCATTCCAGGGATGCAAAGATTGTTCAACATGAGCAAATCAATAAAAAAGTGATATATCACATTAACAGAATCAAGAACAAAACCCATATGATCATGCCAATAGATGCTAAAAAATCATTCATAAAATTCAACATCGTTTTATAATGAAAAGCCTCAACATACTGGGTATAGAAGGATCATACTTCAACATAATAAAGGCTATGTATGACAAATCCACAGCTAATATGATACTAAATGGGGAAAAATAGAAAACATTTCCTGCAAAATGTGCAACAAGGCAAAGATGTCCATTTTCTTCACATTTATTCAACATAATACTGGAAGTCCCAGCCAGAGCAATTAGGCAAGAGAAAGACATATGGGGCATCCTAGTTGGAAAGAAAGAGGTCAAGTTAGCCTTCTTTGCAGACAATATGGTTTTATAGTTAGAAAAATCTAAAGACTCCACCAGAAAACTGTGAGAACTAATAAATACATTCAGTAAAGTTACAGAATACAAAATCAACATATAAAAATCAGTAGCATTTATATAACCCAATAGCAAATAACCTGAAAAAGAAATCAAAAAGCAATCCAATTTGCAATAGCTATAAAGAATATAAAATACTTAGGAATCAATTTAACCAAGAAGTGAAAGATGTATACAAAGAAAACTATAAAACACTGATGAAAGAAATAGAAGAGGACAAAAAAAAAGAAGTATATTTCATGCTCATAGATGGAAAGAATTAATATTGTTAAATACCCAAAGCAATTTACGGATTCAACGCAATCTCTTTGAAAACACTAATGACATTTTTCACAGAAATAGAGATAACAATCATAAATTTTAGATGGAACAACAGAGGGCCCCCAATAGCCAAAGCTATTCTGAGCAAAAGAACATAGTTGGAGGCATCGCATTACCTGACTTCAAAATATACTACAAAATTATAGTAACCAAATCAGCATGGTACTAAAACAGACACATAAACCAGTGGAACAGAATAGAGAACCCAGATATAAATCCATGCATTTATAGCCAAGCCACTCTCTGCAAATACACCAAGGACATACATTGGGAAAAGACAGTCTCTTCAATAAATGGCACTGGGAAAACTGGATAACCACATGCACAAGAATGAAACTAGACTCTATCTCATACCATATAAAACACCAAATAAAAACAGATTGAATAACTAAATGTAAGACCTGAAACTATGAAACAATTAGAAGAAAACACTGGGAAACACTCCAGGATATTGGTCTGGGCAAAGATTTTTGGGTAAGACCTCAAAAGCACAGGCCACCAAAGCAAAAATATAGACAAATGGGATTATATCAATCAAAAATCTTCTGCCAGCAAAGGAAACAATCAACAAAGTGAAGAGACAACCCACAGAGTGGGAGAAATATTTTTAAACTATCCAACTAATAACGGGTTAATAATCTAAATATATAGAGCTCAGACAACTCAATAGAAAAAAACCAACTAATCTGATTTTAAAAAATGGGTGAAAGAACTGAATAGACATTTCTCAAAAGAAGACATACAAATGGCCAATATGTAAATAAATGCTCAACAACACTAATAATCAGAGAAACATAACTCAAAAAGAAAATGAGATATCATCATACCTCAGGCAGAATGGCTTTTATCAAAAAGACAGGAAATAATGGATGCTGGCAAGGATATGAAGAAAGGAGAACCCTCATACACCATTGACAGGAATATAAATTAGGATAGTCATTATGGAAAACTGTATGGATTTGCCTCAAAAAACTAAAGATAGTATTACTATACAATTCAGCAATTCCACTTCTGGGTATATATCCAAAAGAAAGAAAATTATATATCAAAGTGATAGCTGCACCATGTTTATTGCAGCACTATTTATAATAGCCAAAATATGGAAGCAGCCTAAGTGTCCCTTGATGAATGAATGGGTAAGAATATGTGGTATATATACGCACACATTTTTAGCCATAAAAAATGAAATCATGTTATATGTAGTAACATGGTGGAACTAGAGGTCATTATGTTAAGTGAAATAAGCCAAGCACAGAAAGACAAATATCCATGTTCTCATTCATATGTGGGAGCTAAAAATGTTGATACCATTAAGATAGAGTGTAGATTGGTGGTTATCAGAGGCCGGAAAGGGTAGGGGAAAGGGAGGATAAAGAGAGGTTGATTGAGTACAAATATACAATTGTAAGAAATAAAACCTAGTGTTTGATAAATCAATAAGGTGACTATAATTTACAATAATCTATACATATTTCAAAATAGCTAGAAGAGAATAATTCAGATGTTTCTGGTATAATAAAAAGACAAATATTTGAAGTGACAGATATCCCAATTTTACTAATTTGATCTTTACAAATTATATGAATGTACTAAATTATCACATGTACCTAGAAACTATGTACATCAATACAAAAACAAAGTTTAAAAACAATGTTAATTAAAATAACAATGAGATGCCACTTATCAAATACTAAATTAGCAACATTATAAAAGATGAAACTATTTAGTATCAGTGATTATTCAGTAAAATACATTCTCATTTATAACTCAGAGGAGTAAAATTTGTTATAGCTATTGGAAAGTCACTTTGCCAGATGGTGTTCATTGTATTGTCACAGTAATTCCATTATAAGTTATTTCCAAAACAGATTGAGTTTTATGCACTGTTTTGTCCACACTGTATATCATAATAAAATTATTTTAAAAATAATTATAAATGTACAAATATAGATAAGATTCAAGGAACTTAGCCACCATATTAAAATAGAATGTAATGAAATTGGAAAACAATTATTGTTTATTGGGTTTGTAATGAAACTGTGGACCAGGTATTTGACTGATTATTAGAAGAAACAATACTTTTTATTTTAGTCTTCTTTGCTTGGTGCCTCTGCCATGAACTAAATATGACACTGAGGATGAAATAAGTGAGAATGTATATTCCAGTTTTCTTAATTTTGAGTCATATTTTATTTTATCTATTCCCCGTTTGTTTCCCTTTCGCGTATTTTGTATAAGAGGCTGAGACACATCTCCATCGAGTGGGAGTTCCTAAATATCAGCGGTATTTCCTCATATTCCCACCCTCTCCATGGAGTGCGGCCCCTGGAGTTGCACAGACCTGAGGTTCTTGTCCCATGTGGGTCCTCTCTCTTGAGGCAGGTCTCCATCTCATGGAATAAATTCTCCTCGAGAGAACCCCTCCTTCTGGTTGAAACTGAGAATGGATGCTTCATGGTTAGGATTCAAATTCAAATGGCCTATCCCTTATATTAGGACACTTAATGCTAAGGTTTGACACATATTAATCCCTCTGAGCTAAAATCCAATGGCTCTTTCAGCACCTACCCCTGCTAGTGAATTTTTTACATTTTTAAAATTTATCCTCCTTTTTCTCCCTTGATATTCTTCCACTTTTATTACCAAGTTCTTTACATAGTATTTACTATGTGCTGGCCATTTTTCATACAGATGATTAATTTATTTAACTATCTTAACCTGATGAGGTAAGACTATTATTATCTTTACAAATTAGGAAATTGGAGTTTGGAAAGGTAGTTTCTAGCCAAAGGCCACACAGCTAGTAAGTTATATAAGTGGTGTTCAAACCCAGGAAACTCTTGTTCTTAATCCTCCACCATGCTTCTACATTTTCTATTGGCTATTTCTGCAGTCTAGATTCTGAACCAAAACATACAATTACCTTCCTTCTATCAGCTAAGATATTTGCCTATCTGACTCATCGTCTGTATGGCAAGCTACAGCTTCTAAAAGATTACATTTGTGTAAATGGAAATTGTGGATTGGCTGATTCTTGATCATTCCACATGTTTCTGCATTTGGCCTGGCACTTTCCAATCCATCTCACTCAAAGTGGCAAGTGCATTTCTTCCATTCTGCAAGAATCCCCCATCCTGTGTGCCCTTGGTGGCAGGTAACTCACATTTTATACAATCCTAGTGGGGCTCTCACCTCTGAGGGGCAGATGTTTTTGTTTCTGAACTCGGCACCACGTGAGAAATAGAATAAACAGAACCAGGAGAAGGAGCCCAAAGATACTGGATAAAATAAGTGCTAAATGACCTGTATAGAAATTAAGCATTGATAAGTATTAAACTAGTAGATATCAATTGTGGGTTTATACATTGTAAAAAAAACTGGTTCCCTAGTTGCTGAGAAGAATAATGGCTATACATTTCAACATATTCATGAACAGTACGTAATCTTTGAGAGCTATTTTAGATGAAAACTATCTTGGAACAACTGAATCCAAATCTTTCCATAATTCTATTGCCCTAAATTACTTCCAATTTTATACAAGAGATTTGATAACTAAACCTTTCCTCTTGCATTGCATTCACTACTAAAACACCAGAATCAGAAAATACTAGGGCTTGAGCTGAGCTGTTTCTTTCTTTTTTTTTTTTTTTTGAGATGGAGTCTCATTCTGTCACCCAGGCTGAGTGTACTGGCACGATCTCGGCTCACTGCAATCTCTGCTTCCTGGGTTTAAGTGATTCTCCTGAAGCTTGAGCTGTTTCTGCCAGTCTCATAAAGAATATTTGAGAATCTAGAAAGATTATCTATGAGGGTACCATGAGAGTCTTATCCTTCTCTGCATGTAAAAAGGATTTTTCTAGAGAGAAGGACTGCATAGCAAAGCAGTCACAGAGCTATTGATACCACTGGCTGCGACCCACAGACTCATATTTCTGCAGTCCCCAGTCTTCTTTGATTATCATAGCAGTTTCTGCCCTCCCTTGACCTTCCATGTAGCCTTAGGTATTTGTGTCAGCACTGATAGGCAGAAGACTATACCTGAGGAGGCATTCAGTGATTTCAGCGACTGTCCTGAGAGAGAGAGAGAGAGAGAGAGACGTAAATGAACGAAAAGGAACTGGGTATTTCTTTTTACATCTCCTGCGATTATCGGATGTCATTTAAATATCCTTTTAACATCTCCTGTGAATACTGGATGTCATTTAAAATATCAGTCAGAATCCTCTTGCTTCAAAGTCTAAGGCCAAATCCACCTTTCTTCCCTCAAAATTATGGGGGCTATTTTAGATAACAGTGGAACATTATCTTATTTAGTTGTGGAAAAACGTTAGTTTAACATAGCCTTTCATTCTTCAACAAGAAATCCTAGTATCTTCAGCTCAACTCTCTGAGTGAGCCTGTTTCCCAGTGTTCTCTACCATTAGTGGGAGGCTCAGTTTAAGTGCAGCCTTTTCACACTTACCAGAGCACCTCACGCCAGCATCTTCCTTGTGTCCACAGTCACTCTGTCCCCAGGGTTTGGCGTGACAGTCCCATAGAAATGACTCATTTCCTTTGCACCGCATGTCATCCAACCAGATGGTTCCAGTTCCCTGGCCAAACGAAGCGTCCCTCAGGGCAGCCAGAGCAGAGCCACAGCCCAGCTGCTGACACACCACTTCCGCCTCGGCCAGGTCCCAGGAGTCATCACACACTGTGCCCCAGGAGCCTGCGTGCCAGATCTCCACTCTCCCAGAGCACTCGGTGTCTCCTCCACGCACTCTTATTCTATCTACAAAGGCACAAAACATGGCTGTCTTTACTCCTGAAGGAGGTTGTGGGAGAATGCTGAGGTAGAAAAACTTGAAAGTAGCAAATGTGCTTGATGAATATGGGTGTGGTAAGGAAGGCAGAATTTCAATGTTACATAGATTAGACAAGAACCTGTGAAGTGAATAAACCCCTATACATGACTGTGGTTTGTCCTAGTCACACTCAAGGGGTGAAACATCTCCAGCGAGGCCAAACCAGATATTCATTTTCTACTCTAGATGTTTGAAAACAAAACATATTGATTTCATTTTCCAAATTTCAGTGTCCTATCTGACCCAAACATCCTATCTTGCCCCTCTCATTTTCACAATTTCTCCAAATATAACTAATGTTCATTTGGCTCAAGTTTGATCTATATAAGACCATTGCTGCTTCTGTGCCCTCCAATTATCAGTCCTTTCTTGCCTTCACTTTACTCCCTGTAAGTATGTATACTAAGATCATAACTACAAACACTCTCTTTCCCAAATGAACAATGCTTTGGCACTAGTGACCTCTCGTCACATGGCTGTGTACAAATGCAGGATAAGCCCAACTCTCTACCTCCTTTAAGCCGGTTCCTGAAATACTGAGTTTCACTGCAGATAATTATAACCGGGGTCATTTTAAACTTGCTGCCAAAAAAGTCTGCAGGATCCTCAATATTTTAGAATGATCTTATCATTTTTATGTTTCATTCTTTATTATTTTGTTAAATGTTTTTTCATATTCTAAGCCTCTGCCTTACCTCTGCCCACCAACCACATGAAGACCAAAAGAGAATCTCGGGATTTCTCTATTGGATTTTAGTTCCCGTAATAGTATAGGAAAAGTTACAGTTTCAGTAGATAATTAACTTTTAGGTAATTTGGCTTCTATTCAAAAGGGTTTTTTTGATCTAAACGTCTCATCCCCCGGTCTGATAAGTCATCCCCAAGTCCTCAAACCTGATAACTTTCACATGCACCCTTTAAAAAATTTCCTTTCTCCTTGTCATAAGAGCCCCTCTCCAG
Source organism: Homo sapiens (assembly GCF_000001405.40). Taxonomy (NCBI): domain Eukaryota; kingdom Metazoa; phylum Chordata; class Mammalia; order Primates; family Hominidae; genus Homo; species Homo sapiens. The sequence continues at coordinate 7,370,699 of NC_000012.12, forward strand.
TTACCGTGTTAACTCTTTTCTCTCTCTCATAGCCAAACATCTTGAGTTTATTTTTTCTCGTCATTTTTGTAAATCTCCTGCTCATTAATAAATACTTTTAGACTAGCTTCTACCTCCTACCAATACAGAGTGCATCATTGAATGGCCTATATAATAATAAATTCAGAGTATGGTTTTTAATCCTACTTCTTTGCTATGGTTTGGCTGTATCCCCACCCAAATCTCAAACTGTAGCTCCCATAATTCCCACGTGTTGTGGGGGGGACCTGGTGGGAGGTAATTGAATCATAGGGGTGGGTCTTTCCTGTGCTGTTCTTGTGATAGTGAATAAGTCTCACAAGATCTGATGGTTTTATACATGGGAGTTCCCCTGCACATGCTCTTTTGCCTGCCACCATGTAAGACGTGACTTTGCTCCTCCTTTGCCTTCAGCCATGATTGTGAGGCCTCATTAGCCATATGGAACTGTGAGTCCATTAAGCCTCCTTCCTTTATAAATTACCCAGTCTCTGGTATTTCTTTATTAGCAGCATGAGAACTGACTAATACATTCTTTCATCCTTTCACAAAATTGACTCAAGAAAATGAGAATAAGCCAATAGTCCTGGACATTCTTTTTAAGTATTAACAAATTACTACCCAAAATAGCTATAGTTATTCTCTTTCAAATATTGAAACACAATGATTTTATTCCATATACTATTAAAGATCATAAAAGCTGGCAGAATTCATCCTAGTTTATATTTCAACAAATCTCCAATGCTAATATCAACAAATATAAAAAGAGCGCTAAATAAGATCTACTGCATAGTATCATTCATATACATATAGATGCAAATTTTTAATATAAAATATTGATAAATTAAAACTTAAGATAGTTGAAATCCAAAATTTCAGGTAATATAATTGATCAAATAGGAAAATAGATTTTGGGAAGAAAATATTGAGAAATATGCTTAAAATAATTTTCTATATATTTAAGGATATTTAATGTGATGTTACTTAAAATGGAAAAATAACTTGAATTTTCTAGATGGCCAATGACAGGGATTTGGTGCATAAGATTATAGTATATCATATGGTAAAAAATATATATGCTTTAGCTTGAGAAAATATTGCTAAATCAAAAGAGCAGGGAGCACAAATATGCAAGCATAACATTTTGCAATAAAATATATGAATATATATAAAATATATACACACATATGATACTCAAGAGTGTAATATCAGCTAATATATCATCAACTGATCATGGTATTATAGGTGATATCTGTGTTTTTTTCCATGATTTCTGGGTTTTTTTCAAATTTTTTGTTTGGGGAATGATATTATTTTGTGATACAATTACAATAGTAAAAAGAAGCAAAATGCTTAAAAATATGAACCACAAACAGACAATATTCATAAATAATGTCCATATCCACTACTAACCAAACCCATGCAAATTATGTTGATTTAGGTGAAATTTTAATTTGGGAAGGTATGTGTATGTCTGTGTATATGTTTCTCTCTGTGTGTAACATTGGTGGGAAGGGTGAAATAAAATCAATGCTCTCATATACTGGGGATAAGAATGAAAACTAATACATAGGCTTTCTGCTGGAGCAATTAACTACTACATATAAAGAATCATAAAAATGTTCACTCATTTTACCCACTCATTTTGGGACTAGAAATATAACCTTCAGATATAATCAGAGATTCACCGAAAATGAATAAGGATGCTTATAATGGCATTATTTATACTAGTTTGACATTGAGAAATAGCCTTAATACCAATAATCACATGGTTATTTATGTTCACATGATAAAATATTGTATGCCATTTGAAGGCTATTCATTGAAATTAGAATATATTTACAGTATACTTTTACATATAAAAGTAGGATACAGATATCCTAAATATAGTGTAACACTACATTACATGCATATATATCATACTATATATACATATACATATATAGTATCTATATTTCATATACACATTTCATATACACAATCATAACTTTAAGTTTTTGTACAAAAGGAAGACTAATAGTTAATGTTTCTGAATATTAGTAATGGTTATTTTTGATAATCAGATTAAACGTGGAATGCATTTTATTATTTATAATTGTACAATTTCTAAAATCTCTACAATAAACATATTAAATTTTAATCAAATAAGACAATTTACAAGTGTCTTATAAATAATCAACTAACTTCCCATAGTAAAATGTTCTGCAGGAAAAAATAGAGCTGCTTAATCTCCATAATTAATTCACATTTCCTCAAAAGTTCTGAGCTTTCTAGAATTTCTAAGACAGTATACATATTATATTTTTCATTTTTTAAAACACTGTAATTTTTTATGTGTTGTTATCCTTTTATGTGCTTTCATCCAGCTTCTCACAAGGAGCTTAAAGGAATCAAAAGAGACAATATACATTTTTAAATACCCTGTAAAATACTAAACCAAAATAATAAAATTTCAATATAGAACAGATGCGATAAATCAGCACTTATTGTCATGCACTTTTCAGTGAGTCTGCCATGTGCTCCTGAATGGAAAGATTTGCTATTTATGGTAAGTTATATTTCACAGGGCTTCAGTGACAGCTGGTGTTTAGAAAGATACCCACCTTCACATGTGATCCAGGTCTCTTCTGCTGGGCTGGAGATTCTTCGCTCCCATGGGGCAGACAGGCACTGCCATATGGAGATATGCGTTTTAGGACACTGAATGTCATCCACCCACATGAAACCAGAGCCTGTCTTAGATAAAGGGGCGAGGCTGACAACTCCATTCTCCCCACAGCCCAGCTGCCTGCACACAATGCCTGCTATGGCTGTGGTGATGTTCCTCCTGCCGACGCTGCCCCAGGTCCCGTTATAGAAGACTTCCAATCTCCCAGCACAGCTCTCTGTTTCAGTTTCACTGTAGAGCCTCAAGGCTGTGAATTCTACAGAGAAATACAAAACTTAGTATTAAATATTTCCTTTGGAGTTGGAAAATCCCTCCCCAAGGAATCCATTTTTCCCATGGAAATAATACATTAGGGCTCACAATACAATTTCATAAATCACTCTAACATATTAACAGCATAAATCTGATGGAAACTAAGGGTCTTGTAAGATTTCAGGATGAGTGTGGGTTTCCCAAGAATAGTATTTGAGCTTTAAATTTGTATCAACTTAAGTTAAAATGCAACCTTCTACATTCTACTCTCGAACATAAATTCAATTCAGAAAATAATCAGGAGGTTAACCTCATTTGCAGGGGTGTCCAAGGGAGAGGATACAGTTATGGGTTCTTAGTTTCTGCTTCTGGTCAGGTTAGTAAAGACCCTTCCTCATCCCTCTTTCCTCTTACCACTAGAGACAGAAACTAATAACCATGGCTTCAGGCTACTAAAAGCCTAAAATAAAACAAAACAAAACAACAAAATAAGGCAGATTGGACACGGTTGACAGTGTGTTCTCAGAGCCAGAGTGGATGTCATGTAAGGTCCCTTTCTTGGGGTCTAACATTCTCTGACAGTAAGACCAATCTTTTATTCTTCTCAGTTATGAATGATACCCAGACAAATGTAATATGACAAGGGTATTAAGAAATCAGTATAAGAGAATAGGATTAAAACCAAGTGGATTTTTTGTTTGTATTCCTAGGCCATACACTTTTCACTACACTTTACAATTGTGTTGTGTGTGTGCAAGTGTGTGCACGTGTGTGTAGAGGAGGGTGAAAAGGTAGCAGCACAGACCTGAGCAGATGACCCCTGCGTCCTCCTTGTGCCTGCAGTCGTGCTGCCCCCAGCCGCGGGAAGGGCACTGCCACAAGTGGGACTCCATTCCTGTGCAGTTCAGGTCATCCAGCCAGATGGGCCCTGACCCCTCCCCAAAGTGAGCAGAGACCGTGGCATTGAAGGCCACTCCACAGCCCAGCTTTTGACACACCACGTGGGCATCGCTCAGGTCCCAGCCGTCATCACAGATGGTGCCCCAGAAGCCGTCGTGATAGATCTCTACTCTCCCGGCACAGCGGCTGTCCCCATCCACTAGGCGGAGCCGTTTGTCCTCTTAGAGGAGAAAGTCCAGTTAATAGGTCACATTCTTTAGAGTTGCAGTGTTTCCTAAAACTGATTCTGCTTACCTAAGCAGATCAAAGCACTGCCCTCTGGAACTGCAGACAAATATGGGTCAGATACATTTGCGAGGCATGGAAACAGTGGCTGGGTCAGGCTTCCTGGTGGAGGGTGCAGGAAATGGGGCAAAAGTAAGACCAAAATACATGGAAAAGGTTGAAGAGTTCTGTAACAACATGGAATCTGCAATTGTGATAAGGACTTTTCAAACCCTGTCGTCTATTGAAATCATTTTTATTAATGATGTCTACTCGTAAATCCCAAACACAGAGGTGTTAACTTCCCCTTAGGAATGGTCCTAGTTATCATTATTTCTTACATGTTACTCTTTGACTGTCATGCCTATCCCCCCTCCACCTGCACCCCCATTTTCTTACTCATCTTTCCTTTAATCCCAACTCCCTCTACCATGTCTGGGCTATATTGACAGTAGTTAACCATAAGCACTATTCTCTTACCTGTGCAGATCACAGAGACAGTATTTCCATGGATACAGGGAGGTGCTCCAAGAACTGTCATTTGACAGTTATCCAGAAGTGACTCATTCCCTAAGCAATGAAACCTGTGTCCCCACACACGAACACTTCTTTCTCCAATATATTTTCCTCCTGTGGTTGAGAGAGCAGTCCCACAGCTGAGCTGTCTGCATAGAACACGGGCATCTTCTGGGTCCCAGTGGGTGTCACACAGTGAGCCCCAGTGTCCAAGCACGTTGATCTCCACTTGCCCGTCACACTGGGATTTGCCATTCACAAGTCGGACATCTGTATATCCTAGGAGGAGACAAGGCCATAGAAGAGACATCATGACTTATCAGCTCCAGCCCCAAACTCCCCATCTCTAGCCCCAGCCAATTAAGATTATTTAAAAATCTCACGGGAACAGACAACTCCAACTTCTCTGCTGTGGATACAAGTGTCTTCCGGATGTTGAACAATGGGGCATAATGCAAGGTGAGTTTCACTCCCTTCACACTGGAACTTTTCGGCCCAAGTTAGACCATTCCCTTTTCCAAAGTGATCTCCCACAGAAAGAGATATGGCATCTCCACAGTTTAATTCTCTGCACAGCACATTGGCAGCATGAAGAGAGAAATCAGAATCACAGACAGAGCGCCATGTGTCTGCATGTTTCACTTCAACACGTCCAGAGCAGGGCATATCAGCTCCAACCAGCCTGGGCTGCCTGTGGGCTATAAAATAATATTTCAAAGGTTAGTTTTTAGGGTTTTCCAATATCTATCCCTGTCTCCAGTCTCCATATCTAACCCCAGAGCAATTTTTCTCCATTCATCATTAGAACATCCCATTCGTAGGGGCTCAGAGGACAAGATTAGCAGTACAGACTTAAATTCACAGATCTGGATTACATACCTATTTTCTATGTCTTGGTGACCCACCAATCCTAGATTTAGAACTCATCAGAAGGAAATGAATTGCACAATTTGTTTACATTAAAAAAATACTAAGTAACCTCAGCATTAAACAACACGTGAAGATTTGTAGTCATCTTAAGAAGATGGTGTAATATAAGAATAGAAAGACTTCTACTTACTGGTTAGATCCCAGCAATCCATCTAAATGAGTAATTTATAAACAACAAAAAAATACTGCCCATTATTCTGACTCTATTCTTTGCAGCAAAGCTACTTATATTAGTAATGTATGTTATCTGTCTCCAACCCAGGCATTTTTCCAAACTCCTGACTCATTTATCCAATTTCTACTTAGCATTTCCATTTGGATTTCTTATAGATATCTCAATGTGAATTCTTTGGAGTCCTTTCAAACATCTATCTAAGGCTGCAGACTTCCATATTTCTATTGATGGAACTCCATCATTCCAGACATTCAAATATTTTGAAATAATTCTTGACTTCCATTACATACTATATCTCGCCTTTCAGAAAGTTTTGTTTTCTGTATTTTCAAAGTATGCCCATAATCCCAAAACTTCTCACCCCTTCAACCCTAGCGCCTTGATTGAGCCACCATCATTACTTGCCTGAGTTACTATAATAGATTCCTACAGATTCCCTGTTTCTATAATTATTCCTCTATAGTTCATCTTTTAAAAAAATAAAAATCCAGAGAGGTTATTTAAAATGATGTATCAGGTTAAATCAGTATTCTGCCCCAAATCCTCCCATGACTCCATATTTCACTCAGAGTAAAAATCTAAACTCCTACGAAGACCTGCTTGTCCCTGAGTGACCTTCCCCTGCTCATTTACCCCTTTTGGTGCCAGGTCCTGATGTTTTACTTACTGCTCTTCAGCTGCATTGGATTCCTTTCTCTTCTTCAAACATATCAGGCATAATCTTGCCCCAAGGCTTTTGAACTGGCTGTATCTCTATTTGTATTTTCCTTCTGCGTATATGCATATAACTGACTCTCCCATGACCTTCGAGTCTTTGTCTATGTTTCACCTTTTCAGTAAGGCCTACCCCAGTCATTTTATTTGGAATTTCATTCTGTCCCATAAACACTCTGGATTCTATTTTCTAGTTCTATTTTTTCCTATAGCCTCTAACATCAGCTAATAGCATATATTTTACTTCATCACAGAAAGTGATGTTCTTTTGAACAGCACTACTCTAGAATCTCCTATCAATAAAAAAAATTGAGTAACTCCCCTGAAGATTATATTCCTTTTTAGTCATCACCTTATTTATTTCTTCCCCTTAAAATACAGCTTTTTGGAAATAGTCTATGCCTATTATCCCAACATCTTTACCTCCCATTTCCTTCTCAACTTGAAATGATCTCCTTTTTCTAATGTGACATAACTACTTTTATTAAATTTATTCATGACTTCTCTGTAGCTAAGCTTAGTGGAAATTGTTCAGTTTCATCTATATTGGCCTCTTAGGGCTTTTTTGGAATTGATGTCCCCATCTTTTTGAAACATCTTCCCTTGGCTTTAGCGATGTGACATTCTGCCACCACTGTTCCTCAGTATGCTTTTCCAACTTCTTTTATGTCAATAAACTATTAAATACTATTGTTCCTCAGGGCTAAGAGCTCCTCTTTCTTGAATCTAGGCTTTAAAAATTCTCAATTTACATTTTATTCCTAGATTTAGTTTCCGTCTACATATGTAGGACTCTAATAGTTATATCTCCATTCAATACAAGTCTTCTGATCATCTAAATCTCATATCCAATTTCCTCCAACCCTCTTCATTTGATGACTGCTTTACTATTACCTCATATTTCACACATACAAAATTGGACTCATCATCCCACCCTCTCTAAACTGCTCCTCTTCCAAGATTATCTTTCCAGATGATGACACTGCAGTGCACCCATCTGCTTAGTCTAGAAACCTTTATCTTTATTTCCACATTCAGTGTATTCAGTTCTGCTGGTTTCAGCTACTAAATATTTCTGAAATTTGGAAGCTTTTCACCAGCTCCACAGTGAGCATCCTAATCAAAATTCCGTATCTTCCCTAGAATTATTCAACAGCATGACTCCCGGCATCCAATAGCCTCCTCTCTCCAATGCACACACAGACACACACATAAACACACACACACACCCCACACTGCAGCCAGAGTGCTGTCTTTGAAATGCAAGTTGTATCATGCTTACAACCTTCAATGATTTATCATTCACTTTAGAATAAAGTTCACAATTCCTACTCCATAAATAACCTTTCCCTTGCCTACATATCAAGACTTTATTATAAGTTTTCCCCCTTCTTCACTTGGATCTAATACCTCTTCTTTCAACCATCTTTTAGTTCCTGGAATAACACAAGCTTATTCCCAGGTGTGTTACTCGAATAAAATACTACTGTTTAAATTAATCTTCCCAACACTTCTTCATATGATTAAATCTTACCTGTCCTTCACATCTTTCCTTAACTATCACTTCACAGAAATATTCTCCGACTCTGCAAATAGGTAATATCTTCTAATTATGCCTTCTCATTTCATCTTGTGCTTCTACTTCACGCAATTTTAAATAAACAGTTATTTAATTATATATTTTTATTATATACCTGTCTTCTAGATAGAGGGTAGGATTACTTTTATCTAGTTCATTTACTTTTGACCTAATACTGTTAAATAGCCACTTCATAAACACGTATTAAATAAGTGCAAAAATAAATAATTAAATAAATGTGTTTATCTTTGTCCAGAAATTACCTGAGCAGATCAAACTTGCTTCCATATTTAAATGACACGCAGTCTGTTTCCACTCCCATCGTATACAATCCCAGAGAGAGGCTTCCCCTCCAGTGCAGCCAGAATTCGACATTAAGATGTGTAATGTTCTTTCTGTGAAATGAGGCTCTCTGGAGACCCTGATTGCAGACCCACATTCAAGTTGCCTGCAAACAACTTCAGCAATGTTCATTCCCCAGCCATTAGCACACAGAATTCCCACGGCACCCTGGACATTCACCTCAACTTTTCCAGCACACCTGCTGCTTCCACCCACAAGCCTCAGCTCCATATCCGATGCATCTGAAACCAAATACCACAATGATTTTAGAGAAGCACTCTATGTGAGACATTAAAGATTCTTATCCATTCCTGTACACTAACATAGACCAGTGGCCAAAAGTTGAGAGATTGTTTAGGTCCCGGCTTCACCAGTGTTTAATTTTATTTTTTACTTTCCTTCAAACTTAATTTTCCTTTTTATTGGATAAAAAATAAAATAACAAAAGTACACCAAGGTATGTTTCAATCCATGAACATTTCTGGCTTACAAAGCAAGGATATAGTTTTACTTACAAAATCTTATCAGAGACTTAGGATAAAAAATAGTGTTACTTAATGGCCCTAATTCTTGCCTGAATATTTGAAGAATTACATATTACATGTTAGATACTAAAGAGAATGTTAGGAAGAGGTGATATAATTTAATGAAAAGTCAAGGAAAAACTGCATAGGGCTGTGATATTACCAAATCCAGAAAAATGGAGAAACTTGCCTATTAGTGATGCCAAATGAAGTAATTCTAAAAAGAAATTGGAGCTCGGGAAAAGAAAACACAAAATTCACTGTATGTGAGAAGAGGAGTAGGTAAGTTTTTTTTTTTTTAATGAAAAATGCTCATCATCACTAATGATCAGGAAAATGCAAATCAAAACCACAATGCAATGCCACTTTACTCCTGCAAGAATGGCCATAACCAAAAAATCAAAAAAGAATAGAGTTTTCATGGATGCAGTGGAAAGGGAACACTTCTACACTGCTGGTGGGAATGTAACTAGTACAACCGCTATGAAAAACAGTGGAGATTCTTTAAAGAACTAAAAGCAGAGCTACCATTTGATCCAGCAATCCCACTACTAGGTATCTACCCAGAGGAAAATAAGTCATTATCTGAAAAAGATACTTGCACACGCATGTTTATAGCAGCATAAATCGCAATTGCAAAAATATGGAACCAGCCCAAATGCCCATCAATCAACAAGTGGATAAAGAAACTGTGGTGTGTGTGTGTGTGTGTGTGTGTGTGTATACACATATACATACATATATGTATGTATACACGTATACATACATGTATGTGTGTATACGCGTATACATACATGTATGTGTGTATATGCGTATACACACATGTATGTGTGTATATATATACACATGATGGAATACTACTCAGCCATAAAGAGGAATGAATTAATGGCATTCACAGCAACATGGATGGAATTGAAGACTATTATTCTAAGTGAAGTAACTCAGGAATGGAAAACCAAATATTGTATGTTCTCACTCATAAGTGGGGGGCTAAGCTATGACGATGCAAAGACATAAGAATAATACAATGGACTTTGAGGACTCAGGGGAAAGGGTACGAGGGGTTTGAGGAAGAAAAGACTACAAATTGGGTTCAGTGTATACTGCTTGGGTGATGAGTGCATCAAAATCTCACAAATCAAAACTAAAGAACTTACTCATGTAACTATTACCATCTGTTCCCTAAAAACCTATGGAAATAAAAAACTTTTTAAAAAAGAGGAAACGAAGAATTAAATCAGAAATTAATTCTGAGCCTAATTGAAAGAGTCAGCTTTTGAAGGAAATTTTTAGCAGTATTGACATAAAATGAAATGAATCTCATTCTAGAAAGGTTACTTTATCTTTTTAGGGCAGTTTGGTAGCTTTGAGTGTGCTGTGGCATAGTCTGTGAAACACAAATAATATTGCCTACTAATTTGAGAATATATCTAATTATATAACAATGTAATACTTCTTTATCTAATTAAAAACTATAAATGGTATCAGCTTCTTTTCTATTGTTTTAGTTAAAAATAAAAATTCACATTATTAAATGTCTATGTGATATCATACTATTTTTCTACTTTATATACTAAATTATATTAATAGGTTTATTAACTGCCTAATGTTGACAGATCTGACATGTCAGAAAATCAACTCTGACTTTGACCAGATCAAACCTGACCAAGTTACTTCCTATTGGCCTTGAGAAGAAGAAAAATATAATTAACGTGGTCTAGAGGACCTGGAAAGTCTGTCCTTTCCTATCACTTCAGTCCCACTTCCTGCCACTTATAAAACAGCTGAATGAAATTTTACTACATTGGTTATTTTGATATAATCTTGTGTAGATATGAGATGATTCTCTAAATAAAACTCCCATTCAGCAGAAAAATAGAGTTGTAATGTATTTCCATTTTAAGCCTATTTGTTACTCTGTGTCTTTGGAGCTCAGTGACAGGGTTTGTGAAACATGAGTCAAGATCTGTTTGTAATTGGCAGGAGTTTCAAAACAATAATCATGTGAGGGTGGTAGATCAGTCTTAGCAACTTTACCATAAAAGTAAAAAGAAATTTTTTTAAATGGGGTTTATTTTAGATACTGACGTTTAGAGAGCTATAATTTTGTGTGTGGTGGTGGGGAGGGTGGGGAGAATAAACATATATATCTTGTAGGAATCTCTATCAAAATTGAGATTCCCTGAAAAGGTGTCTAGAAACAGATGAACTTTCTTCATTAAATGAACTACTCTAAATATAAGGGAAAAACATATTTCACTGCTTTGTAGCAACATATTCCACTCTGAGAGAGAGTCTTAGGTGGAAAAACAGTTGCTGTAGGTGATTCAGCATAAAAAGGTGACATCATATTGACTTTTAGGTTTTTCTGAATTAAAAAAATATATATTTATATGTAATTGTTTTATATACATAATTATATATTTATATATAATGGTTTTATATAGAATTGTTTATATATAATTGTTTTATATATATAATTATTTTAAATATATATATACACACATAGAGATATATATATAATTCTCAATATGTAAAACAATTATTACCAATAAGAAAGTCTGTAGTTTACAATACAGATACAAGGACAGAGAAGAAAGGTGTGGGTAGTTTCTATGGATTGGAGTTGGGTCCCGTGTTCAGGAATCCTCAACTCTCTTATTGAAAGACACATTGATATTCATGATTATGGAGAGAAGAACTTTCCCTTAAAAGAGAATAGCTCAAGGGGGAGGCTTCAAGACGGCTACTAGAGGCACCCAACACTCACCACCAAAAACGATCAAAACAGCAAGTAGATAATTTCACAACGAATAGTGTCTAAGATAGAACACTGGAATCCAGCAGGGAAGTGATAGGGAACAGATCCTTCTGAGGCACAGAGAGAGAAAGAAGTGAAGCAATTGTCTGGCTAGGATTGACTGGAAGCCTGGTATGGATCCCCACTGTAGAAAAAGAATAAATGAGAGATTCCTAGCAGTCCACATTCCCACTGTGGGCCCTTGCAATCCTAGCCATGGGAGAGCCCCTCAGCTTCTGTGGGCTCTGAGACTAGTACAGGGAGCTGCCTAGAGTTTGCACAATAGCGTTGTTCCAGAGGGGGAGTTTGTGCTGGGTCCTACATCCCAATCCCCAACCCCAAGACCCAGGTAACTCCAGCATGGCACCATTTTGAGAGTCCAGCTCCCACAAGATTGCATCCTGTCCTGGGCCCCAGTAAGCCCTACATCTCTACATGTCTAGAGCCCCACTGATAACCTCCCTTATCCATCTGGAGGGCTGCAGTGGTGCCATGCTGGCTGGACTGGCAGTGTGTCTAGGTCCCCAGCCATCTATTCCACACAGTGTCTGATGTACTGGGAAATGGGTAGTTCACAGAGGAGTGTTCCCCCATGATAAAGAGAGCTGAAGCATCTCCCCAGAGCCTGAGAGCCACCTGTCTGGGGTCACTATCACTGATAGCAACCCCACTTCCTCGCAGCAGCAGGGACACTGTGCACTTTCATGAGCCTTCAGTGAGCCTGAAAATGGCTTGCCAGGATGCCATACAAGGACCTACATGGAGGTTTGCCCCACCTGCTACCACCTAAGCATGCCACCCAAAGGTCTGGAAATTGCCCTATTCCACTCACCATAGTCTGTCCCTGTGTGCAACATCAGTAGCCTTGAGGACAGACCTGCACTGCTGGGTGCCACCACTACCTCCAGCACCCACCTACATGTGCCACCTGGGGGCCTGGAGAATTGCCTGCCCAGCACTGCTAGCACCAGTGTATACCGGCTGGGAACCTGACAGTTGGCCTGACACCACTACTGCTATTGGTGACACCAGTCATGTTACCTAGGGGCCTGAGAACTTTCCCACCTGCCTAACTCAATGCTGCCACTGCTGGTAGATAAGCAAGCCACCTGGAAGCCCAAGAATTGACCCACCTAGATCAACTCACATTGGTGCTTGCATATGCCACCTAGGGTCCCATGGACAGTCATGGTCAGCCTGCTGCTACCACCACCACTGAGGCTCAAGGACTGGCTTGTCTGGTGTCCTTATTCCTAGCAAAGCTTCACAACAGCCTTAACTAATAGCCACAGTCTAAGCCAAAGAGGAAATCCCAGACACTCTTCACACTGATTATCACTGAAGAAATCATGGAGATTACACTATAGCATGCACCCAGGATCAAAGATAAACTGCCCTACCCAACCAACACTATAGCTATATCTACAACAAAAAGTTTTCCTCTATGAAAGCCAACCCCAAAATATGAAAGCAACGATTTTATACCAGATGCACAGATATCAATGTAAGGACACAAGAAACATAAAAAGGCAAGGAAACATGACACCTTCAAAGGAACACAATAATTTCTCCAGCACCACATTTCAGCAAAAAGAAAATGGATGAACTGCCTGAAAATAATTTTAAATAATGTTATTAAAGAATTTCAGTGAAACACACAAAAAAACACAGATAAATAATACAAATAAATTAGAAAAACAATTTAGGATGTTAATGAGAAATTCAACAAAGAAATATCATAAAAAAGAAACAAACAGAAATCATGGAATGAAATAATTCAATGAAAAACATAAAAAAAATCAAATAAAGCAGAAGAAAGAACTGCAGAACTTGAAGATAAATCTTTGAAATAACCTAGTAAAAGAAAAAGAAAGAAATTTTTTTTCAATTAAAAAACCTTTGCAACACATGGGACACCATAAGGTGACCAAATACTTGGATTCTGGGTGTTCCAGAAGGAGAAGAGATGGACAATGGCATAGAAAACTTATTTAATAAAATAATAGCTGAAACTTTCCAGGTTTTAAAAGATACTTAGATATCCAGATACAAGAAGCTGAAAGATCTCCAAATTGATACACCTCCTCCCACAAAATGTATTCTCCAAGGCACATTATACTCAAACTGTGAAAAGCCCAAGATAAAAAAATAATTTTAAATACAAGAAAAAGATGGCCACTCATGTGTGCAAGGAAACCCAGATCAGATGAATGGGGATTTCCCAGCAGAAATCTTACAGGCCAGGAAAGAAAGGTATGGTGTATTCAAAGTGCTAAAAGAAAAAAATGCCAGCCTAAAATATAATACCCAGCAAAGTTACCCTTCAAAAATGAAGGAGATATAAGGTCTTTCCCAGATAAGCAAAAAATGAGGAAATTCATCACCACTAGATTGGTCATACAAGAAACACTTAAGGAAATCTATATCTGGAAGTGTATATCATCATGAAAGCACATGAAAGTATAAAACTAAGCAGACAAATGAGAAAAAAAGGACCCAAATGTTACCACCATAGAAAACCACAAAACAGCAATAATAAATAATGAGAGAAGAAAATAAAGGATATATAAAACAACAAAAAACAGTGAATATAATGACAGAAATAAGTCCTCACCTATCAACAATAACCTTGAATGTAAATGAATTAAATTGTCCACTTAAAAGATATAGATTGGCTGAATGGATTAAAAAAAACAATGACCCAAATATATGCTTCCTAGAAGAAACTGACTTCAACTGTGAAAACAGACATAGACTGAAAGTGAAGGGATGGAAAAAGATATTCCATGTAAATGAAAACCAACAGCAAGTAGAAAAGTAGAAATAGCTATATTTATATCAGATAAAGTGAACTTTAAGTTAAAAACTGTAAAAAAAAAAAAAGACAATCATCATATAAAGATAAATTGATCAATTTATTAAGAGGCTATAACAATTCTAAATACATATACACCCAACAATGAAGCACTCAGACATATAAAGCAAATATTATTAGACCTGAAGGGAGAGAGTGACTCAATTACAATAATAGTTGGCACTTCAACTATTCATCTCAATATTGAACATATCATCTAGACAGAAAACCAATAAAGAAACATCAGATAGAAACTAGACTTTAGACCAAATATACCTAATGGACATTTACAGACTGTTTCACTCAACAGCTGTAGAATATACATTCTTTAAATCAGCACATAAAACGTTTTCCAGAATAGACCATATTCAAGGCCACAAAACAAGTCTCAACAAATTTTTAAAAATTACAATTATATAAAGTATCTTATCAGACCACAGTGGAATAAAATTGGAAATCAACGACAAGATAAATTTTGGAAACTGTAAAAATACATGGGAATTAAACATGTTCCTGAATGATCATTGAGTTAATTAAAAAATTAAGAAGGAAATGAAAATATTTCTTGAAACAAATGAAAATAGAAACACAACATACCAAAGCCTATGGGATACACCAATAGCACAGTTAAGAAGGCATTTATAATAAAAAAAGCAAAAAAGTAGAAAGATTTCAAATAAACAATCTAATGATGTATCACAACACACTAGAAAAGCAAGACCAAACCAAACCCAAAATGTGTAGGAAGAAAGAAGTAATATAGATCAGAGCAGAATTAAACAAAATAGAGCCTAAAAGCCAGTACAATCAATGAAACAAAAAGTTGACTTTTTGAAAAGATCAAACTTTTGCTAAAAGAAGAGTGAAGATTCAAATAAAAATCACAAACAAAAAGAGAAACATTACAACTGATAACACAGAAATACAAAAGATTATAAGAGCCAAATATGAGCAACGATACACTCACAAACTGGTAAATCTAGAAGAAAGGATAAATTCCTGTACACATACGATCTGCCCAAGATTAATCAAGGAAGAAATAGGAATCCTGAACAGATCAATCATGAGTAATTAGATTAAATCAATAATGAAAAGTCTCCAGACAAAGGAAACCCCAGGACTAGATGGCTTTACTGCTGACTTCTATCAAACTAATAAAGAAAATCTAACATCAATTCTTTTCAAACTATTCCAAAAAAATCAAAGAGGAGGGCATTCTTCCTAACTCATCCTAGGAGGCCAGTATTACCCTGATACCAAAACCAGAAAAGGAAGCAACAGAAAGAGAAAAATACAGGCCAATATCCTTGATGAACATAGATATAAAAACCCTCAACAAAATACCAGCAAGCCAAATCCGTCAACATATCAAAAAAAAAAAAAAAAACAGTATAGTCAAGTGGGATTTAGTCCAGGCATGCAAGGATGATTGAACATATGCAAATCAATAAAAGTGATACATTATATCAACAGAATGAATGACAAAAACCATATGATCACCTCAATAAATGTAGAAAAAGCATTTGATAAAATTCAACATCCCTTCATAATAAAAACTCTCAACAAACTAGGCATAGAAGGAACATACCTCAACATGAGAAAGGCCATATAGGACAAGCCTACAACTAACAATATAATGAATGGGGAAAAGTTTAAAGTCTTACCTATAAGAACTGGAAAAAGACAAGGATGCCCACTTTCACCACTGTTATTTAACATAGTACTGGAAGTCCTAGCCAGAGCAATCAGACAAGACAAAGAAATAAAAGTCATCCAAATCAGAAAAGAGAAAGTCAAATTGTCCATCTTTGCAGATGACATAATTGAATATTTAGAAAAACCTTAAGACTCCATAAAAATCTCTTAGAACTAATAAACAAATTCAGCAAAGTTACAGCATACAAAATCAACATACAAAAGTGAGTAGCATTTCTATACACCAATAACAAACTACTGAGAAAGACACCAAGAAGGCAATCTCATTTGCAAGAGCCACAAGAAAGAATAAAATAAAATATCTAGGAATACATTTAACCAAGGAGGTGAAAGACTTCTATGATGAAAATTACAAAACATTGATGAATGCAATTAAGGAAGACACAAACAAATGAAATGAAGAGACATCTCGTGCTTTTTGATTGGAAGAATTAATATTATTAAAATGATCATACTACATGATATAGTTTGGATGTTTGCCCCTCCAAATCTCATGTTGAAATTTGATTCTCAATGTCAGAGGTGAGGTCTAATGGGCAGTGTTTGCCTCCTGGTGGTGGATTGCTCATAATTGACTTGGGGCCATCCTTTTGATAATGAGTGAGTTGTTGCTCTATTAGTTCTCTTGATATCTGGCTGTTAAAAAGAGCCTGGTACCTCCTCTTCTCTCATCATGTGATGCTGGCTCCCCTTCCCCTTTTGCCATGCTACCTGAGGACCTCACCAGAGGCAGAGGCTGATGCCATGCTTGTTCAGTATTCAGACTGTGAGCCAAATAAACCTCTTTTCTTTATAAATTACCCAGCCTCGAGTATTCCTTTATAGCAATGCAAATGTACTAAGACACTACCCAGAACCTGAATAACCACAGCAACCCCAAGCAAGAAGAATAAATCTTGAGGCACATCATACTATCTACCTTCAAAATACACTACAAAGCTACAGTAACCAAAACAGCCTGCTATTGGTATGAAACAGACACATGGACAAATTAAACAGAATAGAGAACCTAGAAATAAGTCCATGTATTTGTAGCTGACTGATTTTTGACAAAGGCACCAAGAACATACATTGAGAGAAGGATCCCTCTTCAACAAATGATGCTGGGAAGACTGGATATCCACATGAAGAATGAAACCATACCCCTCTCTCACCATACATAAAAATCAAAGGAAAATGGATTAAATACTTAAATGTAACACATCAACCTATAAAACTACTAGAAGAAAACATTGGGAAAATACTCCAAGACATTGGTGGGCAAATATTTTATAGCTAACATTTCAAAAACACAGGCATCAAAACGAAAAGGAGACAAACTTTTAGACAAACTAAAAAGCTTCTACACAGCAAAGGGAACAATTAACAGAGTGAAAAGACATCCTGTTGAATAGGAGAAAGTATTTGCAAACAAACTCTTCATCTAACAGAGTGCTAATATCCAGAATATTTTAAAACTTGAATAACTCGACAGGAAAACAAAACAAATAACCCCATTACAAAGTGGGCAGGCTGGACATGGTGGCTCAAGCCTATAATCCCAGCATTTTGGGAGGCCAAGGAGGGCAGATCACTTGAGCCCGGGAGATTGAGACCAGCCTGGGCAACACGGTGAAACCCCATCTCTACAAAAAACTACAAAAATTGGCAGGGTGTGATGGCGCATGCCAGTGGTCCTAGCTACTTGGGGGACTGAGGTGGGAGGATTGCTTGAGCCCTGGAGGTCGAGGCTGCAGTGAGCTGAGATTGTGCCACTCCACCCCAGCCTGGACAACAGAGTGAGATCCAGTTTCAAAAAAAAAAAAAAACAAAGTGGGGGGGGCAAAGGATAGGAATAGACATGTATCAAAATAAGATAACAATATGGAGATTTCTCAAAAAACTAAAAATAGAACTTAATCATATGACCCAGAAATCCTATTTATCCAAAGGAAAGGAAATCAGTACACCAAAGGAATACCTCCATGTTGTTGCAAATCATTGAATCTCATTCTTTTTTGTCTGAATAGTACTCCTTTGTGTATATGTACCACATTTTCCTTAACCATTCATCTGTTGATGGACACTTAGATTGCTTCCAAATCTTAGCAATTGTAAACAGTGCTGCAACAAACATAGGAGTGCAGATATCTCTTTGATACATTGATTTCCTTTTTGGGGGTATATACCCAGCAATAGGATTGCTGAATCACATGGTAGCCCAATTTTTAGTTTTGTGAGGAACCTCCAAACTGTTCCCCACAGTGGTTGTACTAATTTACATTCTCACCAACAGTGTTCAAGGGTTCCCTTTTCTCCACATCCTCACCAACATTTGTTATTGCCTGTCTTTTGGACACAAACCATTTAACTGGGGTAATATGATATCTCATTGTATTTTTGATTTGCACTTCTCTGATGATCAATGATGTTGAGCACTTTTTCATATGCCTATTATGTTAAGTGAAACAAGCCAGGTACAGGAAGGCAAACATCGCATGCTCTCACTTATTTCTGGGATCTAAAAATCAAAACAATTGAACTCATGGACATAGAGAGTAGAAGGATGTTTATCAGAGGCTGGGAAGGGTAATGGGGGGCTGGAGAGAAGGTGGCAATGGTGAATGTTTAAAAAAAACAGAAAAAATGAATAATACCTACTATTGATAGCACAATAGGGTGACTATAGTCAATAATAACTTAATTGTATATTTTTAAATAAGTTAAAGAATGTAATTGGATTGCTTGTAACACAAAGGATAAATGCTTGAGGGGATGGAAACCCCATTCTCCTCAGTGTGCTTATTTCACATTGCACACCTGTATCAGAATGTCTCGTGTACTCCATAAATATCTATACCTAGCATGTACCCACAGACATTTTTAAAAATAATTTAAAAAATTAAAAAACAAAGGAATAAATGTACCCCCTTGTTTGTTGCAGCACTATTCACAATAGCCATGATATGAAATCAACCTAAGTGTCCATCAAAGGATGAATGAATAATTAAACATTTTATATATATATATTTATATATATATATATATATATATGCACACACACAATGGAATACTATTCAGTCCTAAAAAAGAATGAAATCTTACTATTTGCAGCAACAGGGATGGCTTGGATGACATTATGTTATGCAGAATAAGCCAGGCATGGAAAGACAAATATCACAAGTTCTCACTCATATACGGGAGCTAAAAAAGTCATCTCATGGAGACAGAGAGTAAATGATAGTTACCAGAGGCTGGGAAGGGTGTGCGTGTGGTGGGCGGACAGGATGAAGACAGGTAGGTTAATAGGTACAAACATACAGTTAAACAGAAGGAATAAATTCTAGTGTTCAATAGCACAGTAGGGTGACTATAGTTAAAAAACAATATATTGTATATTTTTAAATAGCTAGAAGAGAAGATTTGAAATGTTATCAACACAAAGAAATGAGAAATATTTGAGGAGAAGGATATCCTAAATACCCTGAGTTGATCATTTACACTCATGCAGCATTCCATGCTTGAGTTAAAATGTCACATGTACCCCATAAATACGTACACATATTATAGATCAGTAAAAATAATAAGAGAATAGTGCATTGGAAGAACAAGCTTCCAGAAAACAACAGGTAAAATTCAAATTGGAAGATCTTCTCTGAAGAAAGATTGTGATAATTTGTAAATGATAACTCTACGTCTACCTACATTAAAAGGGAGAATAGAATTATGAAAATTTAAAAGGAAAATTTCAAGTCTATATCAGAGCTTAATGATTCTTTAAAATATAATTTAATATCTTATTCATTCATCTTAGAAAAGAATGTATAGACTAAGGAATAAATATGTTGAAAACAAGGAAGCCCAAAGACCAATGATGTATCTGAGTCAGGGAGTCCAACTCTTTTAAAATTGTACTACATGGGTGGTTGTATATCAAATTTTTCTTTGCACCATTTTAAAGTTGTCTAATAAAAACTTTGGTCTTAGAGAAGGAATCTACAAGGCAGTTCTTGACATCTTTAAAATTATATAAAGGATGGCCAAATAGAAACAGCTCCGGTCTTCAGCTCCCAGTGTGATCAACGCAGAAGACAGGTAACTTCTGCATTTCCAACTGAGCCTCCGCTGTTGATACCCAGGCAAACAGGGTCTGGAGTGGACCTCCAGCAAACTCCAACAGGCCTGCAGCTGAGGGACCTGACTGTTAGAAGGAAAACTAACAAACAGAAAGGAATAGTATCAACATCAACAAAAAGGATAACCACACCAAAACCTCATCTGTAGGTCACCAACATCGAAGACCAAAGGTAGATAAAACTGCAAAGATGGGGAGAAACCAGAGCAGCAAAGTAGAAAACTCTAAAAACCAGAGTGCCTCTTCTCCTCCAAAGGATCGCACCTCCCCACCAGCAATGGAACAAAGCTGGACAGAGAATGACTTTGATGAGCTGACAGAAGTAGGCTTCAGAAGGTCTGTAATAACAAACTTCTCCGAGCTAAAGGGGCATGTTCTAACCCATGGCAAGAAAGCTTAAAAACCTTGAAAAAAGGTTAGACGAATGGCTAACTAGAATAAACAGGGCAGAGAAGACCTTAAATAACCTGATGGAGCCGAAAACCATGGCATGAGAACTTTGTGATACATGCACAAGCTTCATTAGCCAATTCAATCAAGTGGAAGAAAGGATATCAGTGATTGAAGACTTGGATAAAGACTCAAGACCCGTCAGTGTGCTGTATTCAGGAGACCCATCACCTTCAGAGACACACATAGGCTCAAAATAAAGGGATGGAGGAAGATCTACCAAACAACTGGAATGCAAAAAAGAGCAGGGGTTGTAATCCTAGTCTCTGATAAAACAGACTTTAAACCAACGAAGATCAAAAGAGACAAAGAAGGCCATTACATAATGGTAAAGGGATCAATTCAACAAGAAGAGCTAACTATCCTAAATATATATGCACCCAATACAGGAGCACTCAGATTCAAAAAGCAAGTCCTTAGAGACCTACAAAGAGACTTACACTCCCACACAATATTAATGGGAGACTTTAACACCCCACTGTGAATATTAGACAGATCAATAAGACAGAAAGTTAACAAGGATATCCAGGACTTGAACTCAACTCTGCACCAAGAGGACCTAATAGACATCTGCAGAACTCTCCACAGCAAATCAACAGAATATATATTCTTCTCAGCATTAGATCACACTTATTCTAAAATTGACCACATAATTGGAAGTAAAGCACTCCTCAGCAAATGTAAAAGAACAGAAATCACAACAAACAGTCTCTCAGACCACAGCGCAATCAAATTAGAACTCAGAATTAAGAAACTCACACAAAACCACACAACTACATGGAAACTGAACAACCTGCTCCTGAATGATTACTGGATAAATAACGAAATGAAGGCAGAAATAAAGATGTTCTTTGAAACCAACGAGAACAAAAACACAATATGCCAGAATCTCTGGGACACATTTAAAGCAGTGTGTAGAGGGAAATTTATAGCACTAAATGCCCACAAGAGAAAGCAGGAAAGATCTAAAATCAACACCCTAATATCACAGTTAAAAGAACTAGAGAAGCAAGAGCAAACAAATTCAAAAGCTAGCAGAAGGCAAGAAATAACCAAGATCAGAGCAGAACTGAAGGAGATAGAGACACAAAAAAACCTTCAAAAAATCAATGAATCCAGAAGCTGGTTTTTCAAAAAGATCAACAAAATTGATAGACCGCTACCAAAACTAATAAAGAAGGAGAGAAGAATCAAATAGATGCAATAGAAAATGACAAAGGGAATATCACCACCAATCCCAAAGAAATACAAACTACCATCAGAGAACACTATAAACACCTCTACGCAAATAAACTAGAAAATCGAGAAGAAGTGGATAAATTCCTGGACACATACACCCTCCCAAGACATAAACCAGGAAGAAGTTGAATCTCTGAATAGACCAATAACTGGCTCTGAAATTGAGCCAATAATTAATAGCCTACCAACCAAAAAAAGTCCAGGACCAGATGGATTCAGAGCCGAATTCTACCAGAGGTAAAAAGAGGGGTTGGTACCATTCTTTCCGAAACTAATCTAATCAACAGAAAAAAAAGGAATCCTCCCTAACTCATTTTATGAGGCCAACATCATCCTGATACCAAAGCTTGGCAGAGACAAAACAAAAAAAGGGAATTTTAAACCAATAACCCTAATGAACATCGATGCAAAAATCCTCAATAAAATACTGGCAAACCGAATCCAGCAGCACATCAAAAAGCCTATCCACCACGGTCAAGTTGGCTTCATCCCTGGGATGCCAGGCTGGTTCAACGTGTGCAAATCAACAAACATAATCCATCACATAAACAGAACGAATGACAAAAACCACATGATTATCTCAATAGATGCAGAAAAGGCCTTAGACAAAATTTAACACTGCTTCATGCTAAAAACTCTCAATAAACTAGGTATTGATGGAACGTATCTCAAAATAATAAGAGCTATTTATGACAAACCCACAGCCAATATCATACTGAATGGGCAAAAGCTGGAAGAATTCCCTTTGAAAACTGGCACAAGACAAGAATGCCCTCTCTTACCACTCCTATTCAACATAGTGTTGGAAGTTCTGGCCAGGGCAATCAGGCAAGAGAAAGAAATAAAGGGTATTCAGTTAGGAAAAGAGAAGTCAAATCGTCCCTGTTTGCAGATGACATGATTGTATAGTTAGAAAACCCCATTGTCTCAGCCCAAAATCTCCTTAAACTGATAAGCAACTTCAGCAAAGTCTCAGGATACAAAATCAATGTTCAAAAACCACAAGCATTCCTATACACAAATAACAGACAAACAGAGCCAAATCATGAGTGAACTCCCATTCACATTTGCTACAAAGAGAATAAAATACCTAGGAATCCAACTTACAAGGGATGTGAAGGACTTCTTCAAGGAGAACTACAAACCACTGCTCAACGAAATAAAAGAGGACACAAACAAATGGAAGAACATTCCATGCTCATGGATAGGAAGAATCAATATCGTGAAAATGGCCATACTGCCCAAGGTAATTTATAGATTCAGTGCCTTCCCCATCAAGCTACCAATGACTTTCTTCACCGAATTGGAAAAAACTACTTTAAAGTTCGTATGGAACCAAAAAAAAACAAAAACAAAAAAACAAAAAAAAAATCACATAGCCAAGACAATCCTAAGTAAAAAGAACAAAGCTAGAGGCATCATGCTACCTGACTTCAAACTATACTACAAGGCTATAGTAACCAAAACAGCATGGTACCGGTACCAAAACAGATATAGACAAATGGAACAGAACAGAGCCCTCAGAAATAATGCCACATAGCTACAACTATCTGATCTTTGACAAACCTGACAAAAACAAGAAATGGGGAAAGGATTCCCTATTTAATAAATGGTGCTGGGAAAACTGGCTAGCCATATGTAGAAAGCTGAAACTGGATCCCTTCCTTACACCTTACACAAAAATTAATTCAAGATGAATTAAAGACTTCAATGTTAGACCTAAAAGCATAAAAACCCTAGAAGAAAACCTAGGCAATACCATTCAGGACATAAGCATGGGCAAGGACTTCATGACTAAAACACCAAAAGCAATGGCAACAAAAGCCAAAATTGACAAATGGGATCTAATTAAACTAAAGAGCTTCTGCACAGCAAAAGAAACTATCATCAGAGTCAACAGGCAACCTACAGAATGGGAGAAAATTTTTACAATCTACCCATCTGACAAAGGGCTAATATCCAGAATCTACAAAGAACTTAAACAAATTTACAAGAAAAAAACAAACAACCCCATCAAAAAGTAGGCAAAGGATATGAACAGACACTTCTCAAAAGAAGACATCTATGCATCCAACAGACACATGAGAAAATGCTCATCATCACTGGCCATCCGAGAAATGCAAATCAAAACCACAGTGAGATACCATCTCACGCCAGTTAGAATGGCAATCATTAAAAAGTCAGGAAACAGTGGATGCTGGAGAGGATGTGGAGAAATAGGAACGTTTTTACACTGTTGGTGGGAGTGTAAATTAGTTCAACCATTGTGGAAGACAGTGTGGCAAATCCTCAAGGACCTAGAACTAGAAATACCATTTGACCCAGCAATCCCATTACTGGGTATATACCCAAAGGATTATAAATCATGCTGCTATAAAGATACATGTACACATATGTTTATTGCGGCACTATTCACAATAGCAAAGACTTGGAACCAACCCAGATGTCCATCAGTGATAGACTGGATTAAGAAAATGTGGCACATATACACCATGGAATACTATGCAGCCATAAAAAAGGATGAGTTCATGTCCTTTGCAGGGACATGCATGAAGCTGGAAACCATCATTCTGAGCAAACTGTCACAAGGACAGAAAACCAAACACCCCATGTTCTCACTCATAGGTGGGAAGTGAACAATGAGAACACTTGGACACAGGGCGGGGAACATCACCCACTGGGGCCTGTCGGTTGGTGGGGGACTGGGGGAGGGATAGCATTAGGAGAAATACCTAATGTAAATGACAAGTTGATGGGTGCAGCAAACCAACATGGCACATGTATACCTATGTAACAAACCTGCATGTTGTGCACATGTACCCTAGAACTTAAAGTATAATAATAAAAAAAATTATATAAACCATAAACCCAGACCTCTGGATGAAGTTTATTTGTTCTAATGCTATTGGATTTATCTTACATAAATAAGTCTTTCAGGTAACAATGAGTATTTGAGTCATCTTGGGTACCAATTTTTGAGAGACTGGGTGATTCAACACAAGGGTTTATTTATTTAAATAAATAACTGAATTCTCATTATTTTTTCCTAAACTATTTGACTATGGATAATGTCTTTTTGTAGAATTGTATTGACTAGTGGTTTGATGAAACTAACTTTGGGAAAATTTGGGTAGATATCAGAAAATGAAGTTTCATTTCTTGAGAAAACAGTTTTGATCCCATAGAAAGATATTAAAAATGAATGAGAATATGAGGTATGGTTAGCTCTAAAAAAGTGAGCAATGAGCACTCGGTCATAAATGTACTGACTAAGAAGAAAGAAGGTATGTTAGAGAACCCAGGCAGTTTCTTTTAAGGAAGCCCTGGTTTGGGTATCTTACCAGAACAGATCACTCCAACATCTTCACTGTGACTGCAGTCATTATTTCCCCACCCACTGTTCCTGCATGACCAGAGATCTGACTCATCTCCATCACAGGAAACATCATCGAGCCAAATTTTTCCATATCCTGTAGAAGCGTTTCCCAGACCCATGCCAATGATAGAAGATGGGCAGTCCAGCTGGCTACACACCACAGCTGCAGCTTTACTGTTCCAGCCGTCATCACACACTGTGCCCCACCGTCCTTGAAAGTACACCTCCAGTCTTCCCGAGCAGCGGTTGCTGCCGCCCACCAGCCTCAGGCCCCATGTTGCATCACCTGCACCAAGAACAATGAAGCAAGTAGTTAATGGGTGTGATGGTTTATTTTATATGTCAACTTGGCTGGACTATGATACCCAGTTATTTGGTCAAACACCAGTCTAGATGGTGCTGTGAAGGTATTTTTTCAGATGTGATTAACCTTTAAATTAGCAGACTTTGAGTACAGCCAATTATCCTCCATAACGTGGGTGGGCCTCATCCAATCAGTTGAAGACCTTAAAAGAAAAGACTGAAGTCCCCCAAGAAAGAAGGAATTCTACCTCCGCACTTTCTTGAGATTCAAGACTGCAACATCAGCTCTTCTCTGCAGTCTGCTGGCCTCCTCTTCAGATTTTGGACTTGCAAGCCCCGATAATTGCTTATAAAATTGATGAACCAATTCCTTAAAATAAATCTCTGTCTCTCTCTCTACATACATACATATGCACACACACACAGAGAGAGAGAGAGAGAAGAGAGGCTCACGTTCTATTGGTTTTGTTTTCCTGGAGAACCCTGAATAACGCAGATTTTGGTACTAATAGTGGTTCTAGAGGAACAAAATCTTAAGGATGAGTTTTATGAATTGATGCTGTAATTCATAAATTGATTCTAGAATTGGTTCTCTAATCTGATAAAAATTTAATGACACTAATGATTCTGTATCCAGTAGTAAAGAGGGCACTGATAATCCATGGCATGATGTGGCAATAGATATATACAAAATCTCATCATTACATATTCCTAATCAAATACTTACAGTAGGCAAAGTTCTGAGTGAACATATATTTGATAACCTAGGACATTTTTGTCAAACTTACAAGCATAATTAGATTGGCTGGCTGCTCCCCATTGCACTGGACAAAGTGGGAAAAGAAAAGGATGAGCTTAGAGATTCAAATTCCCAGCTGAACTGCAATATGACCTGCAAGTTTTGATGTCTTCCCGGAAAGAAACTCGTGTCTCTTATAGCCACAGAACTGAGATTACTGAAAACCTTCACCTGGTAAGGTACTGAATTCTCAACCTCACAAGATGTCTGCTGTCTAAGTGAGGGATTTAATTGGGATGGAATAGAATTCTGAAAATTAGGATGGGGCCATAGGGGAAGACCTGATGAGGTTGGGAACATTGAAACCCTAAATTCTACTGTTTCTCCTTTAACAGTAGAGACAACCATCCACCTCTGTGTGAGAATATTAATCCTACTTTGCTTGAAGAAATTGAATCTCTCCTGAGATAACTGCCTTGAAAGGCACTCCTGATTCTCCTCAGCACCCATCCCATCAGCCCTCTTTACATCTAGACTCAAGTCCCAGCAGGCTCCAAAATGTGAGGTACAAAGTGTCTTATGTGGAAGTGCACACAAACAACCATGATTTTTCCAATTTACACAGACAGAAATCAGAATATATGTGGGAATGAATATTAAGGATGTGAGATAATGCTGGAAGGAACATAAAGTTGGGTCAGGGTGAATTTACTGATATGAGCCCTAAGCAGAGATTCTAGATTTAATGATGCAGCTAAGGGTTAGAAAGGCTCTAATAGTTTGTTGGACTGGTTGGGTGAAACATGTATCCAAAGGTGGCCTACACTTAATGAAGTTAAAAGGCCAAACTGCTTCTGTATATGGTAGGGGAAGGGATCCAAAGGATCATAGTCAGGGTTGTCTACTAATTTCTTACTTTACCTGTATAAGTGGAAGAGTTCCAGGTGAAGTGAACTGAAGTCTAATTTAAAGACAAGAGTCATGGCCCCTCAATCAATTCCCACATGTAAGCCAGTTTATAGACCCAGAAGCCCTTCCTATGAGGAATACTATTTCTCTTATCAGGAAATAATAAACAAGAACAAGTCTTACCTGAGCAGGTTACAATCACATCCTCTCTGTGTACACAATTATGCTTTCCCCATCCACTGTGTTCACAGTCCCAGATATTTGACTCATTTCCAATGCAAGAAACGTCATCCAGCCAAATAGGTCCTGATGCTTCTTTAAAATAGGTCATACCAAACACATGCAAAGGCTTTCCACATCCCAATTGTTTACAAACAACAGCTGCATTCCTTGTGCTCCATCTGTCATGACACACAGTCCCCCACTCTCCTTGGTATTTCACCTCCAATCTCCCATAACAGGGGCTATGAGCCCCGACAAGCCTTAGGTCCAGATCTGCCTTATCTGCAAGCAAGACAAAACCACATATTTGAGATCAAATGAGAGAGTCTTTTCAGAAGACTGAAAAGACTCTCTAAATTCACGACTATAAGGCTTTGCCTAACAGGTGATATATTAGGCACACTTTTGAATGAAAAGTTTGGTTTTCTTTCTTTTGACAATTTTTTATTCAATTTTTGGAGAGAAGGTGTCTCTAAAGCATGAAACGACGACAGCAAATTTACTGAAGTAAAGCCTGGGGAATGTTATGAAGCCTCCAAGAATGACGGATTTGGATAAGATGAGCAACGTGGAAGCATGCAGAGAAGTTCTTTGAGGTATGGATACATTCAGGAGATAGCACTGGCAGGTTTCTGCAGTGGAGTCCAGCATTAGCACCAAAGCTTATCCCCTCATAGTCGTCATTTTAGTTTGTCCACTCATGTTTTATAAGATAAAGGGAGGCATATGTATATGAAACTGCCCTTTCATAAAATAAATTCCTTTTTAATTCTTAATTTTTCCACTGTTCAAAGCACTTGAGAAATATTGAGAAAATTTGAGAATTTTATTTCCTTCCTTTCTTCCTTCCTTCCTTCTTTCCTTCCTTCCGCCCTCCCTCTTTTCTTTTCCTTTTCTTCTTTCTCTTTTTTTCTTCCTTTCTCTGTCTTCTCTCATTCTTCTTTCTCTCTCTTCTTTCCTCTCTTTCTTCCTTTTTCTTCTTTCCTTTTCTTTCTCTCCTTTCTTTCTTTTCTTTCTTCTCTCTCTTCTTTCATTCTCTCTTCTTTCATTCTCTCTTCTTTCTCTTTCTTTCTCTGACTTCTTTCTTTTTCTTTCTTTCTTTTCCTTCCTTCCTTCCCCTCCCCCATTCTTCTTCTTCCTCTTCCTCTTCCTCCCTTTCCCTTCTTTCCTTCCTTCCTTCTTCTTCCTCTTCCTCCCTTTCCCTCCCTCCCTCCCTCTCTTTCTTTCTCTTTCTTTCTTTCTTTCTTGCTTTCTTTCTTTCCTTTCTTTCCTTCTCTCTCTCTCTTTCTTTCTTTCTTTTTCTTTCCTTTCTTTCTTTTCTGTCCAGGGTCTTGCTCTGTCACCCAGGCTAGAGTGCTGTGGCACAATCTTGGTTCACTACAACCTCTGCCTTCAGGGTTTAAGTGATCCTCCCACCTCAGCCTCCCGAGTAGCTGGGATTACAGGCTCACACCACCACAGCCAGCTATTTTTTGTATTTTTAGTATAGACAGGGTTTCACCATGTTGCCCAGGCTGGTCTAGAACCCCTGACCTCCTTTCAGCCTCCCAAAGTACCAGGGTTACAGGCGTCAGCCACCGTGCCCAGTCAAGAAATATTTTACTATGTAGGTACTATTATGATATAGGAAAGGTATAATATTTTATAATGGGTCACTTTAAAAATTCTAAAAGTGTTCAATTTCTTTACTTGCTATCCAGTATGACAACTCTTCCATGTGTATATAATAATCTTACATTCTATTCAACCTAGTATGTGTGTGTGTGTATTTTAAAACATAACATTTAATGATTGCATAGGATACCATCATATAGAGATATAGAGATTCTGTAAGTTATTTAATCAAGACACAATTCTTGGTTACCTATGTTATGGTTAATTTTTCATTTTCACAAATTACACTGCTACGGACATCCTTACACATAAAGTTTTGAGTATGTCACCAAGTGCTTCCACAATATAATGGAAACCAATGTATTCAATGTAGGTTAAATGTGTGGGGGTATGAACAGATATATGACGCATGTATATATAATATGTATCATTTCCAGATATACTAAATAAAAATTCATAGAAACAAAGCAAAGAAAAACTTTTAATTCCTGATGCAAACAAATATATAAATGAAGTAGTGTATCCTGTTCTAGTATAGGATAACTGGATAGTATAATGATATAATTTCTGCACAAATCAAACCAATTTATATTTATATTGTATTTTAATAGACTGGGTTTTGCTATGTTGCCCAGGCTGGAGTGGAGTGGCTATTTACAGGTGCAATCATAGCACCTTACAGTCTCTATCTCCTGGGCTCAAGTGATATTCCTGCCTCAGCCTCCTGAGTTGCTGGGACAACAGGCATGTGCCACCATGCCCAACCAATTCATAGGTTTAATATTACCTTAAAAACAATTCCAATGTCAATTCATATTTAGAAGAACAAAAAGGAAAAAGTAGCAAGGAATTTTATGAAAAATAAGAATACTTAGGCAATATATATCTCAGTAGGTATTAGCCTATAGAAAGCTACAGTAGTTAAAATGTGATGGTTCTAGAAATAGAAGAGGGGGATTATGTATTTTATAAAGGGACTCTATAAAATACACAGAGTTCTTACACATTATGAAGACAAAGACATCACACAGCAGAAAAATGGCCAAAGAAGCAGAAATGCTAACACATAAACAAATACAAATAAGTTGCTAATAAAGAATTAGGAAAAAGCTGTCATTTGTTATCAAGGAAGTAAGATTTTTGAACATTGACTTTGGAGTTAAATCAGTTCATATCTGAACTCCAGCTTCACTACTGCTCTGATAGGTGAGTGACCTGGGTGAGTTACTTTCTCTCAGTACCTCTATTTCCTCACTGTAAAATAGAGATAGAATAGTAACCCCCTTCTTGGGATTCCATGAAGATTCCATGAACCCATATACATAAACTAATAGAACACTGCCTGGCACACCATAAATATTCAATAAATGTTAATTAATATTATTATATTTTAAAAATCAGATTCAGTTATTCTAAAATATGAAAATATTCAGTGTTAATATGATATAGTGGAATAATAGGGAACTGAAATTGAATAGAAGAAAAAAACACAATTTATAGATGATAATTTGTTAATATGTATCCAAGACTTTAAAAAAAGATGCATATGGTTTTACATGACAATTTCATTTTTAAGTATTTGGCAAACTATATAATCAAGTGTGAAAAATGTATTTCTCAGTATATCAAATAAAATCATATTTTTAACAGCAAAAATTTGAAAACCTTTTAAAACTTAACATTATGAGGTAGTTAAATAAATTATAGTACATTTATGCAATATAGTAAGTAGCCTTTAACATTAAGATAGATTAGTAATGGCCATGTGGAATATGTCTGTGGTATATTGTTCAGCACAAAGGGTACACACATACACACACACAATCCAGAAACATAAACAACAAAAAAATCACAAAAGATTTGAATGAATGGTAGCGTTGCATGTGGATTTAAAAAATTATTTTTTTTTTGTATTTTGACCTTTTCACTGGGTTTATAATTTGAAAAAGTAGTTTCCAAAAAGCAAAAAGTAATTTTTATAATGTTTTATATCAATCTATAAAAAAGAGAAAAGTAAAATAAAATTAAAGTGTACAAAAGAATTGATAGTTAACTTTGTCTACCAAATTGATCACACTAAATGTGAACAGAATACATAGATAAATAGATTCATAAAACAAATTCCACTCTGCAATTTCTGGATACCATTATATATTATACTAACCTGACATTCTTGAATATAAGATATATGTAAGGTGTACATTCAAGAATGTCAGGTTAGTATAATATTAATAGTGAAAAATTATCCAACAGCCTAAACACCAAGAATAGAGATCAGGCTAAATTTACTGTACACATATGATAGAATAACATAAAGTTTTTTAATTTTAATTTTTAAGTAATTAGTTTAAGGGTGTGGGAAAATGCAAATGTTATAGCAAGTGAGAAACAAGATACAAAATAAGGAGTTGCATTATTTATATTTCTATCTTTCCATCCACATATAAGGTATTTGTGTGTGTGTGTGTGTTTCATTTACAAGAACATCATTCTTCATTTATCCTATATCTATCATCTATCAGGCTTTTAGGATATCAATAAATAACAAGACTATCAGGTATACCTTCATGTAAACAGCATCGTTGGAAATGGTTATGTAGGCTCACAATACTCCCCAGACACCTGTGCACCCTCCCACTTAGGACTCTCTAGATATTCCTTTTTTTCCCTTCATAAAGTGCCACAGAGAATAATGCTGTCTCGATTTTATTTATTTATTTCATTTTTTTTTTTTAACAAGATGAGGTCTCACTCTGTTGCCCAGGCTGGAGTGCAGTGACCCAATCACGGCTCACTGCAGCCTCGAATTTCTGGGATCAAGCAATCCTCCCGCCTTAGTCTACTGAGTAGCTAGGACCACAGGTATGCACCACCACACCCAGCTAATTTTTAAATTTTTTGCAGAGGGAGTCTTGCTATATTACCCAAGTTGATTGTGAATCTTGGCCTCAAGTGATCTTCCTGTGGTAGTCTCCCAAAGTGTTGGGGTTACAGGTGTGAGCCACTGCACCTAGCTTTGTTTTTTAAATATCTAACCTGTTTTTTCTGTTTAAAAGTTCTTGGAAATGTTTTATACTTAAAATATTTCATAAGTATTATACACATAGATTTTCTTTGTTTTCAATTCTACTAATGACATTCTAGATGCTTACAGAATTATACATCGTATCAACATATGCATATAAATATATCTATATCAGCTATTTGGATTTGTATATATTCCTAATTCTCTATAATAAGCCTTAATTTATAATCAGAAATAAACAATGTATATTATTAAATAAAAAAAGTTAAAAAGCAGCAGAAAAGCTGTTAAGAAAACTGTAAATTAGTACAACTCATTAGTTTTCTATGAAGAGAGGTTGCCCAGTTATTTTAGAGATACAGATTATACTCATGCAGTGGTAGCAGCTGCATCTGATTTCAGGGGAGACTGCTAGTGAGAAGAAACTCTCTTTTTACAATGTGCATTTGAAAAGTTCTTTGTGCAGCTTAAGAGTATTTTGGGTTTTTTTTTAAGGTCCAGAAAACCTTTTCTTCAAGCTATTGTTTCTAACCTCCCAACAGATTATTTCTAAAAATTCAAATGTGTACACTCTCATGATCTTTGAACCTTACCAGAACAAATTACTCCAGCATCTGATCTTCGGAAGCATGTTCGCTTTGCTTTTCCATCATATGTGCAGTCCCAGAGAGCTGACTCATTCCCAGTGCAAGATATGCTGTTTATCCAAATGTCTCTAGCTTCATTACTAGGTTTAGCACGACGACTGCCAAAGACGCTGAACGGACATCCTAGCTGCTTACAAACCACAAGGGCTTGTTCATTCTTCCAGTTCTGGTCACATATTGTCCACCACTGTTCATGAATTCTCACCTCTACTCTCCCTGAACAATTGTTACTTCCATCTGCTAGTCGCAGTTCCAAATCTGCTCCATCTAGGATGAAGTCACAGAGAAACGTCTGAATTGGGTTTGGGACAATATCATCAGCATCCCTCTCCTCCAACCCCTCCAATGTGAAGATTAGATGTATCCTTCACATACTGAGAAAAGTAAAGACTAAAGACTGGAAATCATTTTGTTTTAAAATTTTAAAGATTGAAATTTTAAAGATTTTAAAGATTGAAATTTTAAAGATTGTTTCATAACGACTTGTCAGTCTTTATGAAAACAATCTTCTTTTAAATATGAAAATTGAAATTATAATCCTAAGAACCTTGCTTTAGCCTTACTAAAATTTAAGAAACTAAACATTGCAATAAAAAGCCATATAAACCTATATATCATTAATTACATTAATTTTCAAAATATTAGAGTGGTTATTTTTAACACCGTAAAATAAAATAGTGTTGGGAAATACTTGCATTTCAGTAACTTCAGAAAGAAAAGGGACAAAAGGAATGCACAATTAGCAAAAAGTCTCTCTTGGATTTAAATAGAAATATGTTCTTTCTCATACTGTTTTCTACGAAGAAGCAAGCCTTTGCTTATTAAACATATTTGTCATAGGAAATGAAATTTGTTCAGTGGTAATTTTTGAAGAAACTGTGTGTTTTTGCTCCATCAGCATATACATCACGTTACTTCTTTGTGTTCCTGTGACTCTGCTTTTTCATGCATACAAATAAATATATTAAATAACCCCAAGAAAGTAAAAATGTGGAGAACTTTTCTTGAAATAATTGAGGAAAGGAGATATAATTTCTATGTCTCATCTCCTCCCATTATTCAAGCTTTTCATACATCATTACAAAAATATAATTTGCTATCTAGTGAGAAATCTGGTTCACATTGAATAGGTTAGTCTTCGGAGATTTGGAGGTTTATTTTCCTATAAATAATGTAGGTCATAATGATAGTTCTCAACCTATACCTGTTGAGAACTTCCTGGTTGCCAGGCACATTTTAGGTATTTTCCCTGCACTATTTTATTTAATGCTGTTATCCTAGTCATGATATAAGAAATCTGCAACTTGGAGATTGATTTATACAGGGTCACATAATTATCAAGTGACAGATTTTAAACTGTGAAACTGTGAACTGTTTTTGTTTGGGAAAAAAAAATCCTCTGACTACAGGGCTGAAGAGAAGGCCAATGTATCTAACTACCCATTTTCCTGTGGGTTGGCCATACACATCTGTTTTCACTGTTGGGACGGTTTTCCAACCTTATTTTCACATCTGCATCATTCTTCATGGCCCTTCCTTACTCTTCCAGAGGCAAATAGTTCCAGAAGTTCCAGAGTTTGAATAGCAACTGGTCTGACAGTTAAGGATGTTATATCAAGTCAGAAGTACACAGTTATGAATTCACTTCATTGTAAGAAAATTTATCAAAATGATTAAGATTCTCTCTGTTTCCTTCCCCCTTCTCTCATCTCTCTCATCTTCTCATGTCTCCCTCTTTTCTCTCCTAACTTTCGTCTACCTCTCTTTTCTGTTATGTGGAGAAAAATTTTTCTTATAAAATGATGGATTGATTAAATATACTATGGGAAACTCTTTTGAATGGTGAAAGTGGTTGGTCCCCAGATAAAACTTGCAAGCAAACTAGTATAAACAGAAAGAAAAGGATTAAAAGATGTTCTGAATATATTATCTTTCCCAAAAGTCCTATAAGGATGGCATAAATCCCGTGGCTAAGGTACAGCTAAACCCATAAACCTCTTCGTCTACATATGTTTTTCTATGTATATCGTTCCCTGCGGCATACTCTAGACT
Source organism: Homo sapiens (assembly GCF_000001405.40). Lineage (NCBI taxonomy): Eukaryota > Metazoa > Chordata > Mammalia > Primates > Hominidae > Homo > Homo sapiens. The sequence goes on from NC_000012.12 coordinate 7,405,641, forward strand.
TAAGAAAAACTCTTCTTAAAAGATGTGACCTGATCTCAAATTCTATAGGAAATAAGATTAAGGCATCCTGTGTAAGGCTGGTAACGTAAGGTCAGTAATAATTTACGAAAGAAGCCTCTTCCATCAAGACAAACTGACTCTCAGAGGAAAATCGTTGGCTCTACATCTAGGGATTCTCCTTTCGTAAGAATATTAGAAGGTGTGGGTTTAATCTTATTAAGAGAGTGAACAGGTTTCATTACATCTTTGAACATAAAATACTACTGTGAGAGAAATATGAAGGATATTTTAATCCCTGATATACAAAACTATAAATAAACAGCGAGGGGTAACTTGCTTGTAGTTGAAAGTTGCAAACTAGAAAACAAATGGCTGCAGACAAAAATTTTACTAGTATAAGGTACAAAGTAATTAGCAAAGTCATAAATTTTTAGATAGGTACTCTTTGGAAATAGTTTATTTTAATGAAAGGAAGTGCTAAAACAAACTCAGTTATAACCTAGAAAAATATAGTTGTGTCTATGAATATGCAAAGTGATTACACATTTTAAAATTATACTGAATATTAATATAAGCCATGCACTTGTATAGATTAACAGCAATTTTGACTAGATTGGACATTTTGTTGCACCAATTAGAATTAAGTAAAATGGTGTGTTGGGGGTGGGTAAAAACCTTATTCCCATGAGGCTTACAATGTAATATGCTGCATAAAATGCAGACATGTTCCCTAAGGAAACATTGAAAGTGTCAATTCTTACACATCACAATTGGTTGTAACTTCTTCACAATTCTTACACATCACAATTGGTTGTAACTTTTTCAGGGTTTGGTCCTAGTTCTCCAAAAAAGAAATTTTATCTGATGTAATCATGTGGATGTAAGTCTTACCTGAGCAGATCACAGACACATCGTTTTGATGAAGACAGTCAAAATTGACGGTTCCGGAATGTCTGCAGTCCCAAAGAAAAGATTCATTACCGGAGCAGGAGACACCATCAAGCCATACAACATCAGACCCTGACTGCAAATGAGGCAAGCCAGCGAAGTGAAGTGCGGTTCCACATCCCAACTGCTTGCATACGACATCAGCTGCAGCATTGTTCCACTTATGGTGGCATACGGTCCCCCACCTTCCTTGGATTTTCAGCTCTACTCTCCCCATACAGCGGTTAGTTCCACCTACAAGCCTTAGTTCAAGATCACTACTATCTGAAACAGAGATATAAACACAAAGCCCAGGTGAAGTTTTGATCAGAAACTTCAGATTCCAGATCCTGCTATCCAAATAAACACAAATATATAATAAATTGAGATTCAATGAATGTCTAACTCTTGCTTTTTAAAATTCTTGTACAAGTTTAATGTAATAGAATCTATCCCAGGAAAGGATCATACTATGATGTTGACAATCCACCAGAATCTCTGGCATTTGGGGAATAAAGCACAACAGAGAGTAGAAATGCCCTTTCTGATTGTGAATCACAATAAATCAATCAAAGGTCAATAATGCATGTAAATTTATTGTCAAAACATGAGCCTTTGCTGGCTCTGAGTCTAGCCAGCAAACATTTTAGAACTTAATAACTGTGTATAAGCAGTGGCAATAAGATATCATTGTCATCACTGTGATCATCCTCTTTTTCCTATTTCAAAAATTTTTCTTCCTTTAAATGAACATTTAACTCCAACTTCTTGCAATATAACTTCCAATTATTCATCTTACAGGAATTTACTCTTGAATGAAATGGAACAAACGAAACAAATGAAAAAATAAAACTTCTAAAGGTGAAAGCAAGTGTGACCAGCCATAAATTATGGGCTTGTTATATTATTAAAATGCTCTGTTGATTTAATTCAAAGTCTCAGCCTTTCCTTATTTCCTTACTTCTTTACATCACTTAGCAAAATTGACCACTACGTATATGTATCATATGTAGTGGTCAATTTTACTAAGTGATATAAAGAAATAAGGAAATAAGGAAAAGCTGAGAATTTGGATATATATATACACACACACACATATATATATACACACACATATATATAGTGATCAATTTTGCTAAGTGATATAAAGAAATATGGAAATAAGGAAAGCCTGAGAACTTGAAGATATGTGTATATATACACACACACATCCATACACACACACACACACACACACACAGACACACACACACACACACATACACACACAAAATCACCTCACCTTATCCACAGGGGTGTGGTTCCCAGACTCCCATGGATATTAAAATCTGCAGATGCTCAAGTCCCTTAGTTGGCCTTCTAATCTGCTGGTTTCACACCCACAGATTCAACTAAATGCAAAGTTTTAATCAGCGGTTGGTTGACTCCATGGATATGAAACCCACAGATTCTAAAGGCCAACTGTGTGTGTACATATATATTTTTACACTTAGCAAAACTGAACACTACATATATATATATATATATCATATATATGCCTAGGTCTTCCAAGAATCCAAGAATACATTGTCTGTCTGTCTCTCTCTCTCCAATTGCTTGTTTTGTCCCCGTATCTCTCAGTTAAATGAATGAGATTTTTTTTACAGATTATTTACCTTTATTTAATAAATTAACAAAGTAAAATTACTGGTTTTGTATGCATTTGTGTGTGTACAGTTCTTTGAGTTGTAATACAGGTATTAATTTGTGTAACTATTACCACAGTAAGAATATAGAACTTTGTTACCCCATTCACTCATTGAAAGACAGTTAGTCACAGTGTATTATTATTTTAATATATTGCTAGATTCAAGAAATAGAATGTCACATTAGCAATATTTTTAAACTATTTCCACTTTTGTATTTTTATCGATACATATCAGTTGTATGTATTTTGGGGATACATGTGATATTCTGATACCTATATACAGTGTGAAATATTCAAATTAGAGTAATTTGGATATCCATCACCTCAAAAATGTGTATTTTATTTGTGGCAAGAACACTCCAAATTTTCTCTTCTAACTATTTAGATGTTCTTTTCTTAATCTAATAACTGATTCAGGAAATAGATTCCCAGAAATAATGTGGAACCTTGGATCTAGGCATACTCCAAGTGATTCACAATTGGGCACGCCAGCTCTTTGAGTCAAAACACTGCCTCTGCTTTTGTTATTTTGAGCTGAGATTCTGTTCTTTGCAAAAGCCTTTCCCTGCTTCAGTTTTGTACTTGTACTTTTTTGACTACCATGTCTAGGAAAGAGCATAGGATAAAAAGGGAGATAGCCAACGCCCAACATGGTTTGTTTTCCTTTTTCTCTCCTTGGTGCCCAACATCCAACCAGTCATCCAAGGGAAAAAAAGAAGAAATAAAGAAGAATCATACTTCTCATTGCTATTGCATGTGTATATGACTTCTATGGAAGGTGAGATCATTGAGGCCATACAGTAAGTTTATAAACCTACAGATGGAATTAGCATTTTTCCAAGAAGAGATTATCACAGTGTTATGTATTTTAAAAGAGACAGTCAATAGATAAGGAATATTAATTCAAAATGTGTTTTTTTAAGTAAGCATAAGAAAGGAAGCCATGTGTCATTTGTAAATATATTTAAGTGTATTCAAAATCTCCTCATAAAGTAAGTTTTATTTTTGTATACTAATTTATGTAAAATCTGCCTAAATGTAGCACACAAAGTTCAGAACCCACCAAAGGAGACCCTCAATAACAGCATTTCCCAACCTTTTTGGCACCGAAGACTGCTTTTGTGGAAAAAAATTTTTCCACGGGGGTCGGGGGGAATGGAGGGGACAGCGATGGTTTCAGGATGAAACTGTTCTGCCTCAGATAATCAGGCATTAGATTCTCATAGGGAGTGAGCAACCTAGATCCCCCAAATGCACAGTTCACAATAGGGTTTGCGCTCCTGTGAGAATCTAATGCCAGCCCTGATCTGAGAGGAGGTGGAGCTCTATCAGTAATGCTCTCTTGCCCGCCTCTCACCGCCCACTGCGTGGCCCAATTCCTAACATACCGTGACCGGTACCAGTTTACAGCCCGGGGGTTGGAGACCCCTGTCGTAAAGGGTACATTTCGAGAAATAAGGACTAGAACAGACTAGCCTTTGTAGAAACTGAAGCCAAGATTTAATCTCTAACTGTGACTGAATTAAGATTATCTGAGATTGCCTTCTGCCAAAAACATAAGATTATACTACACCTCCAATTGGCTTTATAATTTTTCATGAATTGTGCATCTTACTCTCTCAGAAATAAAAAAACTATGGAGAAGATAACATGATTAAAAGCCAAGAGGAAAAAAAGACACAATCAACAGGAGGTGTGAATTACCAGAAATAGACTGTAAATTACCATCCTTAATATATGTACGACAAAATAAAAGGCAAGACTGAAAATTTTGGCAGAAAAATAAATATAAAAACTATAAAAATAAACCAAATGAAGGTTCTAGAACTGAAAAATACAGTAATTAAATTAATAACACAATAGATTAACAAAATTCATCAAAGAAAAAAGTATTAGCATACTGTAAAATACAAGCATAAAAAGACAAAATCACAGGAAATGCAGGAAAAAAAGGTTTCAAGAGGAACAAAGTAGGGAATAAGAAGACAAATATTTGTGTAATTGGAGTTCCAGAGAGTAAAAAGATAGAGAATTCAGCAGAAGAAATATTTGAAAATATAACAGTTAAAGGCCAGGCACAGTGGCTCATGCCTGTAATCTCAGCACTTTGGGAGACCAAGGCGGGCAGATCAGTTGAGGTCAGGAGTTCGAGACCAGCTTGGCCAACATGGTGAAACCCTATCTCTATTAAAAATACAAACATCAGCTGGGCATGGTGGTGTGCACCTAAACCCAGCTACTCGGGAGGCTGAGGCAGGAGGATCGCTTGAATCCAGGAGGCAGAGGTTGCAGTGAGCTGAGATCACACCACCGCACTCCAGCCTGAGTGACAGAGCGAGAGTCCATATCCAAAAAAAAAAAAAGGAGAGCGACGAGACCATCCTGGCTAATACGGTGAAACCCCGTCTCCACTAAAAATACAAAAATTAGCTGGGCATGATGGCACGTGCCTGTAGTCCCAGCTACTCGGGAGGCTGAGGCAGGAGAATCGCTTGAACCCAGGAGGCAGAGGTTGCAGTGAGCTGAGATCACACCACTGCACTCCAGCCTAGGCGACAGAGCGAGACTCTGTCTCAAAAAAATAAAAAATAAATATAAATATAAATATATATATATAATAAAAAATAGTTAAGAATTTGCCAAAAATTGAGACTCTTCAAATATAGCCAAAATTCAAGCATTGCCATAAACTACAAGTGCAGGAACACAAAGAAAATGACATCTAAGCACATAATGGTAAAATAGCTGGAAACTAAAGAGAGAAAAAAGAAAACAAAACTTTAAAAGCACACAGAGACTAAGGTGGATGTCCTTCAGAGAAAATTAAATAAAAACAACAATTCTCCCTTTTCAAGAGAAAAGGGAAAGTCATAAAACATGGAACAATACCTTCCAGACATTAAAAGGAAAACAGAATAGCCTAAAATTCTGAGATAATGCTTAAAGATGATATTGCTCGTTTCCTTTTTAAAGAATAAATAATTATGAAAAATTTGAACATAGATTTTCTTTTTAAAATTTCCATTTGTTCAAAGTCTTACTAAAACAAATAACTCCAGTACCCAAATTATGATTACCATTATTATTCCCCTGATATGGTTTGGATGTTTTGTCCCCTCCGAATCTGAGGTTGAAATGTGATTCCCCAGTATTCAAGGTGGGGCCTGTGGGAGGTGTTTTGGTCATGGAGGAGGATCTCTCATGAATGGCTTTGTGCCCTCCCTGCAGTAATGAGTTCATAGGGGAGCTGGTTGTTTAGAGAACCTGGCACCTGGCACCTCCCCCACCACCTTGCTCCCTTCTCTCTTGCTTCCTCTTTCCATGTGATATGCTGACTTCCCCTTGGCCTTCTGCCATGATTGTAAGGTTTCTGAGCCCCTCACCAGAAGCAGTTGCTGGTTCCATGATTCATGTACAGCCTGCAGAACCATGAACCAAACAAACCACTTTTCTTTATAAATTATCCAGTCTCCGGTATTCCTTCATAGCAATGCAAATGGACTAACACATCCCCCAACCATAGTGTTTGCATACCCATAGAGCTGATTTATCTCCAAAGCAGGATGTATGAAACATCTATATATTCTTGGATTAAGCACTAACATTAGGAGGAAAATTTGTGTTGACTACAAAGTGTTAACCCAGTTAATTACAAACAACTATTAGCATCCCAGTTCTGATGACACACAGTTCCCCACTGATCCTGGACATTGACATTTCCCACTTCTTCACATTGGTTACTTCCATTCACTATCTTTAACAATTCCTTCCTATCTTCAAAATAGACAAAAGTCTGGGTCATAAGTGAGACCAAGGAGAAAAAGTCTTCCTGGATTTGAAAACATCATTTATCTACTTATTTCTATAGGACATTCCTTTTTGAATCAACGGACTCATGGCTTTAATGCTAAAATATTGTCCTCACAATTCATTTTACTAGGAACAATTGTTCATTTCTAGAACAAAAGGAATTCAATATATGATGTATTCCCTCACTTAAGGTCACATAAATCTTTTGGCTGAAACTTTTAAGATTTGTTGTTTATTAGAGTAAAATAGACTCCCAGGAAATGGGTTTGAAGATGTATCTGTGGGACACTCTCATATGCTGTATTACGCAGGACACCAAAATTACATAAGCAATTAAAGAATCTGGTCAAAAGAGAAAAATAGAATTGAAACAATCTTCCCATAAAGAACCATTTGAAATGGAACATAAAATTTCCATGGAATAAAAGTTGACAATTTGTATATGCATAATAAAAACATTTTAGAAACATGCAAATTCTAATCACAATGATATGGTTGTAATCTTAAAGGAGAGGATAAATCATAGATAAAAAATATTGCACACTATCTGGAGAGTATAAAAAGAGGAAGATCACAGGAAAAAAAAAATGTGTATTACCAGTAAGATGTCAACACAGAGGCAAGCCAAAAGAACATAAGCCAGATGGCAGAAAGACCTCATATCTCCCACAGAAAGAATTTTAACAACCATTTATGAGTGAAAATATTTTTATGGGATCCTAGAAGTACACATAAGAAGTCCAAGCACCTGGCCGGGCGCAGTGGCTCACACCTGTAATCCAAGCACTTTGGGAGGCCGAGGCGGGTAGATCACGAGGTCAGGAGTTCAAGATCAGCCTGGCCAAGATGGTGAAACCCCGTCTCTACTAAAAATACAAAAAATTAGCCAGGCATGGTGGCAGGTGCCTATAATCCCAGCCACTCGGGAGGCTGAGGCAGGAGAATCGCTTGAACTTGGAGGGTGGAGGTTGCAGTGAGCCGAGATCATGCCACTGTACTCCTGAGCGACAGAGTGAGACTCCATCTCAAAAAAAAAAAAAAAAAAAAAAGAGGTTCAAGCACCTTGGTGGAGCAAAATACAAATGAAAATAGACACATTAAAGAGGATAAGAAGGACAGTTTCACTTTCCCTGTATCACTCTTCTAAGTGGCACAGCTATGGCCAAGAGAGACTCCCTTAGTACATGATTTCTCCCATGGGAGAAGGTGGAAATGAAGTGAGTGCCTGGCTTTCCTAGCCTTATGGAACATTTCCCAAGAGGCCCATTTCTGTCTCATCTCACCTAGAACACTGAAAAGATTAGCACAGCGGAATAATCTGGGGACCATCAGGAGAAAAGAAAATGAGTGGAGGCTTACAGCAACCAGCGGATGCTAGTAATTAGACACACATCCTACCAACCAGCTCATTATCTCTACCAAGAAACCTGCTCACATGCCATGTAGGATGCCTCACCTGTGGATCCCTCCGCTAGCTAATATTTACCCCCATCAATCTATGCATCTCGCCCCTGGGCAGTGCCCCACATTTCCCCACAGAATGTGTGTGAGGTTCCATAGATAACTTGTGTGGTCTTCCCCAGATGGTGCATGTGAGCCTCTGCAAGCAGCACATGCAAGATCCTCAGACGGTGTGTGTATCTTTTGCAGACAGCACACAGATGTCAGCAGCTGACTTGATTCTGCTGAATAGAGAGGAGGTGTACAACCTTGAGCACTTCTGGGCACTTGCCTAAGAAAAATAAATGGAAATCTCTCAGTACTCAGCCTGGCTTTGCAGGATTGAGAGAAGATACACAGTCCCCAGATTTCCACACTAGCAGGGAACAAAAGGGGTGGATTAAGTACACCCATAAAAAAGGTCTGAGAGACCCCCTAGAATCTCTAGCCAGGCTGAGTGGTGAAGGTTCATTTTTTCCAAAGCATCAGTAAAGACTAGAGGAAATGACTTATTCAAATGGAAAAACAGAAACACCAAGGCTTCAAAAAACACAATGAATGAAGGAAATATGGCACTACCAAAGGAACAAAATAAAGTTCCAGTGGCTGACCCCAAAGAAAGTAAGATCTAAAAACAGCCTGACAAAGAATTAAGAATGCTCTTCTTAAAGAAACTCAATGGACTAAAGAGAACATAGATAGGCAACTAAATAAAATCAGGAAAATAATGTATGAACAAAATGAGAAGTTCAGTAAAGAGATAGAAACAATTGAAAACAATGAAACAGAAATTTTGGAGTAAAAAAAATACAATGACACCTGAAAAATTCAATACAGAGCTTCAGCAAATTACCTGATTGAGCAGAAGAAAGAACCAATGAACTGAAAGACAGATAACTTGAAATTAATCAGTCAGAAGAACAAAAAGAAGGAGAAATAGTGAAGTCAGCCTACAAGACCTATATGACACTATCAAATTAACCAATATATGCATTATAGAAATTACAGAGAAGAGAAAAAGAAAAACAACAGAAATTTAAAAATTAATAACTAAAAATTTCTCAAATCTTAGTAGGAAAATGAGCATCCCAAACCAATAATCCCAAGGAACTCCAAATAGATTGAACATAAAGAGAGCTTCACTGTTATACATAATAAGCAAATTGTCAAAAGTCAATGACAAAGAGAAAATGTTGAAAGCAGCAACAGAAAACTAGCCACATGCAAAGAAATTCCCATAGAGCTATCAATGAATTTTCTCAACAGAACCTTGCAACCTAAGAGAGAGTGGGATGAAATAGTGAATGTACTGGAACAAAAAAAGAACCCTGCCAATCAAGAACATTATACTTGGTAAAGCTTAATTTCAGAAATGGAGAGATAAAGACCTTCCTAAACAAACAAAAACTGAGAAAGTTTATCACCACATCTTCCTTAAAAGAAGTGCTAAATAACGAAATTTCAATTGAAATAAAAGATTGCTAATTAGCAACATGAAAAATATGCAAGTATAAAGCTAGTAAAAAATAGCCAAATTCAGAATACTGTAACACTGTAATGATGATGTGTAAACAACTTTTAACATAATTGTAAAACTTAAAAGCATTAAGCAACTACAGTTACAGTAATTTGTTACTGGATAAAAAATATAAAGATATGTATATTCTGACATGAACAACATAATCAATAAAATAAAATATAACAGATCTGCATTTCATGGGAGTTAAGTTGTTATCAACTTAAAAATAGTTATAACTCTAATATGCGTCATGTAAGCTTTGTGGTAAACATAAAAGAAAAAACTAGTAGACACACCAAAGATAAAGAGAAAGGAATCAAAGAATACTACTACAAAAGAATAATCACATCACAAAAGAAGACTTTAAGAGGGGGAAAAATAGAAAGACTATAAAACAGTGTAAAATAATATTTTTTATTATACTTTAAGTTCTGGGATACATGTGCAGAACATGCAGGTTTGTTACACAGAAATACATGTGCCATGGTGGTTTGGGGCACCCATCAACCAGTCATCTACATAAAGTATTTCTTCTAATGCTATCACTCCCCTACCCCCCCAACCCCCAACAGGCCCTGGTGTGTGATGTTTCCCTCCCAGTGTCCATGTGTTCTCACTGTTTGACTCCAACTTATAAGTGAGAACATGCAGTGTTTGGTTTTCTGTTATTGTGTTAGCTTGCTGAGAATGATGGTTTCCAGCTTCATCCACGTCCCTGCAAAGGACATAAACTCACCCGTTTTTTGGCTACATAGTATTCCATGGTGTATACGTGCCACGTTTTCTTTATCCAGTCTATCATTGATGGGCATTTAAGTTGGTTCCAAGTCTTTGCTATTGTGAACAGTGCCACAATAAACATGCAAGTGCATGTATCTTTATAGTAGAATGATTTATAATCCTTTGGGTATATACCCAGTAATGGGATTGTTGGGTAAAATGGTATTTATGGTTCTAGATCCTTGAGGAAATGCTACACTGTCTTCCACAATGGTTGAACTAATTTACACTCCCATCAACAGTGTAAAAGCATTCCTATTTCTCCACATTGCCTCCAGCATCTGTTGTTTCCTGACTTTTTAATGATCAACATTCTAACTAGCGTGAAATGTATCTCATTGTGGTTTTGGTTTGCATTTCTCAGACGACCAGTGATGATGAGCTTTTTTTCATATGTTTGTTGGCCACATAAATGTCTTCTTTTGAGAAGTGTCTGTTCATATCCTTCACCCACTTTTTGATGGGCTGGTTTGCTTTTGATTTGCTTGAATTCCTTGTAGATTCTGGATATTAGCCCTTTGTCAGAAGGATAGGTTGCAAAAATTTTCTCTCATTTTGTAGGTTGACTATTCACTCTGATGATAGTTTTCTTTTGCTGTGCAGAAGCTCCTTAGTTTAATTAGATCCCATTTGTCAATTTTGGCTTTTGTTGCCATTGCTTTTGGTGTTTTAGTCATGAAGTCTTTGCCCATGCCTTTGTCCTGAATGGTATTGCCTAGGTTTTCTTCTAGGGTTTTTATGGTTTTAGGTCTTATGTTTAAGTCTTTAATCCATCTTGAATTAATTTTTGTATAAGGTGTAAGGAAGGGTTCCAGTTTCAGTTTTCTGCATATGGCTATCCAGTTTCCCAATGCCATTTACTAAATGAGGAATCCTTTCCCCATTGCTTGTTTTTGTCAGGTTTGTCAAGGATCAGATGGTTGTAGGTGTGTGGCATTATTTCTGAGGCCTGTGTTCTGTTCCATTGGTCTATATATCTGTTTTGGTATGAGTACCATGCTGTTTCAGTTACTGTAGCCTTGAGGTATAGTTTAAAGTCAGATAGCATGATGCCTCCAGCTTTGTTCTTTTTGCTTAGGACTGTCTTGGCCAAACAGGCTCTTTTTTGGTTCCATATGCAATATGAAGTAGTTTTTTCTAGTACTGTGAAGAAAGGCAATGGTAGCTTGATGGGGATAGCATTGAATCTATAAATTACTTTGGGCAGTGTGGCCATTTTCATGATATTGATCCTCCCTATTTATGAGCATGGAATGTTTTTCCATGTTTGTGTCCTCTCTTATTTCCTTGAGCAGTGGTTTGTAGTTCTCCTTGAAGAGGTCCTTCATGTCCCTTGTAAGTTGTATTCCTAGGTATTTTATTCTCTCAGTAGCAATTGTGAATGGGAGTTCACTCATGATTTGGCTCTCTGTTTGTCTATTATTGGTGTACAGGAATGCTTGTGATTTTTGCACATTGATTTCCTATCCTGAGACTTTGCTGAAGTTGCTTATCAGCTTAAGGAGATTTTGGGCTGAGATGATGGGGTTTTCTAACTATACAATCATGTCATGTGCAGAGACTATTTGACTTCCTCTCCTTCTATTTGAATACCTTTATTTCTTTCTCTTGCCTGATTGCCCTGGCCAGAACCTCCAACATTATGTTGAATAGGAGTGATGAGACAGGGCATCCTTGTCTTGTGCTGGTTTTCAAAGGGGATGTTTCCAGCTTTTGCCCATTCAGTATGATATTGGCTATGGGTTTGTCATAAATAGCTCTTATTATTTTGAGATACATTCCATCAATACCTAGTTTATTGAGAGTTTTTACCATGAAGGGATGTTGAATTTTATTGAAGGTCTTTTCTGCATCTATTGAGATAATCATGTGGTTTTTGTCATTGGTTCTGTTAATGTGATAGATTACATTTATTGATTTGCATATGTTGAATCAGCCTTGCATCCTAGGGATGAAGACGACTTGATCTTGGTGGACAAGCTTTTTGATGTGCTGCTGGATTTAGTTTGCCGGTATTTTATTGAGGATTTTCACATCGATGTTCATCAGGGATATTGGCCTGCAGTTTTTTGTTGTTATTGTGTCTCAAAACAGTGTAAGATAATTAACAAAATAGCATCAATAGGTCCTTACCTATCAATAACTGCTTTAAATGTAAATTGATTAAATTCTCTAATGAAAAAACAGAGTGTAGAGGTAAAAATGGCAAATAAGAGGCAGAACAAATGGACTTAACACACTTTTACAGAAAATTTTACCCAACAACTGCAGAATATGCATTCTATTCATCAGCACATGGAATATTCTCTAAAATAGACTATATGTTATGCCACAAAACGAGTCTCCACACATTTAAGAAAACCAAAATTATATCAAGTACACTCTCACACCACAATGGAAGAAAATTGGAAATCAACCCCAAAAGAAACCCTCAAAACAATGCAAATACATGGAAATTACATAATCTGCTCCTGAATGAGCATTGGGTCAACAATGAAATCATGATGGAAATTTAAAAATTCTTTGAACTGAATGATAATAGTCACACAACCTATAAAAACCTCTGGAATACAACAAAGGTGGTGCTAAGAGCAAAGTTCATAGCCTTAAATGCCTGCATCAGAAGGTCTGAAAGAGTATAAATAGACAATCTAAGGGCACACCTAAAGGAACTAGAGAAACAATAACAAACCAAACCCAAATCCTGCAGAAGAAAATTATACCAAAGATCAGAGCAGAACTAAATGAAATTGAAAAACAACAACAAAAAAGATGAATGAAACAAAAAGCTGGGTCTTTGAAAAGATAAATAAAATTGATAAACAATTAGTGAGATTAACCAAGATAAAAGAGAAGATCCAAATAAGCTCAAATAGAAACAAAATAAGAAATATTACAACCAATATCACAGAAATACAAACAATCATTCAAGGCTACCATGAACATCCTTAAATGCATAAACTAGAAAACCAATAGGAGATAGGTAAATTTCTGGAAATATACAATTCTTCTAGATTAAACCAGGAAGAAATAGAAACTCTGAACAGACCAATAGCAAGCAGTGATATTGAAATGGTAATTTTTAAAAATGAGAACAAAAAAAGTCCAGAACCAGATGGATTCACAGCTGAAATCTATCAGATATTCAAAGAAGAATTGATACCAATCCTATTGACACTATTCCACAAGATTCAGAGAGAATCCTCCGTAAATCATCCTGTGAAGCCAGTATCACCCTAATACCAAAACCAGGAAAGGACATAACAATAAAAGAAAATTGCCTGATAAATCTAGATGCAAAAATCCTTAACAAAACACTAGCTAATTGAATCCAACAACATTATCAGAAAGATAATCCACCATGATCAAGTGGGTTTCATACCAGGGATGAGGGATGGTTAAACAAACACAAGTCAATAAATGTGGTACACCACATAAACAGAATTAAAAGCGAAAATCACATGATCAACAGATGCAGAAAAAGCATTTAACAAAATCCAGCATCACTTTGTGATTAAAACCATCAGCAAAATCAGCATAGAAGGGATATAACTTAAGGTAATAAAAGCCATCTATGGCAAACCCACAGCCAACATTCTACTGAATTGGGGAAACATTGAAAGCATTCCCCCGAGAACTGGAACAAGACAAGGATGCCCACTTTCACCACTTCTATTGAACATAGTACTGAAAGCCTTAGCCAGAGAAATCAGACAAGAGAAAGAAATACAGAGCATCCAAATTAGTAAAGAGAAAGTCAAGCTGTTGTTGCTTGCTGATATGATCATATACCTAGAAAACCCTAAAGACCTCCAACAAAAAGCTCCTAGAACTGATAAAAGAATTCAGCAAAGTTACAGGATACAAAATTAATGTATACAAATCAGTAGCTCTGCATACAACAGCAGTGACCAAGTTGAGAATCAAATCAAGAACTCAACTGTTTTTACAATAGCTGCAAAAAAAAAATTTATTATACTGCCAAAGGCAATCTAAAAATTCAATGAAATTCCCACCAAAATATCTTCATCATTCTTCACAGAACTAGAAAAAACAATCCTAGAAATCATATGGAACCAAAAAAGAGCATGTATAGCCAAAGCAAGACTAAGCAAAAAGAACAAATCTGGAGGTATCACATAACTTCACTTCAAACTATAAGGCAATAGTCACCAAGACAGCATGGTACTAGTATAAAAATAGGCACATAGATCAGTGGAATGGAAAAGAGTACCCAGAAATAAAGCCAAATATTTACAGCCAACTGATCTTTAACAAAGTAAACAAAAACATAAAGTGGGGAAAGGACACCCTATTCAACAAATGGTACTGGGATAATTGGCAAGCCACATGTAAAAGAGTGAAAACGGATCCTCATCTCTCACTCTATACAAAAATCAATTCAAGATGGATCAAAGACTTAAATCTAAGACCCGAAACCGTAAAAATTCTAAAAGATAACATCGGAAAAACCCTTCTAGATGTTGGCTTAGGCAAAGACTTCATGACCAAGAACACAAAAGCAGATGCAACATAAAAAAAGATAAATAGATGAGACTTAATTAAATAAAAAAGCTTCTGCACAGCAAAAGAAACAATCAGTAGGGCAAACAGAAAACCCACAGAGTTGAAGAAAATCTTCACAATCTACACATCCGACAAAAGACTAATTTACAGGATCTACAAGGAACTCAAACAAATTAGCAAGAAAAAAAACAAACAATACTATCAAAAAGTGGGCTAAGGACACAAATAGACAATTCTCAAAAGAAAAAATACAAATGACCAACAAAGATGAAAAAACTCTCAACATCACTCATGATCAGAGAAATGCAAGTAAAAGCCACAATGCAATACCATCTTACTCCTGCAAGAATGGCCATAATCAAAAAGTAATAGATGGTTTCAATGTGGTGAAAAGGGAAAACTTTTACACTGCTGGTGAGAATATAAACTAGTACAACCTCTACGAAAAACAGTGTGGAAATTCCTTAAAGAACTAAAAGTAAAACTATCATTAGACCCAACAATCCCACTACTGGGTCTCTACCGAGAGGAAAAGAAGTCATTATCTGAAAAAGGTATTTGCACATGCATGTTTATAGCAGCACAATTTGCAATTGCACAAACATGGCAACAGCCCAAATGCCCATCAATCAATGACTGGGTAAAGAAATTGTGGTATATATATACATATATATATATACGTGTATATATATACATATATATATACGTGTATATATATGTATATACGTATATATGTATATATACGTATATATATACGTATATATATGTATATATACATTTGGAAGAAAATGTATATATACGTATATATGTATATATGTGTATAAATGTATATATATGTATATATGTATATATATGTGTATATATGTATATATATGGGTATATATATGTGTATATATATGTATATATACATTTGGAAGATATATATGTATATATCTTCCAAATGTGTGTATATATATATGTGTGTATATATGTATATATACATTTGGAAGATATATATGTATATATATCTTCCAAATGTATATATATGTGTATATATGTATATATACATTTGGAAGATATATATGTATATATATCTTCCAAATGTATATATACATATATGTACATATATACATATACATATATGTACATATATACATATATATACATATATGTACATATATACATATATGTACATATACATATACATATATGTACATATATACATATACGTACACATATACATATACATATATGTACATATATACATGTACATATATACATATACATATATGTACACATATACATATATGTACATATATACATATATGTACACATATACATATATGTACATATATACATATACGTGCATATGTACATATACATATATGTATGTGTACATAAATACATATACGTATATATGTATATATGTGTGTGTGTATATATATATATATATATATATATTTTTTCTTCTAAGTGAAGTAACTCAGGAATGGAAAACCAAACACCATATGTTCTCACTCATAAGTGGGAGCTAAGCTATGAAGATGCAAAGGCATAAGAATGATATAATGGAGAATAGAGCAGCAGATCCTGACAAGGAGGGTTCTACTACCACAGTGCTCGAGCTCTGCTAAGGGAAAAACTGCCTCCTCAAGTGGGTCCCTGAACTCCATGACTCCTGACTGGGAGAGAACTCCTAACAGGGATTGACAGACACCTCATGCAGGAGAGCTCTGGCTGGCATCATGCCGGTGCCCTCTGGGACAAAGCTTCTAGAGGAAAGAGCAGGCAGCAATATTTGCCGTTCTGCACACTCCGCTGGTGATAACTAGGCAAATAGGGTCTGGAGTGGAGCCCAAGCAAACTGCAGCAGACCTGGAGAAGAGGGGCATGACTGATAGAAGAAAAACTAACAGACAAAAAGCAATAACATCAACATCAACAAAAGAATGTCCACACAGAAACCCCATGCAAAGGTCTTCAGCCACAAAGATCTAAGGTAGATAAACCCACGAAGATGAGGAAAAACCAGCGCATAAATGCTGAAAATTCCCAAAACCGGAATATCTCTTTTCTTCCAAATGATTGCAACTCCTCTCCAGCAAGGGCACAAAACTAGAGAGAATGAGTTTGATGAAATGACAGAACGAGGCTTCAGAAGGTGGGTAATAAGAAACTCCTCTGAGCTAAAGGAACATGTTCTAACCCAATGCAAGGAAGCTAAGAACCTTGAAAAAAGGTTAAAGAACTACTAACTAGAATAATCAGTTTAGAGAAGAACATAATATGCTTTTCATATATATATGAAAAAAGGTTATTTCATATATATATCTCATATATATTCATATATATCTCATATCATAACTATCTCATATATATTCATATATATACATGTATATATGTGTATATATGTATATGAATATATATAAATATATATACATATGTGTGTGTGTGTGTGTGTGTGTATATATATATATACACACAGGTGCACCCAATACAGGAGCACCAGATTCATAAAACCAGTTCTTTAAGACCTACAAACAGACTTGGACTTTGACACAATAATAGTGGGAGACTTTAACACCCCACTTCCAATATTAGAAAGATCAACGAGACAGAAATTTAACAAGGATATTCAAGAGTTCAACTCAGCTCTGGACCAAGCAAACCTAATAGATATCTACAAAACTCTCCACAGCAAATCAACAGAATATACATTTTTCTCAGCACCACATAGCACTTATTCTAAGCTCGACCTCATAATTGGAAATAAACACTCCTCAGCAAATGCAAAAGAACAGAAATCATAACAAACAGTCTCTCAGGCCACTGTGCAATCAAATTAGAACCCCAGAATTAAGAAGCACACTCAAAACCACACAACTACATGGAAACTGAACAACTTGCTTCTGAATGACTACTAAGTAAATAACAAAACTAAGGCAGAAATAATGAAGTTCCTTGAAACCAATGAGAACAAAGAGACAATGCACCAGAATCTCTGGGACACAGCTAACACAGTGCTAAGAGGGAAATTTATAGCATTAAATGCCCACATCAGAAAGCAGGGAAGATCTAAAATTGACACCCTAACATCACAATTAAAAGAACTAGAGAAGGAGAGCATACAAATTTAGAAGCTAGCAAAAGTCAAGAAATAACTAAGATAAGAGCAAAACTGAAAGAGACAGAGACAGAAAAAAACCTTCAAAAAAACAATCAACCCAGGAGCTGGTTTTTTGAAAAGATTAACAATATAGATAAACCACTAGCCAGACTAATAAGAAAGAAAAGAGAGAAGAATCATATAGACACAATAAAAAATGATAAAGGGGATATCACCACTGATCCCACAGAAATACAAACTACCGTCAGAGAACACTATATCCACCTCTACACAAATAAGCTAGAAAACCTAAAATATTTGGATAAATTCCTGGACACATACCCCCTCCCAAGACTAAACCAGGAAGAAGTTGAATCCCTGAATAGACCAATAACAAGTTCTGAAAATGAGGCCCTAATTAATAGCTTACCAACCCAAAAAAGCCCAGGACCAGATGGATTCACAGCCGAACTCTGCCAGAGGTACAAAGAGGATTTGGTACCATTCCTTCTGAAACTATTACAAACAATAGAAAAAAAGGGACTCCTCCCGAACTCAATTTTATGAGGCCAGCCTTATCCTGATTCCAAAACCTGGGAGAGACATGACAAAAAAGGAAATTTCAGGTCAATATCCCTGATGAACATCAATGCAAAAATCCTCAATAAAATACTGGCAAACTGAATCCAGCAGCACATCAAAGCTTATCCACCACGATCAAATCGGCTTCATCCCTGGGATGCCAGGCTGGTTCAACATACACAAATCAATAAACGTAATCCATCACATAAACAGAACCAGTGACAGAAACCACATTAGTATCTCAATAGATGCAGAAAAGGTCTTCAATAAAATTCAACATCCCTTCATGGTAAAAAAAAAAAAAACTCTCAATAAACTAGGTATTGATGGAAGACATCTCAAAATAATAAGAGCTATTTATGACAAACCCATAGCCAATATCATACTGAATGGGCAAAAGCTGGAAGCATCCCCTTTGAAAACCAGCACAAGACAAGGATGCCCTCTCTCACCACTCCTATTCAACATAGTGTTGGAAGTTCTGGCCAGGGCAATCAGGCAAGAGAAAGAAATAAAGGGTATTCAAATAGGAAGAGAGGAAGTCAAATGGTCTTTGTTTGCAGATGACATGATTGTATATTTAGAAAACCCCATCGTATCAGTCCAAAAACTCCTTAAGCTGATAAGCAACTTCAGCAGTCTCAGCATACAAAATCAATGTGCAAAAATCACAAGCATTCCTATACACCAATAATAGACAAACAGAGAGCCAAATCATGAGTGAACTCCCATGCACAATTGCTACAAAAATAATAAAATACCTAGGAATACAACTTACAAGGGACATGAAGGACCTCTTCAAGGAGAACTACAAACTGCTGCTCAAAGAAATCAGACAGGACACAAACAAATGGAAAAACATTCAATGCTCATGGATAAAAAGATTCAATACTGTGAAAATGGCCATACTGCCCAAAGTAATTTATAGATTCAATGCCATTCCTATCAAGCTACCATTGACTTTCTTTACAGAACTAGAAAAAACTACGTTAAAATTCATATGGAACCAAAAAAGAGCCCATATAGCCAAGACAATTCTAAGCAAAAAGAACAAAGCTGAAGGCATCATGCTACCTAACTTCAAAACTACACTACAAGGTAGTAAACAAACCAGCATGGTACTGGTGCCAAAACAGAAATATAGACCAATGGAATAGAACAGAGGCCTCAGAAAGAACACAACACATCTACAACCATCTGATCCTTGATAAACATGACAAAAACAAGCAATGGGGAAAGGATTCCCTGTTTAACAAATGATGCTGGGAAAACTGGCTAGCCATATGCAGAAAACTGAAACTGGAACCCTTCCTTACACTTTATACAAAAATTAACTCAAGATGGATTAAAGACTTAAATGTAAAACCTAAAATCATACAAACCCTAGAAGAAAACCTAGGCAATACCATTCAGGATATAGGCACGGGCAAAGACTTTATGACTAAAACACCAAAAGCAATGGCAACAAAAGCCAAAATTGACAAATAGGATTTAATTAAACTACAGAGGTTCTGCTCTGCAAAAGAAGTGAACAGAGTGAACAGGCAACCTACAGAATGGGAGAAAATTTTTGCAGTCTGTCCATCTGACAAAGGGCTAATATCCAGAATCTATAAGGAACTTAAGCAAGTTTACAAGAAAAAAAACAACCCCATCAAAAAGTGGGCAAAGGATGTGAACAGACATTATGTTGGCCACATAAATGTCTTCAACAAACATTTGAAAAAAAGCTCATCATCACTGGTCATTAGAGAAATGCAAACCAAAACCACAATGAGATACATCTCACACCAGTTAGAATGGCAATCATTAAAAACTCTGGAAACAACAGATGCTGGCGAGGATGTGGAGATGTAAATTAGTTCAACCATTGTGGAAGACTGTGGTGATTCCTCAAGGGTTTAGAACTAGAAATACCATTTGACCCATCAATCCCATTACTGGGTAAATACCCAAAGATTATAAATCATTCTATTATAAAAACATATGCACACATATGTTTATTGCAGTACTATTTACAAAAGCAAAGACTTGGAACCAACCCAAATGCCCATCAATGATAGACTGGATAAAGGAAACGTGGCACATATACACCATGGAATACTATGCAGCCATAAAAAAGAATGAGTTCATGTTCTTTGCAGGGACATGGATGAAGCTGGAAACCATCATTCTCAGCAAATTAACACAAGAACAGAAAATCAAACACCACATGTTCTCACTCATAAGTGGGAGTTGAACAATGAGAACAGATGAACGCACAGAGGGGAACATCAGACACTTGGGCATGTCTGGGAATGGGGGGCAAGGGGAGGGAGAGCATTAGGACGAATACCTAATGCATGTGGGGCTTAAAACCTAGATGACAGGTTGATAGGTCAGCCAATCACCATGGCACATGTATATCTATGTAACAAATCTGCATGTTCAGCACATATATCCCAGAACTTAAAGTAAAAATAAATAAATAAATAAATAATAAAAAGGACTTTGGGGACTTGGGAGAAAGGGTGGGAGGTGGGTAAGGGATAAAAACTACACATTGGATACAGTGTACACTGCTCAGGTGATGGGTGCACCAAAATCTGAGAAATCACTACTAAAGAACTTATTCATGTAACCAAATACCACCTGTTCCCCCAAAACCAGGTTGATAGGTGCAGCAAACCGCCCTGGCACATGTCTACCCATGTAACAAACTTGCATGTTCTGTACATGTATACCAGAACCTAAAGTAAAAAATAAATAAATAGACAGAGTGGTTGAATGGATTAAGAAAAAACATGGTCCAAATATATGCTGCTTACAAGGGACTCACTTCTTTAGTTTTAGGACACACATAGGCTGAAAATAGAGATGGAAAAATGTATTTCATGTAAATGGCAACCAAAAGTAAGCTAGAGCACCTGTGCTTATATCTGACAAAACAGATTTAAGTCCAAAATTGTAAAAAGAAACAAAGAAGTCCATTATATAATGATAAAGGGGTTAATTCATCAAGAGGATATAACAAGAAAAAATATATATGAGCCCCTGTCAAAGCACCTAAACATATAAAGCGAATATTAAGAGATTGAAAGGGAGAAATAGTAATACGTAATAGTAGGGATTTTAATACTCCACTTTCAAAAATGGACAGATAATTCAAACAGAAAATCAATAAGGAAATAGCGGACTTGAACAACACTATAGACTAAAGGAACCTAACAGACATATATGTAACATTCCATCTAAAGTAGCAGAATATAGCTTCTTTTAAAGGGCATCAAATATATATTCACTTTCAATGTTCTTTAGATGGCATGTCTTCATATCGTTTGCCCAGTAGATTCTGAAAACCAGAAGTCATTGATAAAAATCATGGAAAGATATCCCATGTTTATGGATTAAAATAATTAATATTGTTAAAATGTTCATTCTACCTCAAAAGACCTACAGGTACTGTATTGCATGCTTAAAAGCAGCTACGAAGGTAGATACTATGTTAAATGTTCTTACCATCAAAAAATTAATAATAAAATGAGTGGGAAGAAACTTTGGGAGGTGATGCATATTCTTATGGCCTTGATGGTGGCGATGGGCTCATGGGTTTACAGTTTTTCTCAAACTCATCAGGTTGTGTATATTAAATACGTACAGCTTTTTACATGTCCAACAAACTCATTTAAGGGCTTTAATAAAATGATAAAGGCAGGTCAGATAGCAAGAATTTGACAATGTCATACCTGCAAATGTGATTCTTGTTCAGTGAACCTAACAATCCATTCCCCTCATGTAGGTATCCTTCCAAATTATAGAGGTTTCAGATTGTCTGTATTTAATGGTACTGGTCAATGATTAATTATAACTTACTTCCCTTGCTTCTTTTGCTCTTAGTTAAGTCTCATCAAACACATTATACAATTATATAATAAATTTCCTATGAAGAGTGTATATTCTGACCAATTTTCAAAAACATTCTGGCCTACTTGGTAGTTATATTGCTAATTGCAAAACAATAATTTGAAGCTTTGTTTATATGTCATTCTATTATAAATTTAGTAACAGATAAATCCTGCTGAATCAGATAATTTCTGGTTGCCCTTGGCAAAACTGGGTTTCTATAACTGAAAAATCTGTAACTGAAGCCAAACAACTTTAAATAAAACTATAAAATCCTAGCTGTTTTGATTGCCAAGATATCCCCTTTATGGTTTTAACTATCATCCAGAAACTAAAATACGGAGTAAAATTAGGGAATATATTTTATTTAGCTACATAACATAGTCAATTGTACTGATAAAAAAAATTTTTTTAAGTCAATGGAATCTATTTAGTATGAAATATACATTCACTTTCAGTGTTCTTTAGATGGCATGTATTCATATCGTTTGCCCAGTAGATTACTAGTTCCTTGAGGATAAAATATGTAACACATACTTTTTTCTTATTTTTCATAGAATCAGTCATTGTGTCTAGTACACAACAAGAAAAAGCCCTAGAAAAATCACCTCTTTGTCACTTATCACTTATCTCTTTAGTTCCTTTCTCCACTCAGAGTAGTATTCTCCCACTGTAAGCCAGTATTTTGATATGATTTACCAGCTTCTGGACTAAAGCCCCGTTCCTCACTTCTTCATTCTCCCATTCAGCTGTACTGTATCAAACCTAGACTTGACTTCCCTTTGTTCTCTTTTGTTTCTATACCTATAAACCATGCTCATCATTACTACTTGCTTTCAACTGGCTGTAATTTTGGCAAGAATTTGATACTCTATTTTGCACTTTTGGGGACATTTGTGGTTACTTAAACATAGTGAAAATATAAAACTAACTTTTGCTAATTCTGCTGCTGATGTTCCTTTCACAGATCCCAGGTAGCTGGAAGAAATAAATAAATTATGTTTGCAGATTTAAGTAATCCAATCAAACTAGTCTATAGGCATCAATACCAAAGTAAAAATATAAATAACAAATTATTTAATCCGAGTTTCTTCTACAAAAACTGACTTTTAAAAATGTAATTATATATACAATATTGTGTTATGTGCCAAAATTGTTGAACATAATCAGAAGATATGTGTAGCAAAGTTTAATAAACAAGAAAAAACTATGTAAAATAAAGGGTATTATCTCAAATTTGAAATTGTAACTGAATACTTTTATCTTCCTCATTTCGTCATAAAGTTTTTCAAACCATGTAACAATTAAAACATATTTTAGGTTAAATAATAGAATTCTTAGGGGCTATTATGACATTTAAAAATAAAAATAAAATGTCCACCTCAGTAGGCATTACTGGAAATAATCAAAAATGTTTTAAGAATTTCCTTGGATTTGTCTTTATAGAAAATTTGTAAACCACAAAAACATATCCGTCCAGATTCCTCTAAAATCTCCCAAGATTTTATCAATTGCAAAGGCCTCAAGCACTACTGATATGCTGATACTAAATTTATATCTCTAATTCATACATTTCTTCTGAGAATTTCCAGTGGGAATATCCACCTACATATCTTCCAAGTCCCTCAAAAATGTTCCAACACTCTTAGCATCTTTCTTTTAAATGGTACTACTAGCTACAAGGCTGTACCCATAAGAAATTTGGGAAAAATTCTTACCCTTCTTTCTTTCTCACCTCTTTTTTCACTTCTCTTGGTACTATCAAAGCTGCTGTGTAAATATAACTCCAATCCATCCACTTATCTCTATCTTAACTATTTTAGCCCTAGTCAAACCACTATCATGTCTTACCTGACCTCCTTCAGGGTCTTCTTAACTTCTGTCTCTGCATCCAAGCTTGGCTCTCAAAAGCTATTCTTCATTCAGTTAGTCCACATGATATTTTAATAATCAAATTTTATCATGGTAATTATCTGCATAAAACCCTTCAAAGAATACCCTTGCCTATTAAAATAAAGTCTAAAACTCTTGCCATAGCTCCCCAGTCTGAGTACCAGCCCTCAGCTTCATCAACTATCACTCAACCTTCCTCATTAAGTTATAGCTACTCCAGTGTTTTCTCTACCCTTGGAGGCCACCAAGTCCTTTCTTACTTCAGGAGAATTGGGTTTCTCCTTTTGAAATACTGTTTATTGAAAAACTGCTTTTAACACCTCAGATTTCAGTAAAGCCAATTCTAAAGACTTACATTAAGTGAGTCATCCTATTAAATAATCTGATACTAATTTGTATCTTTATTTCAAAACATTTATTGGAGTTTACAAACCTGTAGATGTTTGTAGAAGAAAAAATAGAAGAAATTAGAAGACTTTACAGAAGGTTCTAAGTACTCTTCCTGACTTTGAACTACTCCAAGACTTTAAGTTCTTTCAGATTATTCACTTGTTGTAAGAACTCTGTCAGCCAGTAAGAGACAGATCACTTAGAAATTAAAGAACTTTGTATCTTCCTGAAATTCCAAACATAAAAAAATGATAGGAATTGGATTTTAAGAATAAGAACAAAGATTTATCATATTTTCTATGCCTCTTCCACCTCTCCGAGTTTCTAATAAATTAACCAGTTAAAACATAAACATGTATAGATCACCTAAAATTGCTGAAAACTGTGCTAATTGTTAGGAATACATAAGTTTAAAATAATTCCCATCCCTCTGGTATTAGCATATTTGAGAGAAGGCGGGAAATTAAATAACTAAAATGTTATTAACACATGAAGAATGAGGACAGAGTGCCATCATAGCATATGAATAGGATATGTTTATATTTGGGGAAGGCTTCCCTGAGGAAATGCTCTTTAAGATGATGTTAATGGATAACCAAATTTAGCCAAGAGAAATGAAGGAGGAAGAGTTTTTTTCTACCTAGAGGAACAGAATGTCTCAATGTTCTGAGGTGGGTTGGAAAATATCACGTACATGAAAGAACGCAGCAGAGATCAAGCAGAAAAGAGGAGAGAGTAGCAACATCTCGTAGATAATAAGAAATTTCCTATATTACTATAAAGTCAACTAAACGTGCTGCAAAAAACATCACTTCAGCTGCACTGTGGAAAATGGATTTGAAGGTGTTTGAAATGACTACAGAGAGGTCACTGGGGAGAGGTCGTTGCTTTCCGTAGTGACTTCTTAGAGGTGGTAAGTGATTGTTGCTTGGTTTATACTGATAGTAATGGAAATGGTGAAAAGAAGCCGCATTCTTCAGCCGGGTGCGGTGGCTCACGGCTGTAATCCCTGCACTTTGGGAGGCTGAGGCGGGCAGATCACAAGATCAGGAGATCAAGACCAGCCTGGCCAATATGGTGAAACACCACCTCTATTAAAAATACTGTAGCCGGGCGTGGTTGCGGGTGCCTGCAGTTCCAGATACTCAGGAAGCTGAGGCAGAAGAATAGCTCGAACCCAGGAGGTGGAGGTTGCAGTGAGCCGAGATCATGCCACTACACTCCAGCCTGGGCAACAGCCTGGGTGACAGAATGAGACTCCATCCAAAAAAAAAAGATGAAGAAGGCACATTTTAAAATATTTAAATAGTATAATCATTTCCATCTGGTGATGTAATGAATATAGTGTGCTAACAGAGAAATGAAGGACTTAAAAGTGATCCCCTAGTTGAACAACGAGAACGCATAGACACAGGGCAGGGAACATCACACACCAGGGCCCGTTGGGGGGTGGGGGGCTGGGGGAGGGATAACATTAGGAGAAATACCTATGCATATGACGAGTTGATGGGTGCAGCAAACCAACATGGCACATGTATACCTATGTAACAAACCTGCATGTTGTGCACTTGTACCCTAGAACTTAAAGTATAAAAAAAAAAGTGATCCCTTATTTCTGACTTGAATAATGAAGTGGGTAATAATGCTATTTACTGAGCTTAGGAAGATTAGATGATGAGTAAACAGGTATAAGAAGCTTACTTTTGGAAACATTAAGGTTCGGGTACATTTTGGACCCTTCGTAGCACACGGATATATGTATCTAGAGCTCTTAGGAGGTGTCTGGTGTGGAATTTTAGTTGAAGCTAGGAAAGTAAATTGCCAAAGGAAAGAGGGCAGCGTGAGATTAGGGACTTAGTCCTGATGAAATCTAAGTTTTGGTAGCTGGAAAGAATTAGTAAAGTGGGGAAACTAGACTAAGAATGAGTGACCTCAGAGAAAGAAGGGAAAAATATGATATTGTGTCAAGAAGTTATTTGAAAAAGGTTTTTAGAAAAAAGATTTGATCGGCCTATGGAATACTGCTGAGTGATCAGAAATATTAAAACTCAAAATGTGCTTTAGATTTGTTAGGAAGAGCAGTTTTAGGAAGAGTGTTTAGGAAAACTCCAGAATGGAGCAATTTCAGGGTAACAAAAATGTGTTATAACCAGAGAAAATTCTTCTCCAGAGAATGATTGACCTTTTTCTTTCCATACATACTGTTTCTAAACAAATTGTTCCTTTCTTCTACATGATGTCTTGGGTTCTTACCATAACAAGTTAATGTGACATCCTCATTGTGACTGCAGTCATGATTTCCCCATCCACGATGTCTGCAATTCCAGAGTGCCAACTCATTCCCCTGGCATAAAATGTCATCCAGCCAAATGGGGCGCAATACAGCAGGGCTATTAACAACTCCAGAAGAAATAAAAGAAGATGGACATCCTAGTTGCCTGCACACCACGGCAGCAGTATTCAAGTTCCACCCATCATCACATATAGTTCCCCACCTTTCTTGGAATTTCACCTCCACTCTCCCTGAACAGGAGTTGTTTCCATCCACTAGCCTCAAACCCAGATTGGCTTCACCTACGAGAAAGACAAGCAGACATATGAAAAACTGATTCAACTTTGAGCCTGAAATAAAATCAAAAGGATACGTAGAAGACAGCCCTGTTATGAATGAAGTTACCAAAAATTAAAAAAAAATAACTGAAAATACTTATAGGAGGGGTATGTGAGGCTTTTTTCTAAACACAAATACACAAACAAAAAAAATCCTAGGTGAAAAAATCAATCATTAGCATGATATTCTTTATCATTTTGCTTTAATTTTATACCTCATTTTTCAGAAAATATTTGTTCTGTTAGTGTACCTGGTACATGAAAAAAGGCACTTAAATCAAAGCTAACCCTGCTCCCAAACTTCTTCATTTCTTTCTAAACTCAATTATAGTTATGATAAAGATATTACATTGGTAACTGTAATGCATTCTCTCTCTGTCTCTCTCTTTCTCTCTCCATTTCTTTCTAAACTCAGTTATAGTTATAAAAAGAAAAGCAATTAGACATTACTTTGGAAATAAGGGAAGGGTAGAATATATAAAATATTTCCTACACCTCCCAGAGGGACACTATTAAAGTCATAATAGAAACCCCTACCTTCCAGCAGATGATTCCTGAGGGTAGGTCTTACCTTGCCTTCCTACTCTAGTTAGACTCTTACCATAACAGTTCACACCAACATCTTCTCCATGATAACAGTTATGGCTTCCCCATTCCCGGTGTTGACATTCCCAGAGAGCTGACTCATTTCCATAACAGGAAACATCATCAAGCCAAATTTTTCCATGTCTAGTCACGGCTTGTCCAAAACGAAACATGGCGAAAGAAAATGGACATCCAAGCTGTTTGCACACGACAGTTGAGGCAGTAGTGTTCCACCCATCATCACACACAGTCCCCCACTGTCCCTGGAATTTCACCTCCACTGTCCCAGAGCAGGGACCGTCTCCATTGACCAGCCTCAACTCCAAATCTGTTCCATCTGCAAGAAAGACAGAAACATACATTAGAGATGGCAAAGATTAGAAGGCAGAAATAATATAAGTAGGTGAGATGGATGATGATCATTTAGTTTAAATGTTGTTATTAGAACTTATAGTAGAGAGAAAATAAAAATGAGAAAATTTGAAGTGAGAAGCTTTAATTTTTCATGATAGGGAACTAGAGACCACATTGCAGCATAGTTTTGCTTTGCATTGTAATGTGAAAATTAAAAGAAGGGAAAGAATTTTTTCTTTCTATGCAATTCCCACCAATATAAACCACAGAAAAGGTAAGGTTTGCTGTTGTGCACGCAGAATGAAAGAAAGTCCCTTGGCTAGTCAGTTTCAAAATAATCTGTATCTGAGGAGTCCACCTCACATTTTTGAAGGAGATGTTTTATATACTTAATAATTGAAAACATCTTGTAAGGTTGACATAATAATTTTCTACTCAATAAAATCTACAGCATTAAATACTTTTGAGTATTTATATCCTCAGATGTTTTAAATACATTCAACAATAGGCCTTGCAGGAGGAGAAGACCTAGTCGTCCATGATTGTAATATGCTAGTCCACCTTCTCTAATCAACAGCTATGTGAATCACAGGTAGACAACCACTTCAGAAAGGGCAGTCCTTCAGATGACCATTGGCTACTCATATTCCCATCTTAAAAATTTGAAATAAGTAAAATGGATTTTAAAAAATCCTAGGTGAAAAAATCAACTTAAAACAAGTGAAGTTAATATTAACCCAAATCTACTTGTAAGCCAAAATTTTGAGGAACAGACAATAAAAATTTAAATGGAAAACCAATGTGAAGGGAGAAAATTTTAAAGCAACCATGAGTTTTCAACGTGAAACTTTATGGTGAATTCTGTGCATATGATGATGATGAGAGGGTGTGTTAGTAAGAAGAGCAAGTGAGCCAAAGGGACAAAGAGAAGCAATAAGGAGGAAGAAAAAGATGAAAAAAGAGAAAGAAAAAGAAGGAGAGAGGAAGAGACAGAAAGAGAGAGAGACAGACAGAGACAGAGAGAGAAACAGGGAGAGAGAGTACAATAGAAAAGGCTTCCCAGTTCTGAGTTTCAGTACACAATGGCTTAGTGAGAATACACTTTTCACAAAAGATAACAATATTCTTTCTGAAAGTGGATTGTGAGTTAACCATAAGTCTTCATTCAGTGTGGTCTTGCCTATACTATACTCATAACTAGAAATTTTGGTTTCCTTATATTTCTCTTTCTCAGTTCCTAGTGCTGCTACTGTTTCCTATTTCTTTCTATATGAACATTTTTCTTTTTAGTTGAAATGTGTGTGAGGGGCATTCTAATGGCTGTGCTCATATCATATAACTCTTAAGTCTAATGAAAGCTCTTAAAAATGTAGTTGATACACACACACACAGAGATATATTCTAATATGATTGATATTTGCCATTTCTATTTTTTCAATATACTGATTAAGGTGTTTTTTTCAACGTGTACATTAGAATTTCTACTAATTTTTAGACATACCAAATTTCTACCAAGGTGTGATAAAATTAAAGAAAACTTGATAAATTAAGAACTTCTATTCTTCAAAATACACTCTATAAAAAGTGAAAAGTCACAAATGTGAAGAATATATTAGCAACATATATTATGACTATGGACTAGTATCTAGATTATATTTTTTAAATATATATATTTAGAAAAATAAGCAAAATGGGCAAATGAGTTGAACAGATATTTCACAGAAGAAAACAAAAGGCATGACCATTAAATACATGGAGAAATGCCTAAACTTATTAGTCTTTAGGAAACTGAAAATTAAGATAAAAAGATATAGCTTTATACTCTCTTGATTGGCAAAAATTTAGAACTCTGAATATTTAAAATATGAGTGAGGATATGAGTCATATCCTCATACATATATTTGAAAATATATATACATTGCTAGCAGAATTCATCCTATCTGGTAAAGTTGAAAACATGCACATCCCAGAACCTGCTAATTCTACTCCTACCTATAGACCGTAGTAAACTCCCATGAATCTGCACCAGAGACATATTTATAGCAGAACATTTGACAATAGTAATGAAAAATCCAAATAACTATTGACAGGATAATAGACAAATTCACTGGGAATATTTATTTATACAAGATAATATATTTTACTTAACGAAAACTTAAATAATTATAGCCATTGCAACAGCAGAGATGAAGCTTAGAAATATAATATTGAAAGATAAAAGCAAGTCCCAGAACACTAAATGCAGTTTGATATGTTATAAAGCTTAAAATAAGCAAAACTAAACAATACATTATTTCTGCATCTATATCTATCATATTATTAGAAAGTATTGTATTATTAAAAAGTAAGGTAGTGAGAAATGCACAATTCAGGATAGACATTATCTCTGGTGGGGTTGGAAGGTAGGTGGAAGAGAAGAGGAAAACATACGTAGAAAAAAATGGTTGATAAAAATCCAGTTTCCTGGTTGAGGGATGGATTTATGTGTGCCATTACATTATGCTTAATGATTTGTATATATGTTATAAAATGGCCATTTTTGTCTAATCAAATATAACATTAAACAGCGAGAAATTTAAAGCATTTTAAAAAGCAAATACATTAATCAAAAATATTTGTAACTGGACAAGAACCAATACTATTTTGGAGTACACAAAGATATAGTAATATTATCTATGATTAAACAGAAATAAGAAAATTGCACAAATAAAGCATTCAATTAAAATAATCATTTCAATACCATGATTAAATCTCAACAGCATTTAAAATGTTAATTTAGCCCAGATGCCATGGCTCATGTCTGTAATTTCAACACTTTGAAAGGCAGAGGTGGGAGGACTGCTTGAGGCCAGGAGTTCCAGATCGGCCTGGACAACATAGTGAGACCCTACCTGTAAAAAATTTTTTTTAATTAGCTGGGTATAGTGGCACACATCTGTAGCTGCACTCCAACCTGGCTGACAGAGTGAAACTCCGTCTCTTTAAAAAAAAGAATCCACTTTAATAACAATAAAATTTTATTTAAACTACAAATTTGGCACTAATGAAAAATATAGAAAATAATGAAAAACCTTAAAAATGACAATTTCTGTGTCAGATCTATGAAATGTAATATATTTGAAAAATTACTGAAATACAAAGCAATTAAATAACTTCAATAATCACTCATAAGGTCTTATTAAAATCTATTTGGGTATATCCAAATGACAGAAAACTACACAGCCAATAAAACAAGGTATCATAAGTGATATGTGATAAAATAAAAATGTTAAAGAACTATATAGGTAATAACCAATATATAAAATATAATGAAATAATTTTCTTGAAACATTATTATAAAAAATGCCACAAATTGGTATTTTAAACAATAGTGTTTTTCTCTGGATGTTAATATATTAACAAATATATATTTTTATTTATTTTATTTATTATTTTTATTATACTTTTATTTTTATTAATAGTATTACTTTTATTTTTATTTTAATAGTATTACTTTTTTATTTTAATAGTATTTAAAAGTATTTACTTTTAAATAGTATTTAAATAGTATTTAAAAGTATTACTTTTTATTTTAATAGTATTACTTTTATTTTATTAATGAATATTATTTTTATTTTTATTTTTATTAATATACTTTTATATTTATTAAGTTCTAGGGTACATGTGCACAACGTGCAAGTTTGTTACATATGTATACATGTGCCGTGTTGGTGTGCTGCACCCATTAACTTATCATTTACATTAGGTATTTCTCCTAATGCTATCCCTCCCTGCTCCCCCCACCCCATGACAGGCCCTGATGTGTGATGTTCCCCACCCTGTGTCCAAGTGATCTCATTGTTCAATTCCCACCTACGAGTGAGAACATGCGGTGTTTGGTTTTCTGCCCTTGTGATAGTCTGCTCAGAATGATGGTTTCCAGCTTCATCCATGTCCCTACAAAGGGCATGAACTCATCCTTTTTTTTTTTTTTTTTGACACTGTATATTTATTTGAAAACCGGAAAATACAGGTTTGTGGCTTCAGGGAATCACCCTTGTATACTGTGGTACATGATCAATGATCATTAAATCCTCTTCACACAAAAGAATTTTGCTTCCTCAGTCAACCATATAATAATTCACAAAATATCAAATTCAAAACCCAACACCAGTTTTCCAACCCTCTTTTAGGAATTTTATTATTATAAAAAAAAAAAAAGAAAATTCTAAGAAAGTTTTCCACCCATAGTCTTAACCAATCATGACTATTTTACTTCTCCATGTTCCCCCTTCTGGTCCTTGTACTTTTACATGCATAATCTTTTTTAAAATTCATTTTTGCTTACATTACACACATATTTTTACATGACTGTGTTCACATTTATGTAGGGTTTTTCTTCTCCACTGCATTTTCTAAGTTGTTCTATTTTGCTGTAGCACTAATGAAGATAATACTGCCATAAATAACTATGTATGCACAGCTTTTCCTTCTTTAAAATGATTTCCTTAAAATAAATTCCCAAAACTGGAAATAATGGATGAAAAAAATGATGTTTTTTATAGCCCTTGATAAATATTGCATATATAAATACTCTCATAATTTGGAAAATATATCCATTTTGCAAAGCCATATAAAAATAATTTTTATAATGGGACAAATTCTCTATTAAATACATTTTTATAAGCATTAAAATACTGGTTAATGTAGTTTGTGTCCTATTATTTAATAGTGGTATACTCAAGACAACAGGGGAAATGACCAAGCAGGATGTGAAAAGCTAATAAAATAAGCTGATGAAGCTATAAACCTGAGTATACAATGCTCCATATATCATCTGAGTACCTCTAAAAACCATCCTGATTTTTGCTCACAAATTAGCCTATAATTTTCTAGTCAAAATCATTCTAAGAGAAACAAACCAGAGACTAAGAGATAAGCTGCAGTGTCCAAGAGCTGGAGGATCTTCATTTATGACCGCCCATGGTCATAAACACTTTCTCATAGCTTGACTGTTTCCCTTTCCTTGCTTGTGAAATGTCTTGGCCACTCAACACGGGTTTTCTGCTGCCTCCCGTGGCCCTTACCTCCTCGGCTGAGTCCATGGACCAGAGGCCTCTCTCTTCCCCGCTCAACCTCCAGCCCTTTGGCGTTTGGACAGATATAGGCATAAGCTTCTCTAACTCTGCAGCACTTTTGCCTCTGTCTTGATTCCTCTGCTTTTTAGGCACAGTTTTCTTCTCTAAGAATGCGTTCTTGTTCTCTAGCTTCCTGCTCTCTCTAGTGTCCTCAACCTTTCTCGGGGTCTTCTTTTTCCTCCTGCCTCTGACATCGGTATCCTCCTCAGCACTCATGGCACTGTCTAGGGGCTTCTCAAAGCCATGCTCCAGCCCTGTGTCCTGCCCTGCTCTCTCTCTTGCACTTTTAGTGTTTTGTTTCTCTTCTCTGCTGTCGGAATGTAGCCCTTCATTGTCATCCTCCGGAAAGGGGGAATCATTAAGTACACTTGATTCAGATTCCACCTGGGATTCGACAAATTTTCTTTTTTTGTTTTTCTATTTTCTTTGGGATCTTCTCTTGTTTTCGTCTTTAAATCTCTTATTTCACCCTTTTTAACTTTAATTCCTTTGTTTCTTTTACTTCATCTTTTTTGGGCTTTTTGGACTCCTTTAGTTCTTCTTTGGCTTCAGAAATTCTTTTCTTTGTCCTTAAATCAAACTAAACTTTCCAAGGAGCTCTCCAGGTCTGGTTTGGACTTGTCTTTTAGCTTCCCGGCCTTTGCTTTTTTCTTTTTCAGATCATCTGGGCTTTTCTCCTCTCTCTGCCTTAATTTTTTCTTTTTCTTCTTTGGGGAAGTATCTTCTTTTGTCTTACTTTGCTGACCGCTATCAGAGTTCGCCTCAAATATGTCGTTATTTAAGGATAGTCTCTGAATATCCTTCCTGACTGCTTTGGCTTTGTTCTCTGCAATTTTCTTCCTAAATTCAAGAAGCACTTCTTTACAGTCCTCCAGGTGAGTCTCGGGCTCCCAGGTATCGTCATCCGATGTATAGCCTTTCCAGCGAACTTTGTAAAGAATTTCACCCCCCTCGATCTTTATGTCCAGGATCTTCTCCACCTCGAACACATCCTCTCCGTCCTCCTCACTGTCGCCAAAGGCCTCCGCTCCTCTCGCGGCTGCGTCATTATCCCCGCCCACTACTCCAACTCCTTCTTCGACTTCGGCCAACTCCTCAGTGCTGTCGGCAGCTGACACAGGGGCTGCGGTCACACTCGCTCCCTCCGCAGCCTGCTCCATCCTAGCAGCTCCGCAAACCGCCGAGGAAAACCCGCTGCGACACACACCCCAGCAGCTCCTCGCGTTCCGCGCTCCGCCCTACTCCACATCAGCGGCGTAACGGAAGCCGACCAATGGCGGGCTTGGACCCGCCGCGCCAGCGTGGCCACGTCCCGCTCAGGCTCCGCCGCCTGCTCTTGGCTCCGGGTAGCCGGCCAGGGCGGACACTTAACACTCGCGTCGGCCGCGGCCGGCCCTCCGCGCAGGCAGCCCTGGAGGCGGCCCCGCGAAGCTCAGGAGCGCCCCTGCGACGGGGAGGGCGGACTGCGCAGTGCCGCGCCCGGGCAGGGACCTGGAGCCGCCGCCGCCCACCGGCCCTGCCGCCATCCCCCCACCGCCGCACGGGAAGCGGAAGTGGGTGCGGGACCGCGGCGCGCCCAGCCCGGCCAGCTCCCGCGCCCAGCCCGGCCCTTGAATTCATCTTTTTATGGCTGCATAGTATTCCATGGTGTGTAACACATATATATTTTTAATTGTATTTAATTCTTTGATTTCTGTATCTTGTAAGTTTTTATTAACCGATTTTTCTATTTGCAAAAATACAATATCCATATTTTTTCAGTGAGACATTTTACGTTTGGAAACTATCTTTATCTTTTTTCTTTTTTTTTTTTTTTGAGATGGAGTCTTGCTCTGTCGCCCAGGCTGGAGTGTAGGGGCACGATCTCGGCTCACTACAACCTCCACTTCCTGGGTTCAAGCAATTCTTCCACTTCAGCCCCCCAAGTAGCTGGGGTTACAGGTGCACACCACCACACCCGGCTAATTTTTGTATTTTTAATAGAGATGTGGTTTCACTGTGTTGGCCAGGCTGGTCTCGAACTCCTGACCTCAGGTGATCTCCCCACCTTGGCCTCCCAAAGTGCTGAGATTACAGGCCTGAGCCACTGTGCCCGGCCGGATTTGGAAATTCTCTTTATCTGAAGGAGAAAAATGTCAACGAAAAATGTAATATGAAATGCATAAAAATAATTTGGACACCTTTATTTACAGGGTATAGCTATTGAAGGTCCAACATTATTTTTACATGTTCTATTTCCCTCAAAATATGCACTTAGGGTAGTGAGTAGGGGAAAGGTAGAATAGAGGATTGTAAGCCCAAAAGTTATCATCCATCAGAACTCACTAAAACTGCTGATGAGAAAGCAGGAATTCAGGAGCAGGATGCAAGTTACCACAGCAGAGAAAAGGTTCTGATGACAGCAGCATCTTCCAAAATCTGGAGAAACAAAATATAGCAGGGTAGAATTTCATGTCTTTCTAAGAAATGTTAGATGACCTCAATGACTTAAATCCAAAATAAAATAGAAGGAGTAAGATGAATTATTCTTCCACCTGTCAAGGATACCGCACAAGAAAGTCCTTTTCCCAGGAAAAGCCACAGGACTAGCTCCTGTTTGTGATGGAAAGGCACCAAGTGGTTTGTAACAGGGCAGATATTTTAGCATGTGATTCATTGAAAAATTGCATTCTGTGTCCAAATATATTTTGTGGCTGTTTGGGGTAATTGATTAGCATTTTGGGTTACTGAGTAATTTTTACTTCTCAACTCTTTGACCCTCTCCTCATTTTTACTGTTTTTCCTCCTAACGTTATCCCCCTACTTTGTTCATTCATTTGCTCCTTTATTGAGTATGACATATGTACCCGATCTTGTGCTTCATTATGGGAATAGAGGAATGAATAAGTGTTCTTGCCTGTATTCCACTCAGTGGCTTGTGACTGGAATGTACAAGCAAATCAACATTTGGAGGTCACTATAATAACTGCTGATTGAGCTCATGATTATTTACCAAAGCTATCCACTTTTCTTCAGGGTCACTATTCTATTATTCCTACAGAATCTTGCCACTTCCTCACTTCTCCCTGTCTTTTCAGTCATGCTCAGTTCTGCATCTAATAAAGTTTATGCTACACGTGTGGGGAAAGAATGAACTAAGATAGGCAGGAGCAATACACAAGCGAAGGAGTTGAGAATTTATTCTGAGAGTTATTTGGAGACTATAAAGAATTGAATCAGTGTAATAAATAAAATTTACATTATAGAAAGATTATTTTAAAAGCAGATGGGATGATTAATTCATAGGGGTAAATAAATGTATAAGAAATACTTTAAAATAATATTTATCATCCTGTTTACTTGAGGGGTATGTAACAGCTGTAACTGTTAGAGAACTATCTTAAATAGTATTTTCATTAGTATCTTATGGAAAAGATGAAGTCAGAGTTAAACTGAGCATGTGTAATCCCAGACAACAAAAAACAAAAACCCTAAGAGGACAGAAGGAACAGTACCCATCGGGGAAAGGCCCATGCTGCTTGGGCTACGCAAAAGCAGAGACAGAAGGCGCAACCTGCTTTGGTGGACATCTTTAGTTTTTCAAATGATGCTTTGAAACTAAAATGGATCCCGGGCACTTCTCTAAGAAGTAATCCCAAGTGAGTTTGGCAACAGTCAGTAATAACCATAGAGGAGACTTTATTATTACAATTATCATCAGTCACATCCATCATTCTTGGAAAATGTACCCAAATCAAGAGAAAACCCTCCCTATAGAACGAAACAGGGAGAAATAAGTGTGGAATGGGCAATTAGTGTCCCAATTTCCTTCTTTTCCATCTTGTCCAAAACACTTTAAGTTGGTCTTCTTTTTTCTCTTATTTCTTTTGTTCCTAATAAGAATATTTAGTTCCATCAAACCTCATGTGTAGGATTATCCTAGGAGGCCATTTCATCTTCCTAAATCCTTCCAGGAAACTCTGAGTGCCCATTTGTAAGAATGGTTAGAGCTAAAGATGAACTATAAAGAAAAAAGAATAGTAAGCTCTGACACCAGCACAATCAAGATCTGATGAACGTGAACAAATAGTGCAGTAGGAAATTCTTGAGAAGGAGAATTAAAGTATAATTGCCAGAACTTGTGACCTTCTATATATCTAATACCATCTCACCAATTCAAGACCTTCATCTTTCCCATTCCTTTTCTAATTAGATACATGGCAGACAGCATGTTGAAAGTTAAATAATATTATCTTTTAAGTAACACACATGAATTATGAAGAACTGTAATTCATTAAGATGAGCCTTGCTAGATAGAAGGCAGCCAAGCTTCTCAAACTGTAGAAACCCTTTTTCAAAAAGGAGGCTTTGAAAAATATCAGAACTTCTGCTGGTTTTCTAGAAATGTGCTGGTCTTTAGTCATAAGCAAAACAGTTACAAAATATTAAGTTGACTTGTAGTAATTGCACTGAGGAATGGCACAGAGACACAATGCCAACAGGAGTAGCACTGCATTTTCAAAAGCCTCAATCCTATTTAGGAGTTATAAGTCCCAAATACAGCAAAAACCTCCCTTCGTGATTCTTTATTTCCACGAAATGTCTATGAAGTGCAAGTGCAAAGGTTACTACTAATTTCAGATGTGCTGTGAAAGACTTCTTAGCCATGTATTCCTTTCTTAGTCCTTACTCTTTAGGGTCCATCAAAGACTTGTTCTTTGTTTTTTATCATAATGTCTTCTTATTTATTTGCTTTATTAAAATTTATAGCAGAAAGATCAAGGGCTCAGACTTAGCTGGTCCTGAATTTAAATTACACTTGAGATTCTACTACATGACCTTACATAAGTCAGTTAGTCCTTATAAGTCTTCATTTTCCATCTACCAATGGAGACAATAATATCTATAAAATAGGTTACATGTGTGAATTAAATTGAGATGACCTAAAGCATTTACTGTAGTACCTGGCACTTGATAACAATAAGTTTCTAATTTATCCCTTCTTTCTATTTCCACAACTTCATATCCTTGTGTGACTTCTAATCTCCAGTCTTTATAATACATTTTCTGTTTACTTTATTAATGTTTTCCTCCTTTCTTGGATTTCAGTTTTGCCTCCAATATTGCTGCTACTCTAAGTTCCACAAAACTTTCAATTTTTTTATATTTCTCATGTCCTGTTTTCTTTTTACCTTACTACATAATATTTATATCTGTTTGTTGTTACACATATTCTTAGTATACCCACCATCTCCCAAATGGCAGAGCAAAATAAAAGCAAAACCTTACCAATATGCCACGAGTTTTGAGGCAGCATCATTATGGGTCTATCTCTTCCTGAGTCCTGATGTAACTCCTGGGTCCTCTTATATATAATCTCAGAACTGCTCATGAGGTGAAAACAGATCTGCTATTTGGAAATGACAATACTGTAAAATTGAGTTCATAGTTTTCCAAAGGGGAAGTCATTATAAAAGCTGAGGTTGTTTTTTCTTTGCTACTTCCTTATCACGTTAGGATATGGAAAACAAAGGAAGTTAAATAATATGCCTGGAAAGTCTCACAGAATAAAGGGAACTGTAAATTGCCACTCTAAATTTTCAAAAAGACTCATGTTTCACATTTAAAAATTTTTGTTCCATAAATGTGATCTTGTCAGCACAGTTTTATAGATATTTATCTAAAAGATAAAATATATCATCAGGTTTGTTTACTTTAGCATACATATTTCAACCAGTTATGCTAAAAGGATCAGAAGAGGTTACATTGCTGAAAACTGGCTAGTCTACGAAAGCTTTGCTGATGAAACATGAGCACAGATAAACATATTTGAAAAAATTTCATGTCTATAAAAATGTTTAACAAAATGGAGTCCTTTAAAATTAGTTTTTTATTGTTAATGATTATGTAAAAGAAAATAAAGCTTAGTCATCAAATGAGTTTGGAAAACATTCATTTAAATGATTTCAACCATTAGGTAGAAAACCATGAGTGGCTTCTGAGCTCATAGTGATTGTTCTGTGTTCGGATAGGCC
Organism: Homo sapiens; assembly: GCF_000001405.40. NCBI lineage: Eukaryota > Metazoa > Chordata > Mammalia > Primates > Hominidae > Homo > Homo sapiens. The sequence continues at coordinate 7,444,843 of NC_000012.12, forward strand.
TGTATGTCCTGCCCTGCTTCTTTGGGAAAATTGCTTTTTCCCTTCCTTGATATGTTAAGAATGGTAGATCACATCTTTTCACACGCCCACGTCTCCCCGATTACAGTGACAAGTTCAAGGAAAAGCCAATGACCCAAGTGAGCCCATCAGAGTGTTTGCCAGGATTTTTCGTCCTATACTTCCATGTCGAGTAGGCCTATTAGTAAAAAAGAAGCTAATATATACAGAAATTAAAATGAGATATAAAATATCTAAATACTTTAGATAAATAAGTCCTTATAAATCTCCATTGATAAATTCAAGAACTTTATTTTTTCTTGTCCCTTTTCAACTTAGATACCTGACAAGGCTTTATATAACAGAGGTTAAATAAAATTCTGCTGCAATTAATGCCAAATGTATTTTGAAGTCCAATTAAACATCGGAGCTTGCTAGATATGAGCGAGATGTGCCTCTGAAATGATAAAGTGCCATTCTCAAAATATAGTCTCTTTCTTACTTCTCAGAACTGAGGTAGGTGCCCAAAGTCAGAAGAAATCAGGAGGAAAACAGGGAGAATTTTTTCTTGGAAAGCTTGAGATGAAATGTCTTTGGGGAAATGTAATTCACTAACTAGGATAAGTCACATGATGGAAGAATGGAAGACACAAAAAGAGGATGCTGAAACTTGTTTTAGTATATTATTTCTCAGCCATGCTGAGAAAATTTCCTGAAATTTTTAAAATACAGTATGACCGGAAACGCTTTCATGCTAACAGAATCCATAGCAAACTAACTGCTGATAAAATGATCTCACAGAAGTGGGAACTGAAAATAGAAAACAATGAAAACCTGATTATTGCTATTCTTTGATAGAATAAATGTCTCCACAATATCTCTGCTACTGTTTTGAGTTTCTCCCATTTCTAGACACCCAAGTTCTCTCACTCTCAAATATTTCGTAGCAGGTTCTAATCTAAATGAGTCCCTTTCTTGCCTTTATGATAAAAAAGCATAAGGGATGTGATAACTATCTCTTTGGGGAAATAGCTGGATATTCTGCTTCAAGATCTCACACAGGGCTATAATTACATTGTAAACTGGGGCTGTGGTCTCACCTGGAAGCTTGACTGAGGAAGGATCTGCTCCCATGGCCACTGCTATTCCATGGACTGAATTGTGTCTCCTCAAAATTTATAGATTAAAGCAATAACCCCCCAGTGTGACTATGTTTCAAGACAGGGCCTTTAAGGAGGTAATTAAGGTTACTTGAGATTATAAGGGTGAGGCCCTAATCCAATAGGATTGATGTCCTTACAAGAAGGGACACCAGAGCTTGTTCTCTCTCTTTCCACAAATGTGCAGAAGAAAGGCCACGTGAGGACACAGACAAAAAGTGGATGTCTAAAAGCCAGCAAGAGAGCCCTCACTAGAAACCAAATTTCCTGGTACCTTGATAATGAACTTCTAGCCTCCAGAAATGTGAAAAATAAATTTCTGTCATTTTTAAGTGACTCAGTCTACAGTACTTTGCTATGTTGATCCAAGCAGACAAATGCAGATGTTGGTACTGAGAAGGGAGATGCTTCTGTAACAGATAACCTAAAAATGTGGAAGTGCCTTTGGAACTGGGTAGTGAATAGAGGCTAGAAAAGTTTTCAGGTGCATGCCTGAGAAAGCCTAAATTGCCTTGAAGGGACTGTTAATAAAAACATGAATGCTAAAAGCAATTCTGATGAAGTCTTCCATGGAAGTGAGGAACATGTTATTGGAAACTGCAGAAAAGATGATTTTTGTTTTAAAGTGGCAAAGAACTTGTCTGAATTGTGTCTTAGTGTTTTGTAAAGTGTAGGACTTGTGAATTACAACTTTGGATTTTTAAAAGGGAAGATATATAAGCAAAGTGTTAAAAGCACAGCCTAGTTTTTCCTAATTGCTCATGGTAAAAGGCTAGAGGGGAAAGATAAATTGACAGCATTGTTAAGCAAAAAACAAAAACAAAAGCAACCCAGAAACTGAAGATTTGGAAAAATCTCGGCCTATTTATATAGCAAAAAAATGATAAAATGTGTTCTGGAGAGAACATCAATGGTGTGGCGCCTCAATCACTCCATAGGGAAATTAACCATGACTTTTTTCATCCACCTTAGCGGGAGCCTTGAATAGAGATGGGATTATATCAGCAGAGACCCTGCCAGTTTGGACCAAAGAGAATAGAAATGGGTTGAAATAAATCATGGAAAGCTTTCTGACTTCTGAGATTCTGTAGGATGAAATAATAGAGATATTCAGCTGTGAACATGCTTTATCCTTCAAGGAAAGGGATAAATGACCTTGAAGGTGATTCAGAGGTCATCAGTGCTGTAACTCCCACTATAGGCCCAGAGGAAAGGCTGTTTTGTCCTCAGTTTCAGAGGATGGGACCATCTCCTCAGTTTCAGTAGACCAGGCTGCCTCCATCCGTGCCTGAGGAGTGGAGCAGCCACAAAAAGTTTTAACAGTCTGCTACTTACAGCTGTGGTGGTGACAATGCCACCCCAGTGGGCCTGGAGGGCAGAGGATTCAGCCAAAGATAATTATTGTTGAATCTTAAGATCTAATGGAATTTGCCACTTCTCCTTTTTGGAATGAGAATGTCTGTCTTATGCCTGTCCCACTACTGTTTTTTGGATGCACATAACTTGTCTGGCTTCACAGGTTCACAACTGGAAAGGAATTTTGCCTCAGGATGAATCATAACTTGAGTCTCACCCATACCTGATTTAAATGAGACTTTGCACTTTAGACTTTAGAATTGATGCTGGAAAGGGTTAAGACTTTATGTGTTGTTGGAATGGGATTAATATATTTATCATGTGAGAATAACATGAATTTGGGAGTGGAGGGTAGAATGTTACGGAATGAATTTTGTCCCCCACAAAATCCACAGGTTGAAGCCCTAATGTGACTATATTTGAAGATAGGGCCTTTAGGGAAGTAATTAACATTACATAAAGTTATAAGAGTGAAGTCCTAATCCAGGATTACTATCCTTATAAGAACAAAACAAGACACAGAGAACTCTCTTCACACATGCAAAGAGGAAAGGCCATGTGAGGACACAGAGAGAAGGTGGCTGTTTGCAAGCCAGGAAGAGAGCCCTCACCAGAAACCAAATTTGCTGGCACCTTGAACATGGACTTCTAGCCTCCATAACTGTGAGAGCATAAATTTCTGTAGCTGAAGCCACCCAGTCTGTGGTATTTTGTTATGACAGCCAGAGCAGACTAATACAGTCCCTAATATGGTTGCTGGCAGAATGTTGTACTGAGGGGCTCAGTTTCTTGCCAAATTGGACTGAGGCTGCCCTGAGTTTCTTACCAGGAGGACATCACCCATAGAGCAGAAAGCGTGTAAAATCTTGCAGAGAGAGAGAGAGAGAGAGAAAGAGAGAGAAATATGGAGTCACAGTCCTTTCTAACCTAATCTTGAAATTGATATCTCAGCACTTTTGCCATATTCTATTCATTAGAAGCAAGTTACTAGATCCAGCCCACACACAAGGGGAGCAGATTACACTGGACATGAATACATGAAGGCAGCCATAATTTGGAACAATTTTGGAAGAAATCTACAAGAAGTGAACAAAAAATAGACCAGAGAAACCAAAAGCTATAGGACAATATGCAGCAGACTTATAATTGGAATGCTAGGAGAAAAATGATGACAGAATGGGGCAGAAGAAAGACTCAGAGAAATAATGATTAGGAATAATGACAGACACCAAACCACAGTACAATGTACTTAAAGAACACCAAGTAAGAAAAGAATAACACACACACTCACATACTCTCTACCTAGGTATAACATATTTAAACCTGCACAGGCATGAGAGAGAGAGAGAGAGAGATACAGAGAGAGAGAGAAAGAGACAGAGAGACAGACAGAGAGAGAGGCAGCCAAAGGAAAAAAAGCACATTACGTATATATAGAGAGAGAGAGAAAAAAAAATTACAGACGACCTCTTGTCAAAATTGTGCATGCATGAAGACAATGAAGATGATATCTACTAAGTGCTAAAAGAAAGAAAATAACCTGTCAATCAAGAATACTCTGCATAGTGAGTATATATTTCAAAACTGAAGGAGAAATTTTAAAAACCCTTAAACAAAGCTTGAGAGACGTCATTACTAGCAGACCTATATTAGGCTTAGTGATTTACTTCCAAAGCATGGAGTATGAAAGATGGTAAATAACTTTACAGCGGAGAAATCTAGCAAATACCACTTCAAACAAATGATCAACAGTCACATCCCCAGAGATAACATGTGTATATCATGTATGCCCTGATATTGTGTGATGAGTAGGGCACTGCTGTGGTGTTCTTTCCCAAACCCCATTACTCCAATCTATTCATGAGTAAAACATGAGGCAAACCCAAGGTGAGGGACATGCTAAAAAACACCTGACCAGTACTCTTCAAAACTGTCAAGGTCATAAGAAATAAGAAAAGACTGAGAAACTGGCATAGACCAGAGGACACTATAAAGACAGGACAACAAAATGCAATGTGATATCCTGGATTGGATCCTGAAACAGAAAAGAGACATTAATTTTAAAAAATCTGGAGTTTATTTAACAGTAATTGGGTTTGTTTTCCAGGGCTGCCATAGCACAGTACCACTAACTGGGTGGCTTAAAACAATAGCAATTTATTTTTTTTACAGTTCTGGAAATGACAAGAATGAAATCAAGATGTCAGCAGGCCATGTCCCTACAAAGATTCTAAGGGAGGATCCTTCCTTGCCTCTTCCTAGCTTTTGCTTGTTGCTGGCAATCATAAGCATTCCTTGGTTTGAAGATTCATCACTCCAATCTCTGCCTCCACCATCATATAGCATCCTTCCTGTGTGTTTCTAAGTCCAAATTTTCCTCTTTTCGTAAGGACACATTGTTGGATTAGGGCTTACTCTAATCCAGTATAGCCTCATTTTAACTGATTACATTTGCAGAGACCCTATTTCGGATTGAGGCCACATTCATAGATACAAGGGATTAGGACCTGAACATATCTTCTGTGGGGACACAATTCAATCCACAACAATAATGTACCAATGCTGGTTTCATAGTTTTGACAAATGTTCCATGATGATAGTAGATGATAATTATTAGATTAGGGGAAATTGAAAATGGATGAGCAGTAAATGGAAACTCTCTTTATTATCTTCACAACTTTTCTGTAAATCTAAATTATTCCAATATAAAAAGTTTATTTAAAAGAGAAGTGAGAAATATATCTTTTAAAAGTATTCTTATAAAATATTTGAGGAAATATGGTGAAAGAAGGAACATGAGCAAGCTACCCTACATCTTCAAATGCAAACATAATCTATCTGTATAATTTATGATGTTATTATAAATCACAGCTATATATTTATAAATATATGTATATAAGTTTCTTAAATTATAATATAGTCTTTCTTTAGATTTATTTATTAGGAGTTTTTATAGTCCACTATGATCCCAAAAATAATAAATTGCAGTGGTGAGTGACAAATTCCTTTTTTCTTCCCTATAGATTATGTGGTCTCCTTATAGATACTGTAGCAGAAATTCAGGAGAAGCAATAATATGGTAAGGAAAAAGTGAGGAATTCTAGGGCCAGAAATATTTTTTAAAATTTTGGCTTTAAAACTTTTCTTTCTAACTAGAAAACCTTTAGCGAAAACTAGAACATAGATGCAAACAAGGTTTTAGACGACAAAAAATATTTACAACCACTCTAGGGCTACCTATTTGTCAGATAACCATGAGATCATACTAGGCAAGAAGGGCAAGACCATGGAGGGTATGACTAGGTAGGAGGACATAGCATTTGCTTTTGGTCTGAGAGGACAGTGGCAGGTTACAGAAAAGAGACAGAGCTATAAGAACCCAGAAAGCCCCACGGGCCAAGAAGGAGAGCTTATATTTACAGATTGAGCTGGTGAGGTCACAGAGTCAACAGCAGCACCAAGCAGAAGACATGATACTGTGTCATCAAAGTAACGCTAACACCTGTATCTATGACTCACCCAATCCTAAATAAATGCATTTGCCCAGAGTGACGAGGCAACTAATGTAAATGCACGAAGTGGGTTGAGATCGGAATGTGGTAAAATGGCAAGTGCACGTCCTGTTGAAAGGAAGAAGAGGTTACTCACCTCCAATTCACCGTTGTCATGTTGAAATGATGGCCCAATGTTTTCAGACCTCCTGATTTTCAAGAGAAACAGAAATCTGCATTACATTAGTAATAATCCGGTTTAAAATTGGAAGAAAAAAGATACATTTATAATGATAACAAATGCACAAACTTACTTAGGAGCCAATTAAACAAGAAATGTTAGGACTGTTATATTACAACGTACAATAGAGAGAGAGAGAGAGAGATTATTAATAATGAATGAATTGTATTGGGTTGACAACAGAAGGAGAGAATTCTGTAAAGGAGTCATTAAGAAAAGTAATCTAATAATTATTAAGGTGGCAAAGATAAACATTTTTATTTCTAAAGTACATCATTTTCCAAAGAACGTGATTTTTTTAACTAGGTGACTGAAGTGACCAAGTGATATAGACATTAAAAATAAGAAAAATTGAGACTAGACAGAGACAAAGGCAAACCTTGAGAGGACAATTTTGCTCATATAGATTTGTTTCTTATCTGTATGGAGGTGGCCCTTATTCTAGGCTTGCCCTTGTTTCCTCAAAGTAAACAGGTTACCTACAAAGACTAACAGTTTCACAAATTTATGCTTAAGTGGGTATAAGACAATGGAAATTGAAATGTCTTGGCTCCATATAAACTGTATTTTGTTTTGAAAAGCAATATAACATGATGGTGAGGAATGTGGCCGCTTGAGCCAGAGCACCTGGGTTCAAATTTCAGCTCTGTCATTACTAGCTGCATGCTTTTAAGCAAGTCATTTAACCTCCCTGTATTTTAGCTTCCCCAAATCTAAAATGGGTAAAAAAAAGTACCTACGTCATAAAGTTATTGTGGGTATTAAGTTTTTAATTCATATAAAGCATTGAAACAGTCCCTAGCACATAGTGAGCACCGTGTAAATGTTAACTCTTATTATATGGAGTGGAGATTTCACCATAAAGAGGAAATATTGAGCAACAAAAGAAGGGGAGAGAACGTTACTACTAATATTCTGTCAGACAATAATGGAAATTCTGAAAGCACCACAACAATATTTTTTAACCATCCAGGAATGTATTAATAGGAACTATTTTAACAATTAATGTCTGATATAGAATTCTGGTAAAAATAAATCTAAAATATAGGTAAAGACTTTATTTATATTAAATATTACTTTGAAGCATGTACATAAAGATTTATATTAGTATATAGGCAGAGTTCCTCAGTATATATACTCTACAAAGATGTATACATATGTTCATATTTGCACACACATATATATAGTACCTGGCATATGACTGGATGCATAGTGTATGGAATACAATTGGGTATTTAATACATAATACCTGACAAATAGTAGGTGCTCAAAAAGTTTTGTTGAATAAATGACTAAGTAATTTAGTTAATCTATGTCAAATATATATTTGAAATTGAGAAGAAGTGCAAAAATACAGAAAGTGTGCCAAATGGCATGTTTCCACAAGAGAGTTGCTTTGTAGACTTAAATGTCAGAGAAGCGTGTTTGTAATACCTGGATACTAAGAAAGGATTAAAAATCAATTTTCACCTTTCATCTGGATGTCAGCAAGACGGCACAATACAGCTTTCCAACGCTGGCTCCCTATAGAAACATTTGAATAACTATTCATGCACAAAAATACACTCACAAAAGCTAAGAAAACCAGGTGACAGATTATAGAACATAGTGTAGCACAGCAATAAGAAAAGATGTATTGGAGAGGAAGGACAGTTTTACATTACCAACATCCTCTGCCCCAACCCCAGAAAGCATGATGTGGAGACAGATACCCTCCCTGTGAGGGAAGGAAAGGGAAGTAAGCATCAGATTTTGCCTAGAACTTCAACACTGAGCCTGCCCCAGCAAAACCCAACACTGGGCAGGCCCAAGGCCCCAGACTCCAGGGTAGCAACCATGGGCTGGGTTCCAGGCCCACAATGGTGCCAGGCCAGATCCTACAGCTCTAGGCTCCAACCATGCTTGTTGGACTCAGTCTTGGGTCCTGCCATACCACCAGACCTACCCCAATGGCCTCAGGCTCCAGACTGCCTTGGTACCAGGCTGACCCCAGCAGTCCTGGGCTTCAGATATACCCCAGTGCCAGGCCATTCCCCAAAGACTCAGACTCCCAGCCTTTTCATGCAGCCCGAGACATCAAGCTAGCATCCATGGACCAAGTCTCCAGATTGACACCTGCAGTTACAGGATTGAGGCCCATCTAGCATCAAGCCAATGCCTATGGCCCCAGGATCTATGCTTACTCCCATGGACCCAATCAGAAGGTACACCCAAGTAGATCGAGGCTCCAGGCCCAACCCCATGGACCCTGACACCAGGCTCACCCACTTTCTGGCCAAGGTCCCAGGCCTACCTGCATGAAGACTTCAGTAGCATGCTTTTCTGTGAACCATGCCAAATGGGCTGTCCATAATTTCTGGATGGGCTGAGTGATAGAGGGCTTTCCAATACAAAGCATACCTCCAAAGACTGCAATAAGTCCCTACCTCTTTAAATGCACAGACGCCAACACAGCCACGAGGATCAGGCAAACACGGCATCGCCAAGAAACAACATAAAGCACCAGTAAAAACTAATATAGTTTGGATATGGTTGTTCATCTCCACCAAGTCTCATGTTGGCATTTGATCCCCAGTGTTGGGGCTGCAGCCTAATAGGAAGTGTTTGGGTCATGGCAGCAGATCCCTCTTGAATAAATGAATGCTCTCCCTGGGGTAATGGTTAAGTAAGTTCTTACTCTATGAGTTCCTGTGAGAGCTATTTGTTAAAAAGAACCTGACACCTCGACCCTATCTCTTGCTTTCCATCTTGTCAAGTTTTCTTGGCACACATTGGCATCCCCTTCTCTTTCTGCCATGAGTAAAAGCAACCTGAGGCCCTTACAAGATGCTCACTGTTGGATTCTCCAGACATGAGAATTGTTAGCCAAACAAATGTTTATCTTTATAAATTACTCAGTCTCAGGTATGTCTTTATAGCAACACAAAACAGACTAAGACACCAACTGTAAAGAAATGAATATATGAACTGTCTAACAAAGAATTCTAAACAATTGTTTTAAAGAAGCTTGGTGAACAAGATAATACGGAGAAGCAATTCAATATAATTCGGAAAACAATTAATTACCAAAATTAAAAAAAAATTAACAGGAAGGTTAAAATTCTAAAAAAGAAAAAAATCTAATAAAAATTCTGGACCTAATAAATACAATGAAGAAATAAAAATGCAATAGAGAGCCTCTACCACAGAATTGATCCAGCAGAAGAAAGTATAATATATGTGAACTCAAAACCAGTCAGAGGAGAAAAAGAAATAAAAAGAAATGACAAAAACTTATGAAACTTATGAGATAATATCGAATGAGTAAATATACAAATTAAATAATTACAAAAAGGAGAAGAAAGAGACAAAAGGCCAGAAAACATATTTTAGAAAATAAATATCCAGGTATAGGGAAGACAAAGGTCTCCAATCAGATTTAATGCAGACAAGACTCCAAGAAGACATATTATTATAATCACACTGTCAAAAGTCAAAGACAAAGTGAGAATCCTAAAAGCAGAAAGAGAAAAGAAGCATACCAAATGCAAGGGAGATCCAATAAGAAGAGCAGTGGACTTCTCAGAAGAAAATGTACAAAGCAGGAGTGTGTGAGATGATATATTCAAAGTGCCAAAGGAAAAAAACAAACAAGAATATTTTACCCAGAAAATCTGTCTTTTGAAAATGAAAAAGAGGTAGACTTTTCCAGAAAATGAAAAGCTAAGGGAGCTCATGACCACTATACTTGTCTTAAAAAAATACTAATGGAAGTTCTTCAAGCTGAAAAAAAGGGAAGCTAATTAGCAACATGAAGACATGAAGGTGTAAAACTTACTAATAAAAAGTAAGTACATAGTCAAATTCAGAATACTCTAACAATGATGAAATTTTTATGTCTTTTATATCTTTAGTACGTAATTTTTTTTTTTTTTTTTTTTTTTTTGAGACGGAGTCTTGCTCTTTCACCCAGGCTGGAGTGCAGTGGCTCTATCTCGGCTCACTGCAAGCTCCACCTCCCGGGTTCATGCAATTCTCCTGCCTCAGCCTCCTGAGTAGCTGGGACTACAGGCGCCCGCCACCGCGCCTGGCTAATTTTTTGTATTTTTAGTAGAGACGGGGTTTCACCGTGTTAGCCAGGATGGTCTCGATCTCCTGACCTCGTGATCCGCCCACCTCGGCCTCCCAAAGTGCTGGGATTACAGGCGTGAGCCACTGCGCCCTGCCGTAAATTTTTTATATCTTTATTTAGTAAGATAGTTGAAAGACAAAATGAATAAAATAATAATAGCTCCAATAATTTGTTAAGAGGTACACAATGTAAAAAGATGTAAATTATGACATCAAAAACATAAAATGCATTGAGCAGCAGAAAATCTTGTTTTTTATGCAATCAAAGTTACATTGTTGTCAGCTTAAAAATATCCTATTATAACTATTAGGTATTTTATATACGCCTCATGGTAATTACAAAGCAAAATCCCATAGTAGATACCCCCCAAAAAAAAGTAACAAATCAGAACCAATGCAGTGGTACATGACTGTAGTTCCAGTTACTTGGGAGGCCAAGGCAGGAGGGTCACTTGAGTCTAGAAGCTTGAGGCTATAGTGTACTATAATCACGCCTGTAAATAGCTACTGCATTCCAGCCTGGGCAACATAGTGAGACCCCCTGTCTATTTTTAAAAAGAGTAAATCAAAGCATAATGACAAACGAAGACAGCAAGCAAGAAAGTAACAAAAGATCTACAAAACAACCAGCAAATAATTAACAAAATGGCAGTAGTAAGACCTTACTTATTAATAATTACTTTGAATGTAAATGGATTAAATTCTGTAATCAAAAGACAGGCTGAATAGATTAAAAAACAGGACTCAGCTATACACTGACTATGAGCAACTCACTTTAAAATTAAGGACACACATAGGATGAGAGTGAAATGCTGGGAAAAGTTAATCCATGCAAATGGAAACTAAAACAGGGCAGAGGTAGCTATACCTATATCAGACAAAATAAACTTTAAATTAAAAAGTGTAAAAGGGGCAGGCGCGGTGGCTCATGCCCATAATCCTAACACTCTGGGAGGCTGAGGCGGGTGGATCACCTCAGGTCAGGAGTTTGAGGCCAGCCTGGTCAACATGGCGAAATTCCGTCTCTACTAAAAATACAAAAATTAGCCAGGCGCAGTGGTGGGCACTTGTAATTCCAGCTACTAGGGAGGCTGAGGCAGGAGAATCGCTTGAACCCAGGAGGCAGAAGTTGCAGTGAGTGGAGATTGTGCCACTGCACTCCAGCCTGGGCGACAGAGCCAGACTCTGGCTCAAAAAAAAAAAAAAAAAAGGAAAAGGAGAAAGAAACTTTAAAAGGAAGAAAAAAAAGAAGGTCATTATATAATGCTAAAGGGGTCAATTCATCAAGAGGATATAACAATTGTAAATCTATATGCATCTGACATAGGAGAACCTAAACATATAAAGTAAATATTAATAGATCTGAAGGGAGAGATAGAATATAATACAGTAAATATTAGGGGACTTAAATATTCAACTTTCAGCAGTTGTCAAATTATTCAAACAGAAAATCAATAAGGGAACATCAGATTAAACTACACTTAATAGACATATACAAAGCATTCTATCCAACAGCAGCAGAATAAATATTTTTATCAAGCACACATGGAACATTCTCCAGTATTGATCACATGTTAGGTCACAAAACAAGTCTAAACAAATTTAGCAAGACTAAAATTACATCAAGTCTCTTTTCCAAACATAATACTATTAAATAGAAATCAGTAACAAAAACATTGAAAAAATTCACAAATATATGGAAATTAATCGAATGTTTCTGAACAACAAATGGGTCAAAGAAGAAATTAAAAGGTAAATCAAAAAGTATTTAGAGACAAATGAAAATGGAAATAACATATCAAAGCTTATAGGATGCAACAAATGTAGTTCTACGAGGGAAGTTTACAGCATTAAACATTTACATAAAAAAAAATCTCCAATAAGCAACCTAATGCTATAACTCAAGGAACTAGAAAAAGAAAAACAAACTAACCCTAAAGCTAAGTACAAAAAGGAAAGAATAAATAACAGAGCAGAAGTAAACCAAACAGACTAGAAAAGCAAAACAAAAGACTGAAAAAATTAAGTTGGTTTTTAAAAAGATAGACAAATTTGACAAACATTTACCTAGACTAAGAAGAAAAGAGAGAACACTCAAATAAATAAAATCAGGTATGAAAAAGGAGACATTACAACTGATGTCCCATAAATACTAAGGACCACAAGAGACTACTATAACCAATTACATACCAAAAAATTGGACAACCTAGAAGAAATGAATGCATTCCTAGATATGTACAACCCAATCAAGGCTGAATCAAGAAAAAATAGAAAAACTGAACAGACTAATAATGAGTAAGAAAATTGAATTAATAATAAAATATCTTCTGTCAATGAAAATTCCAGAACCAGAGGGCTTCATGGTGAAATACTGCCAAACATTTAAAGAAGAAGAAAACTAACACCGCTTCTCTTCAGACTCTTCCAAAAAGTGGAAGTGGAGGAAAATTTTTCAAACCCATTTTACAATGTCAGCCATTACCCTGATGCAAAGCAAAACAAAAAACAAAAAACAAAAAACAAAACCCTATAAGAAAAGAAAATTACAGGCCAATATCTCTGATGAACATAGATGCAAATATCCTCAACAAAATACTAGCAACTGAATACAACACATTAATAGGATCATTCACGATGATTAAATGGGGTTTATCCCTGGGATGCAAGGATGGTTGAACATATCATGTCAACAAATGTGATACATGATAATAACAGAATGAAAGACAAAAACTATATGATCACCTCAATAGATGCAGTAAAATCATTTGACAAACAATATTTTTTCATGAGAAGAACTATTAGTAAATTAGATATTAAAAAATGTACTTCAACACAATAAAGGCCACATATGAAAACCCTACATGTAACATCATCGTGTTTTCAATGGTAAAAAGTTGAAAGTTTTTCCTCTAAGATCAGGAATACAAGGATGTTCACTCTCACCACATTTATTCAAGATAGTTATGGAAGTCTAGCCAGAGCAATGAGACAAGAGAAATAAATAGCATCCAAATAGAAAAAAAGTAAAACTGTTTCTGTTTGCCGATGACATTATCTTACATATAGAACATCCTAAAAAGGGCCAGGCGCAGTGGCTCACGCTGTAATCTCAGCACTTTGGGAAGCCGAGATGGGAGGATTGCTTGAGGCCAGGAGTTCAAAACTAGCCTGGGCAACATGGTGAAACCCTGTCTCAGCTAAAATTACAAAAATTAGCTGGGTGTGGTGGCGCATGCCTGTAATCCCAGCTACTCCAGAGGCTGAGGCATGAGAAATCGCTTGAGCCTGTGAGGCGGAGGTTGCAATGAGCTGAGATCTCACCACTGCACTCCAAGCGGGGCAACAGAGTGAGACTCTATCTCAAAAAAAACAAAAATCCACCAAAAACTATTCAAATTGATAAATTCAGTCAACTTGTAGAGTACAAAATTAGTACACAAAAATCAGTAACATTTCTCAGCACAAGCAACAAACTATTTGAAAAAGAAATCGGCCGGGTGTGGTGGCTCACGCCTGTAATCCCAGCACTTTGGGAGGCTGAGGCGGGCGGATCACGAGGTCAGGAGTTCGAGACTAGCCTGACCAACATGGCGAAACCCCATCTCTACTAAAAATACAAAAATTGGCCGGGCGTAGTGGCGTGTAGCTGTAATCCCAGCTACTCAGGAGGCTGAGGCAAGAGAACTGATTGAACCTGGGAGGCGAGGGTTGCAGTAAGCCAAGATCACGCCACTGCACTCCAGCCTGGGCAACAGAATGAGACTCTGTCTCAAAAAAAAAAAAAAAAGAAAGAAAAAGAAATTAAGAAACCAACCCCATTCACAATGCCATAAACAAAATAATGAAGAGTAACTTTAATCAAGGATGTGAAAAATCGATATATGGAAAACAATAACATTGATGAAAAATTGTAGACAACTTAAATAAATGCAGAGTTATCAAGTGTTCATAGGTTGGAAGAACTAATATCGTTAAAGTATCCATATTACCCAGAGCAATCTTCAGACTCAATGTGATCCCATCAAAATTTCACAGAAATAGAAACAATTCTAAAATTTGAATGGAACCACAAAAGACCTCCAATAGCCAAAGCAATCATGAGCAAAAATAAAAAAGCTAAAGGCATCATAGTACCTAACATCAAAATTGATCACAAAGCTATAGTAATTAAAACAGAGTGGTTCTGGCATAAAAACAGACACGTTGGTCAGAGGAACAGGACAGAGAGCCAAGAAATATGGTCAATTTACTTTTTATAAAGGTGCCAAGAACACACAATGGAGAAAGAATAGTCTCTGTATTAAATAGTTTTGGGGAACCTGGATATCCACAAGAATCATGAAATGTGACCCTTACCTAACACCATATACAAAAATAAACTCAAAATGGATTAAAGACTTTAATGGTTGGAGGTGGAGATATGGCCAAACAGAACCCTCCAGCAATTGTGCCCCTGCAGGAACACTAAATTGAACAAATATCCAAGCAAGAAAGCACATTTATAAGAACAAACAAAACAGAACAAACAGGTGAGAGGTCATGGTACCTGGTTTAAACATAATCACAAGGAAAGAGACACTGAAGAAGGTAGAAAGGACAGTCCTGCGTTGTCTACACTACCCAACCCCAGCCTCAGGCAACACAGCATGGAGGGAAAATCTGTGTGCTTAGGGGAAGAAGAGTGAAGTGAGTGTGAGACTTTGCATTGCAGCTCAGTGCCACCCTCTCACAGTGGAACTCAACACCAGGCAGCATTCTGCCAGTGCCCATTTGGACCAGCACTGGGCCAGAGGGGAATCCTTCATCCCAATGGAAGAAAACTGAGTCCCAGCCAGCTTCACCACTGGCTGACTACAATGGCTGGGACCTCTAATAAATTCAAGTGGCAGTCAGGCCACAGTGACGGCAGTCTTTGGGCAAGCCTTGGTGCTGTACTGGTCTTGGAGGCAGTGGGCTTGGAATATGACAGTGTGACACCAGCTGTGTGGCCATGGGAGTGCCTGCATCACCTCTCCCTCAACTCCAGACACTGCAGTATGTGGAGAGACTCCTTCCTTTTCGGGGAAGAAGATGGAGGAATATGGAGGACTTTGGCAACTCAGGTACCTGTTGAGCCACAGTAAAATAAAGCACCAGGCAGATTCTTGACGATCTCAGTTCCAAGACTTTCCTCCTGAATAGCATTTCTAGGCCCACCCCAGGCCAAAAGGGAATCCACTGTTCTGGTGGGACAGACCCAGCCCTAGCAGAATTCCCCAGCTGCTGACTAAAGGTAGCGGTGGGTCTTAAATAAACATCAGTGGTAGCCAGGTAGTAGTGTCCGCAGACTTTGGGTAAGCCCAAGTACTGTGTCGGTCTGGAAGGCCATTGGCCTCAGGTGTGACTCAGTGTGGTGCCAGCTGTGGTGGCCATGAGAGTGCCTGAATCATGCCTTTCACAGCTCCAGACAGCCCAGCATAGAAAGAGACTCCTGCTTGGGGAAAACTGAAGAAAGAGAGCAAGAGAATCCACCTGGGAACCCAGGGAACTCTCTTTTATCTTCCCCAAGTCCACCAAGGCTGTGTATCTGAGTCTGCAAAAATTGTAGCATTCTGAGGCTTAGGGTTCCCCCTAGTGCTGAGAGGCTGCCATGACCACAGGCTTAGGTAACAACACTCAAACCCATTTGAATTCTCTGTCTCTTTTTTTTGTTTAACTTTTATTTTAAGTTCAGGGGTTCATGTGCAGGTTTGTTACATAGATAAAGCTGTGTCATGGGGGCTTGTTGTACAGCTTATTTTATCACCCAATAGCCTACCCTTAACACCCAGGTATTAAGCCTAGTACCCATTAGTTATTTTTCCTGATCCTCTCCCTCTTCCCACCTTCTACCTTCCGAAAAACCCAGTGTGTGTGGCTCCCCTTTATGTGTTCGTGTGTTTTCATCATTTAGCTCCAACTTGTAAGTGAGAACACGTGGCATTTGGTTTTCTGTTCCTGACTTAGTTTGCCAAGAATAATGTCCCTGCAAAGGACTTAGTCTCACTGCATAGAATTCCTTGGTGTATACGTATCACATTTTCTTTATCCAGTCTTCCATTGATGAGCATTTAGGTTGATTACGTGTCTTTGCCGTTGTGAATGTGTTGCAGTGAACATACACGTGAATGTGTCTTTATAACAGAATGACTTATATTCCTTGGGTATATACGAAGTAACGGCATTGCTGAGTCAAATGGTATTTCTGTCTTTAAGGTCTTTGAGGAATCGCCACACTGTCTTCCATAATGGCTAAACTAATTTACACCCTCACCAACAGCATTCTTTTCCTTCCACAACCTTGCCAGCATCCGTTATTTTTTGACTTTTTAATAATAGTCATTCTGACTGGTGTGAGATGGTATCTCATTGTGGCTTTAATTTGCATTTCTCTAATGATCAGCGATATCAAGCTTTTTTCATATGCCTGTTGGCTGCATGTACATCTTCTACTAAGAAGTCTCTGTTCATGTCCTTTGTCCACTTTTTAATGGGGTTGTTTTTTTCTTGTAAATTTAAGTTCCTTATAGATGCTGGATATTAGACCTTTGTTGGATGCATAGTTTGCAAAATTTTTCTCCCATTCTGTAGGTTGTCTGTTTACTCTCTTGATAGTTTATTTTGCTGTGCAGAAGCTCTTTAATTAGATTCAATTTGTCTGTTTTTGTTTTTGTTGCAATTGCTTTTGGCATCTTCATCATGAAAGCTTTGCCCTGCCCATGTCCTGAACTCTATTGCCTAGGTTGTCTTTCAGGGTTTTTACAGTTTTGGGTTTTGCATTTAAATCTTTAATCCACCTTGTGTTAATTTTTGTGTATAGTGTAAGGAAGGAGTCTAGTTTCAATCTTCTGCATATGACTAGCCAGTTATCCCAGCACCATTTTTTTTTTTTTTTGAGACAGAGATTCACTCTGTTGCCCAGGTTGGAGTGCAGTAGTGCGATCTTGGCTCACTGCAATGTCTGCCTCCTGGGGTCAAGCAATTCTCGTGCCTCAGCCTCCCAAGCAGCTGGGATTACAGGCACCTGCCACCATACCTGGCTAATTTTTGTATCTTTTGTAGAGACAAGGTTTCGCCATATTGGCCAGGCCGGCCTCGAATTCCTGACCTCAAGTGATCCACCCACCTCGGTCTCCCAAAGTGCTGGGATTAGAGGCCTGAGCCACCACACCTGGCCACAGCACCATTTATTGAATAGGGAATCCTTTCTCCATTGCCTGTTTTTATCAGGTTTGTCAGAGATCAGATAGTTGTAGGTGTGTGGTCTTATTTCTGGGTTCTCTATTCTGTTTCATCAGTCTATGTGTCTGTTCTCATACCAGTATCATGCTGTTTTGGTTACTGTATCCCTGTAGTATAATTTAAAGCCAAGTAGCGTGATAACTCCAGCTTCATTCTTTTTACTTAGGATTGCTTTGGCTATTCAGACTCCTTTTTGGTTCCATATGAATTTCAAAATAGTTTTTTTCTAGTTCTGTGAAGAATGTCAATGGTGGTTCAACAGAAATAGCATTGAACTATAAATTGCTTTGGGCATTGTTTTAGTTCATTCTCACACTGCTATAAAGAACTGCCCATGACTGGGTAAGTTATAAAGAAAAGAGGTTTAATTGACTCACAGTTCTGCATGGCTGGGGAGGCCTCAGGAAACTTACAATCATGGTGGAAGGGGAAGCAAATACATCCTTCTTCACAGGATGGCAGGAGAGAATGAGAGCAGAGTGAAGGGGGAAGCTTCTTATAAAACCATCAGCTCTCAAGAGACTCACTCATTATCAGAACGGCATGGTGGAAACTGCCCCCATGATTCAATGATCTCCACCTGGTCCCACCCTTGACACGTGGGGATTATTACAATCCAAGGTGAGATTTGGGTGGGGACAGAGAGTCAAACCATATCAGGCACTATAGCCATTTTAATAATATTGATTCTTTCTATCCATGAGCATGGAATGTTTTTCAATTTGTTTCTTTCATCTCTGATTTCTTTAAGCAGTGGTTTGTAGTTCTCCTTGTAGAGATCTTTCGCCTCCCTGGTTAGCTGAATTCCTAGGCATTATATTCTTTTTGTGGCAATTCTGAATGATAATTGTGTTCCTGATTTTGCTCTCTGCTTGACTGTTGTTGGTGTATAAGAATGCTAATGATGTTTGCACATTTTGTATCCTGAGACTTTGCTGAAGATATTTATGAGTGTAAGAAGCTTTTGGGCTGAGACTATGGGGTTTTGTAGATATAGGATTATGTCGCCTGCAAACAGAGATAGTTCGGCTTCCTCTCTTCCTGTTTGGATGCGCTTTATTTCTTTCTCTTGCCTGATTGGCCTGGCCAGAACTTCCAATACTATGTTGAATAGGAGTGTGAGAGAGGGCATCCTTGTCTTGTGCTGGCTTTCAAGGTGAATGCTTCTAGCTTTTGCATATTCAGTATGATGTTGGCTGTGGGTTTGTCATAGATGGCTCTTATTATTTTGAGGTATGTTCCTTCAACAACTAGTTTATTGACAGTTTTTAGCATAAATCGATGATGAATTTTATTGAAAGTCCTTTCTGCACCTATTGATATAATCATGTGGTTTTTGTCTTTAATTCTGTGTATGTGATGAATCACATTTATTGATTTGCATATGTTGAAGCAATCTTGCATCACAAGGATGAGGCCTACTTGATCGTAGTGGATAAGCTTTTTGATGTGCTGCTGGATTCAGTTTGCCAGTATCTTGTTGAGGATTTTTGCATCGATGTTCATCAAGGATATTGGCCTGAAGTTTTCTCTTTTTGTTGTATCTCTGCCAGTTTTTGGTATCAGGATGATGCTAACTTCATAGAATGAGTTAGGAAGGAGTTCCTTCTCCTCAATTTTTTGTAATAGTTTCAATATAAATAGTACCATCTTTTCTTTGCACAGCTGGTAGAATTCAGCTGTGAATCCCTCTATCCCTCTGGTGCTGGGCTTTTTTTTTTTTTTTTTGTTTGGTAGGCTATTTATTACTACCTTAATTTCAGAGCTCATTATTGGTCTGCTTAGGAAATCAATTTCTTCCTGGTTCAGTCTTGGGATGGTGTTGTGTGTTCAGGAATTTATCCATTTCTTCTAGATTTTCTAGTTTATGTGCATAGAGGTGTTCATAATATTCTCTGATGGTTGTTTGTATTTCTGTGGGGTCAGTGGTAATATCCCCCTTATCATTTCTGACTGTGTATGTTTGAATCCTCTCTCTTTTCTTCTTTATTAGTCTAGCTAGTGGTCTATTTTATTAATTTTTTCAAAACGCCAACCCCTGAATTTCTGGATTTTTTGGATGTTCTTTCATGTCTCTATTTTTTTCAGTTCAGCACTGACTGGTAATTTCTTGTGTTCTGCTACTTTTGGAGTTTGTTTGCATTTGGTTCTCTAGTTCTTTTAGTTGTGATATTAGGTTGTTAACGAGATCGGTCTAAGTTTTTGATATGGGAATTTAGTCTTATGAGTTTCCCTCTTAACACTGCTTTAGCTGTGTCCCAGAGATTCTGGTATATTTATCTTTGTTCTCATTAGTTTCAAAGAACTTCTTGATTTCTGCCTTAATTTCATTACCCAAAAGCCATTCAGGATCATGTTATTCAATTTCCATGTAACTGTATGGCTTTGGGTGAATTTCTCTGTCTTAATTTCTAATTTGAATTATTTAAAAGCCCTTTCAAAAAGGATGAATAAAAACAAGCCCAGATTGTGAAGATTGAAATAAACAATCAACTCTGCAATGTCTAGACATTAGTGAATGTTTGCAAGCATCAGGAACATTGAGGAAAATGTGATTTCATTAAGTAGATTAAATAAGGCACCAGTGATTAATTCTAGAGTGATGGAGACATGCAACCTCTCAGACATGGAATTAAAAATAGCTGTCTTTCAGAAGCTCAACAAACTTCAAGATAACACAGAAAAGAAGTACAGAATTCTATCAGAGAAATTTAACAAAGATATTAAATAATTTAAAAAACAAAGCAGATATTCTGGAGCAGAAAAATTCAATTGACAAGCTGGAAAATACAACAGTGTCTCTCAGCAGTATTGATCAAGCAGAATAAAGAATTAATGAGCTTACAAAAGAAGACATTTACACTGCCAACAAACATAAAAAAAGCTCAACATCACTGTTCATCAGAAAAATGCAAATCAAAACCACAATAAGATACCATCTCATGCCAGTCAGAATGGCAATTATTAAAAAGTCAGGAAATAATAGATGCTGGTGAGGGACACTTTTACACTGTTGGTGGGAATGTAAATTAGTTCAACCATTGTGGAAGACAGTATGGTGATTCTTCAAGGATCTAGAACCAGAAATACCATTTGACCCGGCAATCCCATTACTGGATATATACCCAAACGAATATAAATCATTCTACTATAAGGACACATGCACAGGTATGTTTATTGCAGCACTATTTGCAATAGCAAAGACTTGGAGCCAACCCAAATGCTCATCAATGATACACTGGATAAAGAAAATGTGGCACATTTACCCCATTGAATACCATGAAGCCATAAAAAGGAATGAGTTCATGTCCTTTGCAGGGACATGGATGAAGCTGGAAGCCATCATCCTCAGCAAACTAACACAGGAACAGTAAACCAAACAATACATGTTCTCACTCATAAGTTGCAGTTGAACATTGAGAACACATGGACACAGGGAGGGGAACAACACACATCAGAGCCTATTGGGAGGTGGGGAGTCAGGGGAGGGAACTTAGAGGATGGGTCAATAGTTACAGCAAACCACCATGGCACACATATACCTATGTAACCAACCTGCACATTCTGCCCATGTATCCCATTTTTTTAGAAGACGTAAAGAAAAAAAAGAATTAGTGAGCTTGAAAATAGCTATATTAAAAAGACAGAGTCCAAGGAGAAAAAAAGAGTTAAAAGGAGTGAAAACACCTACAAGTTCTAGAAAATACCCTCAAAAGGGCAAATCTAAGAGTTATTGGCCTTAAAAAGGATGTAAAATAAGAGATCAGTGAAGAAGTTTTATTCAAAGAAATAGCAACTTTTCAAACCTAGAGGAAGATTTGAATACCCAGGTACATAAAGCTCAAAGAAGACCAAGGAGATTCAATTCAAATGAGACTACCTCAAGACACAAAATAATCAAACTCTCAAAGTTCAAGGACAAAGTATCCTAAAAGCAGCAAGAGAAAAGAAGCAAATAACATGTAAAGGAACTCTGATACATGTGGCAGTTGACTTTTTAGTGGAAACCTTACAGGCCAAGTGGGATGGGGATAATATATTCAAAGTAGTGAAGAAAAAAACCTCTTCAACTTAGAATGTTATATCCAGCAAAATTATCCTTCAAACATGAAGGAGAAATAAAGACTTTCCAAGACAAACAAAAACCTAAGGGATTTCATTAACATCAGCCCTGCTTTGCAAAAATTTGCTGAAGGGAATTTTTCAGTCTGAAAGATAAGGTGCTAACAAACAACAAGAAATCACCTGAAAGTATAAAACTCACCAGTAAAAGTAAGTACACAAACAAATATAGAACACCTCTGACACTGTAATTGCAGTGTGTAAACCATGCATATATTTAGTATGAAGACTAAAAGACAAGCCTATCAAGAATAATAACAACTACAATGATTTGTTAAATACAGGCAATATAAAAAGATATATAGACAACAACTCAAAAAATGATAAGGGGAGAATAAAGTTAAAGTGTAGATTTTTTAGTTTTCTCTTTGCTTGTTTCCGTTTCTATTATGAGTATAATTAAGTTTTCATCAGCTTAAAAAAATCTGTTATAAGATGTTATTTACAAGCCTCATGGTAACCATGAGAAGAAAAACTAAAATAGATACATAAAAACTAGAAAGCAAAAAACTAAAACATACTACCAGAGAAAATCACTTGTACACAAAGGAAGACAGTAAGAAATGAAGACAGGACCAATGAAACAACTAGAAAACAAATAACAAAATGGCAGTAGTAAGTCCTTTCCTGTCAATAATACATTGACGGTTAATGGACTAAATTCTCCAATTAGAACACATAGAGTGGCTGAATGAATAATAACAAAAAGACCCAACTGCATGCTTCCTACAAGAAATTCACTTTGCCTATATAAACACACATAGACTAAAAATGAAAGGATAGAAAAGATATTCCATGCAAATTTAAACCAAAAAAGAAAAGGGAATAGTCACTCTTATATCAGACAAAATAGATTTCAGGACAAATCTATAAAAAGAAACAAGGAAGATCATTATATAATAATAAAGGAGTCGACTTAGCAAGAGGATATAACAATTGTAAATATATATGCACCCAGTACTGGAGTCCCCAAATACATAAAGCAAATGTTATTAAATGTTATTAAGTTAAAGAGAAATAAACCCAATACAACTGAAGTTGGGAACTTCAATATTCCACTTTCAGCACTGGATAGATCATCACAACAGAAAATCAACAAAGAAACATCAGAGTTAATCTGCACTATAGACTAAATAGACTTAAGAGACATTTATAGAACATTTCATTCAGGAGCTTCAGAATACACATTCTTCTCAGCACTTAGAATATTCTTCAAGATAGACCACATGTTAGAGGACAAAACAAGCCTCAAGAAGTTCAAAGAAATTGAGATCATATCAATTTTTTTTTCTGACCACAGTAGAAAAAAACTAGAAATCAGTAACAAAAGTAACATTGGAAACTATAAATACACAGATATTAAAAAATATGCTCTTGAATGAACATTGGTCAATGAAGAAATTAAAAATAAAATTTAAAAATTTTGTGAACAAATGAAAATGGAAACAAAACATACCAAAACTTATTGGATACATCAAAAGCAATATTAAGAAGAAAATATATATCAATAAACACATCCATCAAAAAGGTAGAAAGACTTCAAATAAGCAACCTAATCATGCATCTTAAAAAACTGGAGCAAAAACAAGAGCAAATCAAAGCCGAAATTAGAAGATGAAACAAAATAATAAAAATCAGAGCAGAAATAAATAAAATTAAAATGAATAAAACAATACAAAAGATCAACAAATCAAACAGTTGGTTTTTTGAAAATTAAACAAAATTAACAAACCTTTAGTTTAGTAAGCTAGACTAAGAAAAAGAGGGAGAATCCGAATAAATAAAGTCAGAGATGAAAAAGAAGACATGAAAATTATTACTGCAGAAATTCGAAGGATCATTAGTGGCAACTATGACTAACTATAAGCTAATAAATTGGAAAATCTAGAAGACATGGACAAACTCCTAGACACATACAACCTACGAAGATTGAACAATAAAGAAATCCAAAACCTGAACAGATCAATAACAATAATAAGATTGAAGCCATAGTAAAAAATCTCCCATTAAAAAATAAAAATTCTGGGATCCAATGGGTTCAATGCTGATTCTGCCAAGCATTTAAAGAAGAGAACTAATACCAATCTTACTCAAACTATTCCAAAAAATAGAGGAGGAGTGAATACTTCCAAACTCATTGTATAAGTGTAAATTAGTTCAACCATTGTGGAAGACAGTGTGGCGATTCCTCAAGGATCTAGAACTAGAAATACCATTTGACCCAGTAATCCCATTACTGGGTATATACCCAAATGATTATAAATCATTCCACTATAAACACACATGCACACGTATATTTATTGCAGCACTATTCACAATAGCAAAGACTTGGAACCAACCCAAATGTCCATCAGTGATAGACTGGATAAAGAAAATGTGGCACATGTACACCATGGAATACTATGCAGCCATAAAAAAGAATGAGTTTATGTTCTTGGCAGGGACATGGATGAAGCTGGAAACCATCATTATTAGCAAACTAACACAGGAACAGAAAACCAAACACCACATGTTCTCACTTATAAGTGGGAGTTGAACAATGAGAACACATGGACACAGGGAGAGCAACATCACACACTGGGGCCTGTCGGGGAGTTGGGTGCAAGGAGAGGGAGAGCATTAGGACAAATACCTTAAAACCTGCAGGGCTTAAAACCTGGATGATGGGTTGATAGGTGCAGCAAACTACCATGGCACATGTATACCTATGCAACAAAACTGCATGTTCTGCACGTGTATCCCAGAACTTAAAGTACAACAATAATAATAATAAAGGGTGGGGCACGGGAAATTTCATGACAATGATTCTTTGGAAATAAAACACAGACAACAAAGATGAACGTAAACGAATGAGTTTACATCATACTGATAATGGGTTAATATCCAAAATATAGAGAGAACTCAAACAACCCAATATTGAGAAAACAACCTCATTAAAAATGGGCAGAACAACAGATATTTGTCAAAGGAAAACATACAACTGTCAAACAGGTATATGAAAAAAAATCCTTAACATCACTAATCATCAGGAAAAGGCAAATTAAAACCACAGTATCACCTCACCTTATACCTATTAGATAGCTATAATCAAAAACATGAAAGATGAGGATTGATGAGGTTGTGGGGAAAAGGGATCCCTTGTAAACTAGTGGTGAGAATGCAAATTAGGACAGCCTTAAAAATTAAAAATAGAATTACCATATGATTCAGCAATTCCACTTCTGTCTATATTTCCAAAGTAAAGGAAATCAGCATGTTGAAGAGACATCTGCATGCTCATGTTTATTGTAGCACTAGTCACAATAACCCACATATGGAATCAACCTAAGTGTCCGCTGATGGATGAATGAAGAAAATGTGGTACATATACACAATGGAATACTATTTAGCCTTTAAAAAGAGGGAAATCCTGTCCTTTGCAACAAAACAAATGATCCTAGAGGACATTATGTTAAGTGAAATAAGCCAGGCACAGAAAGACAAATGTCATATTACCTCATTTATAAGTGGAATGTGAAAAAGTTGAACTTATAGAAACAGAGAGTAGAGTGGTGGTTACCAGTAGCTGGAGGAAGGTGTCTAGAGGATGTTGGTCAAAGGATACAAAATTTTCATTGGGTAGGAGGAGAAAGTTAAGAGATCTATTGTACAACATGGTGACTACAGTTAATAACAAGGTATTGTATTCTCGAAAATCACTCAGAGGAGGTTTTAAGTGTTCTCACAGAAAAAAGTAAGTATGTTAGGTAATGCATATGTCAATTAGCTTGATCTAGCCATTCCACAATGTATACATATTTCAAAATATCATATTGAACATGATAAATATGTAAAATTTTGTCATTTAAAAAATAAATAACACAAAGAAAGGATAAATGCTTGAGGTGATGAATACCTAATTTACCCTGATGTGATGATTACACATTGTGTGCCTTTATCAAAATATCTCATATACCCCATATATATATACACTTACAGTGGACCCACTAAAATTAAAAAAAAATCAATTGCATAGAAAACTAGGATATTTAGCAAGTTAGTAGGCCCTAAGTTTAGTGTTGTACTACTTTAAATGCTATCTTTTCTTTATGTGAATATGTATCATAAGTAACTTTTAGTAATATACAAACTTACTTTATAACCATTATATTTACATAGAAAAGACATAGTTTATGTATGTATTTAAGCTTTACTTATAATGTCCTGAGGAATGAGAAACGAAACCACTGAGTCTTTGTGCCCTCACCAGGTGTGGCTCTGCATTTTATTCTAGTGAACAGAATTACAGTAACAAAAAGCAGTTAAAGAATCGTTGTGAGTCATGCCTTATAAAGTTAGCCATATATTATTTACAGACCCTTCAATATCATTAACTTTTCCTGTCTTAGAAAAACTAAAGTAAAAATAAATTTATTTTTATTTGGTAATAGGAAAATTATTCAAACCAAATAAGAAAAAATATACAGTACTGTATATGCAAATTGAAACACTGTCAAATAAAACACATTATAATACATCTAGGAAACTCTACAAAAAATTAGGAAGCCCATTTAGAAATTAATAGAATTAAGGACAAGTAATTAAAGCAAACTCAAATCAATAACATTCTTATTTATTTATTTAATTCCCTTGAAAGTCTCATATACACCACTAAGTAGTCACATTCACAAACTTAATTTTTATAAATTCAGCAGCAGTCTTAGGAATCCTAGGAGAAGAAGAACTCCATAAAAATGCAACTGTAATAGTCAGTGAGAGAGGTGAATTTCTGCTCCATTCAATAGTCCAGGTCTTCATCAAGGTATCTTAAAGGCTGAACTAAAACCATAAATAGAAAAATGTCATTTTCCTCTCCATATGCGTATAAGAATTCATTACATTATAACACAAAGAGAAACTCACTTATGTTAAAAATTATACTACTTTCCTGAGCAGAAATTTTAAATGCTATTTTTTTTTAACTTCAGTGTGCATAAGAATTACTTTTATTCCATGGAAATACAGTAAGATTAAGAAATGCCATTTATAGGAGCTGGCAAGATGGCTGAATAGGAACAGCTCCAGTCTGCAGCTCCCAGTGAGACCAACGCAGAAGTCTCTGCATTTCCAACTGAGTCATTTCTGCATTTCCAACTGAGTGGCGCCTAGAACCCCAGGGAGACAGAACCTTTCACTCCCCTGGAAAGGGGGCTGAAGCAAGGGAGCCAAGTGGTCTCACTCAGCGGGTCCCACTCCCACAAAGCGCAGCAAGTCACGAACTACTGACTTGAAATTCTCGATGCTAGCACTGCAGTCTGAAGTCGAACTCGGACAATCAAGCTTGGTCGGGGGAGGGACATCTGCCATCACTGAGACTTGAGTAGACGGTTTTCCCGTGACAGCGCTAAGGAGGCCAAGGAGGCCGTTGGCCAGATTGCCTCTCTAGATTCCTCCTCTCTGGGCAGGGCATCTCTGAAAGAAAGGCAGCAGCCCCCCTCAGGGGCTTATAGATAAAACTCCCATCTCCCTGGGACAGAGCACCTGGGGGAATGGGGCGGCTGTGGGTGCAGCTTCAGCGCACTTAAACATTCCTGTCTTCTGGCTCTGAAGAGAGCAGCAGATCCTGACAAGGAGAATTCTCCCAGCACAGCGCTCGAGCTCTGCTAAGGGACAGACTGCCTCCTCAAGTGGGTCCCTGACCCCCATGCCTAGTGACTAGGAGAGACCTCCAAGCAGGGGTCAACAGACACCTCATGCAAGAGAGCTCTGGCTGGCATCAGGCCAGTACCCCTCTGGGACGAAACTTCCAGAGGAATGAGAAGGCAGCAATCTTTGCTGTTCTGCAGCCTTCGCTGGTAATACCCAGGCAAATAGGGTCTGGAGTGGACCTCCATCAAACTGCAGCAGAATTACAGAAGAGGGGCCTGACTGTTATAAGAAAAACTAACAAACAGAAATCAATAATATTAACATCAACAAAAAGGACCCCTACACAAAAACCCCAACAAAGGTCATCAGCTCCAAATATCAAAGGTAGATAAATCGATGAAGATGAGGAAAAACAAGTGCATAAATGCTGAAAATTCCAAAAACCAGAATGGCTCTTCTCCTTTAATTGATCACAACTCCTGTCCAGCAAGGGCACAAAACTGGACAGATAATGAGGTTGATGAATTGACAGAAGTGGGCTTCAGAAGGTGGATACTAACAAACTTGTCTGAGCTAAAGGAGCATGTTCTAACCCAATGCAAGGAGGCTAAGAACCTGATTAAAGGTTACAGGAACTGCTAACTAGAATAACCAGTTTAGAGAAGAACACAAATGACCTGATGGAGCTGAAAAACACAGCATGAGAACTTCGTGAAGTATACACAAGTATCAATAGCCAAATCGATCAAGTGGAAGAAAGGATAACAGTAATTGAAGATCAACTTACTGAAAAAAGGAATGAAGACAAGATTGGAGAAAAAAGAATGAAAAGGAACAAACAAAGCCTCCAAGAAATATGGGACTATGTGAAAAGAACAAACCTATGATTGATTGGTGTACCTGAAAGTGATGGGGAGAATGGAACCAAGTTGGAAAACACTCTTCAGGATATTATCCAGGAGAACTTCCACAACCTAGCAAGACAAGCCAACATTCAAATTCAGGAAATACAGGGAACACCACTAAGATACTCCCCAAGAAGAGCAACCCGAAGACACATAATCATCCGTTTCTCCAAGGCTGAAATGAATGAAAAAATGTTAAGGGCACCAGAGAGAAACGTCAGGTTACCTACAAAGGGCAGCCCATCTGACTAACAGCAGAACTTTCTCCAGACACCATACAAGCCAGAAGAGAGTGGGGGCCAATATTTAATATTCATAAAGGAAACAATTTTCAACCCAGAATTTCATATTCAGCCAAGCTAAGCTTCATGAGTGAAGGATAAATAAGATCCTTTACAGAAAAGCAAATGCTGAGGGATTTTGTCACCATCAGGCCTGCCTTACAAGAGCTCCTGAAGGAAGCACTAAATATGGAAAAGAAAAACTAGTACCAGCCACTGCAAAAACACACCAAAATATAAAGACCAATGATACTATGAAGAAACCACATCAACTAATGTGCAAAATAACCAGTTAGCATCATGATGACAGGATCAAATTCACACACAACAATATTAACCTTAAATGTAAATGGGTGAAATGCCCCCAATTAAAAGACACAGACTGGCAAATTGGATAAAGAGTCAAGATCCATCGGCGTGCTGTATTCAGGAGACCCACCTCATGTTCAAGACACACACAGGCTCAAAATAAAAGGATGGAGGAAAACATAACAAGCAAATGGAAAACAAAAAAAAGAAAACAGGGGTTGCAATTCTAGTCTATGATAAAATAGACCTTAAGCCAATAAAGATTAAAAAAAGACACAGAAGGTCATTACATAATGGTAAAGGAATCAATGCAACAAGAAGAGCTAACTATACTAAATACATATGCACCCAATACAGGAGCACCCAGATTCATAAAGCAAGTTCTTAGAGACCTACAAATAGACTTAGACTCCCACACAATAGTAGTGGGAGACTTTAAAACCCCATTGTCAATATTAGACAGATCAATGAGACAGAAAATTAACAAGGATATTCAGGACCTGAACACAGCTCTGGACCAAATGGACCTAATAGACATCTACAGAACTCTCCACTCCAAATCAACAGAATATACATTCTTCTCAGCACCACATAGCACTTATTCTAAAATGGACCTCATAATTGGAAATAAAACACTCCTCAGCAAATGCAAAAGAACAGAAATCATAACAGTCTCTCAAACCACAGTGCAATCAAATTAGAACTCAAGATTAAGAAACTCACTCGAAACCTCACAACTACGTGGAAACTGAACAACCTGCTCCAGAATGACTACTGAATAAGTAACAAAATTATGGCAGAAATAATGAAGTTCTTTGAAACCAATGAGAATAAAGACACAACATACAAAAATCTCTGGGACACAGCTAAAGCAGTGTTAAGAGGGAAATGTATAGCACTAAATGCCCACATCAGAAAGTGGGAAATATTTAGAATCAACACCCTAACATCACAATTAAAAGAACTAGAGAAGTAAGAGCAAACAAATTCAAAAGCTAGCAGAAGACAAGAAATAACTAAGATCAGAGCAAAACCAAAGGAGATGGAGACATGAAAAACCCTTCAAAAATCAATCAACCCAGGAGCTGGTTTTTTGAAAAGATAAACAGAATCGACAGACCACTAGCCAGACTAATAAAGAAGAAAAGAGAGAAGAATCAAATAGATATAATAAAAAGTGATAGAGGGGATATCACCGCTGATCCCACAGAAATGCAAACTACCATCAGAGAATGCTATAAACACCTCTACACAAATAAACTAGAAAATCTAAAAGAAATGGATAAATTCCTGGACACATACATCCTCCCAAGACTAAACGAGGAAGAAGTCGAATTTCTGACTAGACCAATAACAAGTTATGAAATTGAGGCAGTAAGTAATAGCCTACCAACCAAAAAAAAAAAAAAAAAAAAACCATGACCAGATGAATTCACAGCCAAATTCTACCAGAGGTACAAAGAAGAGCAAATACCATTCCTTCTGAAACTATCCCAAACAATAGAAAAAGAGAGACTCCTCCCTAACTCATTTTATGAGGTCAGCATCATCCTGACACCAAAACCTGGCAGAGACACAACAAAGAAAAGAAAATTCCAGGCCAATATCCCTGATGAACATTGATGCGAAAATCCTCAATAAAATACTGGCAAACCAAATCCAGCAGTACATTAAAAAGCTTATCCACCACAATCAAGTTGGCATCATCCCTGGATGTAAGGCTGGTTCAACATATGTAAATCAATAAACGTAATCCATCATATAAACAGAACAAATCACAAAAACCAAATGATTGTCTCAACAGATGCAGAAAACGCCTTCGATAAAATTCAACAGTGCTTCATGCTAAAAACTCTCAATAAACTAGATATTGATGAAACGTATCTCAAAATAATAAGAGCTAATTATGACAAACCCATAGCCAATATAATATTGAATGGGCAAAACCTAGAAGCATTCCTTTTGAAAACCAGCACAAGACAAGGATGTCTTCTCTCACCACTCCTATTCAACAGAGTATTGGAAGTTCTGGCCAGGGCAATCAGGCATGAGAAAGAAATAAAGGGTATTCAAACAGGAATAGGAACTCAAATTATCTCTTGTTGCAGATGACATAATTGTATATTTAGAAAACCCCATTGTCTCAGCCGAAAAACTCCTTAAGCAGATAAGCAACTTCAGCAAAGTCTCAGGATACAAAATCAATGTGCAAAAATCACAAGCATTCCTATACACCAATAATAGACAAGCAGAGAGCCAAATCATTAGTGAACTCCTATTCACAATTCCTACAAAGAGAATAAAATACCTAGGAATACAACTTACAAGGGATGTGAAGGACCTCTTAAAGGAGAACTACCAACCAGTGCTCAAGGAAAGAAAAGAGGACACAAACAAATGGAAAAACATTCCATGCTCATAGATAGGAAGAATCAATATTGTGAAAATGGCCATACTGCCCAAAGTTATTTATAGATTCAATGCTATTCTCATCAAGCTACCATCGACTTTCTTTACAGAATTGGAAAAATCTACTTTAAATTTGATATGGAACAAAAATAGAGCCTGTATAGCCAAGACAATCCTAAGCAAAAAGAACAGAGCTGGAAGCATCACGCTATCTGACTTCAAACTTACTGCAAGTCTACAGTTATCAAAACAGCATGGTACTGGTACCAAAACAGATATATAGACCAATGGCACAGGACAGAGGCCTCAGAAGTAACACCACACCTCTACAACCATCTGATCTTCAACAAACCTGCCAAAAACAAGCAATGAGGAAAGGATTCCCTATTCAATAAATGGCGCTGGGAAAATTGGCTAACCATATGCAGAAAACAGAAACTGGACCACTTCCTTACACCGTATACAAAAATTAACTCAAGATGGATTAAAGACTTAAACATAAGACCTAAAACCATAAAAACCCTAGAAGAAAACCTAGGCAGTACCATTCAGTACATAGGCATGGGCAAAGACTTCATAACTAAAACACCAAAAGCAATGGCAACAAAAGCCAAAAATTGACAAATGGGATCTAATTAAACTAAATAGCTTCTACACAGCAAAAGAAACTATCATCAGGGTGAACAGGCAACCTACAGAATGGGAGAAAATTTTTGCAATCTAGGCATCTGACAAAGAGCTAATAACCAGAATCTACAAGGAACTTTAACAAATCTACAAGAGAAACACAAACAACCCATCAAAAAGTGGGCAAAGGATATGAACAGACACTTCTCAAAAGAAGACATTTATGTGGCCAATAAACATGTGAAGAAAGGCTCATCATCATTGGTCATCTGAGAAATGCAAATCAAAACCACAATGAGATACCATCTCACACCAGTTAGAATGGTGATCATTAAAAAGTCAGGAAACAACGGATGCTGGAGAGGATGTGGAGAAATAGAAATGCTTTTACAGTGTTGGTGGGAGTGTAAATTAGTTCAACCATTGTGGAAGACAATGTAGCAATTCCTCAAGGATCTAGAACCAGAAATACCATTTGACCCACCAATCCCATTACTGGGTATACACCCAAAGGATTATAAATCATTCTACTATAAAGACACAGGCACACATGTTTATTGCAGCACTATTCACAATAGCAAAGACATGGAACCAACTTAAATGCCCATCAATGATAGACTGGATAAAGAAAATGTGGCACATACACACCATGGAATACTATAGAGCCATAAAAAAGAATGAGTTCATGTCCTTTGCAGGGATATGGATGAAGCTGGAAACCATCATTCTCAGCAAACTAACACAGGAACGGAAAACCAAACACCGCATGTTCTCACTCATAAGTTGGAGTTGAACAATGAGAACACATGGACACAGGGAGGGGAACATCACACATGGGGCCTGCTGCGGGGTGGGGGCAAGGGGAAGGAGAGCATTAAGACAAATTTAAGCTCCTAATGCATGCAGGGCTTAAAACCTAGATGGCGGGTTGATAGGCACAACAAACCACCATGACACGTGTATACCTATGTAACAAACCTGCACATTCAACACATGTATCCCAGAACTTAAAGATTAAAAACAAAAAAAGAATCGTCATTTTTTAAAAGCACCCTCATGTGATTCTGAAGCAGTTATTCAGCAGTGATTACTCTTTCAGGGAAAAGTAGTTCAATTATCATTTATCACATCAGAAAACATTCATATGCTTCAGATTATAAATCAAATATTATTCATGGTTCTCAGTTTACAACACTAGAATTTTTAGCTTCTTTATGCACATATGAATGCATAATTTTATAGATGTAAGCATTGTATTTAATTATAGCCAATACATAAATGGAATATTATTATATTTTATAATGATTTTTTCTTTTTTAGTTGCCTAAACCGTCATTTTTCCAGTCATTACTCCATCAATTGGCATTCACTTTGTTTCTAGTTTTTGCCACTTTCAACAACATGGCAGAAAGGAATCTTTGTATATTTGTCATTACATACTAGTGACTTTATTGGTAAGAAGAAATTCTCAGGGATAGAATTATTGGGTCAAAGGGTCTGTGAATCTTTGAAAATAATTTTTAATAGAAACTGCCAGATTGCTTTCTCCAAAGGCTACCTACCATATCTCACACTTCCAAAAGCAGTGTTTGAAATGGCCTTTTTCTCTGTATTCCCGCCAGTAATAAATATTGATGGTATTTCAAATTTTTGTTAGTCTGATTTGTATAAAGTGATAGCTCATTGTTAATTATAATTTCAATCCTCCAGACATTTAAAAATGTCTGTCATTTGAAATTCATTTTGTGTCAATTGTCTTTTCATAGCTTTGCCCAATTATCTATTAGATGTTACACATACACATACATACAATTTACATTCACATATATTAACCCTTTTGTGCTCTGTACAGTTTCTAAGAACTCTATGTATCTATGTGTGTATATATATAGTATGTAAAATTAGCTCTGCATTTTATAGATATTCACAATTTATATTTCATGTACTTTAAGAGTTCCAACTCTTATCCTTTGTCTTAATCTATATTTCGTATATACAAATATTCTGTAGTGTCTTGTACAGTCTTTACCATAGCATGTATTATACAATGTAGATATATAATATGTAGATGAATTATAGGAATATATAATATTTCTATAAAAAATACTTTTTCTACATTTCATTTCTAGATGTAGTCTTCCCCAAATTATTATTTTAAAAACAGAAAATGTATCTAGTAACTCATTTCACAATCTTTTTCTCTTGATGTATAGCTTAACTATACGTCTTGTTCACATTTGAATTTTTTTTTATGTTTTTCTCATGAAAGCAAGTTGTAAAATGCAATTCTAATCATCTTGTCTCATCTGAAACTTTCAAAGCTCATCATCACCTCTTCAACAGACCCCCAGTGAAAGAGAACATAAAGTATAGCAGGTAAGACCATTCATTACAGGGCTCTATGCAGCCTTTTCAGCTTAGATTCTAACCACCTCTCTTCTCTCCACATGGCCTCTTCATATTACCACCTATAGACTATGATATCTTTTATTAAACAATCATGTCTTTGCCAATAGTAGATTTTATCTCTATCTTCAGTGCTCACGGTGCCACTTGTTACCATAAATACGTTCAATATACGTTTTTGAATAAAAAACTTCTTATAGTTCCCTAAAGGCATGGTTCTTTTTTCTGCCTCTAGTTTGCACATACTGTGTCCTTTCTTTGGAACTGTCTATTTTTCAGTTATTTTTAAAGTTTACCTTAAATATCATATCATCTTACAACAACCCCAAAGTTTCTTAGGCAAACTTTCTGTAGTGCCTTGTACAGTCTTTACCATAGCATGTATTATACGATGTAGATGTATAATATGTCTTATCTTTTTCCTGAAATGATACCTGTAATGTCTTCAAAAGATTAATTTGTATTTGTTTACTCAGTTTCTCCTTAGCTCCATGGATGTGTTATTACTATTTGTGTGTATAATTAAGAGATGAATCAGTTATATTTATAAGCTTTTATATATTCTCAATATAGATATATACATATACAAACATATGCACATAAGCAAATAAAATATGTTTATATACATTCTTTCTTTCTAATGCCAGAAGAGCTCTCAGTCCTCAAAAGGAATGCAGCTGTTTTGAACAATGACTAATAAATTCTCATCACTCACCTCACTGGGTTATAAATTCCCATTTTCCTTTTCAGTGTGGCTCAGAATGGCCTCCTTTTCCATTCCAGAAATAGGAAGAAATTTAGACACAGAAATTAGTTCAGCAGCACTGAAATCAGCTGACTCATGGGAATTTTCTGAAAGGAAGAAAATAATTACTGGGAAATAAACCAGACCTCTTCTCACGTAACTGTGAGGCTCTTTGAGCAACTAAAAACACCACCCATAACTAGGAAGAAAAGCATGTGTGATTTAAGGGGCAGAGAAAGTCTTTCCTATTTCTTAAATATGTTTCCTGACACAGTAACAGTACATGTTCCTTAAATATGTTCCCTGACACAGTAGCAGATGCATAATTCTTTGGATGGAAGAAGTGAGGCAGGCCCCTCTCAGAAGGTCAGGGACCCTTCATGGAGTAAAGACAATGGGTTTTGGGATATTTCTTCCAACCCAGTAAAGTCATCCTGCCCAGATGCAGAATTAGTGCACTGGTGCTAAATAGAAGTTCAAGGATAAAACAGCATGATGTGATGAGAAATAAGGCTAGTTCTGTGGATTTGTATGGCTTCTCATGCAATAAAGATATTGAAAGTTTAAGGTTTTAGACTTTTAGGGAAAAATATAATAAATATCAAGCTAGAGAAAAAAAATGACAGGAAATGGGAATGGAAGAAACTGTGAAAGACGTATGTAGGTCAGAGGATACAAAGTAGCAGATACGTAGAATGAACCAGTCTAGAGGTCTAATGTACAACATGAGGATTATAGGTAATAACATTGTGCTGTATGTAGGATTCATGCTAAGTGAGTAGGTTTTAGCTGCTCTTGCCACAAGAACAACACAAAAAAGGGTAACTATGTCAGATGATGGGTGTGTTCATTTGCTTTGCTTTAGTAAGCTTTTTACTATCTATATACATCCCATAAAATCATGTTGTATACCTTAAATATACACAACAAAATTTAAAGAAAAAAGTTAAACTGTCACTTATGACAATCTTTTGTAAGATTAATTTCTGTTTTAATAAAATGAGGTCCAAGTCATAATATTCCTCTGCATGGTTCTTTCCATACCTCTATCAGGAATAATCACAGGCCTCTTAAGCTAAAGGCCTCCCTATGATTGCAATTTTGATATTCTCCAAGAATAATTTTCAGTCATTCTTGTCCATTATATGCATCTAAGCTTCCTATTACATTTTTAGACTTTTTTAACTGTTTATCAAAGTAGAATGTCTGTGCCTCAACTGCAGCCACTGATCTGAACCCCTGGGCAATAGACCCTCCAAGAACCCACAGACCTGAGGAATTCATTAGGTCCAGATCATCTGCATTCAGGCAAGAATTCATCTCCCGGTATTGAATTTGGTGGACTAAGTTCTCTCCTCTTGAGGAAACTGAAAACAGAGATCCCTAGGTTAGGGATCAGCTATCATAATAAAATTTCCCTTGCTGTAAGTGTGTTTTTTCCAAGCGCTGCAAACATACCTCGTCTTTATCCCTGCTATTGTTTCTATCCCATTCTACTACCAAGCTCTTCCCTTACAATTCCGCACACTCAAATGAAATAGGCACAAGGCTAAATCTTCCCCACTGCCATTGTATTAATATAAACAACCCACTGTTTTTACCCAAGGAAGCCAGCAGTCTTCCATAACTCACTGGAGCTTTTCTTAAGTATCTCTAAAAGTCTTTCCTCTCCCCTCCATTCTCACTATATATGTTATAGTACTTTTCATTTTTCACCTCAACTGTTACAAAATGCCATTCCTGTCAGTCAAGTGGTCCTCCTTCAATCCTCCTAGATCCCGTTGCCAAAAGATCTTCCTAAAAGATATCTTGACCATTTCACTCCCCTACATGATACTCTTTAATGACTATGAATCTTATGTGAAACATAAGAACTTCATAATTTGTGCCTTTTCTCTTCTTCAGACTTAGCAGCCTCTCTCCTCACACTCAACTTTTCTCCCCCCGCCCCTCAGGAAAAAAACAAGAAATGCTTCATCCTTTAGGCTTCTCTAGACTTGTACATATTCTTCTCTAGAATGTTCCTCACCCAATTCTCTGAGCCTCTATGTTCGAAATTTGTCCCCAAGCCTCTTTGAAGCCTCCAGTAATCCCCCTCCCCTTTCAGTTAATTACTCCCTTCTCTGTGCCACTTTTGTTCCTTTTTCCTATTAATGTAAAATGGCTACATTGTAGTGTATTTGTTTACATATATATCTCTTCCACTAGACTTGAAGTTCCACCAAGATTTATTGTCCATGTCTGTATCTTCAGAGCCTAATACATTGCTCAACAGAACAGTAAAATTTGTAATAAGGAGATTGATTATAGTAAGAGAAAATAAATGTTTAGGTAAAAAGTCATCCTAAACAATATCTAACATATTCATTCTGAACTTTCAATTCTGTAATGTTCCAGTTAAGCATGTAGATAGAACACAGGAATCATCAATGCAACCTAAACCCCTTTTCTCCTCTGAAATCTTATTCCCTCTATTTAAAAAATGAAAAAAATCTGTAGAAATGGGAGCTCCCTGTGTGGCCCAGGCTGGTCTTGAACTCCTGGACTCAAGCAATTCTCCTGCCTCAGCCTCCCAAAGTGTAGGGATTACAAGTGTGAGCCACTGTGCCTGGCCCTTCCCTCTGTTTTGAGAAACTGCTCAAACCTCTTTTAGAGTCCATCTTTCTGGCCATTAGACTTGAGTCTAATATTTTCGTCTTACAAGAACCCCCTTATCCTGTAGACATATTAGATAAACCAAATTTGGCTCAAACCTGCAAGCCGCTGTCTCTGTCTTCGCTTTTTAGTCAAGAAGAATAATGCGACGAAAATGGCCAACAGAACAACCCCAAGGATCCCGACTGCAATAAAGGATGACTGACGGGATGAGCGACCTAAGTAAAAGTAAATATCAAGAGATATGATCATGTCTTATCGAAAAGATCAAGGTCCCTAGTTACTGATTCTCTCTTAGGTCAAATACTTGATCCCTGAGGTAAATATCAAATCCTCAGAACGTCTGACCTAAAATTTCTAAACAAGAAAAATTCTATGTATGCAGATAATTGGTCTCATCATCATAAACTCCATGATATACCTGTTGTGGCTTTTTGTGGGGTTTTCTGCACTGAAATATCTGTAGGAGAAAAGAAAGAGAGAGGGTTAATTCTTTGCATGATATATAGAACAAGCCTTCTGATTTCCTTGTCTGACCCCTTAGTACCTCTCAACCAAGTATATGACTCTTTCCCACCTAAAACTAGAGTCCTCTAGTCTTTCTTTCTCTGCACAGGGAATATAGGTTGTATGTGTCTCCTTGGTGAAGGCCGTTGTATAACAATTGTTTTCATCATTCTTTCAGTAGAGACATTATGATTCTCTGAGAATCCCCACCAGATCCCTGTGCTGATAAATCCGGTTTTTACACAACACACATCACTGCCCAACCCCTCTTTGCTGCCAGAGATTCCAAGCTCAATCCAGGCTTCTGGCACTTACCTGTGCAATTCACTGCAGCGTCTTCCTTGTGCCCACACTCACTATGGCCCCAGCGTCTGGCAGGACAATCCCACAAGGAAGACTCATTCCCTTTGCACTTCACTTCATTGAGCCATATCGGTCCAGTCCCCTGACCAAACTCTGCTTCTTTGAATGCTTTCAAAGCTGGACCACAGCCAAGTTGTTGACACACCACCTGAGCATCGTCCAAGTCCCAAGAGTCATCACACACTGTCCCCCAGGAACCTCCATGCCAGATCTCCACACGTCCAGAACAGGAAGTGGGTCCTTCCTGAAGTCTTATCTTGTCTGAAAAATCAGAGACATGTAGCCTATTTCTAAGACTTCTAAAAGTTTCCAGGAGTTCACAGGTGAAAAGAGAGATTTGAAACTTAAAAAAAAAAAAAAACTATTTAAAATTTTACTGAATGTGCATATTAAAATTTATATATATATATGTATATATATATATATATTTTTTTTTTTTTTTTTGAGACAGAGTCTCGCTCTGTCACCCAGGCTGGAGTGCAGTGGCACAATCTCGGCTCACTGCAAGCTCCGCCTCCCAGGTTCACACCATTCTCCTGCCTCAGCCTCCCAAGTAGCTGGGACTACAGGCGCCCACCACCACACCCGGCTAATTTTTTGTATTTTTAGTAGAGACGGGGTTTCACCATGTTAGCCAGGATGGTCTCGATCTCCTGACCTCGTGATCCGCCCACCTCGGACTCCCAAAGTCCGATTACAGGCGTGAGCCACCGTGCCTGGCCTAAAATTTATATTTTTACAAAATTTATCTTTTATAAGAGGACTTGTCATTACAGCCAACTAGGTATATTCCATCCTGCACATAAGATACATAATGTGACCCAGTAAATGTTAAATGATTAAAGTTAACATTATAAATATGTGATGTCAAATTCTTTCAAATAGGCAAGATCTTGGGAAACTGGCAGGTTGTCACAAATCTCACAGTTTAAGAAGATGTAGAGGCCAGGCACAGTGGCTCACACCTGTAATCCCAGCAATTTGGGAGGCCAAGGCGGGTGGATCACCTGAGGTCAGAAGTTCAAGACCAGCCTGGCCAACATGGGGAAACCCCATCTCAACTAAAAATACAAAATTAGCTGGGCATGGTGGCTCATGCCTGTAATCCCAGCTACTCAGGAGGCTGGAGCAGGAGAATTGCTTGAACCAAGAAGGCAGAGGTTGCAGTGAGCCAAGATCACGCCATTGCACTCCAGCCTGGGGAACAAGAGCAAAACTCTGTCTCAAAAAAAAAAAAAAAAAAAACCTGTAGAATGTGGAAATACTTCAGAATTGATCTTTCTGATTTCTGACTGCTTTTCTCCTTATATTAGTGTAACAAGATAATATTTGAAAGAAAAATGGGAAGGTAAGGTAGACCATTCAACAGTCAAATATTAAACCACATATTCTCTCCTCCTCAGAGAAAGCAATTGAATAAATCTTTCAAGCAGACCATGGGGAGTATGATATTCTTTAGAATAATAATAGCTGATCCTGAATATCTACAGGCCAAATTAAATAAAACCAGTTACACTATCCAGGTAGAATAGATATTACCCACAAGTTACCCATTCTTGCTTAATTCAATCTAACAATTTAAGCCAGTGTGAGAATAGGAAAATAAAATCCAGTGTCCATTATCAGAAGATGATAGCGGGGCTGCAGAATGGAATTTTCATATAGGTCGATGGATACTCACTGTCACATGTGATCCAGGTCTCCTCCGAGGGGCTGGCCAGTCTCTTCTCCCATGGAGATGATGGGCACTGCCACAGCGTGTCAGGTCCTTTTGGACACTGAACATTGTCCACCCACATGGGAATGGACATGGCCTTGTCTAAAGATGCAGGGTTGATTTTCCCTTTGTCTGCACAGCCCAGCTGCCTGCACACCACACCCACAGTGGTTTCAGACATGCTACTCTTGCCAACAGTGCCCCAAGCTCCATTGTAAAAAACTTCCAGACGCCCTGCACAGGCCTCTCTGCTGGCTTCACTGGTCAGTCTCAGAGACATGAATTCTGCAGCGAAACATAGAATTAGTAGTTTTGCATCTTTTCTGAAGATTCAGAGACTCCTTCCCTTTACCTTGATGTAAGAATGGCTTTAAAAATAGGTACAATAGTACAATATGTCAGTTACTAATAATTCGTTAGTAACTTCTGGATGATTTCATAGATATTATTAAAATATTTTATTTATTCTATAAATACATTATAGTTTTTTGGTCTTTGGTTTTGGACTCAGAGTCCTCTTTAGATTACCCTCAATCATTCTAATAGGCTTTTTTCAGTTACATAGTTTGGATTTTTTCCCAAAAATATTCTCCTTTTTTTGCAACTGTCTTTGATAGTTAAAATTGTTAGACACTCAGGCACTAAAATCAATGTTTTGTGTACATCTCTTAAAATGACAGTTCATTTGCTGACACTTCACAGTTTTGCAGTGCATGTCTTCTACCAGATTTATGTCATTAAAATAGGAATAAATCACTTCTGAGATACAGAGTTTTTCACTTCCTTAAGTTACTGAATCATAGTTCTGTTCCCCATAATACATATGAAATAGTACATTTTTAAATTTCAGAATGTTTTCTAAAACTCACCATGTATACAAAGCAGTATGAGGGCAGTAACCTCATGCTACTTTTTGTTTCTATGACAAGTAAGTCTCATTTATCTGCCATGAAAAATTGCTTGGGCATAGTAATTATCTTTTTTTCTGTAGAATGATGCAACATATATATTTCTTCTTGTCCCTTTAAATCTACTTCTTTACTAATACTGTAATTATCAAGTGTTGCTATTGGATCGCTATCTAATATCTGGCCCCAAATATATTTATTAAAAACCTTCATTATTAACTTTGTTGTCATTTTCATGATATACAAGACCATTTCTGGTCTTTTCTCTTTACAATGTTGCACTACCTTGCTCATGAAGTACCACTAGCACATCAAACCCAGACTTCTGTTGTCCTGACTCCCACAATAGTTCCTTTTGGATCAACTTTTCAGGAAAATCTTTAAGATTAATACCCCTCACTACCCTTCCTCAGTCCTTTCTCTATGTAATTATGACCAAAGGTCATATGCATAATTTACCTGAGCAGATAACTCCCGCATCCTCCTTGTGCCTGCAATTTTGCTGCCCCCAGCCGTGTGAATGGCACTGCCAAATGCGGGATTCTTTTCCATTGCATTTCATCTCATCCAGCCAGATGGGCCCTGTTCCTTCCCCAAAATGAGCAGAACCAGTGGCATTAATGGCCTCTCCACAGCCCAGCTGTCTGCAAACCACGTGGGCATCACTCAGGTCCCAGCTGTCATCACAGATGGTGCCCCAGGAGCCCTCATGATAGATCTCTACTCTCCCAGCACAGCGACCTCCTCCATTTACCAGGCGAAGTTGACCACTCTCTGCAAAGAGAAATGAAACTATTAATAATGAGCATTCCACTTGTTATTAATATTTTCATAGATTTGTCACAGAGTCTTACCTATGCAGGCCACAGCACTTTCTTCTGGAATGGTAGGCCTTGTTGGGCCCAAAGACGATGAATTGCACGAGGACAGTGTTTGGGACTGGTTTCCTGCAAACACCAAGGTACTCAGTCATACAAGACACAAAAGGTTAGGGGAGTCAGATGAAATGTTATATGGATGAGTTGAGGACAAACATAGCTTAGAGAGAGAGGGGAAGGTGGATGGTCAACAAGTTTGAAATAAATCAGGTGCTTTGAGATGGGCTTGGCACATAGTAAGCACTGGATAACTAAGAAGTCCATCAAAATTAGGTTTGCTCACCCTCTGAAAAGACAAATGAGGTTAATATTCTGAAGCATGAATTAGTATTCATTCTTCTCATGACCCTTCAAAATGGATCACTGCGTTTTACTTTTGTTCTTCATCCCTATGTACACCTTCTCTTAAGACCCATCACTGGCTGCCCGTCATCCTCTTACCTGAGCAGATTACAGAGGCCACTTGCTCTGAAGGACATAATGAAGCACCTAGAGCAGTTACAGGACAATCTCCCATGTGCTGCTCAGTCCCAGTGCAGTGAAACATATGCCTCCAGATCTGACCATTTCCTTTTCCAAAACGTGCTCCTCCTGGGGTAGAAAGGGCAACTCCACATTTAAGCTGCTGGCAAAGAACATGGGCATCTTCTATGTCCCAGTGAGAGTTACAGAGGGATCCCCAGGCACCAAGCGTTTTGAGCTCCACTCTGCCCTCACACGGGGTCTTGCCATTCACCAAGCGAATTTCTGTGTATCCTGGAAGGAGACAGGGCTTTAGAAAAAGACAGCTATGACTCCCTAACCCTGTCCCTTTCACAGTATGAGAACCAATTAAAGATGTTTTCTGGGTCTTACTTGAGCAGACTACTCCAACATCCCTGCTGTGGCTACAAGTTCCTTCTGGGCGGGGTGCTACTGGGCAGAGTGAAAGATGGGACTCATGTCCCTCACACTGGAATTCTTCAGCCCAGATCTGTCCATTTCCCTCTCCAAAGTGAGCTCCCCCCAGGATAGAGACAACTGTGCCACACTGTAATTCCCTGCATAGAACGCTGGCAGCTTCCAGAGAGAAGTCCGAATCACAGATGGAGCCCCACGTGTCACCATGCTTCACTTCAACACGTCCAGAACAGGGAATGTCCCCTCCAACCAGTCTGGGTTCCCTGTGGGCTGAAAAATAAATATTATTTCAGTGAGAGGTAATATGATTTCCAGATTTCCATTCATGATGAGGGTGAAGAAGGTGGTGTGGAGTGGGAAATGGAGACCAGGGTGCTCAGTGATTTCCTACACTTGTTTGTCTTGGCTTTTCTGCCTCGAGTTGGGTATGGATAAATCTAGACCTCCCCATTCCTAGCTGAACTCATCCATCTGAGAGAATTCTGGGACTTCACCTTGTGCAGCCAACCATCCCCAAAGGCAATGATAACTCTGTTCTTCCAAAATTTTGCTTACTTTATTCATAATAACATTAGAGACCACAAACAATGTGTATCTACTATCGCTATCTCTTAGTCTTGCACTCATTCCTCCATGTACTGCAATCTGGGGTCTGCTCAACCTTTTTGAATTGTTCTATGTAAAGCTTTTCAATATACTTCTAATTTTCAGAATGAACATCAGACTTCTTCCTTTTGACGTCTGTTACGTTTGGTATACGTGACCCTTCTTGTCCCATTTTCTCCTCCATTCTTTCTGACAGTGCTTTATCAAAACATTTCGTGTATTCCTTGAGTCAAAGTTCTGTCCGTAACCTTCTCATCTGCTCAATGGACATGTCTCAACTGCTAATAAATATATTTTCATCCATACTTTTTTCTTTAATTTTAGATCCACAAACGTATCTGCTTAGACATGTGGAGCTTAAAGTATTCAAAGTTGAATGAATTATTGTATGACAAGCCCACTATATTCTTTACTTAATTAATGATATACAGGCCAAATTAGAACCACCTAAAATTGACCCACTTTATCTCACCACAAATAATGGTAATAATGATAGCAGTGAATATTAAGTGAGCGTCTATTATATTACATATATGGCATTCCAATAAGCATTTAACAAACATTATTTCATTCAATCCTTAAAATTGCCTTAGGAGATAATTGTTAATATCATTCTGATTTTACAGACAGGGAATCTGAAACATAGAGAGGTGAGGTGTAGTAATTTGCTAAGGTCACACAAGAAATTACTACAGAATTAGTAAGAGAACAGAATTTGAAGCCAGACAGTATATTCCAGAGCCTAGAATGTTGACTTTCATGATACATTGAACATGTAGAAAACCACCATATCTGTTGGTCCTCCAGCATATTTCTTCTTCTGCATATTTGTTGCTATTGCCATAAAGTGATTTGTCATCATCTGTCATGCAGACCTCTACAATAGCTTCGTAAATTGTTTCCTTGCTTCAAAGTCTTTTTTCCAAGAAATTTATGCCATGATTATAAATATATTAATAAATTTCAAATATTTTCATGTGATGTTTTTCCTTTAGATGACTTAACGTTTCCTTAAAATGTATGCAATGATCCCTTACATAATTTCTTATAATTTCTGTAATAATCATGTATGCAATAATTAATCCAAAAGTATCAATGTAATGACCTATAATGTAACAACCTGTAATGTTCTCTGACTCTATTTTAGGCATTTGATGATGGGTGGGTTAAAAAGGCCGCCACAGAATTCAGTCTGTCAGTGAAGATAGATAATACTAAAAATAATAATCATAATCATATTAGCTAACATGTATTTATAGCTCACTGTGTAATTCCTGTGAGGTAGGCCCTATTACCACTCCCATTTTTCTTCTGAGCAAACTGCAGCACAAACAGTTTTCATAGATTCCCTAATTTCGTCCAGCTATTAAAATTAAGGAGAGGTGATAAACACTAATTCTTTAGT
Organism: Homo sapiens; assembly: GCF_000001405.40. Classification (NCBI taxonomy): domain Eukaryota; kingdom Metazoa; phylum Chordata; class Mammalia; order Primates; family Hominidae; genus Homo; species Homo sapiens. Next base: position 7,489,829 of record NC_000012.12, read on the forward strand.
ACACTTTAAAATAGTATGCTGTTACCTTAAAAGCTTTAATATCTATTACTTTATCAACCTAATTTGATGCTCCAGCCTAAAGATGCTTGGGCATGCCGTAATTTTCATGCTTCTGTGCCTCTGTAGAAACTTTTCTCTCTACTTAAAATTTATTTCCCTACCTTATATACCTAGGAAAAGGCTACTTCTTTTCAAGGCTGTTCAATTTCTCACTAATAGCCTTCTCCTCCATGAACACAGTTCACTACAAGATATACATATTTTAATAGTGATGAACCCAAAAATAGAAATATGTATTAGACATAAAACTAACAAATAAAGGAGTCATTCACTCTGTTTTAGACTATGGGGGAGAGAATAACATAGATCTAAACTGGATCTTGAAAAAAGATGAGGAGTTTGCCAAATACACAGTGTGTGAAACAATCTTTAAGGAATATGGTCACGAAATGCATGGTGTCATTGAAGAATTATAAGTAACTTACTGTAGCTGAAATTTAAAATATAAAGAAAAGACACACCAGAAATAATAAATGGAATTTATATTATGAAGATGCTCTTTGTCAAGTTAAGAAACACAATCATCAAGATAAGTGAGTTTCTTTGAAAATACTCAGAGGCAATATAAAGTACTTAAGAGATACAAACTATTTCTTTTAACTTGTTCTTTAAGAGAAATAAAGAAAATGCAGTTGAAAATTAGACCTTCTGAAGGTCTTAAGTCCTTTATAGATACCTGCTATCAAATATCAACAATTTTTGTAATCTCTTGATGTTACTATCACAATGATATAGATACACCATCAGCCCTTGCCAATCTACATACTCTGATTTCCTTTCATCTCTCATAAACCTTTCACCTGATACAAAAATGTCTTAGAAAATGTTTCGAATATGACCATGTTCTGTACTACAGCAATATAGAATACCTCAACATGTCAAAATTTCACCCATTATCCATTAAATCTGCGCAAAGCAAATTCCTATCCAAATTTGAAATGAAAAACATGTTGCTTTCTAAACATAGCTCAGAGTTTAAAGCAAATAACACCTCTACAATACAAATAATTAATGACCCTTGAGTGGGATGGTCTTTCATTTCTTCTTTTTGAATCTTTATTCAAGCATGAAATTTCTCTAAGATATCATTAACTAGTATTCATATGATCCCAACCTCTTTTGGACAGCCCTAAATCTTTAAGTAAAGGCAGTCTCCTAGATCAAGCCAAATTCTGGTTTCTTGTAACTTCTTACTCTTTCATTTGGACCCATCTTGAACAAAATAAACCAAAAGAAAACCAGTGAAAAACAAACAAACAAACAAACAAAAATATTTTCTTTTCCATTGTGAAAACTCATTAAGCAATTGAGAAAAAGTCCCTTCTATAAGTATCCTCTTGTTTTCTTTGTACTAACATATTTGAGTCAAGGCAGAGGACAAATTCTCCAACTCAGAAAGTGACTTGGAGACTCCATCCTCAGCCTTTATTTCGTGAATCTGCTAGTAACATGTTAATCTATCCTATGGGTCGCTTTGCTTATATCGTTACTCTTTAGACATGGATAGAATATTGGAAATGTATCCCTTTAATGGATTTTTTTCTGCTAAGTCTCTGACTGTGTTTTTACATAAAAACCATTAAGTAAATTTTTGCACCTGGATTTAGCACCATTGATCAACAACTACAGTTTTCCCCTGGCATAAGTAACTGAATCTGTTTTTCTTTCTTTTTCTAGAAAAATAAATAGATCTACAAAGAGCTTTAACATAATTAGAGACATAATTAACTAGAATTACTTCCTTTTGTTTAGTGATAAATAAAATATACAATTATGATTTAAAGAAGCTTTAATGTATTTTCAACATTTAATGCTTTTCAGACTCTGAAGAAGTATAGATCATCATAATCTCAGAATTATTTCTCCATCCTAAGTTAAAAGACAGCATAGCTCAAATGAACTGTTTCTTAAGGTCAGATGTCCTCTACAGTACATACACAGACATCACAAACAAAATGTCTGAGATTCAAAGTAATTTTGTGGCCAAAATTTCCTAGACCTTTTTCTGTCAACAATTTATCTTAAATTGTTTCCAATTCTCCTGCTTAGTTGAATTCTCCTGGTTCTTTTAAGCTGTATAGCCCTGTACTATATAAAAGTTAAACAATTTAAACAGATGATCAAATTCGTAGCTTGAATTTGGCAGGCACAGAGACAGCATATCATCATTGACAGAGACAGTATGTCATCATTGAAAGTATCAAGTAAATAAAGAAACAAAAGTACAAACTATATTACTAACAAAACATGTAAAAAGCTAAAAACCAAGGCCCCCAACATAAGTAGAAGAACTTCCAAAACCTACAGCAATATAACAAAAGAGTTTGTAAAAGGAAACAAAAAGTGCACATGGCAAATAGCAAACAAAAATACAGCTCTGTGAAGTACGGAGCCCACCTTAAGTTGCAAATTTATGTTATTCATGATTTCTATTATACACATCTGAATAGAATCCTGAATAATTTAGAACATGTTACCATAAGTAAGGTATTCTAGTAATGCAACCTAAAATATGGGTGTGGTTGAATGGAGTTGATGGGCAGAATGCATTAATGACTCAGGTGTGAGAGGCTAAAAACCTAAGGAGTCTTACACATGGTAAAATATTTGGGTAAGCCTCACTTTGAAAAGAAAACCGTGTGCTCACTGATGCTTAAAAAATGCAGAATTTATTGGGCAAAGTACAAGAAACAAAACTACAAAAAATCAGAATATTTGCATGACGTGGATTCTCCTTGCCACTTTTAGCATTTACAAGAAAGATGAATTCAGACTACAAGCAGTCAGAATGCAAGCAGAAATGGGAGGAGAAATATCAATTTTATAAGGGGGTATGGTCTGCCTGCAGGTGTTGTATATTGTTAATCAAGAGTCCTATAATTTGGAATTGAAGAATTGAAGAAAAAACTCTAAGTATCCTGTCCCCCCAAATTGAGGTGGTGGTAAAACTGTAGCCTTGTCAGAAGATAAAATTGATACTCCAGATACAAAGGCAATGAGTCTACCGGCAAAGACGGAATTTAGGTCTTGTCCTTCCTCCCAAACCCACAGTTTCAAACGGCCTTAAGGCAGTGGTCAATAATTAAAGAGAAGGGCTGGTCACAGCATAGATCAAAGTATATTTATATGCTCTTGGACTATAGTTACTTTCAGATGGCATTGGGTTATAAAGCAAGTAGACTAGAAGCTTAGTAACCTTGGAAAGAACTTTTTTGTTGAATTTGAGGGCAGCTGACATCAGCCCTTGATTAGTCAATCTTTAATCCAAAGGTCCCTAAACCAATATTAGCAGAAAGTGGGTTGTGAAAGGTGTGCTGTCCTTAGATAGAGATACTCTCCAAACCAAACTTGGATGTAACTGTGAAGAATAATGTGCCAGGAAGAACTGCCCTGAGAGCAACACTGGGGCCCATGAAGGACAGCGGACAGAAGACACCTTCTCAGAGGCCAGCACTTCGTCTACCAGATTGGCTTTCCAAGGAACTCACTGAGCTGCGGGGTGGCTTATCCTTCCTGTCCGGTAGGATTTGATACTTACTGCAGCAAATCTATTCTGGATGTTTCTTGGTGACAACAGAGACACCAAAACAGCCTTAAACTGCTTATCTATTTGACTAATTTTAAATGAGAAAAAGTGAACACTGTCTTTCTTCAGTCACTATTATTTGTTTCTCTTTTAGATACAGCAGAACTTAATGCTAATCAATGTAAAATACAATTAATAAGAAAATATACAAACCATTATAAATTTAGAAGGAAAATCTATAACCTAAAATATTTATATTAGTAAATCAGAAGAAATAAAACTTAAGATTCAACTCAAGAAGTTGGGGGCCAAAAAGAAATCAAACTTTAGGAAATCTGAAGAGAATTATTAGAAAGAAAAGTAAATTTTAATGAATTAGAAAGGAAATAAAAGTAACATTAATTTTTTAAAATCCAAATAATGGTTTTTTAAAAAAAAATTTAGGTAAAAGAATGGCTAACCTTGTCAGGTAAAAAATTAAAAGAATAAATGAATACACACGGTAATAAATTATAAGAAATGTTATAGATATGGAAGTAATTTCAGACAGCTCTTTAAATACTGATGTGAAATTTGATCAAGAAATTTTACTAAGTGAATACTTCAGGTACAAAACAATTTATACAACATGCCACCATTTGGATAATGAAAGCAAATGATAGCTATATATAGATTTGTTTGTATTTTCTTGTATTTACATGAAATATCTCAAATAATATATAAATATTCCAACCACATAAGTTGTCTGTGAGGAAAAGAATTGGATAGTAGTGGGGGAAGAGTTTACACTTTTTTATTTTGAAGTTTAAACCATGTGATTATATTGCCTGGTCCAGAATATTTTTTAAAAAGTAATATAGAAATTCAAATTTATATCTTAAATGATTGCCTTTTTTCAATCGGAGGATAATTTCTACTTAACTAGAGGTAAGCACCATTTGTAACATCAGGGAAATGCCCCTCACTGCATGCCTAGGTTGGGAGGTATCTGGAGCCATATTGTTGGTTAGAGGACATGCAGCACGTACAAGTTTCCATTCTGTGAGGTCTCTACATGTTTAATGGTTTTCTTGTACACTGTGTTTTCTAAAGCCTTTTTGTTGCATGAGTAAAAGTTACATTTACTTTAGAGTTATTTAAAAAGCATCACTTTTCAACAAAGTTAACATTTGTATAAATATAATTAGCATAAAATACTAAAGATTATCCACAAACCTAACCAGTTTACAACTCATTTTTGAGCTTTTTAAAGAGGTTGCAGTGAAATATTCACAGGTTTTCCAAAAAAAAAGAAAATTCTTTCACAGTACAATAGAGGGAGCTGAAGGTTATGTCAGTTTATCTAACATGGTTATTTTTTAAATCTTTTGGTGACATCCTGTGAAAGAAATATTGAATTCTATTTTTTAAATTTTAATCCTCCTTAATCTTATACCTCTATTGATCTAAAAATTACTCAAAAACCAAAGTGAGCAAAACCCAAACACTTCTATCTAAAGTGCAACATGAATTGTAAACTTATCTGACTCTCCCAGTGGAATTTGTGTAGATATTTCCTGGTTTCTTGAGAGTGATCTAGTCATAAGGACCAATGTTTCTTTTCAATTTCAAAGGTAGTACTGGAAATTTACACCCTTCTTCTTAACAAGTTGATTGAAAGTCATACCTGAGCAGGTAATTTTGGCTTCTTCATAGTGATCACAGGTAAGTCCACCCCATTGCCAGTTCTTGCAGTCCCAAAGAGAAGTTTCATTTCCGTTACAGCTACTTAGAAACAGCCATGTGTTTGTTGCCTGGATTTTGGAGTACACTTGATAAGATGTTTTGAGTGCAGATCCACATCCCAGCTGCCTGCAAACCACATCAGCTTCTTTCAGTCCCCAGCCTCTGTCACACACCTTCCCTAACAGTCTCTGAATCTCCACCTCAACTGTCCCAGCACAGCGGCTGCCTCCACCTCTAAGTCTTAGCTCCAGATCTGATCCATCTGCAAAAGAAACATAAACTTAAACCATCGATACATATGGAGGTTAGCTTCCAGAGGATTTTTTTTTGTCTTTTTTCTTCTCTGATACTGATGCATTGAAAATTATAGGTAACTTATTTCCTGACTTTTTAAGAAACAATAATATAGACCATAAATTTTTGTTAGAAATGGGACTGTAGTTTCAAGGGTTGATAAAAATTGTCAATGGCAGAAAGATATGAGCAATTCAGCTTTAAAAGAGATTCCTCAAAAAGTGGGTGAAGGGTATGAACAGACACTTCTGAAAAGAAGGCATTTATGCGGACAACAAACATATGAAAAATAGCTTATCAACAATGGTCATTAGAGAAATGCAAATCAAAATCACAATGAGATACCATCTCATCCCAGTTAGAATGGCGATCATTAAAAAGTCTGGAAACAACAGATGTTGGCAAGGATGTAGAGAAATAGGAAAGCTTTTACACTGTTGGTGGGAGTGTAAATTAGTTCAACCATTATGGAAGACAGTGTGGTGATTCCTCAAGGATCTAGAACTAGAAATACCATTTGACCCAGCGATCCCATTACTGGGTATATACCCAAAGGATTATAAATCATTCTACTATAAAGACACATGCACATGTATGTTTATTGCAGCACTATCTACAATAACAAAGACTTGGAACCAACCCAAATGCCCATCAATAATAGACTGGATAAAGAAAATGTGGTACATATACACCATGGAATACTACGCAGCCATAAAAAAGAATGAGTTTATGTCCTTTGAAGGGACACAGATGAAGCTAGAAACCATCATCCTCAGCAAACTAACACACAAGAACAGAAAACCAAACACTGCATGTTCTCACTCATAACTGGGAGTTGAACAATGAGAACACACGGACACAGGGAGGGGAACATCACACACTGGGGCCTGTCAATGGGTGGGGGGAAAGGGGAGGGAGAGCATTAGGACAAATACCTAATGCATGGGGGGTTAAAACCTAGATGACAGGTTGATACGTGAAGCAGACCACCATGGAACATGTTTACCCATGTAACAAACCTGCACATTCAACACATCTATCCCAGAACTTAAAGTAAAAAAATAAGTAAATTAAAAAAATTTAAAAACAGATTCCTAGGAAATTTTGTCTCTCTGAGCTCCAGGTAGATTCTGAGTTTGAAGTGTGCTCCATAAAAGCAGTCTGAGTAATTATTACAGAGAATGCCGTCAGACAACCTTCCAAACTAGTTGAATAAAGAATGTGTCAAAGATTACAGGTATAAAGGAATTCCCAGCAAGGAATTTACTAGGCATTTCTACTTCTTAAGGAGCACGTTCCTACTCTTAAGGAGCACAGGACTTTCCGTTTCTGCTTTTCTTTTTGTTTAGTGTTTTGGTTTTGGTTTGGTTTTAACTTACCAGAACATGTCACGCCAGCATCTTCATTGTGATTGCAATAATGCTTTCCCCATTCATGGTGTTTACATTGCCAGATAGCAGGTTCATGTCCCTGGCAAGAAACGCTGTCAAGCCAGATGTGTCCAAATCCCTTACTGGCGTTAACTCGACCAATGGCTGTGACGGCAGTTGGACATCCCAGTTGCTTGCATGCCACAGCAGCATCGTAACTGTCCCAGCCGTCATCACATATTGTCCCCCATTCTCCTTGGAATCTCACTTCTAATCTTCCTGAACATTCAGTGACTCCATCTACCAGTCTCAGGCTCAGATCTGCTCCCTCTGTAACAGAGACACACAACAGGTCTGCGATAAGGAAGCAAGAACATGAGACTATAAATAGCTATACCTGAGATGAGTTAAGGAAAAGGGGAGAGATATAAGTGGAGACAGAGAAAACTGTGATGTACTGTACTACCACTGGAAATCATTCAAGATGGAAGGAGGAGTGGATCAGGCAAGAAGATGGGACATCTCAGTATAGACAGCATATACTACAGGAAGTGTTTCTAACAGGAGATACAGGGACTGAATTTCATCTAGAGACCTGCTATTTGACCACCACAGAGTTCTTGTTAGAACTGTTTACTTTTTCTGGTTAAAATATATTTGCATGTGTTTAGGTGACTCCCTCATCCTTCAGTTTGCCTCCATACTTAGCAATCCCTTTTGCCTCTGACTGCATTCTCCATTGATACTACCTAGCCTGTGTTGTACACCTGAACCTGTTGTGACCACTTCCTTAGTTTAAAAGCAGAGCAAAGAGAAAGGAGGCTTCAGTACTACAATTTTCACCTTCCCCAAATCAATATTCTTCAAAGAACAGACGTTGATTCTGAAGAATATTCTGTAATAAATTAAACTGGTTGTTTCCTCTGGCAGTTTCCGTTTTCATTCCCACAATGTTATTCATTGTGGGATTGTGATTCGTCAGCATGTGCTAACTGGGGGCCTAGAGAAATGTTGATGGGTAAAAGAGAATGGAAGGTACAGTCTGTGTTTTTTCTACTCCAAATTCTTCACATTCTTAACCTAACAAAATCTATCTTTCTTGTAGGAGTTCCATTCATTGTGGTTCAGGCTATAGCTGATCACATTGTTCAACAAGAAAAAGCTTGTTCAAGACATGCAGAAAGAGATAGAACCCAGATGACATTGTTCAAGAACCTGAATCCAACCATGCATGAGGCTAACTATACCCTCTGGATTTCCCAGTTTTGTGAGCCAGTATTCTCTTCTTTTTAAACAAGTTTGAATGGAAGTTCCTTTATTTACACACACACACACACACACACAGAGAGAGAGAGAGAGAGAGAGAAAGGGATCTGGTGAAGATAGGGATTTTTTACTCTTATTTTCCTAAGTGTTCTCTGGGGTTCAAGACACACTCAATCTCCTTTTATACTAAGAATTCAACAGAAAAACGAAGAGTGGTATCTCTGCACACACAAACGATTTTCCCCGCCCCCAGTCTGAGTATACAACGTGAAAGTCTCTAGACAGATACAATGCATATCTAGTATAAATAAAGTTTTAATGAGAAACCAATATTGATTTTTAACAAGTGATTCGATTCTGTGAACTTGAAAAATGATTTGGGAAGGAGTGGGTTAATGAGGCTAATGAGGAGGCTTTTGTGGATTAGATGATAACTGGAGTGGTTTGGTCATAAAACTTCATAGTGCAAAATATCCTAGTAAAGCCCTTCCTTCTTTCCTTTTTCCCCTCTTTTTCTTTTCGGTCTCTCCCTTTCTTTATGGGCTTTTCCTAAACACTTTCTTCTTTTCTTATGACCTGGATCTCAGTTTCACTATGCACTTCCCTAACCTATTTCTCCTAATTTCAGTTAAGGTAAAAAGTCCACAGGTATCAGAACTGGAACCTGAAGTTAGGTTAAAATGCGGTGACAAAAGAAGCAGACTTCATTATGTTCTTAAGAGTTCAGGCTCTTAAGATTTATTACCCCTTTCTTTTGTCCTCTCCTGGAGAATAGAATGAGCCAAGATCAGTCCTTACTTGAGCAAATCACTCCAGCATCCTCAGCATGATCACAGTTATGCTTTCCCCATCCTTGATGTTTGCAGTTCCAGAGAGCTGACTCATTTCCGTTGCATATAAGATCATCAAACCAGATTGGTCCAGAGCCTTCTCCAAAATTAGATGAACCAGAGAAACTGACAGCACTTCCACATTCAAGTTGTCTACAAATGACAGATGCATGATCTATGTTGAAGTTATCATCACACACTGTTCCCCACCGTCCTTGGAATTTGATCTCTATTCTTCCAGAACACATATTCCCTCCACGCGTCAGCCTCATTTCCAAATTGGATCCATCTGGAGCAGAGAAAAGACCAGAGTTCAGAAGTTACATTCATTTAGAAGTGATTTTAGAAAAGAAGTTTCCTCTGGACACTTGGGATTTTATGTTGTCCTTAAAATGGTGCCTGATTTTGGACATTGCCCAGCTCCACACGGTAGAGAATTTTAATATGTTAAAATCTAGGAAGCAATTAGGATTTTTATCTATATCTACTTACAAAGGAAAATGTTTACAGGTTAAAGTTTTTAAACTTTCTGTTTTGTTTTGTTTCCATCTATTACTAGGACAGATGTAAATACTCTTTTTTGTACAGAAATAGATAAATTCGACTCAAGTTATTTAAATTTGACTCAGGTTAAAGCTTTAAGTGTATAAATTTCAAAAAGCAAATTGATTAACTCCACTGGTAGTTATAAAACAACAGAAAAAAAGAGCTAAAAGTACTACACTGTTTTAGCTAAACAGCCAGTTCTATACACAGCAATAATTATGATAAGAGCCTGCTAAAATTTATGATAATTTTAAACTTTGCAGTAGATGTTACTTTTGTTATTCCCCATTTCACACCTCCCATAGTGGTTAAAAATAAGAGGAAAGAAGGAGGAGAAGGAGGAGAAGGAAGAGGAAGAGGAAGCGGAGAAAGAAGAAAGAGAACTGAGTCACCAAGAGAACTGAGCCATGAGGATCTTCAGCACCTGTTACATACCAAACAGTGTACCAGTAGTTTTACATGTATTATATCATTGAATCCTCAGAAACTGAAGTTTAGAGAGATTTGACAACTTGCACAAAATCACAGGATATTAGCTATGTGAAAATTTATTTCAGCATTTTTCTAGATGCTACTGTGTGTTTCTCTTATCACATCATGATGCCTGGACAGAGATAAGTCCTTTCTATAGTCAGTCCTATGGGAGAGAGAGAGGCTGGGAGGTGAGAGGATTGTATAAAAATTAATGAAACAGGCCAGTCACGGTGGCTCACACCTGTAATCCCAGGATTTTGGGAGGCCGAGGCAGGTGGATCACCTGAGCTCAGGAGTTCGAGACCAGCCTGGCCAATATGGTGAAACCCTGTCTCTACTAAAAATACAAAAATCAGCCAGGTGTGGTGGCAGGTGCCTATAATCCCAGCTACTCGGGAGACTGAGGCAGGAGAATTGCTTGAACCCGGGAGGTGGAGGTTGCAGTGAGCCGAGATAGCGCCATCGCACTCCAGCCTGGGGGACAAGAGCGACAATTCGTCCCAAAAAAAAAAAAAAAAAAAAGGAATGAAACAAACAAAAAGAAATGGGGATCCCAGGAATCTGAGTTGGATCAGAAATGTGCCCTTGGGATTTGTCAGCAGAAAGGCCTGACACATGACTTTCTCAGTTATTGTGGGGTCAATTGCAATAAAACATATGGAGATGTTTTGTAAATTAAAAGCACAATGTAAATGAAATGACTAGCATTGCACACTGGTCAAGCAATTATACTTTCAAAGAATCCTTCCTACAACAAGAAATGATGTATTAATGCTAGAAATAGTTGTTTTTTGATTTACTAAGTTGATTATCAGTTAATGGACAAAATGGTAATAATTTGTGGGTCAACATATCAAAACAAGTCACTGGGAAAGAACAAGGAAATAACTTAGATGTCATGATATTTTTATGATATAGGAATAGTAGGTTACAGTAAGCTTACTGAATATCAAATTTAAACCACCACTTCTTGGCTTTTTGGCTAAGATCATGTATAAAATTGAAGCCAGTCACCTCCTCATTAATCACAGTGTTCAGAATTTTTTTTATTAAAAAAAAATGACCTCGTGTTTTGTGGTTTTCTAGCAATGGATGGAGTACTTTTATACATGAACTAGATTGCTTACAGGAAAGTGGCTTATTCTAGGTTTTAACCCATCTACATATTTTTTTCCCACCAAGGATTTTGTGTTGAGGCTTTGACTAATGCAAGTCTTACCTGAGCAGGTCACTCCAGCATCTTGTTGGTGAGTACAGTTACTATGCTTTCCCCATCCATCATGTTTGCAATCCCAAAGAGCTGACTCATTCCCACGACAAGAAACATGATCCATCCAAATGCGTCCAGAACCTGCACTGGAATTAGCCCATCCAGGGGCTTTGATAGCAGTTGGACATCCCAGCTGGTTACAAATCACAGAGACCGCTTCCATGCTCCAGCCATTATTACACACCGTTCCCCACTCCTCCTGGACTTTCACTTCCACTCTCCCGCTACACTTGTTTTCACCATCCACTAGCCTCAGCTCCTTGTCTGTTCCTCCTGCAACAATGGATTAAGACAGTAATTGGCCAAGGTCGCAAAGAGCAAGTAGAAAATTATTTTTTTACATTACTTATTTATCCTTCAAACTCAGATTTGAGAACCATCCTAGTCCTATCCATGGTAAAACAGAAGAATGTTATTTCACAGTCATTCAAATATAAGTATCAGTATCACTGGTTTCAAATTAAGCAGTGCTATATGACCAGTAAAGGTAAGTAACACAATAGTGTTTAATAGCTTTATTTTATGGCTGGATAGCCTTAATAGTGGCAATTTATATAATTCCTGTGAAGCATTTTCGAGTTAAATAAGATGCTACAAAACGTTATGGGGATGAACTTTTTACATTTCTCCAAAATCCTAAGGTCGATAGAAAGAAGGCTGATAGAGAATTTATGAAGATGAAAAGACTAGTTGTAAGAAATTTAACTCTTATTTCATACGTATATGTAAAATAGCATAAATCTTAAAAACGCTAGACTGAAACTTATCTAAAATTAAGATGGAGATATTTTCTGCTATTTTCTACCATAAAATAAACCTCTTTGTACTCTCTTCCCATCCCCAGATGATAGATGATCTCAGTTGCCTCCTTGGCATTATTTTAGCTTTATGTAGGAATCTGGTCCCACCAACCTGGCATCTCTCAATACATTTTTAGATAAATTTTGGCATTTGAATTTACTAATGTGTTTCCCAAATTCACTTTTGTTTTAATGATTCTGAAGTTTCTCCTCCTTTGTATTCTTTCCTATTTTTCAGTTCAACATTATTTCTAATCTTTAAGTAAAATTCATTTCTCTCCTGTGAGTTTATTTCATTTGGTGAGGAACCATGCTAATATTTTGGTTAGATTTTTATTGTGTGCTTTTAATAATATCTGATCCTTTGAATACATGGAGCATGTCACCTAGTTTTTAGATGCTACTTGGCCTTCAGAAAAATTGTTTGCCTTTTAACTGTTCTTGTCAGAGTGGGCTAAGGCTGTAAGTAAATTTGACAAAGTACTCACCAAGAGAACTGGTGACAAAACAGGCACTGAGAAGTAAGACCACAGTAATGGTGAAGGGACTCAAGTTGACAAAATGTCTTCTGAAGTCTGTGAAAAAGAAAAGAGGGCAAAAGTAGCATCTTCCCAAAAAGAGACTTTGGAGAAGATAGATGGTTTCAGAGGTTAATTAACAAAGAAGCTCAAACCAAGACAGAAAACTCTTCATTCTAAATTGCAAGGCAGGCAGAAAACATTCATACCCAGGCTCATATAGTTTCAGTGAAATGGTTTTGAAAATGTTCATGTTTATAGGCAACCTAGAGGTGACGGATTAGCAGAAGGTTGGTGGTGGAAACGAGAATTGCAAGGTCAACCCTTAAAACCTGGAAAATGGAAACAACATCAATGAAACTTAGTAGTGGACAATTCTCCCAGCAGGCACAGGGAAGGTATCCTGAGATTTCTCTATTCCCTAACCACCTTGATATTCAATTATGGATGCCCCCATCTTTAAGACTACCTAGCCGCACTGATAGAGGATAAGTTCCATGAGTAAACGAATTATATCTATCATGTTCACCATAATTTCACCAGTACCTGGCTTGATGCTTGCCAAATAGTAGCTAGCAGAACAATACCTAAGTGATGATATCCATATCTGAAAAACTCAAATATTAAATCTTGTCATCTCTACCTGTATCCTTATCACATAATACACTCTTTAATGCTGTTATTACTCTCATATCTTCTCGTTACTCTAACCCAACACTAATTTAAAACTAAAAATGCTAAATGATTTTAACATGTCCAAATAAGTCTTAAAATAGATAACTCACTTATCAGAGTAGATAACTTTCTTTATGTAATTAACTCTCTATCAATATTCCTTTCTGCATATTCTATCTTTTCTAACAACTATTTTTTCATACTCAGTACATTTCAGTTAACTTTAGTTCCTGACTTAATTTCACCTCAGCAGTTTTACAAAATTAATGCCGACTCTGATTCCCATATCACATCTTCAATTTTGAATCTATGGCAGATCAAAGGTGCTGCCATATAAGCCTATGTCCTTTTTCCACTCCTTACTCTCCTGATGCCAATCACTTTTAAATCACATCCATTGACTGTCATAATAATTACATACCCCATTAAAGGGGAAATGTAGAATAAATGAGAAGCTTTTACCAGCAGATCCAGAGTCTTCAAGTAGCACCATTCTGAGTTTGCTCATTCCAAAGATTTATAACTTCAATGATTCCTAAATCTTCTTGTATTATTCCCTAGAAATGTTCTTCTAAAGAAAACAACTAAGAATTCTAAAAATCACTTCACTTTCATGAAAATGAAAAGGCTACATATGGAGGCGGAGTCAACTCAAAAAGGGAAGTCATTGAAAGAGCTGAGGTTCCATTTCATACTCATGTTTTCTTCAATATAGCACATGAAACAACCAAAGGAAATTGGGAAACACTTCCCACAGATTTCGAAAAATTAGAGGAAATACTAACTCATATGCTGCTGTTGCTGAATTAAATATTTTACATTTTTGAACTTCATTTTGGACAAATATATAAGACACAAAAAATTACTAATTGTCATGTAGAAAAATTATGTAAAAAACTAAAGCAAAACAGGCAAAACATAATTAAATAACATTTTATCATATGCACTTTTAATTTTATTTCCATAATCAAATGTGTCTAATGAGTAATTTTGTGTAAGTTGTTGAGACACAGCATTTGTCATTTCTTTTCTAATGGGATGAAGTACACCAAGAGAATTAGCCATGACTATTACTGATATTACAAATGGTGAAACAAAAATTAGCAACACATGATTTTAGCTCTATATAACTCAGATTCAAGTAAGAGAAACACATATGATAACAACAATGAACATAAAGCTAAAGTGCAGTGTTAAAAATAATGGACAAAGTAGTCCTATCTATTGAGAGAAAGGAATGAACAGTCAGAAAACTATTTTCTCTGAGGACAGGCTTAAATTGTGTCCTAAAAGATGAGAAAAACATTGCCAAAGGGACAAATGATAAAGGAGTTTAAGGCATAAAAAATAGCACATACAAATGAATATTTGTATATAAAAACATATAAGCTCAAAAGAACTACTAATAGTTCATCATGGCATACATATTGTCAGGTGTTAGTGATGGGCCTGAAATGGGGAATTAAAGAGCAACTCCAGCCTTCCAGAGAGACATTCACTAGAACCCAGTCAACAAAGGCACCCCAGTTTTCTTCCACTTCTCAGGCATGCCAAATCTCTCCCTGCCTCATGGTATGTCATACATATTGTTCCTTCTGTGTTTACTGCCTCCCTACCCGTACCTTTCTCTAAGATAACTCTCACTCACGTATACTTTATTTCTCAGTTAAACCTCCCTTCACTAGGAGAAATAACTCTAACGCTGAAAGACCCCAGAAAATATGCACTCATGATAGCCTGTACTTATGAGGGTTGTCAATTATATATATATTTTTTTCCTTTTTTTAAATTATTATTATACTTTAAGTTTTAGGATACATGTGCACAACATGCAGGTTTGTTACGTATGTATACATGTGCAATGCTGGTGTGCTGCACCCATTAACTCGTCATTTAGCATTAGGTATATCTCCTAATGTTATCCCTCCCCCCTCCCCTGACCCCACAACCGTCCCTGGAGTGGGATGTTCCCCTTCCTGTGTCCATGTGTTCTCATTGTTCAATTCCCACCTATGAGTGAGAACATGTGGTGTTTGGTTTTTTGTCCTTGCGATGGTTTGCTGAGAATGATGGTTTCCAGTTTCATCCATGTCCCTACAAAGGACATGAACTCATCATTTTTTATGGCTGCATAGTATTCCATGGTATATATGTGCCACATTTTCTTAATCCAGTCTATCATTGATGGACATTTGGGTTGGTTCCAAGTCTTTGCTATTGCGAGTAGTGCCGCTATAAACGTACGTGTGCATGTGTCTTTATAGCAGCAT
This sequence comes from Homo sapiens, assembly GCF_000001405.40. NCBI lineage: Eukaryota > Metazoa > Chordata > Mammalia > Primates > Hominidae > Homo > Homo sapiens. The sequence continues at coordinate 7,505,453 of NC_000012.12, forward strand.
GATTTATAATCCTTTGGGTATATACCCAGAAATGGGATGGCTGGGTCAAATGGTATTTCTAGTTCTAGATCCCTGAGGAATTGCCACACTGACTTCCACAATGGTTGAATTAGTTTACAGTCCCACCAACAGTGTAAAAGCATGCCTATTTCTCCACATCCTCTCCAGCACCTATTGTTTCCTGACTTTTTAATGATCACCATTCTAACTGGTGTGAGATGGTATCTCGTTGTGGTTTTGGTTTGCATTTCTCTGATGGCCAGTGATGATGAGCATTTTTTCATGTGTTTTTTGGCTGCATAAATGTCTTCTTTTGAGAAGTATCTGTTCATATCCTTCGCCAATTTTTGATGGGGTTGTTTGTTTTTTTCTTGTAAATTTGTTTGAGGTCATTGTAGATTCTGGATATTAACCCTTTGTCAGATGAGTAGGTTGCGAAAATTTTCTCCCATTTTGTAGATTTCCTGTTCACTCTGATGGTAGTTTCTTTTGCTGTGCAGAAGCTCTTTAGTTTAATTAGATCCCATTTGTCTATTTTGGCTTTTGTTGCCATTGCTTTTGGTGTTTTAGATATGAAGTCCTTGCCCATGCCTATGTCCTGAATGGTATTGCCTAGGTTTTCTTCTAGGGTTTTTATGGTTTTAGGTCTAACATGTAAGTCTTTAATCCATCTTGAATTAATTTTTGTATAAGGTGTAAGGAAGGGATCCAGTTTCAGCTTTCTACATATGGCTAGCCAGTTTTCCCAGCAACATTTATTAAATAGGGAATCCTTTCCCCATTGCTTGTTTTTGTCAGGTTTGTCAAAGATCAGATGGTTGTAGATATGCGGCATTATTTCTGAGGGCTCTGTTCTGTTCCATTGATCTATATCTCTGTTTTGGTACCAGTACCATGCTGTTTTGGTTACTGTAGCCTTGTAGTATAGTTTGAAGTCAGGTAGCGTGATGCCTCCAGCTTTGTTCTTTTGGCTTAGGATTGACTTGGGGATGTGGGCTCTTTTTTGGTTCCATATGAACTTTAAAGTAGTTTTTTCCAATTCTGTGAAGAAAGTCATTGGTAGCTTGATGGGGATGGCATTGAATCTATAAATTACCTTGGGCAGTATGGCCATTTTCATGATATTGATTCTTCCTACCCATGAGCATGGAAGGTTCTTCCATTTGTTGGTATCCTCTTTTATTTCATTGAGCAGTGGTTTGTAGTTCTCCTTGAAGAGGTCCTTCACATCCCTTGTAAGTTGGATTCCTAGGTATTTTATTCTCTTTGAAGCAATTGTGAATGGGAGTTCACTCATGATTTGGCTCTCTGTTTGTCTGTTATTGGTGTATAAGAATGCTTGTGATTTTTGTACATTGATTTTGTATCCTGAGACTTTGCTGAAGTTGCTTATCAGCTTAAGGAGATTTTGGGCTGAGACGATGGGGTTTTCTAAATATACAATCATGTCATCTGCAAACAGGGACAATTTGACTTCCTCTTTTCCTAATTGAATACCCTTTATTTTCTTCTCCTGCCTAATTGCCATGGCCAGAACTTCTAACACTATCTTGAATAGGAGTGGTGAGAGAGGGCATCCCAGTCTTGTGCCAGTTTTCAAAGGGAATGCTTCCAGTTTTTGCCCATTCAGTACGATATTGGCTGTGGGTTTGTCATAGATAGCTCTTATTATTTTGAGATACGTCCCATCAATAATTTATTGAGAGTTTTTAGCATGAAGCGTTGTTGAATTTTGTCAAAGGCCTTTTCTGCATCTATTGAGATAATCATGTGGTTTTTGTTTTTGGTTCTGTTTATATGCTGGATTACATTTATTGATTTGAGTATGTTGAACCAGCCTTGCATCCCAGCGAAGAAGCCCACTTGATCATGGTGGATAAGCTTTTTGATGTGCTGCTGGATTTGGTTTGCCAGTATTTTATCGAGGATTTTTGCATCAATGTTCATCAAGGATATTGGTCTAAAATTCTCTTTTTTGGTTGTGTCTCTGCCAGGCTTTGGTATCAGGATGATGCTGGCCTCATAAAATAATGAGTTAGGGAGGATTCCCTCTTTTTCTATTGATTGGAATAGTTTCAGAAGGAATGGTACCAACTCCTCCTTGTACCTCTGGTAGAATTTGGCTGTGAATCCACCTGCTCCTGGACTTTTTTTGGTTGGTAAGCTATTGATTATTGCCACAATTTCAGAGCCTGTTATTGGTCTATTCAGAGATTGAATTTCTTCCTCGCTTAGTCTTGGGAGGGTGTATGTGTCGAGGAATTTATCCATTTCTTCTAGATTTTCTAGTTTATTTGCGTAGAGGTGTTTGTAGTATTCTCTGATGGTAGTTTGTATTTCTGTGGGATCGGTGGTGATATCCCCTTTATCAATTTTTATTGCGTCTATTTGATTCTTCTTTCTTGTCTTCTTTATTAGTCTTGCTAGCAGTCTATCGATTTTGTTGACGTTTTCAAAAAACCAGCTCCCAGATTCATTAATTTTTTGAAAGGTTTTTTGTGTCTCTATTTCCTTCAGTTCTGCTCTGATTTTAGTTATTTCTTGCCTTCTGCTAGCTTTTGAATGTGTTTGCTCTTGCTTTTCTAGTTCTTTTAATTGTGACGTTAGGGTGTCAATTTTGGATCTTTCCTGCTTTCTCTTGTGGGTATTTAGTGCTATAAATTTCCCTCTACACACTGCTTTGAATGTGTCCCAAAGATTCTGGTATGTTGTGTCTTTGTTCTCGTTGGTTTCAAAGAACATCTTTATTTCTGCCTTCATTTCATTATTTACCCAGTAGTCATTCAGGAGCAGGTTGTTCAGTTTCCATGTGGTTGAGCAGTTTTGAGTGAATTTCTTAATCCTGAGTTCTAGTTTGATTGCACTGTGGTCTGAGAGACAGTTTACTATGATTTCTGTTGATGCAGTTTCTTCCTAGCCTTGATAGTCTTTACATTTTGTCATGTTTTGGCAGTGGCTGGTACCAGTTGTTCCTTTCTATGTTTAGTGCTTCCTTCAGGAGCTCTTTTAGGGCAGGCCTGGTGGTGACAAAATCTCTCAGCATTTGCTTGTCTATAAAGTTATTTCTCCTTCACTTATGAAGCTTAGTTTGGCTGGATATGAAATTCTGGGTTGAAAATTCTTTTCTTTAAGAATGTTGAATATTGGCCCCCACTCTCTTCTGGCTTGTAGAGTTTCTGCCGAGAGATCCGCTGTTAGTCTGATGGGCTTCCCTTTGTGGGTAACCCGACCTTTCTCTCTGGCTGCCCTTAACATTTTTTCCTTCATTTCAACTTTGGTGAATCTGACAATTATGTGTCTTGGAGTTGCTCTTCTCGAGGAGTATCTTTGTGGTGTTCTCTGTATTTCCTGAATCTGTATGTTGGCCTGCCTTGCTAGATTGGGGAAGTTCTCATGGATAATATCCTGCAGAGTGTTTTCCAACTTGGTTCCATTCTCCCCATCACTTTCAGGTACACCAATCAGACGTAGATTTGGTCTTTTCACATAGTCCCATATTTCTTGGAGGCTTTGTTTGTTTCTTTTTATTCTTTTTTCTCTAAACTTCCCTTCTCACTTCATTTCATTCATTTTGTCTTCCATCACTGATAACCTTTCTTCCAGTTGATCGCATTGGCTCCTGAGCCTTCTGCATTCTTCACGTAGTTCTTGAGCCTTGGCTTTCAGCTCCATCAGCTCCTTTAAGGACTTCTCTGCGTTGGTTATTCTAGTTATCCATTCATCTATTTTTTTTTCACAGTTTTTAACTTCTTTGCCATTGATTTGAATTTCCTCCTGTAGCTCGGAGTAGTTTGATCATCTGAAGACTTCTTCTCTCAGCTCGTCAAAGTCATTCTCCATCCAGCTTTGTTCCATTGCTGGTGAGGAGCTGCATTCCTTCGGAGTAGGAGAGGCACTCTGCTTTTTAGAGTTTCCAGTTTTTCTGCTCTGTTTCTTCCCCATCTTTGTGGTTTTATCTACTTTTGGTCTTTGATGATGATGATGTACAGAAGGGTTTTTGGTGCAGATGTCCTTTCTGTTTGTTAGTTTTCCTTCTAACAGTCAGGACCCTCAGCTGCAGGTCTGTTGGAGTTTGCTGGAGGTCCACTCCAGACCCTGTTTGCCTGTGTATCAGCAGCAGTGGCTGCAGAACAGCAGTGGCTGTAGAAGAGCGGATCTTGGTGAACTGCAAATGCTGCTGCCTGATTGTTCCTCTGGAAGTTTTGTCTCAGAGGAGCACCCGGCCATGTGAGGTGTCAGTCTGCTCCTACTGGGGGATGCCTCCCAGTTAGGCTGCTCGGGGGTCATGGACCCACTTTAGGAGGCAGTCTGCACATTCTCAGATCTCCAGCTGCGTGCTGGGAGAACCACTACTCTCTTCAAAGTTGTCAGACAGGGACATTTAAGTCTGCAGAGGTTACTGCTGTCTTTTTGTTTGTCTGTACCCTGCCCCCAGAGGTGGAGCCTACAGAGGCAGGCAGGCCTCCTTGAGCTGTGGTGGGCTCCACCCAGTTCGAGGTTCCCAGCTGCTTTGTTTACCTAATCGAGCCTGGGCAATGGCAGGCGCCCCTCCCCCAGCTTCGCTGCTGCCTTGCAGTTTGATCTCAGACTGCTGTGCTAGCAATCAGTGAGACTCCATGGGTGTAGGACCCTCCGAGCCATGTGCGGGATATAATCTCCTGGTGTGCTGTTTTTTAAGCCCATTGGAAAAGCGCAGTATTAGGGTGGGAGTGACCTGATTTTCCAGGTGCCCTCTGTCACCCCTTTCTTTGACTGGGAAAGGGAACTCCCTGACCTCTTGCGCTTCTCTAGTGAGGCAATGCCTCGCCCTGCTTCGGTTTGTGCACAGTGCGCTGCACCCACTATCCTGCACCCACTGTCTGGCACTCCCTAGTGAGATGAACCCAGTACCTCAGATGGAAATGCAGAAATCACACGTCTTCTGCGTTGTTCACACTGGGAGCTGTAGACCGGAGCTGTTCCTATTTGGCCATCTTGGCTCCACCCCTCCCAATTATATTTTTATATTTATTGTTTATCTTACTTGCTAGTCTTAAGATACCAGGATAGGAACTGTGTTTTTTTCAAAAAGATATCTACCAGTCCCTGCCAGATGCTAGGCTCAATATTACCTATTTTGTTGTTGTTGTTGACAATGTTGTTATTATTGCTGAGGTAAACAAGGACTACATGAAGAGGAGTTTTATATACCATGTTAAAGAATTATAATTTTACACTGTAGGCAAGTAATGACATTAAATAGTTTGAAACATGAGTATTAAATTGCTTTGTCTTTTACATATCTCATCTTGGTAGCAACTTTGAGGATGATTGGTGGCCAGGGTAAAAATGGAAATAAGAGCAAGATTAAATGCAGTGCAAGTGAATATTATAGCAAAAATCTAATAGAATAAGAGCCCGATTGAAAAGATATAGTAGAAAAATGGAAGAAATAGATTGGTGCAAAATTAAAAAGCTAGGTGAACAAGACATTTTTGCTTTTATTCAAAATGAAGAAACAGGAAGTGTGTTTACTGTCCCACCAGAAACAACTAAAAACAAAGCCAAACATGTGTAACAATGATTTTCAAGACACTGAAAATGAGGCAACAAGAAGAGTTGTTGCCTGGATCTCAAAGATAGTGATCCATGAGAGATGAGAAGCTAAGCTGAGTTTACTGCCTTGAGATAGTTTCCAGGCTACCATGGAATAGGAAACCCAGAGAATGATCAGAGGAGTCTCAGAGTTGGGAAGAAGCAGCTGAGAATCTGGGAGACTAAGGTGGCTAGAATTCACAGCAAATAGTCTCACAGAGGAGAAACTTGCAAGAAGAAAGAGAGAGAGAGAGAGAGTAGGGAGGAGGCAAGGAGAGAGAGCTGAATATCTGTAGAGTCCCCTTTGAGTATTCAGCTGAGTATTGTTAAGTGCATGCATGTGAGCAAATCACCTGAGCCTGGGGAAAGAATAATGAAAGGATTAGAGTTACACACAGGGCCAGGAAAAGTGACTGTTCACATGGAAAACTCACAAGTCATGGGGTATTGGGTAGAGTTCACAGATGAGTCTTACCACAGTGGTGGGAAATAAGTAGCCCTAGCTACTTGCTGATTAGATCCCACCTAACAAATTTTAAAGACAAGACCCAAAGAATCAAATTGTTTCCAAGAATATAACAACATTCTAGACTAAACGTTAGAATATCTAAAGCAATAAAAATAATTTAAAACTCAGCGAAGTTTAGTTTACAATGTCTGGAATTAAACAAAATATTACTTAGTGCTATGGTCTAAATGTTTGTGTCTCCTCAAAATTCATATGTTGAAATCCTAACCTCAAAGGTATTAGTAGGTAGGGCCTTTGGGAGATAATTAGGTCATGAGGGCTCTGCCTTCATGAATGGGGTTATTGCCCTCATGAAAGAGATCCCTGAGAGAAGACTGATCCCTTTTGCCGTGTGAAGTACAGCTAAAAAATGGTAATCTATAACCCTGGAAGTGGACTCTCACCAGACACTGAATCTGACAGCATCTTGATCTTGAACTTCCAGCCTCCAAAACAAAGAAATAAATTGCTGTTTATAAAACTCGGAGTCTATGTTGTGTAGTTTCTTTTTTGGGGAGTTGGGGAGAGTGCTGATTATAATCTCAAAACATGCAATTACAAATGCCATAATCCTAAATGTTAAAATCCCAAAGTTCAAAATCCCTAAAGATCAACATCTCTGAAATCTAAAAATTCCTAACATCAAAAATTGCAAAAATTACAATTCAGAATGTTGAAATTCTGAAAGTTGAATTCTGTGGAACAGATCAGTACATTTTTGGTTGCATACAGGATAGTTGCATTCTGTTGTTTACAACACGTTAGGCGGAACTATTCCCTTGGTATTGTCTTTATTTGGAAATTAAATATAGGTTAAGGAGATGCAATTAAGTATGGGTGCCAAGTTGACAAGGGGTGGATTTATAGACATAATTTTAGGTGTCAACTTGATTGGATTAAGGATTCTAGACACTTGATAAAGCATTATTTTTCATGTCTGTAAGAGTGCTTCCAGACACATCCAAAATAATGGATAAGATTAGTGTGTGAGTCTGAGTGGACTAGGTGGGGAAGATCTTCCCTCAGCGCTGGCCTGCATCAGGGATCCAGAGAGAACAAATACAGAAGGAAAATTGGTCTCTCTTTGAGAGCTGGGCCAGACTTTTCTTGTGCTACTTTGGACAGCAGAACTGCAGGCTCACTGGCCTTTCGACTTCAGCACTTACATCTGGAGTGGCTCCAGAATGCTAAGACTTTTGGTCTCAGACTGAGAGTTACACCATGGGCTCCCCTGGTGCTCAGGCCTTTGGACTTGGGCTGAGTCATGCTACAGTCATCCCATGGTCTTCAGCTTACAGAAAGCCTATCATGGGACTTTTCAGCCACCAAAATTATGCAAGCCAATTCCCCTAATAAATTCTCTCTCAATGTCTATATATATATATGTCTTACTGGATCCGCCTCTCTGAAGGACCCTGACTAATACAGATTTGGTATTGGGGAAGCCAAATTGATTCCTTCTTACGGTATTTTATGACACAGTGAAAGAGACTGTGAAATTTTACTCTTGTAAAATGTTGTGATTAAGTGTGCAAGTCTAGATAATGGCAAAAGATAAAGTTTAAAAGCTAATTGTTATTGGTGCTGTAAAAACAGAAAATAGGTTAATTTCAATAGCAGTGTTGGACAGTATATTCTTACAAATCTTATACCGTGTGATTCTATTTATATAGAATTCTGGAAAGTGAAAATTAATCGACTGTGACTAGATGCAGTGGTTGCTTAGAGATGGATGGGAAGGAGTGCAAGGAAAGAATCACAATGAGGGGTAATCATGATGAAGTTTTTTGGAGTAATTGATATGTTCATTGTCTTTATTGTGTTGATAATTTCACAGGTATACACATACGTCAAAACTAAACTAATGGAACACTTAAATATGTGCAGCTTATTGTATATTAACTATGCTCCAATAAAGATGTTTTTAAAAATCTTTGTGAGCTATTATTGGTGGAGGACAAAAGAAAGAGAGAAGTCCACCAGCAGCTCAATCTTTAAGATTTACAACAATTGTGAAGTCAAACCCTCCAAAAAGGGCCAGGCTTGGGGGAAGCTGAAGACACAAAAATGTTGAGTGGACCTGTAGGTTAGCAGATGATTTACTCAGAAATTTGTGACATTTTTATGTGGGCATATTCATGGGGAATGGGAAAAAGAAGAGGAATAAATAAAGGGAATGGTATCAGATTTTGAAACTTGTTCTGAATTTTGGAATAGATTTGAGGCTTGTTAGTAATCTCATCGTGTCCTTTTTCAGAATAAAGTCACTAATTTTGTCAAAGTCAGATAGGTTTTTAATAGTGAAATAAGTTTCTGTATTGCTGCATTGAAAATCTCTACATATAAATTGCAGGTGTATGGTATTATGTAAATTCTGGGACAAGCCCATGCCTTTTTCTTACTCAGTTTTCTACCACCCAACAAGACAGAATGTGTGCTCTCTTCTTAATTTGTCCAATATATAGCCTCTTTAGAATGCTGAGCAAACTCAAGTTCAACTTTTTTTCCTTAGGTTCAACCAATCACTGAATAACATTATTATTATTTTCTTTTTTTCTTATATACAGTAAACTCTAGAGAGTTTACCAAAAAAGAAAAAAAAAGAAAAAGAAAAAGAAAAAAAAAAGCTGTTAGAACTAATAAATGAACTCGGTAAATTTGCAGGATACAAAAAACATTTTTTAGGGCTGCATTTCTTTATTTTATTTTTATTATTATTATTTGAGACACAGTCTCTCTCTGTCGCCCAGGGTGGAGTGCAGTGGCATGATCTTGGCTCACTGCAACCTCTGCCTCCCGGTTCAAGTGATTCTCTTGCCTCAGCCTCTGAGTAGCTGGGATTACAGGCGTGTGCCACCACGCCCAGCTAACTTTTGTATTTTTAGTAGAGAGGAGGTTTCACCATGTTGGCCAGGCGGGTCTCAAACTCCTGACCTCAAGTGATCTGCTTGCCTCAGCCTCCCAAAGTTCGGGGATTACAGGCGTGAGCCACCGCGCCCAGCCCTGACTCCTCTTACTCTTTAATTAACTCAATTTTGTTCTTATCTCAGATTATTCCCCCTTACTATTCTAGTATGTTGAATACAACTTTAAGCTATGCATTTGGAAACTCAGTCATTTACAAGGAACATACAAAATGCGCACATTGGCATAATATGGCATATGCGTATTGCATATAATTCGTTCATTGTGGGCTGCTTATTGACTAATAGTTTTGATTTCATCATATTCTGATTTTTTTTGCCTGGTTCTAGTAATTGGATTTTTGTTTTGTTTATGCTTTGTGACAAAGTTTGTGTCAAGTTCCATTCCAGGAGTTTGTTTTATTTGATCTACTTATGCTTTACTTGCTGCCTTGACTATCTCTACAGATGAATGGGTGATTTATGACTGGGAGTCTTGCTTTCCCAAAAATATTTATGGAAATAGAACATAGAGTAATAAGGAAGACCCTGAAGGGTGGCAAGCAGAGTAGTGATATAATCGAATTTCTGTTTTCAACGATGACTCTGACTACGGTATAAAAGAGAGCTCACAAAAGGGCAAAAGTATATGTAATAATGCCTTATAGAAGGGTCATATAGTGTTTAGTGACAATGAGATTTGGTAGAAATGATGGGATGTAGAGGTGGACTCACCAGTGTTTAATTATTACTGGAATAAATGACTGCCTAACTAGCCAAATAAAGTATATAGATGTACCAATAATAATATTCCATTTCCCAAGGCTTATCATTGATTCAATTATGTCCACTTGAAATCCAAAAGTAGACGAAACAAAAAATAAATGCATATATGTGTCAACCTAAATAACAAACAGAGGCTTTCTAGAAGAAAATGATATTTATTCAGGAATAGGGCACTGCAATGAGAATACACGTGCCATCGTAAACTTGTGCATGTTCAGGGAAGAAAGACGAAGGTTTTTAAAGAAAAAATGAGGAGGATTACCTGATTATTTTGATATAATTATTCTTGGCTACAAAGATCAATAACAGGGGTGATACCAATTCAAGGTTAGACAGGAAATGGCTGGACAGATGTCCTTGCAGAAGTATTTTTGTGTGTGTATGGATGTGATGGCCTTGTGTTTTTTGCAGTTTTTTGTGATAATTTTTGTTATCAGGCATTTATGCATGAGAACCCTCTCTTCACAGCCTTCCCAGCTCTATTTGTCAGGGTTTGTTCTGTTTTGGTTTGGTTTTCGCTTTTTTTTTTTTTTTGAAGAAACAAACAAACAAAACACTAGTGACTCCATTTGGATTCTGAGAACTTTCTCATTTTCCCCTTTTGATCAAGATCTTTCTCCGAGGGATGAAGTCCACTTGATTATGGTGGATAAGCTTTTTGATGTGCTGCTGGATTCGGTTTGCCAGTATTTTATTGAGGATTTTTGCATCAATATTCATCAAGGATATTGGTCTAAAATTCTCTTTTTTGGTTGTGTCTCTGCCAGGCTTTGGTATCAGGATGATGCTGGCCTCATAAAATGAGTTAGGGAGGATTCCCTCTTTTTCTATTGATTGGAATAGTTTCAGAAGGAATGGTACCAGTTCCTCCTTGTACCTCTGGAAGAATTCGGCTGTGAATCCATCTGGTCCTGGACTCTTTTTGGTTGGTAAGCTATTGATTATTGCCACAATTTCAGAGCTTGTTATTGGTCTATTCAGAGAGTCAACTTCTTCCTGGTTTAGTCTTGGGAGGGTGTCTGGATTAAGAAAATGTGGCACATATACACCATGGAATACTATGCAGCCATAAAAAATGATGAGTTCATGTCCTTTGTAGGGACATGGATGAAACTGGAAATCATCATTCTCAGTAAACTATCACAAGAACAAAAAACCAAACACCACATATTCTCACTCATAGGTGGGAATTGAACAATGAGAACACATGGACACAGGAAGGGGAACATCACACTCTGGGGACTGTTGTGGGTTGTGGGGAGTAGGGAGGGATAGCTTTAGGAGATATACCTAATGCTAAATGACAAGTTAATGGGTGCAGCACACCAGCATGGCACATGTATACATACGTAACTAACCTGCACATTGTGCACATGTACCCTAAAACATAAAGTATAATAATAATAAAATAAAATAAAATAAAATAAAATAAAAAGATCTTTCTCCAAAAGCATAATTGATCAATCATCTCATAGTTAGGTTTTGAGGTCCCTCAGTGCTGGGATGAACCTGTTCTAGGTTGCTGGTCTAATCTCACACTAGAGGGAGTAAATGGAGGCTAACAGTCAGTTTCAAAACCCTTTTAGTAACATTAGAGCAAGAAGGGAGTTTTGAAGAAAGCGACTCTCAGGCTTTCTACCTGGATGGTGTTCATTACATAGTTTAATTTTGTCTATTCCATAGTTTTTTGTTATCATCTCGAAGTGTTAGGCCAGTATTATTTTGCCAGGAATTGTACTTCTGAAAAAAAATTAACAAGTAACAGATAAGAAGTTTTAAAAGGGAAAATACAAAGTAAAATTCATACTAATATGACAATCCAAGTTTGCATGATGGTTTTGAGCCATGAACCCAGGCTAAGAACAACGAATTGTATAAATCAAGTAACCATTATCTTCGCAAGTAAAAAAGTGGGCATTAAGAGCGGTAAGAGTCTCATTATGACATATAGTCTTATTGTGAAACCTTCAGAAAAGCTATCTACAGCATGGAAACATCAACTTCTCATCCTGGTTTATAGGTGGAATTATGGAATTGGGTGGTTTGGTAACTTTCTTGTGACCAAAGCAACAAGCATGAAACTTATTCCTTAAAATTCATCTAGTTTCAGCTTATAGGAGTTCAGGAAGAGAGCAGTTCTTGTTTTTAGCAATTCCATGGAAGAAAGCTGGATTGGGCCGGATGTGGCAGCTCATATCTGTGATCCCAGCACCTTGGGAGGCAGAGGCAGGTGGATCACTTGAGGTCAGGAGTTCAAGACCAGTCTGACCAACATGGTGAAACCCTGTCTCTACTAAAAACACAAAATTAGCTGGGTGGTGGCACACGCCTGTAATCCCAGCTACTTTGGAGGCTGAGGCAGGAGAATGGCTTGAACCTGGGAGGCAGAGATTGCAGTGAGCTGATATGGTGCCATTGCACTCCAGCCAAGGCAACAAGAGCAAAACTCTGTCTCAAAAAAAAAAAAGAAAGAAAGAAAGAAGAAAGAAAGAAAGAAAGAAAGAAAGCAGGAAAGAAAGAAAGAAAGAAAGAAAGAAAGAAAGAAAGAAAGAAAGAAAGAAAGAAAGAAAGAGAAAGAAAGAAAGGAAGGAAAAGAAAAGAAAAAAAGAAAAAGAAGGCTGGATTGGAGGAATCTAAAAGAATTCAGGATCTAGTCTAGTCCATAGTTAAACAACAAAAACTCAAAAACAATGCACAGAGATACAATCCAATAATAAGTATATTATAGCTTTTCTTTAGAAACATAACTTTCCCTAATACCATATAGGAATCTCAGATTTAAATAACTCTTTAGGCTAGGAAGGTAAACCAAGGCTGAGTTTACATTTTGCCTACAATTTTAAGGTTCCTGGCCCTTCCAGGAAGTGACCATTTTTACTCACTCACTGTAAGGCTGAGAATCATTGAAGTCAGGCATTCTATGCACATTTTCAAATATGATATTTTAGTCAAATCCCTGGTAATATAATCAATGTTTCCAACTGTATCCTGCTATAAAGAGAAGGCAGATTATTATTGGACTTATTCAACTAACCTAATTGTTATAAAAATAAAAACACTTATAAATAGTTTCCAAATTTTAGAGAGATCAGGTAGGGAGAAAAAGCAAATGCTTTTATCTTTGTTCATAAAAGTATACTTTACCAAATTGCTTTGTTTATATTGTAAACTATACATAGCTTAAAAGAGAAAATTTCCTTAAATATGGAAAACAAAATATTTAAGCAAATAATCAATGCTTTATTTTTTAATTTTATATAAGATCTTTTTAAATTTTTTTTAAATTTTTGTGGGTGCATAGTAGGCATATATGTTTGTGAGGCACGTGGCATGTTTTGATACAGGCATGCAATGTGTAATAATCACATCATGGAGAATGGAGTATTCATCCCCTCAAACATTTATATTTTGTATTACAAGCAATCCAATTACACACTTTTAGTTATTTTAAAATGTACAATTAAGTTATTATTGACTATCAGCACCCTCTTGTGCTATCAAATAGTATGTCTTATTCATTCTTTCTAACTTTTTTCGTACCTATTAACCATCCCCACCTTACCCCCAGCTCCCCACTACTCTTCTCAGCCTCTGGTAACCATCCTTCTACTCTCTATATCCATGATTTCAATTGTTTTGACTCTTAGTTCCCACAAATAAGTGAGAACATGTTTGCTTTTCTGTGCCTGGGTTATTTCACTTAGCATAATGATCTTCAGTTCCATCCATGTTGTTGCAAAGTACAGAATCATGGCAGAATAGTACTCCATTATGTATAAGTACCAAATTTTCTCTATCCATTAATCTGCTGAGGGCCACTTAAGTTGCTTTCAAATCTTAGCTATTGTGGACAGTACTGCAACAAACATGGGAGTGCAAATACCTATTCGATATGCTGATTTTCTTTCTTTTGGATGTGTGCCCAAAAGCAGTGGGATTGCTGGATCATATGGTAGCGCAATTTTTCATTTTGTGAGAAACCTCCAAACTGTTCTCCATAGTGGTTGTACTAATGTACATTCCCACCAACAATGTAGGAGTGTTCCCTTTTCTCCACTTTCTCATCAGCATTTATTGCCTGTTTTTTTTTTATGTAAGCCTTTTTAACTGGTGTGAGATGATATCTCATTGTAGTTTTGATTTGCTTTCTCTTATGATCAATGATGTTGAACACCTTTTCATGTGCCTGTTTGCCTTGTGTATGTTTCCTGAAAAATGTCTACAAATCTTTTGCCCATTTTTTGATCAGATTATTAGATTTTTTCCTATACAGCTGTTTAAACTCCTTATATATTCTGGTAATTAATCCCCTGTCAGATAAGTAGTAAATATATTCTCCCATTTTGTGGATTTTCTCTTCACTTTGTTGACTGTTTTCTTTACTGTGCAGAAGCTTTTTAACTTGATGTGATCCCATTTGTCTATTTATCCTTTGGTTGACTGTGCTTGTGGGGTATTGCTCAATAAAGTTTTGCCCAGACCAATGTCCTGAAGATTTTCCCTAATGTTTTCTTATGGCAGTTTTATAGTTTGAGGTCTTAGATTTAAGTCTTTAGTACTTTTTGATTTAATTTTTGTATATGGTGAGAGATGGGGGGCTAGTTTCATTCTTCTGGATACGAATATCCAGCTTTCTTAGCACCATTTATTGAAGGGACAGTTTTCCCTAGTGTATGTTCTTGGTACCTTTGTCAAAAATGAGTTCACTATAGGTGTTTGGATTTGTTTCTGGGTTCTCTTTTCTGTTCCATTGGTCTTTGTGTTTGTTTTCATGCCAGTGTGATGCTGTTTTGGTTACTACAGCTCTGTAATATAATTTGAAGTCAGGTAATGTGATTCCTCCAGTTTTATTCTTTTTGCTTAGGATAGCTTTGTCTATTCTGGCTCTTTTGTAGTTCCATATAAATTTTAGAATATGTTTCTATTTCTGTAAAGAATGCCATTGTTATCTTGATGTGGATTGCATTGAATATATAGATTGCTTTGGGTAGTGTGGAATTTTAGCAATATTGATTCTTCCCATCCATGAACCTGAAATATCTTCCCATTTTTTGGTGTTCTTTTCAATTTCTTTCATCACTGTTTTATAGTTTTCATTATAAAGATCTTTCACTCCTTTGGTTAAGTTAGTTCCTAGGTATTTAATTTTATTTGTGGCTACTGTAAATGAGATTACTTTTTTATTTCTTTTTTGGATTGTTTACGGTTGGCATATAGAAATGTTACTGATTTTTACATGTTGATTTCATATCCTGCAACTTTACTGAATTTGTTTATCAGTTCTAATATTTTTGGTGGAGTCTATAGGTATTTCCAAATATAAGACTATATCACCAGCAAACAAGAATGATTTGACTTCCTCTTTCCAATTTGGATACCCTTTGTATCTTTCTCTTGTTTGATTGCTCTAGCTAGGACTTCCCGTACTATGTCAAATAATAGTGGTGACAGTGGGCATCCTTGTCGTCTTCCAGATTACAGATGAAAGGCTTTCAGTTTTTCACCATTCAGTATGATACTAGCTGTGGGTCTGTCAAATATGGCTTTCATTATGTTGAGATATGGTTCTTCTGTAACCAGTTTTTTGAGAGTTTTTGTCATAAGGGATGTTGAATTTTATCGAATGCTTTTTCAGCATCAATTGAAATGGTCATATGGTTTTTATCCTTTATTCTGTTGATATGGTGTATCACATTGATTTGCATATGCCTAACCATCCTTTCATTCAAGAGATAAAACCCACGTGGTCATGATGAATGATCTTTCTAACATATTATTAAATTCCATTTGCTAGTATTTTGCTGAGAACTGTTCCATCAATATTCATTAGTGATATTGGCCTGTAGCTTTCCTTTTTTGATGTGCCTTTGTCTGGTTTTTGTATCACGGTAATACTGGCCTCATATAATTAGTTTGGAAGTATTCTCTCCTCCTCTATTTTTCAGAATAGTTTGAGTAGAATTGGTATTAGTTCTTCAAATGTTTGGTACAATTCAGCAGTGAAGCCATCAGATTCTGGGCTTCTCTTTAGGGGAAGACTTTTTATTATGGCTTCAATCCCATTACTTGTTATTGGACTTTTCAGATTTTGGATTCCTTCCTGGTATAATATTGCTAGATTGTATGTGTGTAGGAATTTGTCCCTTTCTTCTAGATTTTCCATCCCTTTGCATTTGGTTGCTTATAGTAGCCACTAATGATACTTTGAATTCCTGCAGTATTGGTTGTAATGTTTGCTTTTTCATTTCTTATTTTATTTTGATCTTCTTTCTTTTTTCCTTAGTCTGTTTAAAGGTTTATGAATTGTGTTTAAATTTTCTTTCTGGTTTTTGTTTTTATTTTACTTTGAGTTCTAGGGTACATGTGCACAACGTGCAGGTTTGTTACATATGTATACATGCGCCATGTTGGTGTGCTGCACCCATTAACTCGTCATTTACATTAGGTATATCTCCTAATGCTATCCCTCCCCCCTCCCCCCATCCCACAACAGGCCCCGGTGTGTGATGTTCCCCTTCCTATGTCCAAGTGTTCTCAGTGTTCAATTCCCACCTCTGAGTGAGAACAAAACAGCAACTTTTTGTTTCATTAATCTTTTATATTGTTTTCTTTATTTCAATTTCATTTATTCCTGCTCTAATCTTCATTATCACTTTCCTTTTTTACCTCAAATTTTTATTTTTTTGTTCTGGGGTATATGTGCAGGATGTGCAGGTTTGTTACATAAGTAGACATATGCCATAGTGATTTGCACACCTGTCAACCCATCACCTAGGTATTAAGCCCAGCATGCATTAGCTGTTTTTCCTAATAATCTCCCTGCCCCCACCCCACTGCCTGACAGGCCCCAGTGTATGTTGCTCCCATCCCTGTGTCCATGTGATCTCACTGTTCAGCTCCCACTTATAAATGAGAACATGCGATGTTTGGTTTTCTGTTCTTGCATTAGTTTGCTGAGGATAATGCCTTCCAGCTTCATCTATGTCCCTGCAAAGGACATGATCCCTTTCCTTTTTAGGGCTGTATAGTATTCCATGGTGTATATGTACCACACTTTATTTATCTAATCTATCGTTAATGGGCATTTGGGTTGATTCCATGTTATTATTGTGAATAGTGTTGCAATGAACATACATGTGCATGTATCTTTGTAAAAGAATAATTTATATTCCTTTGGGTATATAATCAGTAATGGGATTGCTGGGTCAAATGGTATTTCTGGTTCTAGATCTTTGAGGAATCACCACACCATCTTCCACAATGGTTGAACTAATTTGCATTCCCACCAACAGTGTAAAAGTGTTCCTATTACTCCACAACCTCACCAGCATCTGTTGTTTCTTGACTTTCTAATAATGGCCATTCTGACTGGCATGAGACAGTATCTCATTGTGGTTTTGATTTGCATTTGTCTAATGATAGTGATGTTGAGCTTTTTTTCATATGTTTGTTGGCTGCATGAATGTCTTCTTTTGAGAAGCGTCTGTTCATGTCCTTTCCCCACTTTTTAATGGTTTTTTTTTCTTGTAAATTTGTTTGAGTTCCTTGTAGATTCTGGATATTAGACCTTTATCAGATGGCTAAATTGCAGATTTCTCCCACTCTGTAGGTTGCCTGTTCACTCTGATGATAATCTGTTTTGCTCTACAGAAGTTCTTTAGTTTAGTTAGATCCCATTTGTCAATTTTTGCTTTTGTTGCAATTGCTTTTGGTGATTTCATCATGAAATCTTTGCTCATGCTTATGTCCTGAATTGTATTGCCTAGATTTTCTTCTAGGGTTTTTACAGTTTTGGGTTTTACATTTAAGTCTTTAATCCATCTTAAGTTAATTTTTGTATAAGGTGTGAAGAAGGGGTCCAGTTTCAATTTTCTGCAGATGGATAGCCAGTTTTCCCAGCACCATTTGTTAAATAGGGAATCCTTTCCCCATTGCTTGTTTTGGTCAGGTTTGTCAAAGATTAAGTGGTTGTAGATGGGCGATCTTATTTCTGAGTTCTCTATTCTGTTCCATTGGTCTATGTGTCTGTTTTTGTACCAGTACCATGCTGTTTTGGTTATTGTAGCCTTATAGTACAGTTTGAAGTCCTGTATGGTGATGCCTCCAGCTTTGTTCTTTTTGCTTAGAATTGTCTTGGCTACACAGGCTCTTTTTCAGTTCCATAGGAAATTTAAAGTAGTTTTTTCTAATTCTGTGAAGAATATCAATGGTACTTTAGTGGGAATAGCATTGAATTGATAAATTACTTTGGGCAGTATGGCCATTTTCACAATACTGATTCTTCCTATCCATGAGCATGGAATATTTTTCCATTTGTTTGTGTCCTCTCTGGTTTCCTTGAGCAGAGATTTGTAGTTCTCCTTGGAAAGATCCTTCATTTCCCTTGTTACCTGTATTCCTAGGTATTTCGTTATCTTTGTAGCAACTGTGAATGGGAGTTCACTCATAATTTGGCTTTCTGCTTGCCTGTTGTTGGTGTATAGGAATGCTTGTGACTTCTGCACAATGATTTTGTATCCTGAGATTTTGCTGAAGTTGTTTATCAGCTTAGGAAGCTTTTGGGCTGAGACAGTGGGGTTTTCTAGATATGCAATCATGTCATCTGCAAACAAAGAAATTTTGACTTCCTCCCTTCCTATCTGAATACTCTTTATTTCTTTCTCTTGCCTGATTGCCCTGGCCAGAACTTCCAAAACTATGTTGAATAGGTGTGGTGAGAGAGGGCATCCTTGTCTGTGCTGGTTTTCAAGGGGAACCCTTCCAGCTTTTGCCCATTCAGTATGATATTGGCTGTGGATCTGCCATAAACGGCTCTTATTATTTTGAGGTATGTTCCTTCGATACCTAGTTTGTTGAGAGTTTTTAACATGAAAGTATGTTGAATTTTATCAAAGGCTTATTCTGTGACTATTGAGATAATCATGTGTTTTTTGTCTTTAGGTCTGTTTATGTGACAAATCACGTTTATTGATTTATGTATGTTGAACCAGCCTTTCATTCTGGAAATGAAGCCTACTTGATTGTGGTGGATAAGCTTTTTGATGTGCTGCTGGATTCAATTCGCAGTATTTTATTGAAAATTTTTGCATCAGTGTTCATCAGGAATATTGGCCTGAAGTTTTCCTTTTTGTTGTACCTCTGCCTGATTTTGTTATCAGGATGATTCTGGCCTCATAGAATGAGTTATGGAGGAATTCCTCATTTCCAATTGCTTGGAATAGTTTCAGAAGAAATGGTATCAGCTCCTCTTTGTATTTCTGGCAGAATTCAGCTGTAAATCCTTCTGGTCCTGGGCTTTTTGTTGTGTTGTTGGTAGGCTATTTGTTACTGCCTCAATTTTGGAACTTGTTATTTGTCTATCCAGAGATTCAAATTCTTCCTGGTTCAGTCTTGGGAGGGTGTATATGTACAGGAATATACCCTTTTGTTCTAGATTTTCTAGTTTATTTGCATAGAGCTGTTTAAAATATTCTCTGATGGTTGTTGTATTTCTGTAGGGTGAGCAGTGATATCCCTTTTATCATTTTTTATTGTGTCTATTTGATTCTTCTCTCCTTTCTTCTTTCTTAGTCTAGCTAGCAGTCTATTTTATTAATTTTTTCCAAAAAATCATCTTCTGGATTCATTGGTTTTTTTTGTCAGTCTCCTTCAGCTCCTCTCTGATCTTGGTTATTTCTTGTCTTCTGCTAGCCTTGAGTTTTGCTTGCTCTTGGTTCTCTAGTACTTTTAGTTGTGATGCTAGGGTGTCAATTTGAGATCTTTCTAGTTTTTTGATGTGAGCATTTAGTGCTATAAATTTCTCTTTTAACACTGCTTTAGCTACATCCCAGAGATTCTGGTACATTGTCTCTTTGTTTTCATTGGTTTCAAAGAATTTCTTAATTTCTGTCTTAATTTCATGATTTACCCAGGAGTCATTCAGGAAGGTTGTTCAATTTCCATGTAGTTGTATAATTTTGAGTGAGCTTCTTACTTTTGAGTTTAATTTGATTGCACTGTGGTCTGAGAGACTGTTATGATTTCAGTTATTTTGCATTTGCTGAGGAGTGATTTACTTCCAATTATGTGATTAATTTTAGAGTAAGTGACACAAAGAAGAAAATGTATTCTGTTGTTTTGGTGTGGGAAGATCTGTAGATATCTATCAGGTCAACGTGGTCCAGAGCTGAATTCAAGTCCTGAATATCTTTGTTAATTTTCTGACTCAAAAATCTGTCTAATATTGACAGTGTGGTGTTAAAGTCTTCCACCATTATTGTGTAGGAGTCTAGGTCTCTTTGTAGGTCACTAAGAACTTGCTTTATGAATCTGGGTGCTCCTGTATTGGGTGCATATACATTTAGGATAGTTAGCTTTTCTTGTTGAATTGACCCCTTTACCAATATGTAATGCCCTTTTTTGTCTTTTTCGATCTTTGTGGGTTTAAAGTCTATTTTGTCAGAAAGTAGGATTGCAACCCCTGCTTTTTTCTGTTTTCCATTTGCTTGGTAAATTTTCCTCCATCCTTTTATTTTGAGTCTATATGTGTCCTTGCATTTGCAATGGGTCTCTTGAATACAGCACACCAATGGATTTTGACTCTATTTAGCTTTCTACTCTGTGTCTTTTAATTTGGGCATTTAGCCATTTTACATTTAAGGCTAATATTGTTATGTGTAAATTTGATTTTGACATCATGATGCTAGTTGGTTATTTTGCAGATTTGTTTATGTGTTTGCTTCATAGTGTCACTGATCTGTATATTTCAGTGTGTTTTCTGTAGTGGCTGATAACAGTGTTTCTTTTCCATATTTAATGCTTCCTTCAGGAGTGCTTGCAAAGCAGGCCTGGTGGTGAAAAATTCCCTCAGCATTTGCTTGTCTGAAAAATATTTTATATCTCTTTCATTTATGAAGCTTAGTTTGGCAGGGTATTAAATTCTAGGTGGAAAATTCTTTCTTTAAGAATGTTAAAATTGGCCCCCAATCTCTTCTGGCTTGTAGGGTTTCTGCTGAGAGGTCTGCTGTTAGTCTGATGAGCTTCCCTTTATAGGTGACCTGGCCCTTCTCTCTGGCTGGCCTTAACATTTTTTCCTTCATTTCATTCTTGGAGAATCTGATGATTATGTGTCTCGGGGTTGATCTCATGGAGTATTTTACTGAGTTTCTCTGGATTTCCTGAATCTGATTGATAGCCTGTGTTGCTAGGTTAGGGAATTTCTTCTGGATGATATCCTGAAGTGTGTTTTCCAACTTGGTTCCATTCTCCCCATCTCTTTCACATACCCCTATCATTTGTACGTTCAGTCTTTTAACATAGTTCCATAGTTCTCAGAGGTTTTGCTCATTCCTTTTCCTTCTTTTTTCTCTAATCTTGTCTGTCTGCCTTATTTCAGGAAGACAGTATTCAAGCTCTTATATCTTTCTTTCACTTGGTCTATTCAGCTATTGATACTTGTATTTGCATTATGAAGTTCTCATGTTGTGTTTTTCAGCTCCATTGGGTGATTTATGTTCCTCTCCAAACTGGTTATTCTGGTTAACAGCTCCTGTAATGTTTATCACGGTTCTTAGCTTCTTTGCAGTACATTAGAACATAATCCTTTAGCTCAGCAAAGTTCATTATTACCCATCTTCTGAGTCCTACTTCTGTCAATTCATCCATCTCAGCCTCAGCCCAGTTCTGTACTCTTGCTGGAGACATGTTACTACCTTTTGGAGGAGAAGAGGCACTCTGGCTTTTTGAGTTCTCATCATTTTTGCAATGTTTCTTTTTCATCATTGTGGGTTTACCTACCTTTGATCTTTGAAGTTGCTGATTTTTGGAAGGGGTTTTTGTGGTGTCTTTTTGTTGATGTTGTTGCATTTTGTTTGTTTTTCCTTTAGCAGTCAGGCCTCTCTTCTGTAGAGCTGCTGCAGTTTTCTCACGATCTACTCTAGCCCCTATTCACCTGGGTCCTTCCTGTCCCTGGAGATATTGCCAGTGAAGGCTGCAGACCAGTGAAGATGTCAGCCTGCTCCTTCTTGTGGGAGCTCTGTCCCAGAGGGGCACTGGCCTGATGCAGGCCAGAACGCTCCTGTACAAGGTGTTCTGGAGACTCCTGTTGAGATCTCACTCAAAGAGGAAAAGCAGGGTCAGAGACCCACTTAAATAAGCAGTGTGTCTGACCCTTGACAGGATGGGTGTATTGAACTTGGGGAAATCACCCTTGTCTGGGCTGCCCTGACTCTCCAGACCCAGCAAGCAGAAAAGACTAAGATCATTGATCCACAATACTGCAGCTGCTCCTCTTCCTAGGGGCTCCCCTCAGAATTGCCAGTGTTCCGTCCATAAATCACTGGCTGGGGATGCTGAGGTTCCCACAGGGAGGACCCACCCAGTGAGGAGGAGTGGATCTGAGTCCTTCCCCATCTCACTGGTGCCAGTGGCAAGGGAAAGTGGCTGACTGGAGCCA
Source organism: Homo sapiens (assembly GCF_000001405.40). Taxonomy (NCBI): domain Eukaryota; kingdom Metazoa; phylum Chordata; class Mammalia; order Primates; family Hominidae; genus Homo; species Homo sapiens. The sequence continues at coordinate 7,527,657 of NC_000012.12, forward strand.
CAATGGTGGCAGCTGCCACTCTCCCTGGGGAACTCAGTCTTCTAAGGCAGTTTCTAGCTGGTAGTGCTGGCTGGGGGAGGATTCCAAGCTAGTGGGTTTTGGCTTGTGGAGTTCTATGGAAGCAAGGCCACTTGGCTCCCTGGCTTCAGCCCCCTCCTTATGAAAGTGGACAGATATCTTCCTCATGGGATTTCTGAGAGCTGGAGTATGCCAACACTCCTGTGTCTCAGTGCCTGTTCAAAGTGGCCACCCACCTGAGCAACTGCCATGATTCTGCATAGCTTTGTGCTTAGGATCCAAGGCTTTGGTAGCATGTGCTCAGGAGAGGACTTCCTCATCTGCGAGTTGCAAGGATCTGTAGGAAAAACTTCATTTTCAGTGAGGGAAAGCACAGTCCCTCACTGTCTCCTTTGGCTGGGGGAGGGAACTACTTTTGCATGTGCAGCTTCTGGGTGGGACCTTGCTTCACCCTGCTGTTGCTTGCTCTCCACCCAGCCAGTCCCAATAAGAGAACTTTAATACCTCAATTCAAGATGCAGAGTTCACTCACAGTTTCCATCTTATATGGTTTGGCTGTGTCCCCACCCAAATCTCAACTTGAATTGTATCTTCCAGAATTCCCACGTGTTATGGGACGGACCCAGGGGGAGGTAATTGAATCATGAGGACCAGTCATTCCCGTGCTATTCTCATGATAGTGAATAAGTTTCACGAGATCTGATAGGTTTATCGGGGGTTCTGCTTTTTCTTTTTCCCATTTTTCTCTTGCCACTGCCATGTAAGAAGTGCCTTTTGCCTCCCACCATGATTCTGAGGCCTCTCTAGCCATGTGGAATTGTAAGTCCAATTAAACCTCTTTTTCTTCCCAGTCTCAGGTATATGTTTAACAGCAGCATGAAAACAGACTAATATAGTAAATTTCTGCCAGTGGAGTGGGGCATTGCTTAGAAGATACCCAAAAATGTAGAAGTGAGTTTGGAACTGGGTAATAGCAGAGGTTGAAACTGTTTGGAGTGCTCAGAAGAAGAGAGAAAAATGTGGGAAAGTTTGGAAACTCCTAGAGACATTTTGAATGGCTTTTCCCAAAATGCTGATAGCAATATGGACAATAAGGTCCATGCTGAGGTCTTGGATGGAGATGAGGAACTTGTTGGAATCTGGAGTAAAGGTAATTCTTTTTATGTTTTAGCAAAGAAACTGGAGGCATTTTGCCCCTGCCCTAGAGATTTGTGGAACTTTGAACTTGAGAGATGATTTAGGGTACCTGGTGAAAGAAATTTCGAACTGCAAGGTGGCAGCGAGGGTGGGGGAGGGGCGTCCACCATTGCTGAGGCTTGAGTAGGTAAACAAAGTGGCCAGGAAGCTCAAACTGGGTGGAGCCCACCGCAGCTCAAGGAGGCCTGCTTACCTCTGTAGACTCCACCTCTTGAGCAGGGCATAGCTGAGCAAAAGGCAGCAGAAACTTCTGCAGACTTAAACGTCCCTGTCTGAGAGCTTTGAAGAGAGTAGTGGTTCTCCCAGCATGGAGTTTGAGATATGAGAACGGACAGACTGCCTTTTCAAGTGGGTCCCTGACCACTGAGTACTCTAACTGGGAGACACCTACCAGTAGGGGCCGACTGACACCTCATAGATCTGGGCACCCCTCTGAGACGAAGCTCTCAGAGGAACGATCAGGCAGCAACATTTGCTGTGCTGCAATATTTGCTGTTCTGCAGCCTCCACTGGCGATACCCAGGCAAACAGGGTCTGGAGTGGACCTCCAGCAAACTCCAACAGACCTGCAGCTGAAGGTCCTGATGGTTAGAAGGAAAACTAACAAACAGAAAGGACATCCACACCAAAACCCCATCTGTACGTCACCATCATCAAAGATCAAAGGTAGACAAACCACAAAGATGGGAGAAACCAGAGCAGAAAACCTGAAAATTCTAAAAATCAGAGTGCCTCTTCTCCTCCAGAGGAATGCAGCTCCTCGCCAGTAATGGAGCAAAGCTGGACAGAGAATGACTTTGACAAGTTGAGAGAAGAAGGCTTCAGATGATCCATAATAACAAATATCTAAAGGAGGATGTTTGAACCCATCACAAAGAAGCTAAAAACTTTGAAAAAAGATTAGTCGAACGACTACCTAGAATAAACAGTGTAGAGAAGACCTTAAATGACCTGATGGAGCTGAAAACCATAGCATGAGAACTACGTGATGCATGCACAAGGTTTAGTAGCCAATTGATCAAGTGGAAGAAAGGGTATCAGTGATTGAAGATCAAATGAATGAAATGAAGTGAGAAGAGAAGTTTAGAGAAAAAAGAGTAAAAAGAAATGAACAAAGCCTCCAAGAAATATGGGACTATGTGAAAAGAACAAATCTATGTCTGACTGGTGTACCTGAAAGTGATGAGGAGAATGGAACCAAGTTTGAAAACACTCTTCAGGATATTATCCAGGAGAACTTCCCCAACCTAGCAAGGCGGCCAACATTCAAATTCAGGAAATAAAGAGAACACCACAGAGATACTCCCTGAGAAGAGCAACCCAAGACACATAATTGTCAGATTCACCAAGGTTGAAATGAAGGAAAAAATGGTAAGGGCAGCCAGAGAGAAAGGTTGGGTTACCCACAAAGGGAAGCCCATCAGACTAACAGTGGATCTCTCTAAAGAAACTCTACAAGCCAGAAAAGAGTGGGGGCCAATATGCAACATTCTTAAAGAAAAGAATTTTCAACCCAGAATTTCATATCCAGCCAAACTAAGCTTCATAAGTGAAGGTGAAATAAAATCCTTTACAGACAAACAAATGCTGAGAGATTTTGTCACCACCATGCCTGCCTTACAAGAGCTACTGAAGGAAACACTAAACATGGAAAGGAACAACCAGTACCAGCCACTGCAAAAACATGACAAATTGTAAAGACCATCGATGCTAGGAAGAAACTGCATCAACTAATGAGCAAAATAACCAGCTAACATCATAATGATATTAACCTTAAATGTAAATGGTCTAAATGTTCCAATTAAAAGACACAGACTGGCAAATTGGATAAAGAGTCAAGACCCATCACTGTGCTGTATTCGGGAGACCCATCTCATGTGCAGAGACACACATAGGCTCAAAATAAAGGGATGGAGGAAGATCTACCAAGCAAAGGGAAAACAAAAAAAAAGCAGGGGTTGCAATACTAGTCTCTGATAAAACAGACATTAAACCAACAGAGATCAAAAGAGACAAAGAAGGCCATTACATAATGGTAAAGGGATCAGTTCAACAAGAAGAGCTAACTATCCTAAATATATATGTACCCAATACAAGAGCACACAGACTCATAAAGGAAGTCCTTAGAGAACTACAAAGAGACTTAGACTCCCACACAATAATAATGGGAGACTTTAACACCCTACTGTCAACATTAGACCGATCAATGAGACAGAAAGTTAACAAGGATATCCAGGAATTGAACTCAGCTCTGCACCAAGCAGGCCTAATAGACATCTACAGAACTCTCCACCCCAAATCAACAGAATATACATTCTTCTCAGCACCACATCGCACTTATTCCAAAATTGGCCATATAGTTATAAGTAAAGCACTCCTCAGCAAACGTAAAAGAACAGAAATTATAACAAACTGTCTCTCAGACCACAGAGCTATCAAACTAGAACTCAGAATTAAGAAAATCACTCAAAACTGTTCAGCTACATGGAAACTGAACAACCTGCTCCTGAATGACTACTGGGTACATAATGAAATGAAGGCAGAAATAAAGATGTTCTTTGAAACCAACGAGAACAAAGACATAACATACCAGAATCTCTGGGACACATTTAAGGCAGTGCGTAGAGGGAAATTTATAGCACTAAATGCCCACAAGAGAAAGCAGGAAAGATCTAAAATTGACACCCTAACATCACAATTGAAAGAACTAGAGAAGCAAGAGAAAACACATTCAAAAGCTAGGAGAAGGCAAGAAATAACTAAGATCAGAGCAGAACTGAAGGAGATAGAGACACAAAAAACCCTTCAAAAAATCAATGAATCCAGGAGCTGATTTTTTGAAAACATCAAAAATTGATAGACTGCCAGCAAGACTAATAAAGAAGAAAAGAAAGAAGAATCATATAGATGTAATAAAAAATGATAAAGGGGATATCACCACAGATCCCACAGAAATACAAACTACCATCAGAGAATACTGTAAACACCTCTATGCAAATAAACTAGAAAATCTAGAAGAAAGGGATAAATTCCTCAACACATACACCCTTCCAAAACCAAACCAGGAAGAAGTTGAATCCTGAATAGACCAATAAGAGGTTCTGAAATTCAGGCAATAATTAATAGCCTGACAACCAAAAAAAGTGCAGGAACAGATGGATTCACAGCCGAATTCTACCAGAGGTACAAAGAGGAGCTGGTACCATTCCTTCTGAAACTATTCCGATCAATAGAAAAAGAAGGAATCCTCCCTAACTCATTTTATGAGGCCAGCATCATCCTGATACCAAAGCCTGGCAGAGACACAACAACAAAAAAAGAGAATTTTAGACCAATATCCCTGAAGAACATCGATGGAAAAACCCTCAATAAAGTACTGGCAAACTGAATCCAGCAGCACATCAAAAAGTTTATCCACCACGATCAAGTTGGCTTCATCCCTGGGATGCAAGCCTGGTTCAACGTACACGAATCAATAAACATAAACAGAACCAAAGACAAAAACCACATGATTATCTCAATAGATGCAGATGCAGAAAAAGCCTTTGACAAAATTCAACAGCTCTTCATGCTAAAAACTCTCAATAAACTAGGTATTGATGGGAAATATCTCAAAATAATCAGAGCTTTTTATGACAAACCCACAGCCAATATCATACTGAATGGGCAAAAACTGGAAGCATTCCCTTTGAAAACTGGCACAAGACAAGGATGCCCTCTCTCACCACTCCTATTCAATATAGTGTTGGAAGTTCTGGCCAGGGCAATCAGGCAGCAGAAAGAAATAAAGGGTATTCAATTAGGAAAACAGGAAGTCAAATTATCCCTCTTTGCAGATGACATGATTGTATATTTAGAAAAACCCCATTGTCTCAGCCCAAAATCTACTTAAGCTGATAAGCACCTTCAGCAAAGTCTTGGGATACAAAATAAATGTCCAAAAATCACAAGCATTCCTATACACCAATAACAGACAAACAGAGAGCCAAATCATGAGTGAACTCCCATTCACAACAGCTTCAAAGAGAATAAAATACCTAGGAATTCAACTTACAAGGGTTGTGAAGAACCTCTTCAAGGAGAACTACAAACCACAGCTCAATGAAATAAAAGAGAACACAATCAAATGAAAGAACATTCCATGATCATGGATAGGAAGAATCAATATCGTGAAAATGGCCATACTGCCTAAGGTAATTTTTAGATTCAATGCCATCCCCATCAAGCTACCAATGACTTTCTTCACAGAATTGGAAAAAGCTACTTTGAAGTTCATATGGAACCAAAAAAGAGCCTGCATTGCCAAGACAATCCTAAGCCAAAAGAACAAAGCTGGAGGCATCATGCTACTTGACTTCAAACTATACTACAAGGCTACAGTGACCAAAACAGCATGGTACTGGTACCAAAACAGAGATATAGACCAATGGAATAGAACAGAGCCCTCAGAAATAATACCATACATCTACAATCATCTGATCTTTGACAAACCTGACAAAAACAAGAAATGGGAAAAGGATTCCCTATTTAATAAATGATGCTGGGAAAACTGGCTAGCCACATGTAGAAAGCTGAAACTGGATCCCTTCCTTACACCTTATATAAAAATTAATTCAAAATGGATTAAAGACTTACATGTTAGACCTAAAACCATAAAAACCCTAGAAGAAAACCTAGGCAATACCATTCAGGACACAGGCATGGGCAAGTACTTCATGACTGAAACACCAAAAGCAATGGAAACATAGCCAAAATTGACAAATGTAATCTAATTAAACTAAAGAGCTTCTGCACAGCAAAAGAAACTACCATCAGAGTGAACAGGCAACCTACAGAATGGGAGAAAATTTTTACAATCTACCCATCTGACAAAGGGCTAATATCCAGAATCTACAAAAAAATTTACAAGAAAAAAATCAAACAACTCCATCAAAAAGTGGGCAAAGGATATGAACAGGCACTTCTCAAAAGAAGACATTTATGCAGCCAACAGACACATGAAAAAATGCTCATCATCACTGGCCATCAGAGAAATGCAAATCAAAACCACAAGGACAAAAAACCAAACACCGCATGTTCTCACTCACAGGTGGGAATTGAACAATGAGAACACTGGACATGGGGTGGGGAACATCACACACTGGGGCCTGTCATGGGGTGGAGGGAGGGGGGAGGGATAGCATTAGGAGAAATACCTAATGTAAATGAAGAGTTAATGGGTGCAGCATACCAACATGGCACATGTATACATATGTAACAAACCTGCACGTCGTGCACATGTACCCTAGAACTTAAAGTATAATAACAAAAAAAAAATATTCTAAGCAGCAGAGCATTCAAGAGGTGACCTGGGTACTGTTAAAGGCATTCAGTTTTATAAAGAAAGCAGAGCATAAAAGTTTGAAAAATTTGCAACCTGACCATGTGATAGAAAAGAAAAACCAATTTTTGGAGAAGATATTCAAGCCAGCTGCAGAAATTTGCATATGTAGCATGGAGCCTAATACTAATCCTGAAGACCTTGGGGAAAATGTCTCCAGGCCATGTCAGAGACCTTTATGGCAGACCCTCCATCACAGGCCTGGAAGCCCAAGAGGAAAAAGTAGTTTTGTGGGCCAGGCACAGGGTCTCCATGCTGTGTGCAGTCTAGGGACTTGGTGCCCTGTGTCCCAGCCACTCCAGCCATGGCTGAAAGTGGCCAATGTAGAGCTCAGGCTGTGGCTTCAGAGGATGCAAGCCCCAAGCCTTGGTGTCTTCTATGTGGTGTTGAGCCAGTGGGTGCAGAGAAGTCAAGAATTGAGGTTTGGGAATCTCTGCCTAGATTTCAGAAGATTTATGGAAATGCCTGGATGCCCAGGTAAAAGTTTGCTGCAGGGGTGGGGCCCTCATGCAGAACCTCTGCTGGGGCAGTGTGGAAGGGAAATGTGGGGTTGGAACCCCCACACAGAGTCCCTACTGGGGTACCACCTGGTAAAGCGGTGAGAAGAGAGCCACCATCCTCCAGACCCCAGAATGGTAGATCCACTGACAGCTTGCACTGTATACCTGAAAAATCCACAGACAGTCAATGCCAGCTCATGAAAGCAGCCAGGAGGGAGGCTATACCCTGCAAAGCCAAAGAAGCAGAGCTGCCCAAGACCAAAGAAACCCACCTCTTGCATCAGCATGACCTGGATATGAGACCCAGAGTCAACAGAGATTATTTTAGAGCTTTAAAATTTGACTGCCCCACTGGATTTTGGACTTGCGTGGGCCCTGTAACCCCTTTGTTTTGGCCAATTTCTCTCATTTGGAATTGCTGTATTTGGAATTGCTGGAAGTTCTGTTATTAGCCCTTAAATAAACTTTCTATTCCTATATTTTTCTCTCCTTCCTCTTTAAGGACAATACCTGTACCCCCATTGCATCTAGGAAGAACTAGCTTGCTTTTGATTTTGCAGGCTTATCGGCAGAAGGGACTTGCCTTGTTTTAGGTGAGACTTTGGACTGTGGACTTTTGGGTTAATGCTGAAATGAGTTAAGACTTTGGGGGACTGTTGGGAAGGCATGATTGGTTTTGAAATATGAGGACATGAGATTTGGAAGGGCCAGAGGTGGGATGATATGATTTGGCTGTGTCCCCACCCAAATCTCAACTTGAATTGTATCTCCCAGAATTCCCAAGTGTTGTGGGAGGAACCCAGGGAGAGGTAATTGTATCATGGAGGCCAGTCTTTCCTGTGCTATTCTTGTGATGGTCAATAAGTCTCATTAGATCTGAAGGGTTTATCAGGGGTTTCTGCTGTTGCTTTTTCCTCATTTTTCTCTTGACACTGCCATGTAAGAAGTAGGTTTTCCCTCCTGCCATGATTCTGAGGTCTCCCCCGCCATGTGAACTGTACGTCCAATTAAACCTCTTTTTCTTCCCAGTCTCGGGTATGTCTTTATCGGCAGCATAAAAACAGACTAATACACCATCCTTCTCAGTGGGAGCTTCAGAGCAGATCTGTCTTTATTTGGCTCCATCCCCTTTTATTACCTTTTTTCTACTTATTTTGAGGTTGGTTTGCCCTTGCTTTTCTAGTTCTTTATGATGCACCATTAGCTTGTCTATCTGAAGTTTCCTCTTTTTTTAATGTACGCACTTATAGTTATAAACTTCCCTCATAGTACTTTTGCTGTATCCCATAGGTTTTGCTGTGTTGTGTTTCCATTATCATATGTTTCAAGAAAATTTTACATTTTCTTAATTTTTCCATTGACCCACTAGTCATTAAGGAACACATGGCTTAATTTCCATGTATTTATATAGTTTCCAAAATTCTTCATTATTGATTTCTGGTTTTATTCCATTATGGTCAGAGAAGATGCTTAGTATTATTTCAATTTTTTTAAATTTTTAAATTCTTGTGTTGGATGAAATGTTCTGTAAATATATTTTAGATCCATTTGGTCTATAGTGCAGATTAAGTCTAATGTTTCTTTGTTGATTTTCTGTCTGGATGATCTGTCCAATGCTGAAAGTGGGATGTTGAAGTCTCCAGCTATGATTGTATTGGAACTTATCTCTCCTTTTAGTGCTAATAATATTTACTTTATATATCTGAGAACTCCCATGTTGGGTGCATATATATTTAAAATTGTTACATCCTCTTGCTGAATTGACCACTTTGTCATCATATAGTGACCTTCTTTTTCTCTTCATACAGTTTTTGCCTTGAAATCTATTTTGTCTGGTATAAGGATAGCTACTCCTGCTCCTTTCTGGTTTCCAATGGCATGAAATATCATTCTCCATTTCTTTATTTTCAGTCCTCTGGTGTCTTTACAGGTGAAGTGCATTTCTTGTAGACAACAGATCAATAGGTCTTGTTTTTTCATCTATTCAACCAGTCTATGTCTTTCAATTGGAGAGTTTAGTCTATTTACATTCAATGGTATTATTAACGAGTAAGAACTTACTCCTGCCATTTTGTTGTTTTCTGATTATTTGTGGCCTTTTCTTTCTTTCCTTTAGTGAAGGTAATTGTCTCTGGTGATAGGATTTAGTCTCTTGCTTTTCTTTTTTTTTTTTTTTTTTTTGGTATTGCTGTGTGTTTTCTTGTTTGAAGTTACCATGAGGCTTGCAAATACTCTCTTACAACCCATTATTTTCACCTGATAATAACTTACCACTGTTTGCATAAACAAAGAAGCAAAAATAAAAAAAATTCTATGCCTTAACTTCATCCCCCAACTTTTTAACCTTTTCTTGTTTCTATTAATTTTTTTTGTCTTGACTATGTCTTGAAAAGTTGTTATAGGTATTATTTTTGATTGGTTCATTGTTTAGTCTTTCTAATTAGGATAAGAGTAGTTTACAAAATACACTTGCAGTGTTATAATATTCTGTGTTTTTCTGTGTATTTACTACTACCAGTGAGTTTTGTACCTTCATATGATTACTTATTTCTCATTATGTTTTTTTCTTTCTGATTGAAGTACTGTCTTTAGCATTTCTTATAAGACAGGTCTACCGTTGATAAAGTCTCTCAAGTTTTGTTTGTTTGGGAAAGTGTTTATTCCTCCTTCATGTTTGAAGGATATTTTCACAGATTTACTATTCTAGAGTAAAAGTTGTTGTTTGTTGTTGTTGTTCTTGTTGTTGTTGTTGTTTCCTTCAGCACTTTAAATATGTAATGCCACTCTCTCCTGGCCTGTAAGATTTCCACTGAAAAGTCTGCTGCCAGATGTATTGGAGATCCCTTGTTTGTTATTTGCTTCTTTTCTCTTGCCGCTTTTAGGATCCTTTCTTTATTCTTGAACTTTGGAAGTTTGATTATTAAATGCCTGAAGTAGTCTTCTTTGAGTTAAATCTACTTGTTGTATAACCTTCTTGAACTCAAATATTGATATCTTCCTCTAGGTTGTGAAGAGAAGTTCTCTGTTCTTATCCCTTCCAATAAGGAAGTTCTCTGTTATTAGCCCTTAAATAAACTTTCTATTCCTATATTTTTCTCTCCTTCCTCTTTAAGGCCAATAACTCTTAGAATTATCCCTTTGAGTCTATTTTCTAGATTCTGTAGGCATACTTCACTGTTTTTGTCTGTCTGTTTGTTTTTTTAGATGGAGTTTCACTCTTGTTACCCAAGCTGGAGTGTAATGGCATGATCTCGGCTCACTGCAACCTCTGCCTCCCAGGTTCAAGCAATTCTCCAGCCTCAGCCTCCTGAGTAGCTGGAATTACAGGCATGCACTGCCATGTCCAGCTAATTTTGTATTTTTAGTAGAGACAGGGTTTCTCCATGTTAGTCAGGCTGGTCTCGAACTCCTGACCTCAGGTAATCTGCTCACCTTGGCCTCCCAAAGTGCTGGGATTACAGGCATGAGCCACCACACCTGGCCAACACTAATTCTTTCTTTTGCTTGATCAATTATGCTATTAAAAGATTATGTTGTGTTCTTCAGTATGACAACTGCAATTTTTTTGCTCCAGAATTTCTGCTTGATTCTTTTTAAGTATTTCAATTTCTTTGTTAAATTTATCTGACAGAAATCTGAATTCCTTCTCAGTGTTATCTTCAATTTCTTTGATTTTTCTCAACACAGCTATTTTGAATTCTCTGTCTCAAAGGTCATATATCTCTGTTTCTCCAGGATTGGTCCCTGGTGTCTTATTTAGTTCACTTGGTGAGGTCCTGTTTTACTAGATGGTGTTGATGCTCATAGACATTCTTTGGTTTGTGGGCATGGAAGAGTTAGGCATTTACTGTAGTCTTCACTGTCTTGGCTTGTTTGTTCCCATCCTTCTTGAGAAAGCTTTCCAGATATTCCACAGGGCTTGGGTGTTGTGATCTAAGCTGTATTTGCTTTAGGGGGCACCTCAAGCCCAGTAATACTGTGGTTCTTGCAAACTTGTAGATGTGTCACACTGATGGTCTTGGACAAGATCTGTGAGAATTATCTAAATTACTAGGCAGAGATTCCTGTTCTCTTCCCTTGCTTTCTCCCTCTCATAATGTTTTAAATAAAAGTTATAAAAGTAATATTTTCATCAATTATTAAATCTCATGTAATTAAAATTTTGTTTGCTTGACCTTGATTAGCAATTTCCTGAGCCCATCAGTTTCTTCATCAGAATTCCGGAAATTTTTATTTAGTCTATTAATTTTAAAATTATTAGAACTATGAGTTTAAGAGTACTTGTTAGAGTCTTTTTTATGAAAAGCAATTTTGGACTATAGCCAATTATAAATAATTATAGAGAAAAATAAAAATAATAACTATGGATAACAAAGACTTAGAATAGTTATGGTTAAAATATGATGAAAGTTCACAGCTGAAAAGAAAATTTAGTTTTCTTGTCATTTCTTTACAACATTTTAAGATAACAACCAGAATCATGATTGTGAGCTCATAACAGGTCCACCAGACTTTCATAGATTTCACTTAATCTTTAGAATACTTAGACCAATAACATCCATAAAAATATAACTTAAAAGAAGATTTAACCTAACAACCAAAATTATGACTAACATATTAGATTTTTATAAATTTATATAATTTTTGAAATATTCATCTCAATAATTTATCCATAAGTACAACTAAAAGAAGATCTAGTATCACTTGTCATTTGACTATGCTTTTTATATCATTTACCAAATAAGCCTAATCATTTAAAATCTGCAGGATGAGAGATGTGTTCTTTGAGTCTCTCTAGGGGCTTAGATTGAAAATTTCAAAGTTAATTTTAGTTCAAAAAGACTTCATTTAGAATTCTGGTCCTTGGAAAGCCTGCCAAAGATATCAAAAGGTTCAAAACACTTGATCAAAACAGAATAATAGGTCACTTTGAAATAGCAGTCATTTATTAAACCATAGTGAAAATAAAGACTTCAAAAGCATTAAAGAAAGTTACATGGATTTTAAAAACCTTAACCTCTCAAAGTTCTGCTTTCCTAATTTAAAAAACTGATAAAGATGACATTGGAAAATTATCTTGATAAAATGTAAATTCTTTTTTGTTTATTAGGCTGGGTACCAAAAAAGTTAAAAAAATTAAAAAAAAATTTTTAAACTAAAACAAAAACTCCTTCACTGTGATTGCTTCTCCTTATGGGAAGCCCATTTAGATATCCTTGAGGTTGAGTCTGATGAAGAAGGCACTTGATTTTAATCAGATGTGGGAATAATGATGTCCAAAGCTATGAGTGTACCACATATTATAGAGGAATGTAAACAAGAAAACTATTATCTTGAGCAGGGGAATACATGGTTTTTCAGGACAGTATGGGAAGTATCCTGGATACATGGAATAATTTAGACACATTAAAAAAACCACTAGTACGGAATCAAATTGGGGAAAAACTTTGAGATATTGGCTTTCTTACACAATTCAGCCAGTTCGGCTAAAATGTAAACATTAAAAATGTAACCCTACAGTTATTAAAAATTGAAAAAAAGCATAAAAGTAGGCTGCTAAAAATCAAACTGCTATGGAATCTGCTTTACCCCCAATTTTGGCCCATTAACTTAATTAGGACAAGTGATGTTTAGCCATGTGAACAGGCCTCATTTTGTCAAAAATATAATTTGGATCCAACTGCTTTTTTTTTTTTTTTTTTGAGAAAGGATCTCACTATGTTGGCCAGACTGGACTCAAACTACTGGGCTCAAGGGAGACGCTAATCTCAGCTTCCTCAGAAGCTGAGACTACATGCATGAGCCACTATAACCAGTTTTTTAATCCAGCTGCCTTTTGTAAACCAGTAAGTTTGTTTTACTGTCTCATGGCTAAAATTCTAAAACAAAAGCTATAATACATTTGTGTGAATGTATGTGTGTTTAGGTGTGTTTATCCATGTGTACATGTATTATGTCATATATTGTGTTTACATGGTAAAATCTGATATGGTCAGCCAGAAATCTCTTAAGAAATTTTACTCAGATTGTCTTAGGTAAATGAGCATCAGGCCATAATAGCAGAGTTAGAACTGGAGAAAAATAGTTATGGGAGCTGACAAAAAAGTTGAAGGGGAGACTTATCACCCCAGCTAATCAAAACAAACAAACAAACAAACAAACACCTTTTCAAGGGGAGAAAGAAAAAGAGCAAAAGGCAGTGATGCATTCCTGCAAATCATATGCAAGGAGGTACTTTTTGTTTGGTTGACTAGTCAATGCAGATGGGGAAGCGCTTTAGAAGTTATGTTTGTTTGTTTGTTTTGCTTTGTCTGTTGGTCCCTGTGTGGCAGACAGAGCAATTTTTGTGGCAGATACAGTTTACGTTATTTCTCTGAGCTCAAGATTTTGATCTGTTTAATCTGAGAGCTTAACTTTTTATAAACGTTTGTCTAGTTCTTTTTTTTTCAGAATATTAATTATTCAACTAATTGTTCCATCACCCTGAGCATACATTGGTCAGACAAGCCTAACTAAATATGTACATTTTCAAAAGGTGTTTAGGTTGTTGGTTATAATGAAGCTGTTGTAATTTGTAAAGCCATTCAGTTGAAAGCTTTTTAAGACTTTTTAAAAAGTCTTGGCTGGAGCGCCATAAGCCATCCATTTTATCTCAACACCAATAGAAGAGTTATCAGATTCAAAGTAGGCAGGAAAAAAAGTAGAGACAGACACAAAACTTAGAAAGCTTTACATGTTTGCTCCATAGTTGTAGGGTTTGTTTGTTTGTTTTGTTTTGTTTTTTGAGAGAGTTCAAACAGTGAACACTTGACCTCAGAATTTTTCTTGCTGCTCCCTTCTCTCTGGGATCTGTAATTAATACAGTGCTTCTGTTATTTCATGTGTTTTGCTATGTTGGCTCCTCTGTTTCTCACCTGACCAATACACCTGAACTGAACACTCCTCCCAGGCAGGGCTCTCTTAGAGAGTGGCTATCTTGGTAGGAATAAACTGGACACAGGTCAGAGAAGAGTGCAAGAACATCTGCTAGCTTAATAAAGTTTCCTGTGAGAGGAACACCTGGTGAAGGGGCAGACACTTAGGCATTGAGTTGTCTTCCAGGATAAAAAAAAGTGTCCCATGAAAGACACACTGTAAACACCCACTGCAACCTCTTCTGGAACAAAAACTCGAGGAAAATCACAACAGCTGGTCTTCAATGGCAGTTGAAAATCAAAGATGTCAAAGAGATCACCTACCAGGATCTTTCTTTTCAAAAGAAACATAGAAGGAGTCGCCAGATCTATGTAAGAAAATCCAGCAGGAGGTGAGACCCCATAGCCAAAAAAAAGAAATATTCAAAACAGAAACTGAGGGAAGAGAGAGACCCTCTCATATTTTTTATATTGTTTTAAACTCAGAAAAGGAAAGAGAAGTGAAACTAAAGGCAGGTAGCCTGGCGCCTGGGAACCAGACCAGAAACCAAGGAACCAGACCTGAAATCAGGCCAGGGCCTGCCTGACCTAAGCCTGGTAGTTAAAATTCGACCCCTGACCTAGCAACTGTTGTTGTCTATAGATTCCAGACATTGTACGGAAGGACACTGTGAAACCTCCCGCTCTGTTCTGTTTCACTCTAACCACCGGTGCTTGCAGCCCCTGTCACGTACTCCCTGGCTTGCTCAATCGATCAAGACCCTCTCACGTGGACCCTCTTAGAGTTGTGAGCTCTTAAAAGGGACAAAAATTGAGCACCTGATGAGCTCAGATGTTAAGACGCTAGCCTGCCGATGCTCCCAGCTGATTAAAGCCACTCCCTTCACTATCTCGGTGTCTGAGGGGTTTTGTCCATGGCTCATCCTGCTACAAGACAATTGTCCATGTGTCAAATCATATTAACACATCAGACAAAATAAAGATTGTAAAGATTCTTCTGGATTTGTAGAGTGCAGGTCAATAATGAACTTGGTGAGAAGAGTTTCAGTGAAGTTATTTTTATTTTTTGTGAAATATGAATAAATGATGTAGTACAGATTGTGAGTGAGCTTAATGACAGAACTGAAGGCCAGGTGAGGATAGGGAGAGTGATTTAAAGTGTTTTCTATCTGCTCAGCTATGTTGTTTTATCCAGCAGTGATCACAGCCAAAGGAGGAAAACAGAATGAGAAACAGGATCCCAGTGAAATTTAGCTATCATGTCTCTCTGGGTCACCCACTCACAACTTCCCCATCATTGTGTAACAGTTCATCATTCTTACTAATTCCAGAAAAAAAGTATACTGCAACCCTGCCAAGAAAGAGCTACTTCCCATTCTTTCTGTTCCACTCTACTGTCTAAAAAGATTTCTAGTCCTTGTGAAATGTTCTAACAGGAATGCTATAGATGACAAGTTCTTCTGGTACTCTTAACCATTTACTGCAGTTCCCAAAAGCAGAGACAGTAAAAATTTGCCTAAAATGAAAGTCAAATGTCAGTGTTTTCAGAAAGAGGAATAGTTTGTTTCTTAAAGGAATGTCAGATTGTTTACTTTGTGTCAACTCAGAAATTAAAGACAAGAAAGATAACATTAACATAATCTACCATCAGAAAAGCAAACAGAGAAAAACAGCAGTGCAGACCAACAAGAGTTCCTACATCGTGTGCTGATTTCAGTCCTCCATAATCATAGCACACCTGTATATAGTTCCAAAGGGGCAGTGAAAAACAAGAAAGAATGTATTGATTTACACAATGCTCTTTGCTGAAAATTAAATGAAATCTCTATGAACATGAGTTTGAATTCTGGCCCTGCTAAGTTGAACTGATAAAGTGGAAGGAGGAAAAGTGTGGGCCTTGCTGTTCTGTCACAGTGTTTGAAAGGGCATTCAAATTATTTGCATCTCAAGAAAACATCTTGGAGAGCACTTCCAAGATGGCCGAATAGGAACAGCTCCGGTCTGCAGCTCCCAGTGAGATCGACGCAAAAGACGGGTGATTTCTGCATTTCCAACTGAGGTACCTGGTTCATCTCACTGGGACTGGTTGGACAGTGGGTGCAGCTCATGGAGGGCGAGCTGAAGCAGGGCAGGACATCGCTTCACCTGGGAACTGCAAGGGGTCGAGGGATTTCCTTTCCTAGCCAAGGGAAGCAGTGACAGACTGTACCTGGAGAAACAGTACACTCCTGATGAAATACTGCACTTTTCCCACAGTCTTAGCAACCAGCAGACCAGGAGATACCCTCCTGTGCTTTGCTCAATGGGTGCCACACCCATGGACCCTTGCTCACTGCTAGCACAGCAGCCTGAGATTCACCTGCGATGCAGCAGCTTGATGTGGGGAAGGGTGCCTGCCATTGCTGAGGCTTGAGTAGGTCACAGTGTAAACAAAGAGGCCAGGAAGCACGAACTGGGTGGAACCCACCTCAGCTCAACAAGGCCTACTGCCTCTATAGATTCCACCTCTGCAGGCAGGGCATAGTAGAACAAAAGGCAGCAGCTTCTGCAGACTTAACCGTCCCCATCTGAAAGCTCTAAAGAGACCAGTGGTTCTCTCAGCACAGCGTTCTAGCTCCAAGAATGGACAGACTGCCTCCTTAAGTGGGTCCCTGACCCCCGTGTAGCCTGACTAGCAAACACCTCCCAATAGGGGCCAACAGACACCCCAAACAGACAGGTACCCCTCTGGGATGAAGCTTCCAGAGGAAGGATCGGGCAGCAATATTTGCTGTTCTGCAGCCTCTGCTGGTGATACTCAGGAAACAGGGTCTGGAGTGGACCTCCAGCAAACTCTAACAGTCCTGAAGCTGAGGGACCTGACTGTTAGAAGGAAAACTAACAAACAGAAAGGAATAGCATCAACATCAACAAAAAAGACATCTACACCAAAGACCCATCTGTAGGTCATCAACATCAAAGACCAAAAGTAGATAAAACCACAAAGATGAGGAGAAACCAGGGAAGAGGAGCTGAAACTTCAAAAAAATAGAGTGCCTCTTCTCCTCCAAAGTATCGCAGCTCCTCGCCAGCAAAGGAACAAAACTGGACAGAGAATGAGTTTGATGAGTTGACAAAAGTAGGCTTCAGAAGGCCGGTAATAACGAACTTCTCTGAGCTAAAGGAGCATATTCTAACCCATCGCAAAAAAGCCAAAAACCTTGAAAAAAGGTTAGACAAATGGCTAACTAGAATAAACAGTGTAGAGAAAACCTTAAATGACCTGATGGAGCTGAAAACCATGGCATGAGAACTTCATGATGCATGCACAAGCTTCAGTAGCTGATTTGATGAAGTGAAAGAAAGGATATCAGTGATTGAAGATCAAATTAATAAAATAAAGTGAGAAGACAAGATTAGAGAAAAAAGAGTAAAAACAAATGAAAAAAGCCTCCAAGAAATATGAGACTACGTGAAAAGACCAAATACACGTTTGACTGGTGCACCTGAAAGTGATGGTGAGAATGGAACCAAGTTAGTTAATATCCAACTCTTCAGGATATTATCCAAGAGAACTTCCCCAACCTAGAAAGACAGGCCAAAATTCAAATTCAGGAAATAAAGAGAACACCACAGAGACATTCCTTGAGAAGAGCAACCCAAGACACATAATTATTAGATTCACCAAGGTTGAAACAAAGGAAAAAATGGTAAGGGCAGCCAGGGAGAAAGGTCGGGTTACCCACAAAGGGAAGCCCATCAGACTAACAGTGGATCTCTCTAAACAAACCCTACAAGCCAGAAGAGAGTGGGGGCCAATATTCAACATTCTTAAAGAAAAGAATTTTCAACCCAGAATATCATATCCAGCCAAACTAAGCTTCATAAGTGAAGGTGAAATAAAATCCTTTACAGACAAACAAATGCTGTGAGATTTTGTCACCACCAGGCCTGCTTTACAAGAGCTCCTGAAGGAAGGACTAAACATGGAAAGGAACAACCAGTACCAGCCACTGCAAAAACATGCCAAATGGTAAAGACCACTGATGCTATGAAGAAACTGCATCAATTAACAGGTAAAATAACCAGCTAACATCATAACGATAGGATCAAATCCAAATATAACAATATTAACCTTAAATGTAAATGGACTAAATGCCCCAATTAAAAAACACAGACTGCCAAATTAGATAAAGAGTCAAAACCCATCTGTGTGCTGTATTCAGGAGACCCATCTCACATGCAGAGATGCACATAGACTCAAAATAAAGGGATGGAGGAAGATCCACCAAGAAAATGAAAAAAAAAAAAAAAAAAAAGGGTTGCAATCCTCGTCTCTGATAAAACAGACTTTAAACCAACAAAGATCAAACAAGACAAAGAAGGCCACTAGATAATGGTAAAGGGATCAATTCAACAAGAAGAGCTAACTATCCTAAATATATATGCACCCAATACAGGAGCACCCAGATTCATACAGCAAGTCCTTAGAGACATACAAAGAGACTTAGACTCCCACACAATAATAATGGGAGACTTTACCACCCCACTATGAATAGTAGACAGATCAACGACACAGAAGGTTAAAAAAGATATCCAGGACTTGAACTCAGCTCTGCACCAAGCAGACCTAGTAGACATCTACAGAACTCTCCACCACAAATCAATAGAATATACATTCTTCTCAGCACCACATCACACTTATTCTAAAATTGACCGAATAATTAGTAGTAAAACACTCCTCAGCAAATGTAAAAGAAAAGAAATCACAACAAACTGTCTCTCAGACCACACTGCAATCAGATTAGAACTCAGGATTAAGAAACTCACTCAAAACTGCACAACTACATGGAAACTGAACAACCTGCTCCTGAATGAATACTGGGTAAATAACAAAATGAAGGCAGAAATAAAGATGTTCTTTGAAACCAATGAGAACAAAGACAGAATGTACCAGAATCTCTGGAAAACATTTAAAGCAGTGTGTAGAGGGAAATTTATAGCACTAAATGCACACAAGAGAAAGCAAGGAAGATCTAAAATCGACACCCTAACATTACAATTAAAAGAACTAGAGAGGCCGGGCACGGTGGCTCACGTCTGTAATCCCAGCAATTTGGGAGGCCGAGGTGGGCAGATCACGAGGTTAGGAGTTCAAGACCAGCCTGGCCAACATGGTGAAACCACGTCTGTCCTAAAAATACAAAAATTAGCTGGCCATGGTTGTGGGCACATGTAATCCCAGCTACTTGGGAGGCTGAGGCAGGAGAATCACTTGAAACAGAAGGTAGAGGTTGCAGTAAGCCCAGATCATGCCACCACACTTCAGCCTGGGTGAAAGAGCAAAACTCCATCTCACAAAAAAAAAAAAAAAAAAGAACGAGAGAAGCAAGAGCAAACAAATTCCAAAACTAGCAGAAGGCAAGAAATAACTAAGATCAGAGCAGAACTGAAGGAAATAGAGACATGAAAAACCCTTCAAAAAAATCAATGATTCCAGGAGCTGGTTTTTTGAAAGGATCAACAAAATATACCACTAGCAAGACTAATAAAGAAGAAAAGAGAAGAATCAAATAGACGCAATAAAAAATGATAAAGTGGATATCATCACCAATCCCACAGAAATACAAACTATCATCAGAAAATACTATGAACACCTCTACTTAAATAAACTAGAAAATCTAGAAGAAATGGATAAATTCCTGGACACATGCCCCTCCCAAGACTAAACAAGGAAGAAGTTGAATCTCTAAATAGACCAATAACAGGCTCTGAAATGGAAGCAATAATTAATAGCCCACCAACCAATAACAGTCCAGTTCCAGATGAATTCACAGCCGAATTCTACCAGAGGTACAAAGAGAAGCTGGTACCATTCCTTCTGAAAGTATTTCAATCAATAGAAAAAGAGGGAATCCTTCCTAACTCATTTTATGAGGCTAGCATCATTCTGATACCAAAGCCTGGTAGAGATACACACAAAAAAAGAGAATTGTAGGCCAATATCCCTGATAAACATCAAAGCGAAAATCCTGAATAAAATACTGGCAAACCGAATCCAGCAGCATATCAAAAATCTTATCCACCACAATCAAGTCGGCTTCATCCTTGGGATGCAAGGCTGGTTCAACATACGCAAATCAATAAACGTAATCCATCACATAAACAGAACCAATGACAAAAACCACATGATTATCTCAATAGATGCAGAAAAGGTCTTCAATATAAATCAACAACCTTTCATGCTAAAAACTCTCAAAACACTAGGTATTGATGGAACATATCTCAAAATAATGAGAGCTATTTATGACAAACCCACAGTCAATATCATACTGAATGGGCAGAAACAGGAAGCATTCCCTTTGAAAATGGGCACAAAACAAGGATGCCCTCTCTCACCACTCCTATTCAACATAGTGTTGGAAGTTCTGGCCAGAACAATCAGGCAAGAGAAAGAAATAAAGGGTTTTCAATTAGGAAAACAGGAAATCAAATTGTCTCTGTTTGCAGATGACAAGATTGTATATTGAGAAAATCCCACTGTCTCAGCCCAAAATCTCCTTAAGCTGATAAGCAACTTCAGCAAAGTCTCAGAATACAAAATCAATGTGCAAAAATCACAAGCATTCCTATACACCAACAACAGACAAACAGAGCCAAATCATGAGTGAACTCCCATTCTCTCAATTACTACAAAGAGAATAAAATACCTAGGAATCCAACTTACAAGGGATGTGAAGGACCTCTTCAAGGAGAACTGCAAACCACTGCTCAATGAAATAAAAGAGGACAAAAACAAATGGAAGAACATTCCATGCTCATGGATAGGAAAAATCAATATCGTGAAAATGGCCATACAGCCCCAGGTAATTTATAGATTCAATCCTATCCCCATCAAGCTACCACTGACTTTCTTCATAAAATTAAAAAAAAAAACTACTTTAAAGTTCGTATGGAACCAAAAAACAGCCCGCATAGCCAAGACAACCCCAAGCAAAAAGAACAAAGCTGGAGGCATCATGCTACTTGACTTCAAACTATACTACAAGGCTACAGTAACGAAAAGAGCATTGTACTGGTACCAAAACGGATATATAGACCAATGGAACAGAACAGAGGCCTCAGAAATAACACCACACATCTACAACCATCAGATCCTTGACAAACCTGACAAAAACAAGCAATGGGGAAAGGATTCCCTATTTAATAAGTGATGCTGGGAAAACTGGCTAGCCACATGTAGAAAGCTGAAACTGGATCCTTTCCTTACACCATACAAAAAAATTAACTCAAGATGGACTAAAGACTTAAATGTAAGACCTAAAATCATGAAAACCATAGAAGAAAATCTAAGTAATACCATTCAGGACATAGGCATGGACAAAGGCTTCATGACTAAAACACCAAAAGCAATGGCAACAAAAGCCAAAATTGACAAATGGAATCTAATTAAAGAGCTTCTGCACAGCAAAAGAAACTACCATCAGAGTGAACAGGCAATGTACAGAATGAGAGAAAATCTTTCAATGTACCCATCTGACAAAGGGCTAATATCCAGAATCTACAAGAAACTTGAACAAATTTACAAGAAAAAAACAAACAACCCCATCAAAAAGTGGGCCAAGGATATGAACAGACACTTCTCAAAAGAAGACATTTATGCAGCCAGCAGGCATATGAAAAAATACTCCTCATCACTCGTCATCAGAGAAATGCAAATCAAAACCACGATGAGATACCCTCTCATGCCGGTTAGAATGACAATCAGTAAAAAGTCAGGAAACAACAGGTGCTGCACAGGATGTAGAGAAATAGGAACACTTTTACACTTTTGGTGGGAGTGTAAATTAGTTCAACCATTGTAGAAGATAGTGTGGTGATTCCTCAAGGATCTAGAACTAGAAATACCGTTTGACCCAGTGATCCCATTACTGTGTATATACCCAAAGGATTATAAATCATGATACTACAAAGACACATGCACACATATGTTTATTGCAGCACTATTCACAATAGCAAAGACTTGGAACCAACCCAAATGTTCATCAATGATAGACTGGATTAAGAAAATGTGGCATATATACACCATGGAATACTATGCAGCTGTAAAAAAGGATGGTTTCATGTCCTTTGCAGGGACATGGATGAAGCTGGAAACCATCATTCTCAGCAAACATCACAAGGACAGAAAACCAAACACCACATGTTCTCACTCATATGTGGGAGTTGAACAATGAGATCACTTGGACACAGGGCAGGAAACATCACACACCAGGGCCTGTCAGGGGTTGGGGGTCTGGGGGAGGGATAGCATTAGGAGAAATACCTAATGTAAATGATGAGTTGATGGATGCAGCAAACCAACATGGCACATGTATACCTATGTAACAAACCTGCACATTGTGCACATGTACCCTAGAACTTAAAGTATTAAAAAAGAAAGAAAACAAGAAAATTTAAGTCTATGCAAAACCTGCACATGGATGTTTATAGCAGCTCTAGTCATCACTGCCAAAATTTAGAGGCATACAAAATGTCCTAGATGAATGTATAAATGAACTCGGGTACATTCAATCAATGGAATTGTATTAGTAGGTGAATGAATAAAGGGACTTGGATATATTCAATCATTGGAATTTTATCAGCACTTAAAAGAAATGTGTTACCAAGTTATGGAAAACATAGAGAAACTTTAAGTGTATATTACTAAGTAAAAAAGTCCATATAAAAAGTAAAAAAAAAAAAAAAAGAAATGGTAAATGCTTGAGGTGATGGATATTCCATATATCTTGTTATGTTTATCATGCATTGTATGGCTGTATCAAAATATCTCATGCACCCCATAAATATATACACATACTATGTACCCACAAAAAGTAAAAATTAAAAAAAAAAAAGAGGCTGAACCTGCCTGCCTGTTTTCTTCCTCTCTCACCATGTGATCTCTTCACACTGCTCTCCTTAGCCTTCCCCCATGAGCAGAAGTAGCTTGAGGCTGTCATCAGATGAAGATGCTCAAGGTTTCTGGCCACCATGAGAATTGTGAGCCAAATAAACTCTTTTTCTTTTAAAAAGAAAGAAAAAAAGAAAACACCTTTTAAATCTCCAATTATATTTGAGGCTTATATTATCATTAACTCCCCAAAGCACTAAATCTTAGTCCTGAGAATGTAGGAAACCTTATAGTTTAGAAGATACTCCTTGAGAAGAGCAACTCCAAGACACATAATTGTCAGATTCACCAAAGTTGAAATGAAGGAAAAAATGTTAAAGGCAGCCAGAGAGAAAGGTTGGGTTACCCACAAAGGGAAGCCCATCAGACTAACAGCTGATCTCTCAGCAGAAACTCTACAAGCCAGAAGAGAGTGGTGACCAATATTGAACATTCTGAAAGAAAAGAATTTTCAACCCAGAATTTCATATCCAGCCAAACTAAGCTTCATAAGTGAGGGAGAAATAAAATACTTTACAGACAAGCAAATGCTGAGAGATTTTGTCACCACCAGGCCTGCCCTAAAAGAGCTCCTGAAGGAACCACTAAACATGGAAAGGAACAAGTGGTACCAGCCACTGCAAAAACGTGCCAAATTGTAAAGAACATCAATTCTAGGAAGAAACTGCATCAACTAATGAGCAAAATAACCAGCTAACATCATAATGACAAGATCAAATTCACACATAACAATATTAACTTTAAATGTAAATGGGCTAAATGCTCCAATTAAAAGACACAGACTGGCAAATTGGATAAAGAGTCAAGACCCATCAGTGTGCTGCTTTCAGGAGACCCATCTCATGTGCAGAGACACACATAGGCTCAAAATAAAGGGATGGAGGAAGATCTACCAAGCAAATGGAAAACACAAAAAGGCAGAGGTTGCAATCCTAGTCTCTGATAAAACAGACTTTAAACCAGCAAAGATCAAAACAGACAAAGAAGGCAATTACATAATGGTAAAGGGATCAATTCAACAAGAAGAGCTAACTATCCTAAATATATATGCACCCAATACAGGAGCACCCAGATTCATAAAGCAAGTCCTTAGTGACCTACAAAGAAACTTAGACTCCCACACAATAATAATGGGAGAATTTAACACCCCACTGTCAACATTAGACAGATCAACGAGACAGACAATTAACAAGGATACCCAGGAACTGAACTCAGCCGTGCATCAAGCAGACCTAATAGACATCTACAGAACTCTCCACCCCAGATCAAAAGAATATACATTCTTTTCAGCACCACACCACACCTACTCCAAAATTGACCACATAGTTGGAAGTAAAGCACTCCTCAGCAAATGTAAAAGAACAAAAATTATAACAAACTGTCTCTCAGACCACAGTGCAATCAAACTAGAACTCAGGATTAAAAAAACTCACTCAAAACCACTCAACCACATGGAAACTGAACAACCTGCTCCTGAATGACTACTGGGTAAATAATGAAATGAAGACAGAAATAAAGATGTTCTTTGAAACCAATGAGAACAAAGATACAACATACCAGAATCTCCAGGACACATTCAAAGCACTGTGTAGAGGGAAATTTATAGCACTAAATGCCCACAAGAGAAAGCAGGAAAGATCTAAAATTGACACCCTAACATCACAATTAAAAGAACTAGAAAAGCAAGAGCAAACACATTCAAAAGCTAGCAGAAGGCAAGAAATAACTAAGATCAGAGCAGAACTGAAGGAAATACAGACACAAAAAACCCTTCAAAAAATTAATGAATCCAGGAGCTGGTTTTTTGAAAAGATCAACAAAATTGATAGACCACTAGCAAGACTAATAAAGAAGAAAAGAGAGAAGAATCAAATAGATGCGATAAAAAATGATAAAGGGGATATCACGAATGATCCCACAGAAATACAAACTACCATCAGAGAATACTATAAATACCTCTATGCAAATAAACTAGAAAATCTAGAAGAAATGGATAAATTCCTGGACACATACATCCACCCAAGACTAAACCAGGAAGAAGTTGAATATCTGAATAGACCAATAACAGGCTCTGAAATTGAGGCAATAATCAATAGCTTACCAACCAAAAAAAGTCCAGAACCAGACGGATTCACAGCCGAATTCTACCAGAGGTACAAAGAGGAGCTGGTACCATTACTTCTGAAACTATTCCAATCAATAGAAAAAGAGGGAATCCTCCCTAACTCATTATTTTATGAGGCCAGCATCATCCTGATACCAAAGCCTGGCAGAGACACAACCAAAAAAGAGAATTTTAGACCAATATCCTTGATGAACATTGATGCAAAAATCCTCAATAAAATACTTGCAAACCGAATCCAGCAGCACATCGAAAAGCTTATCCACCATGATCAAGTGGGCTTCATCCCTGGGATGCAAGGCTAGTTCAACATACCCAAATCGATAAATGTAATCCAGCATATAAACAGAACCAAAGACAAAAACCACATGATTATCTCAATAGATGCAGGAAAGGCCTTTGACAAAATTCAACAACGCTTCATGCTAAAAACTCTCAATAAATTATTGATGGGACGTATTTCAAAATAATAAGAGCTATCTATGACAAACCCACAGCCAATATCATCCT
Source organism: Homo sapiens (assembly GCF_000001405.40). Lineage (NCBI taxonomy): Eukaryota > Metazoa > Chordata > Mammalia > Primates > Hominidae > Homo > Homo sapiens. Next base: position 7,553,230 of record NC_000012.12, read on the forward strand.
GAATGGGAAAAACTGGAAGCATTCCCTTTGAAAACTGGCACAAGACTGGGATGCCCTCTCTCACCACTCCTTTTCAACATAGTGTTGGAAGTTCTGGCCAGGGCAATCAGGCAGGAGAAGGAAATAAAGGGTATTCAATTAGGAAAAGAGGAAGTCAAATTGTCCCTGTTTGCAGATGACATGATTGTATATCTAGAAAACTCCATCATCTCAGCCCAAAATCTCCTCAAGCTGATAAGCAACTTCAGCAAAGTCTCAGGATACAAAATCAACGTACAAAAATCACAAGCATTCTTATACACCAATAACAGACAAACAGAGAGCCAAATCATGAGTGAACTCCCATTCACAATTGCTTCAAAGAGAATAAAATACCTAGGAATCCAACTTACAAGGGATGTGAAGGACCTCTTCAAGGAGAACTACAAACCACTGCTCAATGAAATAAAAGAGGATACCAACAAATGGAAGAACATTCCATGCTCATGGGTAGGAAGAATCAATATCATGAAAATGGCCATACTGCCCAAGGTAATTTATAGATTCAATGCCATCCCCATCAAGCTACCAATGACTTTCTTCACAGAATTGGAAAAAACTACTTTAAAGTTCATATGGAACCAAAAAAGAGCCCGCATTGCCAAGTCAATCCTAAGCCAAAAGAACAAAGCTGGAGGCATCACGCTACCTGACTTCAAACTATACTACAAGGTAACAGTAACAAAAACAGCATGCTACTGGTACCAAAACAGAGATATAGACCAATGGAACAGAACAGAGCCCTCAGAAATAATGTGGCATATCTACAGCTATCTGATCTTTGACAAACCTGACAAAAACGAGCAATGGGGAAAGGATTCCCTATTTAATAAATGGTGCTGGGAAAACTGGCTAGCCATATGTAGAAAGCTGAAACTGGATCCCTTCCTTACATCTTATACAAAAATTAATTCAAGATGGATTAAAGACTGACATGTTAGACCTAAAACCATAAAAACCCTAGAAGAAAACCTAGGCAATACCATTCAGGACATAGGCATGGGCAAGAACTTCATGTCTAAAACACCAAAAGCAATGGCAACAAAAGCCAAAATAGACCAATGGGATCTAATTAAACTAAAGAGCTTCTGCACAGCAAAAGAAACTACCATCAGAGTGAACAGGTAACCTACAGAATGGGAGAAAATTTTTGCAACCTGCTCATCTGACAAAGGGCTAATATCCGGAATCTACAATGAACTCAAACAAATTTACAAGAAAAAAACAACCCCATCAAAAAGTGGGCAAAGGATATGAACAGACACTTCTCAAAAGAAGACATTTATGCAGCCAAAAAACACATGAAAAAATGCTCATCGTCACTGGCCATCAGAGAAACGCAAATCAAAACCACAAGGAGATACCATCTCACACCAGTTAGAATGGCGATCATTAAAAAGTCAGGAAACAACAGGTGCTGGAGAGGATGTGGAGAAATAGGAATGCTTTTACACTGTTGGTGGGACTGTAAACTAGTTCAACCATTGTGGAAGTCAGTGTGGCAATTCCTCAGGGATCTAGAATTAGAAATACCATTTGACCCAGCCATCCTATTACTGGGTATATGCCCAAAGGATTATAAATCATGCTGCTATAAAGACACATGCACACGTACGTTTATAGCGGCACTATTCACAATAGCAAAGACTTGGAACCAACCTAAATGTCCAACAATGATAGACTGGATTAAGAAAATGTGGCACATATATACCATGGAATACTATGCAGCCATAAAAAATGATGAGTTCATGTCCTTTGCAGGGACATGGATGAAGCAGGAAACCATCATTCTCAGCAAACTATCGCAAAGACAAAAAATCAAACACCACATGTTCTCACTCATAGGTGGGAATTGAACAATGAGAACACATGGACAGAGGAAGGGGAACATCACACACCGGGGACTGTTGTGCGGTGGGGGAAGGGGGGAGGGATAGCATTAGGAGATATACCTAATGCTAAATGACGAGTTAATGGGTGCAGCACACCAGCATGGCACATGTATACCTATGTAACAAACCTGCACGTTGTGCACATGTACCCTAAAACTTAAAGTATAATAATAATGAAATTTAAAAAAAGAAAAATAAAAAATAAAAAATAAAAAAAGAATTTACTATCTTATTTGGAGACTAGGCAATTACAAATGATGTTATGAGATTTACACAAAGAATGATATTATGAATATATATAAAAAAGAACCTATTAACTCTGCTCTTGGTACTCTAATTGAAGGTTCACAACAAATTCCAGTTCAATAATGTCAGATATTCTTATTTTAAATACTTATATAAGTAAATAAGTGATACAGAAAAAAAAAACCTGTAGGTATTTAAGCAGGGGATAGTATTACATTATAAATTGCCCTCAGAGTCCCTCTCAAATGGTGGTTTCACTGCATTTCCAAAAGTGTCTTCTAAACCATGGTGGGTTTTTTTTGTTGTTGCTTTGGGTTTTTTTTTGGCTTTAGTAACTGAATTATTTCATGGTCCAAGTGGCACACAATAAGAAGTTCAATCTTCAATGCACTTTAAATCCAAGAATTTAAAGTTAAAAGAACAACAAAGCAGGATATAAAGACTATTTAAAAAGTAGGTCCAGTAAATAGTGACGAAATTAGAATGACTGAAGTCGGGGGAAAGCACAGACTGATCAGATTACAGAGACTGCTTAGGACATGAGAATGTTTCCTTTAGTGTTAAAAATAGAAACAGGATATGAGGCAGGAGTGGAGCCCAGTTGTAGTGATCAGGCAAAAATATAGGACAAAATGTCACACCTCTTGGTTCATCAAAATGCTGGTGCTATGCTTGTATAAGAAAGCAGGATTGCCACCGTAAGTTTGTAATTTCAATAATGGCAAAAGTGAAAGAATATTCAGGAGAGAAAACGGGAATTGCAGAAGTCTTTTTACTTCTTCAAAATCATAAAGTCTAGAAACTATGTATCAAAGTTATAAAAAATTAGACCTTTAAAAATTAAGAAGTCACTTTAAAAATCAGATATTAGGGCTGGGCGCGGTGGCTCACGCCTATAATTCCAGCACTTTGGGAGGCCAAGGCGGGCGGATCGCCTGAGGTCAGGAGTTTGAGACCAGCCTGGCCAACATGGTGAAACCCCGTCTCTACTAAAAATACAAAAATTAGCCGAGTGTGATGGCGCATGCCTGTAAATCCCAGCTACTCCGGAGGCTGAGGCAGGAGAACAGCTTGAACCCTGGAAGCGGAGGTTGCAGTGAGCTGAGATCACGCCACTGCACTCCAGCCTGGGCGACGGAGTGAGACTCTGTCAAAATAATAATAATAATAAGATATTAAACATGAAAAAGGAAAATATAGCTTCAGGAGCAAAGAAGCACAAATACCAAATTCTAACATATAAAAGAAAAAAATAAAGAAAACTAAGGCCTTTGCAGAAGTCAAGCCAATCCTGTCTACTAACAATCGCAGAGGACCCATTCTTTACCCAGGGCATATGCTGTGCATTTTCAGGCACATGGCCTCCTTTCATCTTGCCAGGCACTTTATAAAATCATTAATAATTTCTGCATCTTGCAGATAAGAAAACTGAGGCTTAAATAAGTTAAATGCTGTACTCAACATTGTATTATGTAGAAGAACAAGGATTGAAACAGTGACACTTTGACTCCATGCCCATTTTCCTTTCCATTTAAACATATTCTGATAGGATTAGAAAACTCTTTATAAAAAGATCCCAGAAAACTTTATGGCAAAGAAAAGCAAATTGCACAATGAATTTTCATCATGAAGAACACAATCTCAGAGACCAGAAACTTTCATTTAGTCTGAAGAAAAAAAATGTAAACTCTAAGCAAAACTTAAATCCAGAGTAAAAGTGCCAGTACAAATGGGCAAAGAGAATGTAGTGGGCTTCAGAAATATTTGTATCATTTCTTTATTGTCAATGCTCCAGATGGAAGAATGTTACCACTTATTTATAGTATAGAATCTTTTCTCCTATTCTCTGTAGAAAAAAAAAGGAGTAATATGTCAGATAACAACCAAATTTATTCTTTCTATTAAATTCCAAAAGTGGTATGTGAGATTTATGGTCATCCTTGTTAAGTTTCTTTAAAGCTTATGAGCATAGAGATGAGTGTTTTCATAACGGTTTTTTAAAGGAAGAGCGTAATGTGCTTCCCTTTTTTAAAGGCAGCTGCTTGCAAAACCCAGAAACAGTACATCCAGTTACTTGCTGAAAACCTCAGCCTTTTACATCCACAATAAAAATTGAGTACAAAATGTACAAAGCATAGATTTTCCCCATGTGATTATTATTAAATCCTTAATTCAAAAATATTTAAGAATTTATTAATAGGCATCGATCCTAAGGAAGCAAGTGAACAAGATACATATGCAGAGTTATTTATAGTAGTGAAAATTTTGAAATAAATGTGTATCCAATAAGAGAATAAAATTTTCAATAAAATTTAGGACATCAATTCAACAGACTATTATGCAGCTATTAAAAATGATAATGACACTCTAGGTGCTGATATAGAAAATCAGTATTATTTTATAAGTTAGAAAGGAAGGTTGCAGAACATTAAAATATATAATTACATTTTACAAATACCTACACATATTTATATTTTTACATATATCTATATATATATTAAAAGGTCTGAAATGATAAAAATTGAATTATACTTTACTTATTTCTGACTGACCTGTACTATATATTTTATTTTATATTAAAAGTAAAGAAATAACTTTTTAAAATAGCATATGGCTCCCTATGTGTAATTTATCAGGGGAATATGGTTACGTTTGAAACACAGAAAGACAACCAGAAGGAGAATAAAAAATAAAATGAAAAGCAAAGTGTGTATTCCAAGTGGTTATGAAATCTCCCGATATCTAAAGTTAATCTTTAGTTTAGCTGGGCACAGTGGCTCACTGTAATCCCAGCATTTTGGGAGGCCAAGGCAGGAGGATTGCTGAGGCCAGAAGTTTGAGATCAGCCTGGCCAATACAGTGAGACCCCATCTCTACAAAATATAGAAAAATTAGCCAGGTGTGGTGCTGTGTGCCTGTAGTCCTAGCTATTTAGGCAGCTGAGGTGGGAAGATTGCTTGAACCCAGGAGTTCAAGGCTGCAGTGAATCATAATTGTGCCACTGCACTCCAGCCTAAGTGACAGAGCAAGAGCCTGTCTCAAAAAAAAAAAAAAAAAAAACCCACCACCAAGAATAACACAACAACAAACCAAAACAACAACAACAAAAGTCTTCAGTTTAATAGTAAATTATCTGTAATTTGAGTCCTTATCCTGTGGTCCTGCAGAGAACTCAGTCCTTCTGCCTAGAATCTCCAAAACTCTCCCGTGAATGTTTACATGATTTGGTCACTTCTCAAAGTATCCCTTCTCCCTTCTCTAGGACCACCTCTGTTCTCTTATACATTTTTCTTCCTAATATTGCTGCTAATAACCTTTCATGAAGATTTAAAGAATTCATTAGGAAAGCAAGAGAAAACAGAAAACTTAAAAGTGAATATCAGATAATCCTTGCCCTGTGACCATTAATACTGCCCTGTTATAGAGGTTCTTTAGTGGAGAACCAACAACTCCCTTTTTAGCCCCAACCTTCTCATGTTTCTGGGACTTGCTTCTACTCAAAGCAGAGGTCTCTCTCTGTTATTACATATTTACCATGGCCCCTACAAGTAAAAATATAATAATCTGTCATTATTTAATATATAGTAACCTCAACACCAATAAAAAATAATCATTTTGCTTTATTTTGCAGAGCTTTTCCCCCTAGTTTTGGCTAAGTGTTTTAACACCTGGCATAATCGAGGGTAATTGAGGAGTTCTCCCAAACAAAAGAGCCCCTAAACATGTCTTCTGCAATTCCTAAATGTTGAAGTAACTAGGAACAGCTTATAAATCAGTAATGTTTTGTGGTATGTGGTACAGGAGTAATTCAAGAAAAATGATAAGGGCCTGAATTAATGCAAGGGCACATTAAGAGAAGACAGTTAATAGATATTAGAATAAAGAAGTAAATAAATTTGGTTAATGGATGCAGGCACTAATGGAGTGGTGTAGATGACTTCCAGATTTTCTGCCAAGCAAATAGGTTGGAGAAGATCAGAGGGATCTTCAATGTGGTTACAAATACTGGTACACAAGTTTTTGGGTACACAAGTGTTTTAGAGTTCAATATGAATTTGAGATTATTCTGAAAAAGCTAATCCTCAGGTGTCTGGCATTATGGGGAGGCACTGAAAAAAGAAAGTAAAAATCTTCAGAGAATGGATAAGAAAAGAGAAGAATCATTCATACATTTCATGTCTTACCAATAAATTCGACATACAAGTAGGCAGAAAAACGAGTGCCCAACAATAATAACAAAAGTCAGTTGATAAAAAGGAAAAATGTGGCAGGTAAGTTAAAAAGACATTTGTTATTGAAGAAAAGTGGCTTATTATTCTGTGACAGTTTTTATGAACAGGACAAATGACATCTATCATTTTGACCATCAAATCAAGAATGTGACTTAGATGCTGGGAGAAAAATTGTTAGAGAGCCAGTATGAGCAACAATTCAAGAAATATGCCAAGATGGATGGCTATGTAAGTCTGAATGGGGTATTTCTGGGGACTGATTCTAATTCAGATTGGAGCTCAGCTTTAATCCTTTCTCCACTCCATAAACAAAATTAAAAAGGCAACCTGAAACAGAAAGTAAAATCTCTTGGAAGAACTTTGTTAATCTAAGTATAATTAGACATTACAAGATATAAATGGGTAAAATCCATGTATTACCAATATAGATCCTGTCACATACATGAAAAGGATGTTAATGGCAACACCACCAATTTTCAGTGTTCAGGGCAAAATTCTCGGGGTCATCCTTGATCCCTCTCTTACTTCCATGTTCCATATCCAATTCTTCAGGAAATCCCATTTGCACCACTTCCAAAATACATCTACATCCATTGACATCATCCTGATCAGGGTCACCATCATCCCCTGCCTGGAATCCCACTCCAGCCTCCTAACTACTTTTGCCTTTCCTAAGTATCTATTCTCATCAAGATAACCAGGGTAAACTTTTTAAATTTTATGTCAGATCATGTTACTGGTTAATTCAAAACCCTTCAAAGGGTCCCTATCTCATTCAGAATAAAAGCTGTTACTTAAAATGGCCAGTCTATAGGGAAGTAACCAGCTCACCCCACGACTACCACCACTCTCCTCACCTCTCTGAATCTTCTTTGACTATTTCCCTATCTATTAATATCCACCCACACTGGCCATCTTGCTGTTCTCAAGCACCCCACTTTTAGTCCTGATTTAGGGCTTTTGCATTGGCTGTTCCCTTTTCCTTGAATATTGTTCCCCAAATAGCCACCTGGCTAATGCGAAAAATGTTAAGGGCAGCCAGAGAGAAAGGTCAGGTTGCCTGCAAAGGGAAGCCCATCAGACTAAGGCAGATCTTTCTGCAGAAACCCTACAAGCCAGAAGAGAGTGGGGGCCAATATTCAACATTCTTAAAGAAAGAATTTTCAACCCAGAATTTCATATTCGGCCAAAGAAAGTTTCATAAGTGAAGGAGAAATAAAATCTTTTACAGACAAGCAAATGCTGAGAGATTTTGTCACCATCATGCCTACCTTACAAGAGCTCCTGGAGAAAACACTAAAAATGGACAGGAACAACCAGTACCAGCCACTGCAAAAACATGACAAATTGTAAACAACATCAATTCTAGGAATAAACTGCATCAACTAACGAGCAAAATAACCAGCTAACATCATAATGACAGGATCAAATTCACACATAACAATATTAACCTTAAAAGTAAATAGGCTAAATGCCCCAATTAAAAGACACAGACTGGCAAATTAGATAAACAGTCAAGACCCATCAGTGTGCTGCTTTCAGGAGATCCATCTCACGTGCAGAGACACACATAGGCTCAAAATAAAGGGATGGAGGAAGATCTACCAAGCAAATGGAAAACAAAAAAAAGCAGGGGTTGCAATCCTACTCTCTGATAAAACAGACTTTAAACCAACAAAGATCAAAACCAGACAAAGAAGGCCATTACATAATGGTAAAGAGATCAATTCAACAAGAAGAGCTAACTATCCTAAATATATATGCACCCAATACAGGAGCACCCAGATTCATAAAGAAAGTCTTTAGAGACCTACAAAGAGACTTAGACTCCCACACAATAATGATGAGAGACTTTAACACCTCACTGTCAACATTAGACAGATCAATGAGACAAAAAGTTAACAAGGATATCCAGGTCTTGAACTCAACTCTGCACCAAGCAGACCTAATAGACATCTACAGAACTCTCCACCCCAAATCAACAGAATATACATTCTTCTCAGCACCACATTGCACTTATTCCAAAATTGACCACATAGTTGGAAGTAAAGCACTCCTCAGCAAATGTAAAATAACAGAAATCATAGCAAACTGTCTCTCAGACCACAGTGCAATCAAACTAGAACTCAGGATTAAGAAACTCACTCAAGGCCAGGCGCGGTGGCTCACGCCTGTAATCCCAGCACTTTGGGAGGCCGAGGCGGGTGGATCATGAGGTCAGGAGATCGAGACCATCCTGGCTAACAAGGTGAAACCCCGTCTCTACTAAAAATACAAAAAATTAGCTGGGCGCGGTGGCGGGCGCCTGTAGTCCCAGCTACTCGGGAGGCTGAGGCAGGAGAATGGCGTGAACCCGGGAAGCGGAGCTTGCAGTGAGCCGAGATTGCGCCACTGCAGTCTGCAGTCCGGCCTGGGCGACAGAGCGAGACTCCGTCTCAAAAAAAAAAAAAAAAAAAGAAACTCACTCAAAACTGCTCAACTACACGGAAACTGAACAACCTGCTCCTGAATGACTACTGGGTACATAACAAAATGAAGGCAGAAATAAAGATGTTCTTTGAAACCAATGAGAACAAAGACACAACATACCAGAATCTCTGGGACACATTTAAAGCAGTGTGTAGAGGGAAATTTATAGTACTAAATGCCCACAAGAGAAAGCAGGAAAGATCTAAAATTGACACCCTAACATCACAATTAAAAGAATAGAGAAGCAAGAGAAAACATATTCAAAAGCTAGGAGAAGGCAAGAAATAATTAAGATCAGAGCAGAACTGAAGGAGATAGAGACACAAAAAACCCTTCAAAAAATCAATGAATCCCAGAGCTGTTTTTTTTTAAAAGATTAACAAAATAGGCCACTAGCAAGATGAATAAAGAAGAAAAGAGAGAAGAATCATATAGATGCAATAAAAAATGATAAAGGGGCTATCACCACTGATCCCACAGAAACACAAACTACCATCAGAGAATACTATAAACACCTCTATGCAGATGAACTAGAAAATCTAGAAGAAATGGATAAATTCCTGAACACATAACACCCTCCCAAGACTTAAACTAGGAAGAAGTTGAATCCTGGAACAGACCAATAACAGGCTCTGAAATTGAGGCAATAATTAATAGCCTACCAACCAAAAAAAGTCCAGGATCAGACAGATTCACAGCCGAATTCTACCGGAGATACAAAGAGGAGCTGGTATCATTACTTCTGAAACTATTCCAATCAATAGAAAAAGAGGGAATCCTCCCTAACTCATTTTGTGAAGCCAGCATCATCCTGATACCAAAGCCTGGCAGAGACACAACAAAAAAAGAGAATTTTAGACCAATAACCCTGATGAACATCGATGCAAAAATCCTCAATAAAATACTGGCAAATGGAAACCAGCAGCACATCAAAAAGCTTATCCACCATGATCAGGTGGGCTTCATCCCTGGGATGCAAGGCTGGTTCAACATACACAAATCAATAAACGTCATCCATCACATAAACAGAACCAAAGACAAAAAACACATGATTATCTCAATAGATGCAGAAAAGGCCTTTGACAAAATTCAACAGCCTTTCATGCTAAAAACTCTCAATAAACTAGGTATTGATGGGACGTATCTCAAAATAATAAGAGCTATTTATGGCAAACCCACAGCCAATATCATACTGAATGGGCAAAAACTGGAAGAATTCCCTTTGAAAACTGGCACAAGACACGGATGCCCTCTCTCACCACTCCTATTCAACATAGTGTTGGAAGTTCTGGCCAGGGCAATCAGGCAGAAGAAAGAAATAAAGGGTGTTCGATTAGGAAAACAAGAAGTCAAATTGCCCCTGTTTGCAGATGACAGGATTGTATATTTAGAAAACCTTATTGTCTTAGCCCAAAATCTCCTTAAGCTGATAAGCACCTTCAGCAAAGTCTCAGGATACAAAATCAGTGTGCAAAAATCACAAGCATTCCTATACACCAATAACAAACAGCCAAATCATGAGTGAACTCCCATTCACAATTGCTTCAAAGAGAATAAAACACCTAGGAATACATCTTACAAGGGATGTGAAGGACCTCTTCAAGGAGAACTACAAACCACTGCTCAATGAAATAAAAGAGGACACAAACAAATGGAATAACATTCCATGCTCATGGATAGGAAAAATCAATATCGTGAAAATGGCCATACTGCCCAAGGTAATTTATAGATTCAATGCCATCCCCATCAAGCTACCAATGACTTTCTTCACAGAATTAGAAAAAACTACTTTAAAGTTTATATGGAACCAAAAAAGAGCCCGCATTGCCAAGACAACCCTAAGCCAAAAGAACAAAGCTGGAGGCATCACGCTACCTGACTTCAAACTATACTACAAGGCTACGGTAACCAAAACAGCATGGTACTGGTACCAAAACAGAGATATAGACCAATGGAACAGAACAGAGCCCTCAGAAATAATACCACACGTCTACAACCATCTGATCTTTGACAAACCTGACAAAAACAAGAAATGGGGAAAGCATTCCCTATTTAATAAGTGGTGATGGGAAAACTGGCTAGCCATATGTAGAAAGCTGAAACTGGATCCCTTCCTTACATCTTATACAAAAATTAATTCAAGATGGATTAAAGACTTACATGTTAGACCTAAAGCCATAAAAACCCTAGAAGAAAACCTAGGCAATACCATTCAGGACATAGGCATGGGCAAGGACTTCATGTCTAAAACACCAAAAGCAATGGCAACAAAAGCCAAAATTGACAAATGGGATCTAATTAAACTAAAGAGCTTCTGCACAGCAAAAGAAACTACCATCAGAGTGAACAGGCAACCTACAGAATGGGAGAAAATTTTTACAATCTACCCATCTGACAAAGGGCTAATATCCAGAATCTACAAAGAACTTAAACAAATTTACAAGAAAAAAACAAACAACCCCATCAAAAAGTGGGCAAAGGATATGAACAGACACTTCTCAAAAGAAGACATTTATGCAGCCAACAGACACATGAAAAAATGCTCATCATCACTGGCCATCAGAGAAATGCAAATCAAAACCACAATGAGATATCATCTCACACCAGTTAGAATGGCAATCATTAAAACGTCAAGAAACAACAGATGCTGTACAGGATGTGGAGAAATAGGAACAGTTTTACACTGTTGGTGGGACTGTAAACCAGTTCAACCATTGTGGAAGACAGTGTGGCAATTCCACAAGGATCCAGAACTAGAAATACCATTTGACCCAGCCATCCCATTACTGGGTATATACCCAAAGGATTATAAATCATGCTGCTATAAAGACACATGCACACGTATGTTTATTGTGGCACTATTCACAATAGCAAAGACTTGGAACCAACCCAAATGTCCATCAATGATAGACTGGATTAAGAAAATGTGGCACATATACACCATGGAATACTATGCAGCCATAAAATAAGATGAATTCATGTCCTTTGCAGGGACATGGATGAAGCTGGAAGCTATCATTCTGAGCAAACTATCGCAAGAACAGAAAACCAAACACTACATGTTCTCACTCATAGGTGGGAATTGAACAACAAGAACACTTGGACAGAGGATGGGGAGCATCACACACCGGGGCCTGTTGTGGGGTGGGGGAAGGGGGGAAGGATAGCATTAGGAGAAATACCTACTGTAAATGATGAGTTAATGGGCGCAGCACACCAACGTGGCACATATATACATATGTAACAAACCTGCGCGTTGTGCACATGCACCCTAGAACTTAAAGTATAATTTAAAAAAAAGAAAAAAAGAAATATGTCTCTTTATTAAGAAAAACATAACTTTTATCCAAGCTTATTCTTCTAGGTTAAAAAAAAGGAAACACAACTTCTGTTGGAATCAATTTAAAGAGAATATATGCATCAATGGCAGACTGGAAAAGAAAATGTGGTACATCTACACTGTGGAATACCATGCAGCCATAAAAAGGAATGAGATCATGTCCTTTGCAGGAGCATGGATGAAGCTGGAAGCCATCATCTTCAGCAAACTAACACAGGAACAGAAAACCAAATACTGCATGTTCTCACTCATAAGTGGAAGTTGAACAATGAGAACACGTGGACATAGGGAGGGAAACAACACACACCAGGGCTTGTTGAGGGTTTGTGGGTGAGGGGAGGGAACCTAGAGGATGGGTCAATAGTGCAGAAAACCACCAAGGCACACATATACCAAAGTAACCAACCTGCACATTCTGCACATGTATCTGGGAACTTAAAGTAAAATAATTTTTAGAAAAGATTGGGAGATGGGATATATGAGCTAATAATAGTAGTATATTAAGTTGGGCTCCTATCTCATGTGATAGCATTATAGCCCCAGCAAGTAATTTGTTTCCAGGTTAAATACTTTAAGTGTGTGTCAACAGTAGGTATGTTGTATCTCTGAAAAGAATGATCACCAGCTTTTTAACAATTGTAATTGTAACATTAGCATTTTATACTTTCCTTATTTCATATATAAGGCTTGTGCATGTTTTTTAGTTGTCTTAGCTGAGGGTATCTAGAAGGAACTGGAAAGAACAGATATAAATACCTGACATCTTTGGTCTCAAGATATTAGGACTGTTTATACCACCTAAAATGATAAGCATTTTCAGTGCAACCCCATCAAAATTCCAGCGACCTCCCTGCTTCTCCCATTGGACAAATATCCAATTTTCTTATGCAGCATCAGCCCTCTTCCTGAGACACCAGAGTGAAAGTGAAGGCAGGAGTAAATGGATTTGGCCATATTAGGTGCCTGTTCATGATAGCTGCTTTTAATCCTGGCAAAGTGGATACTGTTACCACCAATGGCCCTTTCATTGACCTCAACTACATGGTCTACATGTTCCATTATGATCCCACCCATGGCAAGTTCCATGGTACCATCAAGGCTGAGAATGGGAAGCTAGTCATCAATGGAAATCCCGTCACTATCTTCCAGGAGTGAGAGCTCACCAAAACCAAATGAGATAATGCTGGTGCTAATTATGTCATGGAGTCCAATGGCATCTTCACTACCTTGGCAAAGGCTGGGGCTCACCTGGAGAGGGGAACCAAAAGGTTCATCATCTCCATCCCCTCTGCAGATGTCCCCATGTTTGTGATGGGCATGAACCATAAGCATGAAAACAAACTCACAGTCATCAGCAATGCCTCCTGTACCACCAACTGCTTAGATCCCCTGGCCAAGGTCATTCATGACAACTTTGGCATCAGGGAGGGACTCATGACCACAGTCCACAGCATCATTGCCACCCAGAAGACTGTGGATGGCCCCTCCAGGAAACTCTGGCATGACAGCCATGGGGCTTTCCAGAACACCATTCCTGCATCTACTGGTGCTGCCAAGTAAATGGGCAATGAGAGGGCAAGGTCATTCCTAAGCTTAATGGGAAGCTCACTGGCATGGTCTTCTGTGTTCCCAGCACCACTGTGTCAGTTGTGGAACTGACCTCTTGTCTGGAGAAACCTGCTAGACAGGTTTCTTCAGACATCAAAAAGGTGGTGAGGCAGGCACCCAAGGACCCCTCAAGGGCATCCTGGGCTATACTGAGCACCAGGTTGTCCCTTTGGAATTTAAAAGCAATACCCGCCCTTCCACCTTTGAAGCTGGGGCTGGCATTGCCGTCAATGACCACTTTGTCAAGCTCATTTCCTGGTATGGCAATGAATTTGCCTACAGTAACAAGGTGATGGACTCATGGTACACATGGCCTCTGAGGAGTAAAATCCCCCAATCACTAACCCCAGGGAGAGCGCAGGAAGAAGAGAGGGACCCTTAGCTGCTGGGGATTCCCTGCTGCACTCAGTCCCCGACCACACAGAATCTTCTCTCCTCACAGTTTCCAGATCCTCTGAAGAAGGAGAGACCTAGGGAGCCCCACCATGTCATTTACCATCAATAAAGTCCCCTGTACTCAGCCAAAAAAAAAAAGATATTTTTCATAGAAATAGAAAAAACCATTCTAAAATTTGTGTGAAACCACAACATACTTCAAGTAATCAAAACAGTGTTGAGGAAAACAAAGTTGAAGGCATCACATTTCTTAATCTCAAATTATATCACAAAAGAGGCATAATGAAGCAGTATGAAAACAGACATAAAAACAGACATATAGGCCAGGCATGATGGCTCATCCAGTAATCCCAGCACTTTGGGAGGCCAAGGTAGGTGGATCACCTGAAGTCAGGAGTTCAAGACCAGCCTGGCCAGCATGGTGAAACCCCATCTCTATCTACTAAAAATACAAAAATTAGCCGGGCATGGTGGCAGGCACCTGTAATCCCAGCTACTCGGGAGGCTGAGTCAGGAGAATCTCTTGAACCTGGGAGGCGGAGGTTGCAGTGAGCCGAGATTGTGCCACTGCACTCCAGCCTGGGTGACAGAGTGAGACACCGTCTCAAAAAAACAACAAACAAACAAAAAAACAAAAACAGAGATACAGAGATATGGACCAATGGAACAGAATAGAGAACCCATAAATAAATCTAAGCATGTACAGTCAATTAATTTTTGACAAAGCCACCAAGAAGACACAATGAGGAACAGATAGTCTCTTCAATACATGGTGTTTGGAAAACCCGATATCCACATGCAAAAAGGATGAAACTGGACCCTTGTCTTACACTGCACACAAAAATAAACTAGAAGGATATTAAAGACCTGAAACATTAAATTCCTAGAGGAAAACAGGAAAATCTCAATATTGGCCTTGACAAGGGTTTTTTTGATATCTCACCAAAAAGAACAGGTAATAAGAATGAAAGAAACAGGTGGAACCATGTCAAACTAAAACGCTCTACACAGCAAAGAAAATGATCAAAACTGACAGCCAATGGATTGGGAGAAAATATCTATGAAGCATATATCAGAAAAAGGGTTGAGATCCAAAATATATAAGGAACTCAAACAATTCTATAGCAAAAGATACAAATAATCCTATTAAAATGTGGGCAAATAACCTGACCAGATATTTCTCCAAAGAAGAAGTAAAAATGGCCAACAAGTGTAGCAAAAGGTGCTCAACATCATGAAACATGAAGGAAATGGAAATAAAAACCACAATGAGCTGTCACCTCACATCTATTAGGATGGCTACTATCAAAAAGACAAGAGATAAAACAGTGTTGGTGAGGATGCGCAGAAAACGGAACACTTGTACGCTGTTGGTGGAAATGTAGATTGGTGCCGCCATTATGGAAAAAAAATCTGGAGGTTTCTAATGGAATTTTTTTAAAAAGCCACCATGTAACCCAGCAATCCCTCTTCTGGGCATATACCCAAGGGAAATGCCATCAGCACCTTGTAAAGACACTGTGCTCTTGTGTTCACCACAGCATTATTCACAGTAGCCAAGAGGTAGAAACAACCTGTCTGTCGATGGAAGAATGGATAAAAAAATTGTAGGACACACACACACACATACACAGAGAGGAATATTCTTCAGCTTTAAAAAAGAAAAAGATCCTGCCACTTTCAAGAATATAGGTGAACCCAGAGGACATCATGCTAAGTGAAAAAAAGCCAAACACAGGAAAAATAAATATACCATGTGAACTCACTTACATGTGGAAGATTATTTTTTAATTACAAAACTCAAATACACAGAAACAGAGAGTAGAAAGATGGTTACCGGGCCACAGGTGACGGTGGGGAAAACGAGGAGATGGAAGTCAAAGGATACAACGTTTCGGTTATGTAGGATAAATAAACCTAGAGCTCTAGTGTGCGGCATGTAGACTGTAGTTAATAATACGGTATTGAATACTGGAAATTTACTAAGATTTTAGGTACTTTAGCCACAAAAAAAAATGAAATATGAGATGACGGATATGTTAATTTGCTTGACTGTACTAATCATTTCACTTGTATATGTATATCAATACTTCATGTTGTAATACTTTAAATATATGAAATTTAAAAATCAGGACTGTCCAGATCTATCCAGTGTTTGAAATTACATTTTCTGTCCCACCAGTTATCAGAAAACTACTAGAATAAAATAATATATCTAAGAACAAATGTCTTAGTTGTGTAAGGGTGACATAATTAGTTTCCTCCCTTTTCTCTGAATAGTATTTCTGTTATTTTTCCTGGTAATTGGAGGTAACATTAACTGAGAATTTGGAGGAGATTGTGAAAATTTTGAATAGTACACCAAAGGGTCAAGATCCACTGCTCAGACCTGTACTTCAGCTCAAATAATGTTAGTTGCTATCATGAAGACAATTAAATTACCTAAAGTTTTGTTATGTGGACTCTAGCTAATTATACGTTCTAGTATTGGGTGGGTGAAATCATGTTTTACACAACAACAATCTTCTATTTTATGATTATGTTTATAATTGTCTCACTAATCTCTCATCCTTTTCCTACTCTCTATTTCTGCCTCAAGAATACAAAGTCTGTACCTATATTTACCTGAAAAAACTGGGAAGCCACCATTCTATTTTCTCTGGTTTTGAAGGAAACCATTATGATACCCTTTTGAAAACTATGATACCAAAATTACTGATAGGTGGTAGAAAATGAACTGAAATATGTCCACATCTTGTATGAATAATGGGAATGAGTTTTAATTTTCAAAATATTCCATAAATTGAACATGTGAAAACCAGACAGTAAGCATTGAATGGCAATGTACTTAAGTCCAGCTGGGCTAAAGTAAAGTAATATCCTCCAGAAATTGGAACTGCATAGGAAGCAGTGCCCATCAAACTGTCCTCCCGCTGTAGATATGAGGAAGTAAACATAAGGAAAACTTGTATGTACATACTTTACCTACTGAAGGAACAAAAACAAAGTCAGCATTATATTTACTAAAAAGTAATAGGTAAGATGAGGACTGTCAACATGAAGGGCAAGCAACACCTGAGGAAAGGAAGGAGGCAGAACAATCGTTAGATATTTTGTCATCCTCAGTAGGTATACAAATGTTGTGACCTTTATGAGACATAAACAAACACACACGGGAAGAGAGCAAGATAATATAAAGAGTAAGAGTTGGAATGGGGGCTTGGTGAAGTTAAAAAGCCTTGTGGAACATTAAAAATGTAATACTATAATTAAAATCTGTATTAGAACAAGCAAAGATAATTGACAGTCCAGAAAAATAAATTTATAACAGGAAGATAAAACTGAGAAACTCCATTAGACTATTGAGGAGTAAGACAGAAATAATCTATAGGGGGCATATATGAATAATACAACCAAAGGAATAGAGCTCTTCCTTAAGTATGAATCACAGTAAATGGGGTAAAACAAATAATCAAGAATTTGATTGGAATAACAAAAGTTTTCTAAAAGGAGAAAGATAAATTAAACATGTAGATTTAAAAGGATCATTGTATTTTGGGAAATAAATAATGAAAAGTGACTCATTCATATTATTTGGCAACATTTTAAGTACACAAGAAAAAATCTGAGGAAAAAATCATAAATTTTAAAAATAGGTAAACTATAATGTAAAGGAACAAAATTATACTGGCCTGAGACTTATTTTCTGCAACAGGTGACAATGAATATAGAGTAATGGATTATTGTAAGAAAATGTTTATGACCCAATAGTTATCAACCAACCCATCTGTCATGTGTGAGGATGGTAGGACATTTTAGATTTGTAATGTTTTAGAAAATGTGCACTTGCACACAGTGTCCAAAATTACTTCAGAAAGACAAAAACATAAGTGACTAAGAAAGATATGGGAAAGCAGAACAGGGAGGAAAGCAACAGGAGTGAAAGAAAATGTGTGTCAGCAGGACGTACCAGGCAAGTCCCTTTGGAATCAGCAAAACAGTGTGAGAGGAAATGCTGAGTTTATTATTTAGGAGAATCTGAGGTTGCATTTTTTCCCTCTTGCCATGTTCTTCTTCCTTCCCCAGCCCTCCTTCCCTGGCTACTGTCTCTAGGGCTAGCAAGGGAAGGAGAAAGTAAGCATGAAGAGGAAGTAAGTTTAGAAGGAATGAAGAAATGTAGTCACTGTGAGGCCTATGACCTTTTCCTAAACAGGGCAAGGAAGTAAATTCTGAAGTACAACAATGAAAATGAGGATTTCAGTGTGTTCAGGAAAGTTCACATGATTCAGAAGGCTATGACTTTGGGTTAAAGGACCATTAATTTTCTGTGTCAGTTTTTGCCTTTGTGACCATGATGTTTAATATTTGTCTGACCTTACTTGAATGCTAGTGATCCTTACACAGACATGGGATAAAAAAGAAATGATAGCTAGAGTTGTATGAGAGACAGATTAAAACTTTCAGGGTCTTTCAAGCCCTGAACACCTTATGGTGCTCTTCCATATAAGTAATTAAAAATAATTAAGCATTCCAATATGAATAAGGAAGTCCAAGAAGATTCTAGATTTAAAATGTGGTACTTACACACAATGGAGTACTATATAGCCATAAAAAGGGAATGAGATCCTGTCATTTGCAATAACATGGATGAAACTGGAGATCATTATGTTAAGTGAAATAAGTCAGGCACAGAAAGACAAACATCACACATTCTTACTTATTTGTGGGATCTGAAAATGAAAACGATCAAACTGATAAACATACACTGTAGAAGGATGGTTATCAGAAGCTGGGAAGGGTAGTGAGGGACTGGGGTGGAGGTGAGGACGGTCAATGGGTAAAAAAATACTTTGAATAAGACATACTGTTTGATAGCAAAACAGGGTGACTATAGTCAATAATAACAGTTGTACATTTTAAAATAACTAAAAGCATGGAATTGATTTGTTTGTAACACAAAGGATAAATGCTTGACGGGGTGGATACCATATTTTCCGTGGTGTACTTATTTCACATTGCATGCCTGCATCAAAACACCTCATGTAACCCATAAATATATACACCTACTATGTACCCATACAAATTAAAAATAAAAACATTTTAAAAGATTCTAGATTATGTCCCAACTACTACTCCTTCAATGGTTTATTGTTATTTAAAATATGAAAAGTTTCCCCGATTGCCTTTGAATGCCATAATTAGACATTCTTTGTCTTTCTATTAGATAAGCTTTCACTGATGTTGTAGCTTCTGGGTCTTATCTTATCAAACACCTGTGTGTGTGTGTGTGTGTGTGTGTGTGTGTGTGTGTGTGTATCCATGTGTCCATCTCTTCCTTGATTCTTACTGGTGTAGCTTCCTATTGGTGTAGCTCCCAACATCTATGGCTACTTCATAACTTTCCTCTCTCTCCAGAATTTCCTTATTCTTTACCCACACTCTCTTATGCTTCCCAGTTGATGTATTCTGCCCTCTTTTGCACCTTTCACCTTCTTCACTTCTCAAACAGGTCATACTCCTGTTATTTTCTTGTGTATCTTGGATTTATTCTATACAGGCTTGTTTACCCCTTACTTCACTCTCTTCGACCTACAAAAATTTGACTTACCAGTGAAGGTAACTTGTTTTCTGCCTCCTTTTCCATATCTATGTCTAAATGAGAGAGATATTAATAAATTGACCTTGTCCTATACTGGTGCTTCTCTGTATCATTCCTGCTTTATTGAAAGTCTCTTAAGATTAAATGAGGCAATATTTATAAAATGCTTACTACGTTCTCTAAGACATATTAGACAAGCATTAAACTGTAATCTTAATTACATTTTAAGAGTGATATTGGAGATATTGAGGAAAATATAAGTGTTATATGCCATTGATACTCTCCTAGTTTTGTTTTATATACCCTTTATACACTGTATATAAAACAGGATTTATGGTCAAACTACAAAAAAGAATAATGCTGAATTCACAGAGAAATGATTCAAAACTAACTTTTGCAACATCAATAATTAAAAAGTATACATCCTGAAAATTTAAGAAATTTACCTATTTTACTTCCTTTCTTACCTCCTCACCCTATTGCATTTTTGGTTTCTAAAATAAAGATCTCTGAATCACACTGTTATTATTATTGCTGTTATAATCACTAATTTTCTCTAGGTTTTCAATTTCTTTCTTAAGGATTAGTTATTACATTCATACTGTTTTGTAAGTTTGTTAGGTTAATTAATTTAGATTTAACGCCCATGCTTAACTGGTTTTATTGTACACCTTCAAACCTTGGATAATTTTTTTCTAGATTTGTATGCTTCTTTTTTACTTTAGTATTTGGTTGACCCAAGTATACCTTTCAGTTCAGTTTTTAATTATTCAGCTTTTACACAACAATACTTATACTTTATATAAAATCATCATGTTCTCTTACTCATATATCAAATATATTTTTATATGTAAATCAATAATTGAAAGTATTTCATGATTATACATCCTAGTAAGTACCACAGTCAATGCCACTAGCTTCAGATATATACCTTTGTTGCTACATTTATTTAAATATTTTTCAGCAATTTTCTTTTATTACATTTACATGAGTCCAAACAGAAAAAAAATTGATGATACTGTCAATGTGTATAGGTCTCATAAAATTACAGTTAAGACAACACACACATTAATTGTGCCGAAAATGATAAATCTGTAGCTTCAACTGGATATTCATTGCTATTAAACCACTTGGATCTGTGTTTAAGTGTGAAGGAAAATAATTAATATAAAGGTATTGCTTCACCCACTTCCCGTTTCCTTCTTTGGGATCTCTCCTTGACTAGGAGCACTGGCAACCTTCTTGCAACCATGAGAACTTGGCAGAGACACAAGTAAAGTGCCATGACATCACTGAGTCACTACATAATTCTTGACTTTCTCACTTCTAAAGTTCCTCCTGTTATACGTAAAAGTTAAATCTCCTCATTACTTTAAAAACAAAAAAAGATTGAGAGAGAGAGGACTGGGTGCGGTGGCTCACACCTGTAATCTCAACACTTTGGGAGGCTGAGGCAGGAGGATCACGAGGTCAGGAGATTGAGACCATCCTGGCTAACACGGTGAAACCCCATCTCTACTAAAAATACAAAAATTAGCCGTGCTTGGTGGCACACACCTGTAGTCCCAGCTACTCAGGAAGCTGAGGCAGGACAATCGCTTGAACCCGGGAGGCAGAGGTTGCAGTGAGCCGAGATCACACCATTGCACTCCAGCCTGGGCGACAGAGTGAAGGGCGAGGCTCCGTCTAAAAAAAGAGAGAGAGAGAGAAAAAGAGAGAGAGAGACCATAACTATAGAGGATCCACAAAAATATAGACCACATTGCTTCCATTTCCTCAGTATCTAGCAATAGTAGGTAGCAAACAATTATAGAATGAATCATACAAAATGTTTAATGTAAGTTATAAAAACTATGTCAAACAGGTAAGATATAAGTATGAATTCTTTCATGACCTATAACATGTAAATTGTACATCAGAATTTCATATTTATTTTTCAAAAATACATTGTGTGAGACTTCCACTTTCCGGTCTAATATGTAAAAGGTTGAGAAATCATGACTCCGGTCCTCAGAACAAGAAAAAATCTGACAAACATCTCTTCTTAGAGCCATCAGAGGATTGAGGTCACAGGAAAAATTGCTGCCCTAAAACTAGAGACTGGAGGGCAAACACTGAGAATCACAACTTACCAGGAGCAGAAAAGTCCAGAGCAAAACTAGCAGCTGGAGCCAATATTGGTAGAAATACTTTAAACTGTAATTGATGAAATGCTGGAAGCTCAGTGTAGATTCACTTGACAGTTAAGACGTCTGAGGAAGTCAGTCTTGACGGTGGGGGTTGGGGGGATGAGTGGGGATTGGCAGGGGGTGAGGGAATGCTTTCTTGAGTTTTAGGTTCTCATGCTCAGGACCAGAGAAAAACCCTGCTATGCATCCAGTAGCGGGAGGAGAACAGTAAGCATTTTGAAATAGGCACTGAGCTCTCTGTTCTCCTTAAGGTCTGCTCTTCAAGGGAAACAATTTTACCACACAACTCCAGCCCTATCTAGCCCTTGATGTGTGGGAAGAGAAATACCAACTCAAGCTCATTAAAAGACTAAGACCATCTATAAAATTATTTCCCTTCCCTGACACCTTACCATCACATCAATAGGGCTCCTCTATAAACATTGTGAATTACAGCTAAAAAATGCTACAAGGCTCACATCCTATTTGGAGAGTCTCTAAGAAAATCTAAAGAAAATAAGGAGTCAATAATATGGCCATAAAGAGAAAAATCTTAGCTCTGACACTACATTACAACACATGGTAAACAGGCTAATTCCTAGCCAGAAAAATGTGAATCTTCACATTTAAGGCCTATTTACTTCAGTTCCTTTTACTTGCTGCATTATGTCCAGCTTTCAACAGCAACAAGAAAAGTATAAGGCATGATGAAAGGCAAAAGCACTCTAAGAGACAAAACAGGCATCAAACCAGACTTAGCTATGACACAAATTTTGGAATTATTCGACTGAGAATTTAAAATAATGATAAATAATATGCTGAGGGCTATAATGAAAAAGTAAATAATATGCAAGAAAAGATGGGTAATGTAAAAATAGAGATGGAGACTTTAAGAAAAAATTTAAAAGAACAATTAAAATTCAAAAACACTGTAACAGAAATGAAGAATGCCTTTGATGAACTCATTGGTAGACTAGACATGGCCAAGGAAAGAATCATTAAGCTTGAAGATATGTCAGTAGAAACTTTGAAAACAGAAATGCAAAGAGATAAAATAATAAAACGGATAAAACAAAAATCAATTATAAATTTAATCCAATCCCAAATGTCATCCTAGGTAAGTTGTTTTGTAGATATTGACTAACTGACTGTAAAGTTTATATGAAAAGGCAGAAAAACCAGAGTAGCCAACACAATATCAAAGAAGAAGGACAAAGTTGGAGGACAGACATTACTCAACTTCCAGACCTACTACAAAGCTACAGTAAATAATACTATGTGATATTAATTATTTAGAGTGAATTTTTGAGTATGTAATATATAGAGATGTAATATGCACAAAAATAATAAACCTCAAAATGGTGGAAAGACTGAATCTTTATAGGAGTAAATTGTCTGTATTTCACTGAAATTAAGTTAGGATAAATCAGAAGTGGATTTTGATAAATTAATAAACACATTGTAAGTCATAGAACAATTATTTTAAAAATAACTCAAATTATTTTCAAAATATTAAGGGACTTATACTAGAAAATATCCAGTAATACAAAAAAGCAGTAAAGAAGAAGCAAAGAAACAAAAAAAAAGTAGGATATATATGTAAAACAAAACACAAAAAAGCAGATGGAAATCTAACCACGTTAATAATAACATTAAATGGGAATGAATTAATCAATTTAATCAAAATGTAGAGATGGTCAGTTAAAATTTTAAAAAGCAAGACCCAAGTGTATGGTGTCTACAGGAGACCTACTTTAAATTCAAAGATGCAAAGAGATTGAAAATAAAAAGATAGAAAAGGAGATTCCAGGAAGACATCAACCATAAAAGAGCTCACATGTCTACAATAAGACAAAACAGATTTTCAAACAAAAAACAATTTTTACATAGAAAAATATATATCTCATAGTGACACAAGAGTCAACTGATTAAGAAAATATAACAATTCAAGCATGTATACACCTAACAACATTTCAAAATATAGCAAAAATTGACAAATACAAAGACAGAAATAAACATTCAATAATTTCATTATCCTGTATGCAATAATAAACAGAACAACTAAGTAGAAAAGTAAAGAAAAATGGAAGACTTAGCCAAGTGAATCAACTAGTCTTAACAGGTATCTATATAACACACCATTCAACAACAGCAAACTGCATATTCTGCTCAACAAAAACTTGTATGCATGTTCATAGTAGCATTATTCAGAAAATCAAACAAGTGAAAACAACCTATATTTCAATAACTAGTAAATGAATGAATAAAATGATGTATATACAATATTCAGCTAAATAAATGAAATATGGACAACTGCTACATGATATGACTGCATTTATATGAATGCACAGAGTTGGCAAGTCTATGGAGAATAAAAGTAAACTGGAGTTTTCATAGGGCTAGGGTAGAGGAGGTAATTCAAAATGATTGCAAAAGGAAATGGAATTTTTTAGAGGATGAAGAAAAGTTCTAAAATTATTTTGAGGTTATCATTGAATGACTGTGAATATACTAAAAATATTGAATTGTACACTTTAAATGAGTAAATAAATTTAATACACCATTTGCCAAGTGACCTTCCGCCTCTTGCTTTTAAAGTTTTGTTACCCACCACCTACAAAAGGCTTCTCTAATTCTCATTCTGAATAATTGTTTATTTCTTGGCTAGTACACCACATTGAATTTTGTATATCAAATTTTTAAGTTACTACACCTGGATGCTATAAGCCATAATGAAAGAGGAAATTTTCACATTTATTTTATATACTTTTTCAATGTAAATGCTTTATGATACATTTTAATTATATTTGTAGAAATCTGACTGCTCAAAAAGACAAAAGAGGATCAGACATAAAATAAATAATTGATGTCATCCACCAATAAAGAATAAGTAACACTGGGTCATGGTGCATGTTCTTCTTAATGTGCTGTTGCATTCAATTTGCTAGTATTTTGTTCAGAATTTTTGCATTCATGTTCATCAGGAGTATTGAGTTGTAGTTCCCTTTTCTTGCAGTGTCTTTGGCTTTGGTATCAGGGTTAAATGGGTAAAGTTTGTGTTATGTGAATTACATCTCAATAAAACTGTTTAAAAACAAAATGAATAAAAAATGAAAATATGAAAGGGACCACCACCCTTTTATTTTTAAAACCTTTAATGGTCACATTAATATCTGAAATTCTCCCCAGAAAGGTGAAATTACATCTGATTAGCTATCTCTGAGAGTGGGGTGCTGAGCGACAGATGTAGATTAATGGTTTTCACTTAACTTTTTCTTCCATAACTGCTCTTATTCCACAGGTCATTAAACCTATGTGAGAGTTCTGCCAGAAACTAAGTTCATTCAAAGAAATATTGGAAGAATATTTACTACATATACTTATATTTATTTTTTTTAAACTGTCAGAAATTTAGGACTACATGTGGTCTTTTATCACATGAATGAATTGTATAGTGGTGAACTCTAGGATTTTAGTGCCCCAATCACCTGAGTAGTGTACATTGTTCCCAATAGTTAGTTTTTCATCCCTCACCCCCTTCCCAACCTACCCTGTTCTGTGTCTCCAATGTTTATTATGCCACTCTGTATGCCTTTGCATATCCATGGCTTAGCTCCCACATGTAAGCAAGAAAATGTGGTATGTGGTTTTTGATTCCCAAGTAACTTCAATTAGTGTAATGGTCTCCAGCTGCATCCAAATTGCTGCAAAATACATTATTTTATTCTTTTTTATGGCTGAGCAGTGTTCCATTGTATTAGTTTGTTTTCACACTGCTGATAAAGACATACCTAAGACTGGTAATTTATAAAGAAAAAGAGGTTTAATGGACTCACAGTTTCACATGGCTGGGGAGGCCTCACAATCATGGCAGAAAGCAAAAGGCACATCTTACAAGGTGGCAAGCAAGAAAGAACAAGAGCCATGCAAAAGGGGAAACCCCTTATAAAATCATCAGGTCTTGTGAAACTTATTCACTACCATGAGAACAGTATGGGGAAACCACCCCCATGATTCAATTATCTCCCACCAGGTCCCCCAATAAAACATAGGAAATATGGGAGCTACAATTCAAGATGAGATTTGGGTGGGGACATAGCCAAACCATATCATCTATAGCAGATGTATACCAGACTGTTTAATTTCTACATATTTGTATAGTTTTAGGGGTTTCTTCTGGAATTGATTTCTAGGTTTATTTTCCACCATGATCTGAGAAGATACTTAATATGACTTTGATTTTTAAAAATGTATTGAGACTTGTTTTATGGTCTATTATATGGCCTATCTTGGAGAATGTTCCATGTGCTGATGAGAATAATGAATATTCTGCAGTCGTTGAGTAGAATGTTCTGTAAATATCTGTTAGGCCCATTTGTTTTAGGCTCATTTGTTCTAGAGTGCAGCTTAAATCCAGTCTTTCTTTGTAGACTTTCTGCCTTGATGATCTGTCTAGTGCTGTCAATAGAGTGTTGAATTCCCTCATTATTATTTTGTTGTTTTCTATCTCTTTTCTTAGTTCTAGTAGTAATTGCTTTATGAATCTTAAAGCTATAGAGTTCGGTTCATATATATTTATAATTGTTATATATTTTTGTTGAATTAATCATTTTATCATTATATAATGTTGCAAGAAGTCAGGGACCCTGAACGGAGGGACTGGCTGGAGCCAAGGCAGAAGAACATAAATTGTGAAGATTTCATGGACACTTATCAGTTCCCAAAATTAATACTTTTATAATTTCTTACGCCTGTCTTTACTTCAATCTCTGAACATAAATTGTGAAGATTTCATGGACATTTACCACTTCCCTAATAATATTCTTATAATTTCTTATTCCTATCTTTACTTTAATCTCTTAATCCTGTTATCTTCATAAGCTGAGAATGTACATCACCTCAGGACCACTATTGTGCAAATTAATTGTAAAACATGTGTGTTTGAACAATATGAAATCAGCGCACCCTGAAAAAGAACAGAATAACAGCGATTTTCAGGGAACAAGGGAAGATAACCATAAGGTCTGACTGCCTGTGGGCTTGGGCAGGATAGAGCCATATTTTTCTTCTCACAGAAAGCCTATAGACGGATGTGCAGGTAGGAGAAGTATCACTCATCTCTGGGATTGGAGCAAGAGTGGACTGCCGGGCATGGTGGCTCACACTTGTAATCCCAGCACTTTGGGAGGCCAAGGCGGGCAGATCATGAGGTCAGGAGATCGAGACCATCCTGGATAACACAGTGAAACCCTGTCTCTACTAAAAATACAAAAAATTAGCCAGGCGTGGTGGCGGGCGCCTGTAGTCCCAGCTACTCAGTAGGTGGAGGCAGGAGAATGGCGTGAACCCAGGAGGTGGAGCTTGCAGTGAGCCGAGATCATGCCACTGCACTCCAGCCTGGGTGGCAGAGTGAGACTCCATCTCAAAAAAAAAAAAAAAAGAGTGGACTGTGCCTCAAACTTTCTGGCTTATCTAGGGGTTTCCCAAGGATTAGTTCCTATTTCACCTAAGAGCACAGACAGGAACAACAGCAGAGTTTGGAAGCTGCTGAACACAGGACAGCAACATTTTAGAACTGCAGTTCTATAAGCAGACACCAGAGTGAACAGAGATCAGAAAAGATTAGAGAGGTCCTAGAACCTCCAGCTGGGGTGATTGGTGAAAATTGTCCTTTGCAAAAATCTAGTACACAATGACTGAAAGAGATAGCTGTTTTTACAAATACCCAAATCCTAGGGGAAAAAATGTATAATACAAAGAAGAGAGAAATATGGCCCTGTGATATCATAAAATATGTTTGGTCTTTGACCTTATTTCGTGACACACAATATTTTAAATCCTTACAATTTCCAAAGTGATGTATTTTTGTGTGGTAATCATTGACTGATGGCTGGCAGCCCCTAGGTAGCTGCAGGATGGGACAGGTTATCAGAAAGATCAAGGCAGGATTAGAAGGTTGTGTCTTTTAGTCCTACCCCCAACCTCTGGGGATAGGAGAAAGGCTGAAGGTTAGGTTCATCACTACTGGCCAAGGTTTAATCAGTCATGTTTACCTAACGAAGCCTCCACGGAAACCTCAAAAGACAGAGTTTGGAGAGCTTTCAAAAAGCTGAACATGTGGAGGCTTATAGGAAGGTGAACAAAAACTCATCCATGTGTCAGGAGGTAGAGCACTCCAGTTCCACAGGGGCAGAAGCTCTTGCACTAAGGATCCTTCCAGACTTCACCCAATGTATCTTTTAATCTGGATGTTTATTCATCTCTTTAAAAATATCCTTTGTAAAAAACTGATAAATGTAAGTAAGTGTTTCCCCTGAGTTCTGTCAGCAGCTCTAGCAAATTAACTGAACTCAAGGGTTGGGGGGTGGTCTTGAGAACGTTGATTTATCACTGGTTGATCAGATGTTCTGGAGGCCCAAACTTGCAACTCATATCTGAAATTGGAAGGAGCAGTCTTGGACACTTAGCCTCAACATGTGGAATCTGACACTAGTTTTAGGTAGATAACATCAGAATTAAATTGGAGGACACTGAGTGGGTGTCTGCTGCACAATTGATTGCTTGCTAGTTGGTGGGGAAAACCCCTCCCACATTTGGTCACAGAAGTCTTCTGTGTTGATCACTGTGGTGTGAAAGCAGAAGAAAAACACAGTTTGAGGTTTCATTTTTATTTTTTGTTTTTTTTACACACAATTGGTGTCAGAAGTGGGAATTGCTAGAATGGCCCTGGCTCATGAAAAGAATGGGAGGGTAGAAGATGACTTAAGGTAAAAGTTACCAGTGGAATTTAGAGATAAATCCAACTCACAGGGAGTTGGTTCACTAGACACATAAAGAAATGCAAACAAATAAGAAAAAAGCAAAATATCCAATCATTTGGTTATTGTTATCTATAACAGCTAACATGAAATGAAATGATATGCTGGGTTTGACCTTGATGCTACATCAAGTTTAGATTTCAGTGAGTTTGAGCTTCATCACTAGCCTCAAAGCTGCCCCATGTGGGCAAAATATTTGGGGGACAACACAACTTGAGATCTGTGGTTACTATGAAGTTTATCAATGTGGGAGAAGAAAACAACCAAGAAACTATTAAAACTATTGATCTTATCAGCTCCCTGAGGAACTTTTACTAAAATGCATTGTAAGGGTAACTTGTATAGGAGAAGTGTCTTTCATTTTAAATGCAGAGTGGGAGAACATGTTTGGGTTGATGCAGGACCCACAGCTCACTATTGAACAATCACAGATGGCTATATGTGATCTTGACATACAAAAGGTTATTCTCAAGGGAACAGCCAGCCTGGTGGACTAGACAAAACCACTATAAGGTCTGCTTACCCTGAGAAGGGAGACTGTTCAACTCCATCTATAAATGTCAAGTGGAACAGCCCAGATGAAGCAGCTTCATATGCAATCCATGTGGGACTGTCTTTATGAGAACCGGAACTGAGACATTCACATTCTACATGCCCATTACCCAGGTCATGTTTTTAAAAAGGGTGGGGGGGAGTGTCCTTTCTGCATGGGCATTAATGTAAATGTACCACTGCAAAATCAAGTTACAGTCAGAGAAACCTTATCAAATTTGCTATCTCAGCTTCTTCTCATGAGTCTGACAAATGCTAATAAAAATAATAGATTAACAAAAGATTGGTGAAGAGTAGAGTTTAAAGACTCATCGCAGGAAAGTGGAAATGTTTAAATGGTTATTAAGAAATAGGGGAATTTTAAAAACCTTGGTGAGATGAAACTGAGAGGAAAACGAAAAGCAAAAATGATGGGACTCATCTCAGCAGAGTGGGAATCTTTAGATAGCTATTAAGAAATAAAATGAGGGACTTTATCAAAGATGGCTGACTAGATGCAGCTGGGAAGTGCTGTCCTCACAGAGAGAAACCAAAATTTTGACTACACCAACATAATTTGAACAGATCTGTGATGAGAAAACACCAAATGTGGATGGGGAAAAGACACAGTTGCTGAGTCGGAAGAGGGGGAAAGCTGGGAATCCCATGTGGAGTGCCCAAATGCTGTGGCTGGTTTCTAAACAGGACCTGTCAAAGGGGTGAGTAAATAAAGGGGCTGGAGGACTGCTCACTCTTGCTGTGGACCTCTAGGATCCTACCTTCAGGTGACTTCACTCTACCATGGACATGGCAGCTGGCAGGAGAATCTCCCCAGAGATTACACAGAGAGAGATGAAGCAGGCATAGATCCTGGGAACTTTGACCATGCATCAGCTCCAAGGGAGCCCGGCCATAAGCACTCACCCCGCAGGGCTGCCTGTCTCCCTCCCTTTGAGAGGCCCTGGCCCCAGCTAACTGCTAGAGGAAAAGCAGGGACTGCTTCTCTGCGGAACTGGGGCACATCTATCCTGCAGGCCTACTTGCCCACTTGCCTGGCTGTCCTGTAGGAGTGTGTACACAGTACAGCCTCTGCTGCCCAGCCTGAGTGCTTTGCTCCACCTAAGTGCATTCTTTCAGCCTAGGAGCGCTTCAGCTCCCACAACGCGGCAGAACCCACCCCCCAGCATCTGGAGGAGGGAGCACCATCAAGTCCTGGTATCCCAGAACAGCAGCCTGCAGCTCAGTAATGCCAAGCTGGGATCTGTGGTCAGCACTTAAACAGGGGAGAAGCCCAGACTCTCAGAAAACTGTGAAGGCTGAGTTTAACATGTTTATGGGCTGGCATGGGACCTAGCTGTGTCTCCCTCCACAGGGCTGGTCTAGTAAAGGTGTGGCCTATTTCCTGATCAGACCTCTCCCCAAGGGAGCCCCATGGCCAGAATGACCTATCAACTGTAGCATATAATAAATTCCTCTTCAAATGTTTTAGCCTGTCAATTGTTAAGTACAATTAGTTCTGAGATCCTCTCCAAAGAACCAATGTATCAGTATGTTCAGCTCCCCTGTTCTTTGATCCGCATTTTAAAGTTTAAGTTCCTCATTCTCTTCATCTCCTTGCCCCTAGTTTCAGTAAACAACACCCTCCTATCCTCTATCACCTGCTGCATCCTGAGTCACCTCTGGTCACCTGCTCCATCCTAAGTCACCCCTGGTCACCTGCTCCATCCTGAGTCACCCCTGGTCACCTGCTCCATCCTGAGTCACCCCTGGTCACCTGCTCTGACCTGAGTCATCCTGAGTCACCTGTTCTGTAAGCATCCTTCTTGCCAAACTACTCACTCTGCCACTCTGGCTCATACCCCTGCTCTCTTTAAAATAGCCATTCAGAATTAGCTTAGACTGTGCAGTCCAACCCTAGCCAATAGGGAACAATGAAGCAGTAGGGGCTACCTGCATCAGGGATAAGAACCCCTTCCCCTCCCTTGTTCAATATGATCATCACCATGGGACCTAGTAAACAGATTCTCCAAGGTCAATGCAAAAAAAAAATATCTTAAAGACAGCTAGAGAGAAGGGCCAGGTTACTTAAGAGGAAACTTCATCAAGCAGCAGCAGACTTCTCAGGAGAAACCTTACACATCAGAAGAGATTGGGGACAGACTTTCAACATCATTGAAGTAAAGAAATTTGAACAAAAACGTTTATATCCTGCCTAGCCGAGATTCATAATTAAAGGAGAAATAAAATCCTTCTCAGACAAGTAAGTGCTGAGGGAATACATTTCAATAGGACCAGCCTTAGAGGAGGTTCTTAAGAAAGTGCTAAACATAGATTTGAAAGAATAACACCTACTACCATAATAGCACACTTAAGCACATAACCCACAGGCACTATAAAGCAATTACACAATGAAGTCTACATAACGACCAGCTAACAATATGATGACAGGATCAAAATCACACATTTCAATAGTAACTTTAAATATAAGTGAGGTAAATGACCCATTTAAAAGACCCAGAGTGGCAGACTGGATAAAAAGACATGACCCAACCATCTGTTGTCTTCAAGAGACCCATCTCACATGTAACAATACCCACAGTTTAAAAGTAAAAGGGTGGATTTAGATCTACCATGCAAACAGAAGACAAAAAAAAAGGGCAGGGGTTTCTATTTTTATATCAGATAAAACAGACCTTAAACCAACAAAAATCAAGAAGAACAATAAAGAGCAATACATAATGATAAAGGGTACAATCCAACAAGAAGCCCTAACTATACTAAATATATACGTGCCCAACTCTGGAGTATACATATTCATAAAACAACTTTTTGGCCTATGAAAACACATAAGACAACTACACAATAATGGTGGGAGACTTCAACACCCCCCTTACAGTGTTAGATCATCAAGGCAAAAAAATAACAAGGAAAATCTGGACTTAAAATCGATACTTGTTAAATTGGACCTAATAGACATCTACAGAATACTCCACCCAACAACACAGAATGTACATTCCCCTTATCTGCAAATGGAACAAATTCTAAGATCAACCACACTTGATTGGTCATAAAGCAAGCCTCAATACATTAAAAAAAATTGAATTCATACCAAGCAAAATATCAGAAAACAGTGCAATAAAAATAGAAATTAATACCAAGAAGATCTCTCAAAAATACACAAATGCATGGAAGTTAAACAACTTACACCTGAATAACTACTAGGTGAACATCAAAATTAAGGCAGAAATTTTTTAAATTCTTTGAAATTATTGAAAATAGGGACAAAACTTACCAAAATCTCTGGGATGCAGCCAAAACAGTGTTAAGAGGAAAGTTAATGGACCTACATGCCTTAATAAAGTAGCTAGAAAGGTTTCAAAGCAACAATCTAACTT
Organism: Homo sapiens; assembly: GCF_000001405.40. NCBI lineage: Eukaryota > Metazoa > Chordata > Mammalia > Primates > Hominidae > Homo > Homo sapiens. The sequence continues at coordinate 7,585,963 of NC_000012.12, forward strand.
CACACATAAAGTCCTAGGAAAAGAAAAACAAACCAACTCCAAACTAGAAGAAAAGAAATAACTAAAATTAAAGAAGAATTTAATGAAATTGAGATACAAAAATTTATACAAAAAGAATCAATGAAACCAAGAGCTGTTTCTTCAAAAAAATTAGATGAAATGAAATTGATAGACCCCCTAGCTGGATTAACAACAACAACAACAAGAAAGAAGATCCAGATAAGCACAATCAGAAACAAAAAATGTGATATTACCATTGATCCCACAAAAGATCGTCAAAGATTATTATGAACAACTCTGTGAAACAAAATACAAAATCTAGAGGAAATAAATTCCTGGAAGTGTACAATCTCCCAAGATTGAATCAAGAAGAGGCTAAAACCCTAAATAGACCAATATCAACTTCTAAAATTGAATTAGTAATAACCTATTAACAACAGTAAAAAAGTCTTGAGCAGATGGATTCACAAATTCTACTAGACATACAAACAAGAACTGATACTTAACCTACTGAAACTATTCCAAAAAATTGAGGAGGAGGTGCTTCTCACTAACTCATTCTATGAAGCCAGCATTAGCCTGAAACCAAAGTCTAGCAGAGACAAAACAAAGAAACTTCAGACCAATATCCCTCATGAATATAGATGCAAAACTCTTCAACAAAAGACTAGCAAATTGAATCCAGAAGCACACCAAAAAGTTAATACACCACAGTCAAGAAGGCTTTATACTTAGGATGCATAGCTCATTTAACATATGCAAATCAATAAACACGTTTGATTCTCACATAAACAGAATCAAAAGCAAAAACCATATCATCATATTAATAAATGCAGAAAAATTCTCAATAAAATCCAACATCCCTTTATAACAAAACTCTCAAAAGACTAGGCATAGAAGAAACATACCCCAAAATAATAAGAGCTATCTATGACAAGCCCACAGCCAACATTATACTAATTGGGCAAAAGGTGGAACCATTGCCCTTGAGAACTAGAACAAGACAAGGATGCCCATTCTTGCCAGTTGCATTAAACATAGTATTGGAAGTCTTAGCCAGAGCAATCAGACAAGAGAAAGAAATAAAAAGGCTTCCAAATAGGAAAAAAAAAGTCAAACTATCTCTATTCACTGGCAATATAATTCTATACTTGGGAAAATCATAAAGATTCTGCCAAAAGGCTCCTAGAATTGATAGAAAACTTCAGTAAAGTTTCAGGATTAAAAAAAATCAATGTAGAAAAATCAGGAGCATGTCTATACACCAACAACATCCAGGCTGAGAATCTAATCAAGAATACAATCCTACTTACAATAATCACAAAGAAAATGACACACCTAGGAATATAGCTAACCAAGGATGTGAAAGATCTCTCCAAGGATAACCACAAGACACTGCAGAAAAAATCAGAGATGACACAAATAAATGGAAAAATGTTCCATGCTTATGGATTGGAAGAATAAATACTGTAAACATGGCCATATTTGCCCAAAACAATGTACAGATTCAAGATATTCCTATCAAGCTAACAACATCACTCTTCACAGAATTACAAAATACTAATCTAAAACTCATATTGAATCAAAAACCGAATAGCCAAAGCAATCCTAAGCAAAAGGAACAATGCCAGAGGCATTAAACTATCCAACTTAAAAATATACTATAAAGCCACAGTAACCAAAACAGCTTGGCACAAAACAGGTACCAAAAAAAAGTACAAAAACAGACAAATATACCAATGGAACAGAATAGAAAACTCAGAAGTAAAGCTACACACCTACAACCACCTGACCTTTGAACAGGCTGACAAAAACAAGTATTAGAGAAAGGACTCCCTATTCAATAAATGGTACTGGAATAACTGGCTAGCCATATGCAGAGGATTGAAGCTGGGCCCCTCCCTTTTACTACAAGCAAAATTAACTCAAAATGAACTAAAGATTTAAATGTAAGACCTCAACCTATAAAAATTTTGGAAGACAACCTAGGAAATACTCTTATCAACATCAGCCATGGCAAAGAATTTTTGGCTAAGTCGCTAAAACCAATTGCAACAAAAACAAAAATAGACAAGTGAGACATGATTAAACTAAAGAGCTTCTGCACAGCAAAAGAAATGATCAACATAGTGTGAAAAAAACATTTTAATGGTCCATCATTATGGTATGATACACCTAAGTACTGGTAACCAGCCTGTAGACATGACAAACCACATGCCTCATGCACCTAAAAAGTCACGATAAGTGAACAGAATGTAGACGAGGGGTGAGCTCATAAAAGAGAATAAAGTTTTGTTATTGGGAAATTGAAACTTAAGCAAGAAAAGGGACTGGGGTATGACCCTTTAAGGGGATAATGGAACTTGGGTGACATCTGGGAAGATTGTAACCCCATAGTACTCAACCAATGAGGAACTGGGGGAGGGACTTGTGTGCTAGGAAATGAATTGCATGCTGTAACTGCCCCAGGTGTGTCTGCCTACCAGACACCCAATCTTGCAAGACTGCCACTAAAAGTCTCACTTCTGCTGTTCTTTGTGTCTCTGAGTCCATTCTTTGGGGTTGGACAGGTGAATGTGTTTCTCACAAGCTTGGGGGCTCATCTGTGCCTGCATGAGGTGGGACTCTGGCTGAGACGGGAGATGTGTCCCACCCAATTTTAGGTGGCCCACTCTGAGCATTTTGGCTCCCCACAGAGGCCATAGACAAATTCAAGACTATTATTCAGGAGGCAGCAAAGGTGACACAGGGAGAAAAAGCAGGCACCATGGCAACCAGTCAACTTGTGCATGAGCCAAGGTAGGAAAATTGGACTGTAAGTACTGCCTTGGTGGTTGGGCATTTTTGGAGGTCATGTGTGCGTGACTGAGACACATCCCAGATATGAAGCAAGTGCAGAGTCCCAATCCACCATTCTGTTCTCCCATGAAGCAATTCTCTAGGTGTGCAAGAAACCTCCAGCAGGGGGAGTTGAGTACATAGGAAAAAAAACTCAAACACAGAGACTTACCGAAAATGGGAAACAGAAATTCTGGGCGGAGGGAACAAAGGAAAGCGGAAGCCAAAGTGACTTCCTCTAATATTCCCCCAGATAGCTCCTTGGGGAGAATTCTGCAGTTTTGGAGAGACAACCCTCCAACCAGGGACAAGAAAAAGCAAAAGATGATAAAGTATTTCTGTTTTATCTGGATCAAAGACTTTTTATTTTTATTTTTATTTATTTATTTATTTTTATTGATCATTCTTGGGTGTTTCTCACAGAGGGGGATTTGGCAGGGTCATAGGACAATAGTGGAGGGAAGGTCAGCAGATAAACAAGTGAACAAAGGTCTCTGGTTTTCCTAGGCAGAGGACCCTGAGGCCTTCCGCAGCGTTTGTGTCCCTGGGTACTTGAGATTAGGGAGTGGTGATGACTCTTAACGAGCATGCTGCCTTCAAGCATCTGTTTAACAAAGCACATCTTGCACTGCCCTTAATCCATTTAACCCTGAGTGGACACAGCACATGTTTCAGAGAGCACAGGGTTGGGGGGTAAGGTCACAGATCAACAGGATCCCAAGGCAGAAGAATTTTTCTTAGTACAGAACAAAATGAAAAGTCTCCCATGTCTACTCCTTTCCACACAGACATGGCAACCATCCGATTTCTCAATCTTTTCCCCACTTTTCCCCGCTTTCTATTCCACAAAACCACCATTGTCATCACGGCCCGTTCTCAATGAGCTGTTGGGCACACCTCCCAGACGGGGTGGTGGCCGGGCAGAGGGGCTCCTCACTTCCCAGTAGGGGCGGCCGGGCAGAGGCGCCCCTCACCTCCCGGACGGGGCGGCTGGCCGGGCGGGGGGCTGACCCCCCCACCTCCCTCCCAGACTGGGCGGCTGGCCGGGCGGGGGGCTGACCCTCCACCTCCCTCCCAGACGGGGCGGCTGGCCGGGCAGAGGGGCTCCTCACTTCCCAGTAGGGGCGGCCGGGCAGAGGCGCCCCTCACCTCCCGGACGGGGCGGCTGGCTGGGAGGGGGGCTGACCCCTCCACCTCCCTCCCGGACGGGGCGGCTGGCCGGGCAGGGGGCTGACCCCCCCACCTCCCTCCCGGACGGGGTGGCTGGCCAGGCAGAGAGGCTCCTCACTTCCCAGTAGGGGCGGCCGGGCAGAGGCGCCCCTCACCTCCCAGACGAGGGGGCTGGCCGGGCGGGGGGGCTGACCCCCCCACCTCCCTCCCGGATGGGGCGGCTGGCGGGGCAAAGGGGCTCCTCACTTCCCAGTAGGGGCGGCCGGGCAGAGGCGCCCCTCAACTCCCGGACGAGGCGGCTGGCCTGGCGGGGGCTGAACCCCACCTCCCTCCCGGACGGGGCGGCTGCCGGGCAGAGACACTCCTCACTTCCCAGACGGGGTGGCTGCCGGGCGGAGGGGCTCCTCACTTCCCAGACGGGGCGGCTGCCAGGCGGAGGGGCTCCTCACTTCTCAGATGGGGCGGTTGCCAGGCAGAGGGTCTCCTCCCTTCTCAGACAGGGCAGCTGGGCAGAGACACTCCTCACCTCCCAGACGGGGTTGCGGCTGGGCAGAGGCGCTCCTCACATCCCAGATGGGGCGGCGGGGCAAAGGCGCTCCCCACATCTCAGACGATGGGTGGCCGGGCAGAGACGCTCCTCACTTCCTAGATGGGATGGCGGCCGGGCAGAGACGCTCCTCACTTTCCAGACTGGGCAGCCCGGCAGAGGGGCTCCTCACATCCCAGACGATGGGCGGCCAGGCAGAGACGCTCCTCACTTCCTAGACGGGGTGGCGGCCGGGCAGAGGCTGCACTCTGGGCACTTTGGGAGGCCAAGGCAGGCGGCTGGGAGGTGGAGGTTGTAGCGAGCCGAGATCACGCCACTGCACTCCAGCCTGGGCACCATTGAGCACTGAGTGAACCAGACACCGTCTGCAATCCCAGCACCTCCGGAGGCCGAGGCTGGCGGATCACTCGCGGTTAGGAGCTGGAGACCAGCCTGGCCAACACAGCGAAACCCCGTCTCCACCAAAAAAATACGAAAACCAGTCAGGCGTGGCGGCGCGCGCCTGCAATCGCAGGCACTCGCAGGCTGAGGCAGGAGAATCAGGCAGGGAGGTTGCAGTGAGCCGAGATGGCAGCAGTACAGTCCAGCTTTGGCTCAGCATCAGAGGGAGACCGTGGAAAGAGAGGGAGAGGGAGACCGTGGGGAGAGGGAGAGGGAGAGATGCTGACCGTGGAAAGAGAGGGAGAGGGAGACCGTGGGGAGAGGGAGAGGGAGAGGGAGTCAAAGACTTTTTATAAAAGCCATCAGTGTTTTGGCCTAAGTTTGGCTCAGATGAGGATTGGGTGTGCCAAGCTTTAATTCTCTATGTGAATGATAAAACCACATCCTCACAAGAAAAGATACGTTATGTTCTCTGTTGGATCAAGGAATTAGCCCCCATGTTGCCCCTCAAGGAATAAGAAGAAAAAGAGCTTAGTAAAAAGCCCTTGCCTGGTGAAAAGCCCAGGGACCCCCTGTCACGCTTTCCCCCTCCATACGTCTCACAGAATAGGGGACGGGAAGATTAAGGGGCATCACGAGGGTTAGAGGAAGAAAGACCTGGAGACTGCGGGGGAGCCAAACCAGATGCTCCTTTAGAGCCTTACCCAAATTTAAGAAAAGAATTAGAACAATGTAAAAGGGATATTAAGGACTACTCTATCCTTTCCAAACAGCAGACATCTTGCATGTTCCCCATTAGGGAACTTCCCACGGGACAGGAAGAGATTGGCTTTGTAAATGCTCCGCTTACAAGTACTGAAGTCAGCAATTTCAAAAAGGGGATGAACCCACTCCTAGAAGATCCCCTTTGTTTAGCAGATAAGCTGGACCAATTCCTATGGCCCAGCTTTTACACCTGGGCTGAATAATACCTATTATAAATATTCTGTTCATAGGAGAAGAAAGGGGAATTGTTGGGAGAGTGGCCATGACTATCTGGGAGAGGCATCACCCTCCCAGAAAAGGAGTCTCATCAGCTGAGTAAAAATTTCCAAATGTCCATCCTGAATGGGATAATAATTATCCCATGGATCAGGCCCAAATGCAGTACCTCAGGGAAATAATGATTAAAGGGATTAAAGAGTCCACTCCTAGGACACAAAATATCTCTAAAGCGTTTGAGATTCAACAAGAAAAAGAAGAAATCCCCTCTTCATTCTTGCAGAGGTTCAGAGACCAAATGAGGAAATACTCAGGATTAGATCCATAGGACCCAGTAGGGTAAGGCCTTTTGAAGGTTAACTTTGTAACTAAAAGCTGGCCTGACATTACTAAGAAACTACAAAATATTGGTAGATGGAATGAGAAACTGATTAAAAAATGACTGAGGGAAGCTCAGAAGGTCTTTGTAAGGAGAGAGGAAGAGAAGCAGAAACAAAAAGTGAAAATCATGTTTTTCACTGTGGAACAGGTAGTTAGAAAAAGGTTAGATTAAGATCTCCCTCAAAAGAGACAAGGGAATGATAAATTTTGACACAGAGAGAGAAGAGAAATGCAGGGAAAAGCTCCTAAGACTATAAATGGATGTTACAAGTGTGGAAAGCCAGGGCATTTTAAAAGAGAATTTCCCAAATGGAAAAAAGAAGAAAAGGTGACCCCCTTTATGACCTTTGATGAAGGTTGGGGGGGGGGGTCAGGGGTTCCTTCTGAGTAGGTACCACCAGGAACCCTTGATAGATTTGAGGGTGGGACTCGAGGGGGAAAAAGTGACATTCTTAGTTGACACTGGGGAGGCTCGCTCCTCCCTAACTCACTGACCAAAGAGTACAGAACTCTCTAAGGAAAAACTGACAGTATCAGGGGTAAAAGGGGAGGGATTTTACATTCTGATATTCAAGAAAATTTTAATTATATTGAGACCAGATCAAATTGAGGGGTCACTCCTATATGTTCCTGAAGCAGGAACTAACCTGGGTCGAGACTTGATTGTGAGACTGGGTTTAGGATTAGGAATAGAGGAGGGACAAATAAAAGTAATGATGGACCTCCTAATAGAGGAGGAGGAAAGAAAAATCAATCCCCTTGTGTGGGTTAGGGAAGGCAACAGGGGAGGGCTAAAAATGACATCCTTATAGATTGAACTAAAACAACCAGGAGAAGTAATCTGCAGAAAACAATACCCGATTCACATTGAAGGGAGAAAATGTTTCCAACTAGTAATAGAGGGATTGATTAGAGATGGACTATTGGAACCCTCCATGTCATCATACAATATGCCAATTCTCCCAGTTAAGAAGCCTGATGGGTCATATAGATTAGTGCAAGATCTAAGGACCATAAATCAAATTCCCCAAACCTGCCACCCTGTGGTGCCTAACCCCTACACCCTCCTCAGTAAGATACCCTATGAACATAAGTGGTTTAGTGTGGTAAATCTAAAAGATGGATTCTGAGCATGTCCCCTAGACTTTAGGAGTAGGGATCTCTTTGCCTTTGAATGGGAAAATCCCATAAATGGGAGAAAACAACAGTACCACTAGACTGTGCTACCACAAGGTTTTACAGAAGCCCCAAATTTATTTAGTCAAGTCTTAGAAAAAGTCCTGGAGGAATTCCAACCTTCCAGGGGAACCCAGTTATTACAATATGTGGATGATGTTTTAATTTCTGGAGAGAGGAGGGCCAAGATTTCAGAAACCGCCATAAGCTTGCTTAATTTCCAAAGAGAAATGGGATTGTGAGTCTTCAAGAACAAATTGTGGCATGTTAGTGGCCATTTGTTAGTGGCCACAAAGCCATTGTGAGCTTTGGGAAGCTTTAGGTGGTATCTGGTTACCTTGGTAAGCCAAGCAGCTCAGCCACCCCTTTTCTCCCAAGGTTCTCCATGGAAAGAAGTGTACACAAAACAATGGGGAAGAAAGTGCCGTGTTACAGTTAGCTGGACTTGTGCTGAAACCCCAGTGTGGCTCTTTTTGGTAAGCTGGGGCGATTACTGGCAAGATGGCTGAATAGGAGCAGCTTCGGTCTGCAGCTCCCAGCGAGATCATCACAGAAGGTGGGTGATTTCTGAATTTCCAACTGAGGCACCCGGTTCATCTCATTAGAACTGGTTGGACAGTGGGTGCCACCAATGGAAGGCAATCCAAAGGGCATTACCTCACCCGGGAAGTGCAAGGAGTCAGGGAATTTTCTCCCCTACCCAAGGGAAGCTGTGAGCATCTGAGCCTGAGGAACTCTGACAGATACTGCACTTGTCCCATGGTCTTCGCAACCTGCAAACCAGGAGATTCCCTCCAGTGCTTACCCCACCAGGGCCCTGGGTTTCAAGCATAAAACTCGGCAACCATTTGGGGAGACACAGAACTAGCTGTAGGAGTTCCTTTATTCCATATGCCAGTGGCACCTGCAATGCCAGTGAGACAGAACTGTCACTTCCCTGGAAAGGGGTACTGAAGCCAGGGAGCCAAGTAGTCAGGCTCAGTGGGTCCCACTCCATGGAGCCCAGCAAACTAAGATCCACTGGCTTGAAATTCTTGATGCCAGCATAGCAGCAGTCTGAGATTGACCTGGAGGTTCAAGCTTGGTTGGGGAAGGGACATCCGCCATTGCTGAGGCTGGAGTAGGTGGTTTTACACTCATAGTGTAAACAAAGCTGCTGGGAAGTTTGAACTGGGCAGAGCCCACTGCAGCTCAGCAAGGCCACTGCTGCCAGACTGCCTCTCTAGATTCCTCCTCTCTGGGCAGGGCAACTCTGAAAAAAACGCAGCAGCCCCAGTCAGGGGCTTATAGATAAAACTCCCATCTCCCTGGGACAGAGCACCTAAGGAAAGGGGAGACTGTGAGCAAAGTTTCAGCAGAATTAAATGTTCCTGCCTCACAGCTCTCAAGAGAGCAGCAGACCTCCCAGCACAGCGTTTGAGCTCTGCTAAGGGTCAGACTGACTCCTCAAGTGGGCCTCTCACCCCCGTGTATCCTGACTGGGAAACACCTCCCAGTAGGGGCCAAGAGATACCTCATACAAGAGAGCTCTGGCTAGTATCTGGCAGGTTTCCTTCTGGGATGAAACTTCCAGCAGAAAGATCAGGAAGCAATCTTGGCTGTTCTGCAGCCTCTGCTGGTGATGCCCAGGCAAACAGGGTCGGGAGTGGACCTCCAGCAAACTCCAGCAGATTGGCAGCAGAGGGGCCTGACTGTCGGAAGGAAAACTAACAAGCAGAAAGAAATAGCACGTCCCCTCAGAGACCCCATTTGAAGGTCACTAACCTCAAAGACCAAAGGTAGATAAATCCACAAAGATGGGGAGAAACCAACACAAAAACGCTGAAAATTCCAAAAACCAGAATGCCTCTTCTCCTCCAAAGGATTGCAACTCCTCACCAGCAAGGGAACAAAACTGAATAGAGAATGAGTTTGATGAATTGACAGAAGTAGGCTTCAGAAGGTGAGTAATAACAAACTCCTCCAAGCTAAAGGAGCATGTTCTAACCCAATGCAAGGAAGCTAAGAATCGTGAAAAAAGATTAGATAAATTGCTAACCAGAATAACCAGTGTAAAGAAGAACATAAATGACCTGATGGAGCTGAAAAACACAGCACGAGAACTTCATGAAGCATACACAAGTTTCAATAGCCGAATCGATCAAGAGGAAGAAAGAATATCAGTGATTGGAGATCAACTTAATGAAATAAAGAGAGAAGACAAGATTAGAGAAAAAAGAATGAAAAGGAATGAACAAAACCTCCAAGAAATATGGGACTATGTGAAAAGACCAAATCTACGTTTGATTGGTGTACCTGAAAATGACGAGGAGAATAAAATCAACTTGGAAAACATTTTTCAGCATATTATACAGGAGAACTTCCCCAACCTGGCAAGACAGGCCAACATTCAAATTCAGGAAATACAGAGAACAGCACCAAGATACTCCTCAAGAAGAGCAACCCCAAGACATATAATTGTCAGATTCACCAAGGTTGAAATAAGGAAAAAATATTAAGGGCAGCCAGACAGAAAGGTCGGGCTACCCACAAAGGGAATCCCATCAGTCTAACAGCAGATCTCTCAGCAGAAACTCTACAAGCCAGAAGAGAGTGGAGGCCGATATTCAACATTCTTAAAGAAAAGAGTTTTCAACCCAGAATTTCGTATCCAGCCAAACTAAGCTTCATAAGTGAAGGAGAAATAAAATACTTTACAGACAAGCAACTGCTGAGAGATTTTGTCACCACCAGTCCTGCCTTACAAGAGCTCCTGAAGGAAGCACTAAACATGGAAAGGAACAACCAGTACCAGCTGCTGCAAAAACATACAAATTGTAAAGAACAGCAACACTATGAAGAAACTGCATTAACTAATGGGAAACACAACCAGCTAGCATCATAATGACGGGATCAAATTCACACATAACAATATTAACCTTAAATGTAAATGGGCTAAATGCCCAAATTAAAAGACACAGACTGGCAAATTGGATAAAGAGTCAAGACCCATCAGTGTGCTGTATTCAGGAGATCCATCTCATGTGTAAAGACACACATAGGCTCAAAACAAAGGGATGGAGGAATATTTACCAAGCAAATGGAAAGCAGAAGAAAGCAAGAGTTGCAATCCTACTCTCTGATAAAACAGACTTTAAACCAACAAAGATCAAAAGAGACAAAGAAGGCCATTACATAATAGTAAAGGGATAAATGCAGCAAGAAGAACTAACTATTCTAAATATATATGCACCCAATACAGGAGCACCCAGATTCATAAAGCAAGTCCTTAGAGACACCTACAAAGAGACTTAAACTCCCACACAATAATAGTGGGAGACTTTAACAGGCACTGTCAATATTAGATCAATGAGACAGAAAATTAACAAGGATATTCAGAACTTGAACTAAGCTGTGGACCAAGCAGACATAATACACATCTATAGAACTCTCCACCCCAAATCAATAGAATATACATTCTTCTCAGCACCTCATCGCACTTATTCTAAAATTGACCACATAGTTGGAAGTAAAACAGTCCTCAGCAAATGCAAAAGAACAGAAATCATAACAAACAATCTCTTAGACCCACTGTACAATCAAATTAGAACTCAGGATTAAGAAACTCACTCAAAACTGCACAACTATATGGAAACTGAACAACCTGCTTCTGAATGACTACTGGGTAAATAACATAATAATGGCAGAAATAAAGATGTTCTTTGAAACCAATGAGAATGAAGACACAATGGACCAGAATCTCTGGGACACATTTAAAGCAGTGTGTGAGTGAAATTTATAGCACTAAATGCCCACAAGAGAAATCAGGAAAGATCTAAAATTGACATGCTAATATCAAAATTAAAAGAACTACAGAAGCAACAGCAAGCAAATTCAAAATCTAGCAGAAGACAAGAAATAACTAAGATCAGAGCAGAATGGAAGGACATAGAGACAGAAAAAAACCCTTCAAAACATCAGTGAATCCAGGAGCTGGCTTTTTGAAAAGATCAACAAAACAGACCACTAGCCCAACTAATAAAGAAAAGAGACAAGAATCAAATAGATGCAATAAAAAATGGTATAGGGGATATCACCACTGATCCCACAGAAATACAAACCATCAGAGAATACTATAAACACCTCTATGCAAATCTAGAAGAAATGGATAAATTCCTAGACACATGCACCCTCCCAAGTTTAAACCAGGAAGAACTTGAATCCCTGAAAAAACCAATAGCAAGTTCTGAAATTGAGGCAGTAATTAATAGTCTACCAACCAAAAAGGCCAGGACCAGATGGATTCACAGCCAAATTCTACCAAAGGTACAAAGAGGAACTGATACCATTTCTTCTGAAACTATTCCAAAAAATAGAAAAAGAGGGAATCCTCTCTAACTCATTTTATGAGGCCAGCATCATCCTGGTACCAAAAGCTGGGAGAGATCCCACAAAAAAAGAAAATTTCAGGACAATATTCCTCATGAACATCTGTGTGAAAGTCCTCAATAAAATACTGGCAAACTGAATCCTGCAGCACATCAAAAAGCTTATCCACCACGATCAAGTTGGCTTCGTTCCTGGGATGCAAGGCTTGTTCAACATATGCAAATCAATAAACATAATCTGTCACATAAACAGAACCAATGACAAAAACCACATGATTATCTCAATAGATGCAAAAAAGGTCTTTGAAAAAATGTAACATCCTTTCATGTAAAAACTCTCAATAAACTAGGTATTGATGGAATTTATCTCAAAATAATAAGAGCTATTTATTACAAACTCACAGCCAATATAATACTGAATGGGCAAAAACTGGAAGCATTCCCTTTGAAAACCGGCACAAGACAAGGATGCCCTCTCTCACCACTCCTATTCAACATAGTAATGGAAATTCTGGCCAGGGCAATCAGGCAAGAGAAAGAAATAAAGGGTATTCAAGTAGGAAGAGAGGAAGTTGAACTGTCTCTGTTTGCAGATGACATGATTATATATTTAGAAAACCCCATTATCTCAACCCAAAATCTCCTCAAGCTGATAAGCAACTTCAGCAAAGTCTCAGGATACAAAATCAATGTGGAAAAATCACAAGTATTCCTATACACCAACAACAGACAAAGAGAAAGCCAAATCATGAATGAACTCCCATTCACAATTGCTACAAAGTGAATAAAATACCTAGGAATAAAATTTACAAGGAATGTAAAGGACCTCTTCAAGGAGAACTACAAACTGCTGCTCAAGGAAATAAGAGAGGACACAAATAAATGGAAAAACATTCCATGCTAATGGATAGGAAGAAGCAATATCATAAAAATGGCCATACTCCCCAAAGTAATTTATATATTGAATGCTATCCCCATAAAGCTACCAATGACTTTCTTCACAGAATTGGAAAAAAACTACTTTAAACTTCATATGGAACCAAAAAATAGCCCACATAACCAAGACAATCCTGGGCAAGTAGAACAAAGCTGAAGGCATCACGCTACTTGACTTCAAACTACATTACAAGGCTACAGTACAGTAACCAAAACAGCATGGTACTGGTACCAAAACAGATATACAGACCAATGGAACTGAACAGAGGCCTCAGAAAAAACACCACACATCTACAACCATCTGATCTTTGACAAACCTGACACGAACAAGAAATGGGGAAAAGATTCCCTACTTAATAAATGGTGTAAGGAAAAGTGGCTAACCATATGCAGAAAACTGAAACTGGACCCCTTCCTTACACCTTATACAAAAATCAACTCAAGATTGATCAAAGGCTTAAAGGTAAGACCTAGGACCATAAAAATCCTAGAAGAAAACATGGGCAATACCACTCAGGACATAGGCATGGGCAAAGACTTCATGACTAAAGCACCAAAAGCAATGGCAACAAAAGCCAAAATTGACAAATGGAATCTAATTAAACTAAAGACCTTCTGCAATGCAAAAGAAACTATCATCAGAGTCAACAGGCAACCTACAGAATGGGAGAAAATTTTTGTAATATATCCTTCTGACAAAGGGCTAATGTCCAGAATCTACAAAGAAGTTCAACAAATTTACAAGAAAAAAACAAATAACCCCATCAAAAAGTGGGCAAAGGATATGAACAGACACTTCTCAAAAGAAGCCATTTCTGCAGTCACCAGACATATGAAAAAGTGCTCATCATCACTGATCATTAGAGAAATGCAAATCAAAACCACAATGAGATACCATCTCACACCAGTTAGAATGGTGATCATTAAAAAGTCAGGAAACAACAGATGCTGGACAGGATGTGGAGAAATAGGAATGCTTTTACACTGTTGGTAGGAGTGTAAATTGGTTCAACCATTGTGGAAGGCAGTGTGGAGATTCCTCAAGGATTTAGAACGAGAAATACCATTTGATATGGTGATCCCATCACTGGGTATATGCACAAAGGATTATAAATCATGATACTATAAAGACACATGCACACTTATGTTTATTGCGGCACTATTCACAATAGCAAAGACTTGGAACCAACCTAAATGTCCATCAATAATAGACTAGATAAAGAAAATGTGGCACATATACACCATGGAATACTATGCAGCCATAAAAAAGGATGAGTTCATGGCCTTTCCAGGGACATGGATGAAGCTGGAAACCATCATTCTCAGCAAACTGTCATAAGAACAGAAAACCAAACACCACATGTTCTCACTCATAAGTGGGAGTTGAACAATAAGAACACAAGGACATAGGGAGGGGAACATCACACACTGGGGTCTGTCAGTGGGGTGGGGGGCTATGGGAGGGGTAACATTAGGAGAAATACCTAATGTAGGTGACAGGTTGATGGGTTCAGCAAACCACCATGGCACATGTATACCTATGTAACAAACCTGCACATTCACACATGTACCCTAGAACTTAAAGTATAAAAATTAAAAAAAGAACAAATTGCAATTTGTTGAAAAATAAGTTAAATATTCAGAACACCTGATTAGTGAAGGGAAGTGGAAAATAAACCCAGAAAGAATATCAGGAATAGTGGGTCTGCCTTTGTCTAAGACAAAGCGAGAACTCCAAAAAGTTTTTGGTTTAACTGGCTACTTTAGGTGCAGGCCCTCATTACAGCCCCAATCCTAGCCCTCCTATTTTTAGAGAAACTAGCCCATCTGTTTGTAATGGTAGACCAGGGTGTGGCCCTTGGGGTGCTCATTCAAACCTGGGGAGGGAAGAGGCAATCTGTTGCTTTTGTCTCCAAGCTTCTCGATTCTGACTCTCAAGGATGGCCCTAATGTGTGCAAGCAGTACCTGTCACCACCCCACTGGTAGAGAAAGTTGAAAGCTAATCTTTGGTGAGGCCCTAATAGTGAGCACCCCACATCAGGTCAGGAATATATTAAATCAAATATCTGGGAGAGAGTTAATGGATTCTCAGATTCTAAAATATGAAGCTATATTATTAGAAAAAGATGATTTGGCTGTAAGAACAAATACTTGTCTGAATCCAGCCAGTTTCCTATGGGAAGGAGAGGAGAACAAAGAGGCATAAGACCATAACTGCTTAGATATCGTAGAATACCAAACCAGAGTTAGACCAGACATTAGAGAAGCTCCTCTACATAATGGGATTAGGCTGTTTGTGGATGGGTCATCCCAAGTGATAGATGGCAAGATACATAATGGTTATGCTGTCATTGATGGAAATGAACACTCGTTATGTGAGGAAGGTAGATTACCTAATGGCTGGTCAGCCCAAACCTGTGAATTATATGCCCTTAACCAGGCCCTAAAGCTCCTTGAAGGCCGAGAAGGCACTATATATACTGACTCCAAATATGCCTTTGGGAGGTACACACTTTTGGAGAAAATCTAGCCAGAGCAGGGCTTAAGAAATAGCAAGGGAAAGGAACTGATACATGGGAAACTAATCAGCAGGTCTTAAAGAGCCTTCTGTTTTCAGCAGAGATAGCCATAGTTCATATAAGTGACCATGAGAAAGGGAACACTATGGAAGCTGTAGGGAACAGGCTTGCTGATGAAGCTGCCAAACAAGCCTCTCTACAGGAAGAAATTAGACTATTTAACCTAATTCTAGACATCTTGAAGGTAATATTAAGGCCCCAATTCACTAGAGAAGAGAAAGAGAAACTAGGCAAGATAGGGGCCACTCAGACTGAAAATGGAGGGTGGGTACTTCCTCATGGGAGAGAAATGATAAGTAAACCCCTGATGACAGAACTAAAGTCTATATTACACAAAGGGAGTCATTGGGAACCCCAGGCTCTGTGTGATGTAATACTTAAGAATTATGGGTGTATAGAGATTTACACCCTCACTAAATAACTATGTAGAAGCTGTGTAACTTGTCAAAGAATAAACAAAATGGTGATTAGAAAACAGGCCTTTGGAGGAAGACCTCCTGGACTAAGACCAGTTCAGAGCATTCAAGTAGATTTCACAGAAATGTCCAAGGTAGGAAGACCAAAGTATTTGCTGGTGATTGTAGATCACCTTTCCAGCGGGGTGGAAGACTTTTCCTTTCTGACAGCCACTGCTTGGAATGTGGTAAAAATAATATTAGAACACAGTGTACCTAGATTTGGCCTGGTGGCAAATATTGATTTGGACAATGGAAACCACTTTACCTCAAGGATGCTAAGGGGAATTATGGAAGGTTTACACATTAGATGTGAGTATCACACTCCTTGGCATCTCCATTCCTCTGGAGAGGTAGAGGGAATAAATCAAACTCTCAAAAAGCATATTACCAAACTAATCTTAGAAACTAAAATGGCTTGGAGAAAATGTCTCCCAATAGCACTCCTTAGGATTAGGACAGCCCCAAGAAAATACTTGGGATTGTCCCCCTCTGAGTTATTATATGGGCTCCTGTGTTTGGGCAGAGCTACAGATCTTCCTACTAGGGAAACCAAGGACCAATTCTTAAGAAATTGCATACTGGCTACATTCTCCATCGTGTCATCCCTTCGGTTAAAAAGACTTCTGATTGAAACTCCACCTCTTGAGTTCATGACTCACCACTTCCAGGCTGGTGACTCCGTGCTGATTAAGACTTGAAAAAAAGACAACATCCATCCAAGTTGGAAAGGTCCATATCAAGTACTCCTAACCACCAAGACAGACATGCAAACAGCTGAACGAGTGGACTCACTTTACTCAAGTCAAGGAACTGGTAAAAAAAGAAAAAAACAAAAAGAAGCCAGAAGGGAGAGGAAAAAAAAAATGGAGGCAGGGCAGGTTGGCTCATACCTGTAATCTAAGCACTTTGGGAGGCCGAGGTGGGTGGATCACTTGAGGTCAGGAGTTTGAGACCAGCCTGGCCAACATGATGAAACCCTGTCTCTACTAAAAATACAAAAATTAGCTGGGCACGGTGGTGTATGCCTGTAATTTCAGCTATTTGGGAGGCTGAGGTGGGGGAATCACTTGAACCTGGGTGGTGAAGTTTGCAGTGAGCCAAGATCGCACCACTGCACTCCAGACTGAACAACAGAGCAAGACCCCACCTTAAAAAAAAAAAAAAGAAAACCAATGCAAAGTGCATGGGTCACCTGAGGAAACCTTAAAATTAACTCTGAGAAAAAACTAAAAAGAAAACATGAGCTGGCCTCATCTCTGGAAGTCAGTATGGCTGGGATGGGTTACTATACAAAGAGCAGAAGGTCAAAATGGAAATTGGCAGGGGACTCTTCCATACCCAATCAAGTTAGTGATTAATTTGACCAAGACAGTAGCACCCCACACTATAAGATTTGATGCCTGCCAGGTTTTATCTCATGGGAATTTAGAAAACCAGAGACAGCTCTCACAGGTGGATAAATATCTTTGTCCTGAACCAGATACAGCTTATGATAGGGCATCACCCTGCTCCAGCTGGGATGATGTATGGTGGAGTACCAAATTTCATGGTTGGACAATAAACATGGGGTGGGTAACACTGAGCTGGAGACCCTTGAAGAATAAACTACATCTGTCCAAGGGCTCCCCACCAAATAACTGCCAGAATATAGAATGCAGTCCTACACTCATCACCATTGACAATCCAGCCGTTCTAGACCAAGAACCAAAAGTAGTGTCTTGAGTATATGGTTAGGGGCAGACATCACAGGAAAAGCCCCCATAGAGAGATTTGTTCTCAAACTGATTAAGAACTTGACCTCCCATTTGCCTGGGACTACTCCAACCCCAGTCCCTAACACACACTTTAATCCATCAAATAATGACCCTAAAAGAGTAGAAATAATTGAAGTAAAGGATTTATGGCAAACCTTAGAAACTGAGACAGGGAACAGAGATGTGAATGCCTGGGTCAAATGGCTCAAATTTTTGGTATAAACACTGAACAAGAGCAACTGCTACACGTGTGCTGTGGGAGGACCTCAGGCACAGGTGTTTCTGTTTCCCCTAGGCTGGGTATTGATCCTGAAGGAATGTGTTGCATGTTGGCTCTAAACCAGGACAAGGATGCATGGGGAAATGAGACTCATAAGAGTCTGTCATTGATCTTTCCCACATTGTGGAGGTCAGATTCCAGAGCAATCCCCTCCTTCTCTATAGGGAATATGAACCACTCCTCTTGCCTCTTTAGGCAGGGGCAGAGTTCAATAAGCCTATGGGAGAACTCTCGACTTGTACCCACATTCTAAACATCACAGGTAAGTCAGGCAATGGCAATTACTCAGCTTTTATATACCCTGGGCTGATGTCTGATGGTATTATGGGAACAGGAACCTCGGTAACCTGTTACCATCTAATTGGACCAGGACTTGTGCTTTAGTTCAATTGGCCATTCCCTTCACCCTGGCATTCCATAAAATACCTGAAAATACACATGGCCATTGGAACAAGAGAGACTTAACAAATTCTTTTTTTCTCATAAAAATATTATATTTTTCAGAAGAAATATTACACATAATACATTGAAAATCACTGATTGTTTTTCTTCTTTTTTCTGTGAATGTGTAGGTGTTTGAGTCTCTTGTATTTCTTCTTTTATACAGGATATGGGCTGTTAGAAAACTATTTCATTATATTTATCATCATCATTCATTTCAGCCACTTCAGATTTTTGTCTCTCCAAAAATACTGGTGTACAAACTGGTGTGGGGCCCTGGCTATCCACGGTCTTCTCAGGAGTGTCAAGAGTGCCAAAAACCCTTTTCTTCTTCTTACAGAAAACCTGGCCTTTTGTAGATGTCTGATGATTAGTTTTTAAAATACTTTCTGTTTTCTGTAAAATCAAAGAAGGAAAATCATAATCAATTCCTTTTTTAGCTCATTTCTTCCTGAGTAATCTTTGTTTCTTTTTAAATCACTCCTCCATCCGTAGCTTTTGTGTTAGTGTCCGATTCTGATTATAACATTTCACTGATGATAAGATGGCTGCTTAAATGGAATATTCCAGTCTTTAAAGAGCTCTTTGTGTACTTTTTCAGGTGGCATATAATGACACTCCAAGAGTCTTTCACCAAACAGGTACTTGTTCATTGTTTCATCAACTATCTTGGCAACATCCTCAAACTCAAACTTGCAGATGCATAGCCTTTGCTATTTCCAGTCCTTTTACTTCTGAACAGTCTGAACCATGTAACAGTGCCAAACTGGGAGAAATACGAAAAGATCTGGGTTTCATTAAGTAGGTGGCACACAAAGACTACTCTAGGAGTAAGTTGTTCTTGTTCTTTTTGCTGGGTTGTGCACTTGCAAACCTCTACCACCTCCTTTTGAAACTCGACATCTTCCTGCGGGTTAAGTGACAGGATTGGCCCAGCTGGTACAGAAAAGGCTGCCATGCCAAAAGCGGCCATCACTAACTCTACGAGGCACTCCTAGAAACGTCAGGTTCTCAGCTCCCCAACAAATTTTTTTGATCGTAATATATATGTTGCCTTCATAGGAGTCCCTAGAGGGGATGCCTAATGAATTTAAGGCCTGAAACCAAATAGCTGCTGGGTTTCAGTCAGCACTCCTCTCATGATCAGCTATTAATAAAAATGTGGATTGGATTAATTCTATTTATTATTATCAACAGAAATTCATCAATTATACTCGGGACACCCGAGTTTAATTAACTAGCCAGTTACATGCCACCAGCTGAATGGCCTGGGAAAAGAGGCTTGAGCTAGACATGATACTAGCAGATAAAGGGGGCATATGTGTTATGCTGGGTGGGAAATGTTGTATTTTCATTCCCAACAATACTGCCCCAGATTGAACTATTACAAAAGCATTACAAGGACGGAAAACTCTCACCAACAAACTGGCAGAAAATGCTGGAATTGATGACCGATTTACTGGTTGGCTAGAAGGTTGGTTTGGGAAATGGAAAGGCATGGTAGCTTCAGTCCTTACATCTCTCATAATTGTAGCAAGGGCCTTAAGGGCAGTGGGATGCTATATTATCCCTTGTATACTGGAACTAGCACAAAGGTTAATTGGAACAGCTATTAACAAACAAATGCCCATGACCTACCAGCAAAATAACTTACTGTTGTTAGACACTGAACCAGACTATGAAGAAGAAAGTAAAGTAGTCCTAAAATGATTTGAGGACGAAAGGACCCAAAAATTAAAGTAAAAATAAGACCAAAAGATGAAAAGAAAGAAAGAAAGAAAGAAAGAAAGAAAGCAAGAAAGAAAAGAGAAGAGAAGAAAAGGAAAGGAAAGAAAAAAAAGGGAACTTGTAAGAAAACATTTTAATGGTCCATTTTCAAGGCATGATAGACCTAAGTACTCGCAGCCAGCCTGCGGATATGACAAACTGCACAGCTTATGCACGTAGAAAGTCATAATAAGCAAACAGAATGTAGAGGAGGGGTCAGCCCATAAAAGGGAATAAAGTTTTGCTATTGGGAAACAAAAACTTAAGCAAGGAAGGGGACCAGGGTGTGACCCTATAAGGAGATAATGAAACTTAGGTGACGTCTGGGAAGATTGTAACCCCATAGTACTCGACCAATGAGGAACTGGGGGAGGGACTTGCGTGCTAGGAAATAAATTGCCTGCTGTTACTGACCCGGGTGTGCCTGCCTACCAGACACCTGATCTTGCAAGACTATCATTAAAAGTCTCACTCCCACCTGGTGCAGTGGCTCATGCCTGTAATCCCAGCAGTTTGGGAGGCCAAGGCAGGTGGATCACTTGAGGTCAGGAGTTCAAGACAAGCCTGGCCAATATGGTGAAACTTCATGTCTACTAAGAATACACAAAAATTAGCTGGGCACTGTGGCATGTGCCTGTAATCCCAGCTTCTCAGGAGGCTGAGGCAGGAGAATTGCTTGAACCCAGGAGGTGGAGGAGGCTGAGGAAGGAGAATCACTTGAACCCGAGAAGTGGAGATTGCAGTAAGCTGAGATCGTGCCATTGAACTCCAGCCTGGGTGACAAGAGCAAAACTGTGTCTCAAAAAAAAAAAAAAAGAATGACGAGGCCTTCACCATCCTGGAAGGTGGTGCCCCCAGGCCCCAGGCACATGGCAAGCTGGATGCTGTTGATGGAGTAATGAATGGTAAATACTACCAGGAAAGTAATAGTCCAACAGACAGTTGTGCAGCATTTCACAAGTGGATAGATTGCAGTCAGAGCCTGAAAGTATCCGTAAATGGAGAGAAGAGCAAACAGAACGCTTGGAAGCCCTTGATGCCAATTCTCAGAAGCAAGAAGCAGAGTGGAAAGAAAAGGCAATAAAGGAGCTAGAGGTGTGATATGTGAGATAGGATGAGCAACTACAGAAAACAAAAGCAAACAGGGCAGCAGAAGAAGCCTTTGTAAATGACATTGACCAGTTCTTCCCAGGCACTGAGTGGGAAAGTGTGGCCTGGCTGTGTAACTTTAACCCCAAGTCCAGAAGGCAGGCTAAAGACATCTCCCAGAGGTGCTCAGTCCTCATCTCCCTCAAGCAGGCCCCGCTGGTGCACTGAAGAGCCACCCTGTGGAAACATGTGCAGGAAACATCTGCAATATCTTAATCCTACTCAGCAAAGTTCTTCACAGTTATTGGATTAATTATGTTGAGTTATTTTGGACCAAACCTTTTTGTCTTTAGAGTTGATCATTGTTTGTGATTGCATGTTTCCTTCAACTGTGTTCTACCTGGCATTCAGAGAGTAGGGGGAGTAGGAAGAGGAAGAGAGAGAAGCCTCCCAACAGTAGCCTCGACCTATGCTTTTGTGCATTATTCTGAGAATAAATTTCTGTTTCAAACTATTAAAAACAAAACAAAACAGGCAAAGGATATGATACTTCCCAAAAGAAGTCATACAAGTGGCCAACAAACCTATTAAAAATACTCAGCATTATTAATTATCAGATAAATGCAAAGCAAAACCACAATGGGATACTATAACATGAGTCAGAATGGTCATTATTAAAAGGTCAATAACCAACAGATGCTGGTGGCATTGTGGAGAAAGGTAATGCTTATGCACTGCTGGTGGGAATGTAAATTCATCTAGCCAGTCTGGAGATTTCTCAAAAAACTTAAAACAGAGCTACCATTTGACTCAGCAATCCTGTTACTCTATATATACTCAAACCTTCCTAGCTAACATGGTGAAACCCCGTCTCTACTAAAAATACAAAAAAATTAGCCGGGCATGGTGGTGAGCCCCTGTAGTCCCAGCTACTCAGGAGGCTGAGGCAGGAGAATGGCATGAACCTGGGAGGCGGAGCTTTCAGTGAGCTGAGATTGTGCCACTGCACTCCAGCCGGGGCAACAGAGTGAGACTCCGTCTCAAAAAAAAAAAAAAAAAAGAAGATATATTATTTTACCAAAAAGACACATGCACTGGTATATTCATCACTGTGCTACTCACAGTAGCAAAGACAAAGAATCAACTCAGGTGCTCATCAATGGTAGTCAATGACAGATTAGATAAAGAAAATGTGGTACATTGCTTTGCTGGTGCATGTGCTTGTGGGCAGAACTTTCCTTCACTTCCCTGTCAGTGCCTGTGTGGGCATGCACCCTGACATGCCACAGCTGCTGGCATGAGTACACTGCACACCTTCAACACCCTGCTGTGCTGCTATTACCATTGAAAAAACAGCATTCACAGGCACAGAAACCACCAGACTTGCACTCACCAGCACCCTTCCCCCATGCCAACACTGCCACTGGCAGAAAACTACCGAGGGAGACCAGCAGACCTGTCCCCAACTCAGTGGTAGATGCTGCCCATGTTAACGTGCACACAGAGGATGTACACAAGCCCATGCCAACCGGTGCGCTGCCAACACCACTGCCAGTGCAAATGTGTGTATGGGCACCACTGGGTTCCCCTACCCCCATGCCATACAGCCACCACCAAAGCTGTGACTGCCTGCACAATGGCTGGCATATCTGCACTCACCAGCACCCCACTACAGTTGATGAGCATGCACCCTGCTGCACTGCTGTTGTTGCTGGCATATGCAAGTGAGGATGAATCCCACTGCTACCTTGCTACAAAGTGCTGTAGCTGGCACCATCCATCAAAGTGTTGTGACCAGTGGTCCAGGAACAAATTGGCCTCTCCAGTGTAGCAGGCTTCTAACCTTCAGGAGCTACAAAACAAAGCAAGGGGCTAATACCAGCTGCTCAGAATTACAGCACCACAGTCCAGTCCAGAAGTCCTGAGCTGAGCCTTGGACCCCTAAAATCTTCCAGAAACAAAGCCAGTTGCCTGAACCCACCTTATATCACAATCAAATCCCCAAGGACATAAAGAGAATAAAAGAAAAAAAAACCTACCCAAAGCTTAGCAACTTCAAAGTTTGAAGGAACATCAGACCACAAAGAGAAGAAAGAACCAGTGCAAGAACTATGGCAACTCAAAAAACCAGAGTGTCTTACTTACAAATGACCACAGTGGTTTCACAGCAATGGTTCCTAACCAGGCTAAGATGGCTGAAGTGACTGACATAGAATTCAAAATACAGATAAAAATGAAGATTATTAATATACATGAGAAAGTCAAAACCCAATCCAAGAAATCTAAGATTATAGAGCAATATAGGAGACAACGGATGAAATGGCCATTGAAAAAAAGAACTAAAATTATCTGAGAGAGCTGAAAAACACTCCACAAACATTTCATAATGCAATCACAAGTATCAACAGCAGAACTGACAGAGTTAAGAAAATAATCTCAGAGCTTGAAGACTGGCTCTCTGAAATAATTCAGTCAGAGAAAAATAAAGAAAAACAATAAAGAAGAATGAACAAAACCTCTGAGAAATATAGGCTTATGTAAAGAGACCCAGTGTATGACTCATTGGTGTGCCTGAGAGACAGAAAGAGAAACTAAGCAACTTGAAAAACATATTTCAGGATATCGTCCATGAAAATTTTTGCCAACTCACTAGAAAGGCCAACATTCAAATTCAGGAATTGCAGGGACAGGGAAGCCATGCAAAATACTACACAAGAAGACCATCCCCAAGACACATAGTCATCAGATTTTCCAACAACAAAATGAAAGAAAAACGTTAAAGGCAGCTAGAGAGAAGGGACAGATCACCTACAAAGAGAATCCCATCAGGCAAACAGCAGACATTTTAGCAGAAATCCTACAAGCTAGAAGAGATTAGAGACTATATTCAGCATTTTTAAAGAAAAAAAATTTAACCAAGAATTTCATATTCAGCCAAAGTTTTACAAACAAAGGAGCAATAAGATCCTTTTCAGACAAGCAAATGCTAACAGAAATTGTTACTGCCAGACTTGCCTTACAAGGATTCCTGAAGAAGGTGCTAAATATGGAAAGGAAAGACTGTTACCAGCCACTACCCCCCCAAAAAACCGCAAAACTTAAGTGACACTATAAAGCAGGAACACAAACAGCCTGCATCATTACCAGCTAACAACATGATGACAGGATCAAATCCACACATATGAGGGCTAACCTTGAATGTAAACAGGCTAAATGCCCCAATTTGAAGGCACACAGTGGCAAGTTAGATAAAGAGGCAAAACCCAGTGGTACGCTCTCTTCAAGAGACCCATGTCACATGCAATGACACCTATAGGCCCAGAGTAAAGGGATGGAGAAAAATCTATCAAGCAAATGGAAAATGGCAAATAGGAGTTGCTATTCTAATTTCACACAAAACAGACTTTAAACTAACAATGATTCAAAAAGACACAGAAGAGAACTAAATAATGATAAAGTGCTCGATTCAACAAGAAGACCTGTTAAATATATACACACCCAAAACAGGAGCACCCAGATTAATAAAGCAAGTTCTTAGAGACCTGTGAAAAGATTTAGATAACTACACAATAACAGTGGTAGAATTTAACACCCCACTAACAGTGTTAGACAGATCATTGAGGCAGAAGACTAACAAAGACATTTTGGACCTTAACTCAACACTTGACAAAATGGACCTGATAGACATCTACAGAATTCCCCACCCAAAAACAACAGAATATACATTCTTCTCATCTATGCATGTCACATATTCTAAAATTGACCACACAATTGGACATAAAACACCCCAGCAAATACCAAAAAAACCCAAACTCATACCAACCATACTTTCAAACCACAGTCCAACAAAAATAGAATCAATGCTAACAAAATTACTCAAAACCATACAATTAAATGGAAATTAAACAATCAGCTCCAGAACAATTTCTGGGTAAACAATAAAATTAAGGCAAAAATCAAGAAATTCTTTGAAACTAATCAGAGGGCCGAGCGTGGTGGTTCATGCCTGTAATCCCAGCACTTCGGGAGGCCGAGGCGGGCAGATCATGAAGTCAAGAGATTGAGACCATCGTGGCCAACATGGTGAAACCCCATCTCTACTAAAAATACAAAAATTAACTGGGCGTGGTGGCGCATGCCTGTAGTTCCAGCTACTGAGTAGGAGACTGAGGCAGGAGAATTGCTTGAACCTGGGAGTCAGAGGTTGCAGTGAGCTGAGATCGTGCTACTGCACTCCAGCCTGGCAACAGAGCGAGACTCCATCTCAAAAAAAAAAAAAAAAAAATTAATTAGAAAAACATACAACATACAAGAATCTCTGGGACACAACCAAATCAGCGTTAAGAGGGAAGTTTGTATCACCAACCACCCACATCAAAAAGTTAGATCACAAGTTAACAACCTAACATCACAACTAGAGGAACTAGAGAAACAAGAGCAAACTAACCCCAAAGCTAGCAGAAGGCAAGAAACAACCAAAATCAGAGCTAAACTAAAGGAGATTGAGATGTGAAAAACCATACAAAAGATCAATGAATCCAGGAGCTGGATCATTGAAAGAATCAGTAAGATAGACTGCTGGCTATACTAATAAGTAAAAATGAGAGAAGATCCAAATAAACACAACCAGAAATAACAAATGGGATTACCACTGATCCCACAGAAATACAAAAAACCCTCAGGGACTATAACAAACATCTGTATGCACACAAGCTAGAAAACCTAGAAAAAATGGATAAATTCCTGGAAACATACAATCTCCCAAGATTGAACCAGGAAGAGATTGAATCCCTGAACAGACCAATAATGAGTTCCAAAATTGAATCAGTAATAAAAAGCCTACCAACCAGAAAAAGCCCAGGACTATATGAATTCACAGCCAAATTCTGCCAG
Source organism: Homo sapiens (assembly GCF_000001405.40). Classification (NCBI taxonomy): domain Eukaryota; kingdom Metazoa; phylum Chordata; class Mammalia; order Primates; family Hominidae; genus Homo; species Homo sapiens. The sequence goes on from NC_000012.12 coordinate 7,612,002, forward strand.
ATGTACAAGAAAGAGCTTGTGCCATTGCTTCAGAAAGTATTCAAGAAAATTGAGGAGGAGAAACTTTTTCCTAACTCATTCTACGAAGCCAGCATCATCCTAATACCAAAACCTGGCAGAGACACACAAACAAAAAGGAAGTTTCTGGCCAATATCCTCAATGAACATATAAGGTTGGTGCAAAAGTAATTGCAGTTTTTGCCATTGAAAATAAAGGCCAAGTGGCCAAGTGTGGTGGCTCATGCCTGTAATCCCAGCACTTTGGGAGGCCAAGGCAGGCAGATCACTTGAGTCCAGGAGTTCGAGACCAGCCTGGCCAACATGACAAAACCCCATCTCTACTAAAAACACAAAAATTAGCCAGGTGTAGTGGTGAACACCTGTAGTTGCAGCTACTCAGGAGGCTGAGGCAGGAGAATCGCTTGAACCTGGGAGGCGGAAGTTGCAATGAGCCGAAATGGTGCCACTGGACTCCAGCCTGGGTGATAGAGAATCCATGTCAAAAAAGAAAGAAGGAAGGAAGGAAGGAAGGAAGGAAGGAAGGAAGGAAGGAAGGAAGGAAGGAAGGAAGGAAGGAAGGAAGGAAACAAAGAAAGAAAGGGAAAAGAAAAGCCAAAACTGCAATTACTTGTGCACCAACCTAATAGATGCAAAATACTCAACAAAATTCTAGCAAACCTAATCCAGCAACACATCAAAAAGCTAATCCATATGAACACGTACGTTTTATCCTATCCCTGAAATGCAACTTTGGTTCAACATACATAAATCAATAAATGTGATTCATCACATAAACAGAACCAAAACCAAAAACCACATGATCATCTCAATAGATGCAGATAAGGTTTTTGATAAAATTCAACATGCTTTCATGTTAAAAATTCTCAACAACCTAGTCATTGAAGGAATAGACTTCAAAATAATAAGAGCCATCTGTAAAAAACTCAGAGACAACATCATACTGAATGGGCAAAAGCTGGAAGCATTCCCCTTGAAAACCAGTGCAAGAAAAGAATGCCCTCTCTCACCATTCCTATTCAACATAATAAGGGAAGTCTTAACCAGAGCAGTCAGGCAAGAGAAGGAAGTAAAAGACATCCAAATAGAAAGAGAGGAAGTAAAACTATCCCTGATTGCAGATGATGTGATTCTATACCTAGAAGACCCCTATTCTCTGCCCAAAAGCTCCTAGATCTAATACACAACTTCAGCAAAGTTTCAGGATACAAAATCAGTTTGCAAAAATCAGTAACATTTCTATATACCAACAACTGTCAATTTGAGAGCCAAATCAGGAACACAATCCCATTCATAAAAGCCACAAAAAGAATAAAATACCTAGGAATATAGCTAACCAGGGAGGTGAGATATCTACAATGAGAATTACAAAACACTGATAAAATAAATCAGAGATGACACAAATGGGAAAACATTCCACGCTGATGAATAGAAAGAATCAATATTGGAGAAATGACCATACTGCCCAAAGCAATGTATAGATTCAATGCTACTTTTATCAAACTATCAACATTTTCTTTACAGAATTAGAAAAAAAAGCTATTTTAAAATTCATATGGAACCAAAAAAGAGCTCAAATAGCCAAAGAAATTTATTTAGTTATTTAGTTATTTATTTTACAAAAAGAAAAAAACCTGGAGGCATCACAATACCTGACTTCAAACTACCTTACAAGTAATGAAAACAGCATGGTACTGGTACAAAAACAGACACATAGACCAATGGAACAGAATAGAGGGTGCAGAAGTAGTACCACACACCTACAATCATCTGATCTTTGACAAAATCCAAAAAAGCAAGCAATAAGGAAAGGACTCCCTATTCAATGAATGATGTTGGGATAACTGGCTAGCCATATGCAGAAGATTGAAGCTGGACCCCTTCCTTACATCATATACAAAAATTAACTCAAGGTGGATTAAAGACTTAAATCTAAAACCAAACACTATAAAAACCCTGGAAGATAAGCTAGGTAATACCATTCTGGACACAAGACCTGGCAAAGACTTCATGACAAAGAACGAAAGCAATTGCAACAAAAACAAGAATTGGTAAATGGGACCTAGTTAAACTAAGAGCTTCTGCACAGCAAAAGAAACTATCAACAGAGTAAACAGACAACCTCCAGAATGGGAGGAAATATTTTCAAGCTAAGTATCTGACAAAGGTCTAATATCTACAATCTACAAGGAACTTAAATGAATTAACATTCCAACAACCCCATTAAAAAGTGGGCAAAGGACATGAACGGTCACTTTTCAAAATAAGACACTCATGCATCCAACAAACATATGAAAAAATGCTCAACATCACTAATCATTAGAGAAATGCAACTCAAAAGCACAATGAGATATCATCTCACACCAGTCAGAGTGGCTATATTAAAAAGTTAAAAAAAAAAAAAGTAACAAATGCTGGTGAGGTTGAGGCAAAAAGGGAATATTTATGCACTGCTGGTGGGAATGTAAACCATTTTACCCATTGTGGAGAGCAGTTTGACCATTCCTCACATAATTACCATTTGACCCAGCAATTCCATTATTGGGTATGTACCCAAAGGAATACAAATTGTTCTACTATAAAGACATACGTGCATGCATATGTTTGTAACCGCCCTCGATCCCTGGTGGATCGAGGAGGGAAAATGTGGGAATAAAGACAAGAGACCAAAGAAGACAAGCCTGGCCAACATGGTGAAACCCCATCTCTACAAAAAATACAAAAAGTAGCCGGGCATGGTGGCCGGTGCCTGTAATCCCAGGTACTCAGGAGGCTGAGGTGGGAGAATTGCTTGAACCCAGGAGGCAGAGGTTGCAGTGAGCCGAGATTACACCACTGCACTCTAGTCCTGGGTGACAGAGTGAGGAAGGAAGGAAGGAAGGAAGGAAGGAAGGAAGGAAGGAAGGAAGGGAGGGAGGGAGGGAGGGAGGGAGGGAGGGAGGGAGGGAGGGAGGGAGGGAGGGAGGGAAGGAAGGAGAAGGGGAAGGGGAAGGGGAAAGAAAGAGAGAAAGAAAGAAAGGAGAAAAGAAAGAAAAAGAGAGAGAGAAAGAAAGAAAGGAGAAAAGAAAGAAAAAGAAGAGAGAGAAAGAAAGAAAAAGAAAGAAAGAAAGAAAGAAAGAAAGAAAGAAAGAAAGAAAAAGAAAAGAGGGAAGAAGGAAGGGAAGAAAAGTTGAACTCAGAGAAATAGAAAGTAGAAACGTGCTTCCTAGGAGTTAGGGGTTTGGGGAAATGGAGAGATATTGGTCAAAGTGTGCAAACTTGCAGTTATAAGATGAATACATTCTGGAGAGCTAATGTGCTACACAGGGATTACAGTTAACAACTTGTTCTATACTTGAAATTTGCTAAGAGAGGCCTTAAGTATTCTTATCATAAAAAAGGTAACTGTGTGAGATGATGGATATGTTAATCAGCTTGATAGAAACAGTCGTTTCACAATGTACTTCAAAACGTCAACAGTGTACACCTTGACTGTATAACATTTTGTCAATTACACCTCAATAAAGCTGAAAAACATACGTACTAAAATAAAAATAAAGACATCTTATTTACTATATGTTGTTGATTCATTAACATTGAACTCATGGCCAACTGCACTATTGCTCATGCCCAAACAAAGCTTATCTAATACATATTTTCTCTTTAAAGCATGTCACAGACTTCTCGCACTTAGGAACACTATATAGGACTCTAGTACTGGGCTTGGGGATCATTTTAAACAGCAAAGTCACCAATAAAGGCACTCTCTCAGCCCACATCTTTCTCCTGTGTTGGATGCTTCTTGCCCTCGAACATCAGACTCTAAGTTTTTCAGCTTTGGGACTTGGGCTGGCTCTCCTTGCTCCTCAGCTTGCAGACAGCCTATTGTGGGACCTGTGATCATTTAAGTTAATACTTAATAAACTCATATATATTTATATAATAAACTAATATACATATAAACTCATATGATAATATGAATTCATTCGTTTTGTGTTATATATTATTACATTAGTTTGTTAAACTCATATGAGTGTATTATATAAACTCATATATAATACTCATAAACTCATATATATATGAGATATATATATGTATCCTATTAGTTCTGTCCCTCTAGAGAACCCTGACTAATACAGGCACAAAAATGAAAAAAAGTATCACCCCTAATAAACCACGAAAAAGACACAAAGACACAGACATAAGTAAGAAGCCAGTTTCCCCTTGTTCACTCTCAGCTGGGAATGTGCCCACTGACAGACACAAATTTTTTGCTGCTCTGCACATTTTCATGAATGACCTTGAGTATTAATTTTGGAGTTACAATCTTAACAAGCACGCATATTTGCAAATGCAGTATCCATGAATAATGAGAATTGACTGTACATGTAACTAGCCCCAGAGTTCTAATCTGTCATCTGGGTTTTGGATACAGTATCTTCTTCTTTTTTTTGAGACAGAGTCTTCCTCTGTTGCCCACCTCAGCTCACTGCAACCTCCACTTCCTGGGTTCAAGTGATTCTCGTGCCTCAGCCTCCTGAGTAGCTGGGATTACAGATGCATGCCACCATGCCCGGCTAATTTTTGTATTTTTAGTAGAGTCAGGGTTTCAACATGTTGTTCAGGCTGGTCTGTCTGCCTCGGCCTCCCAAAGTGCTGGGATTACAGGCATAAGCCACTGTCCCCAGACTGGATACCTTATCTTATCATGCCATTAGGGCCAATTGTCATATTATCTCCAGGCAAAAGTGATCAAGCATCAAATGTGCACTCTTACATTCCAACTATGGAGTGATAACCAGACTGTTAGTCTGCACAGGCTGTAATATCTCTGATATTACAAGCTCTGAAGGCAACTGAGCATGGCAATTCTGGCCATGGTCTACAACAGCATAATAGAGATCATCTGGCTCAAAATTTAAATTTAGCTCCTATACTGTAATCACCTTGAGAGCAAAAATCCCTTTGTGTCCATCAAGACTTATTACTCAAGGCCTTGTATGGTGTCTAACAGACCAATTGTTTTAGTATAATATGACCATGACTGCAGAAGGCTTACTGTACCTCCTTTCATGGGTAATAGGTGTCCCATTTAATAGAATTATTCAAAACCTTAATAGGCACACTTCAAACTGAAATTCCACGAACTCTGGCAGCTACGTGAAAAAAGTTTTAAATGACGTGGAAAGAAGACCACTGTTACTTCTCAAGTCATGCCATTCCTAACAGTTCACTTACTTCCCATGAGCCCCAGATTCCACAGTTGCTTGGCTTGTAAGGCCATTTATTTCCTGAAAACAATTTTCTTTTCTGAGAAGATACATTAGCTTCAATGCAATTTGTTATGGAATCATACTAAAAACAGGATAGATTCTGATTCCAAATTGTTGTTAATGAATTAAAAAGCTGAGGATTTCCTTGTATCTTTGAGTGACATTCTTCTTCAAGTCTCATCACCATCTTTATGTCTCTTTGCAAGATGTAGTAAATTATTTGGGAAAGTTTTGGATCAGAGAAAGTTGTTCTCAGGCTCATGTCATTTTCTTTTCTGTTTAGAAATTCATGAAAGACATTTTAAGAAACAGAATGAGAGCTATTCTTGGAATCATGGAATTTTAAAGCAGGAACATAAATTTTGACATGATTTTTATATAATATATTACATAATTATATAATTACTATTAACCTTATTTTATTTATTAATTTATTGATCAAGACTCAAAGAAGTTTTCAGCATGGTTCAAACTGTGGAGTGATGACGTATTGAGTCATTAGCAGCTAGTGAAAGCCTTTTAGCTGTTGGTGACCATTAATAAAAAATAACTACAAAGCATTACAAAAGAAAATAGAGTACGTCACATATAATCCTGGTAACTACAGTTTTATAAAACTTTTATTTGTACTTTATGAAAGTGTATGTGTGTGCCATACACATGTATGTGTGCATTTGTGTGTATGCACTGGGCCATGCTATTTCTTACTTTGGGCTGTCTCAGTCAAAAAAGTACAAAAATCACTGATCTAAATGAATTACTGATAACCCAAAGGAAATAAATAGTGTATTAGGAAATTGAACACAGGTTGCCTACTCCACATTTGGTACAATTTGTTCTGTACCAAAATTCAGAAAGATATGATAAAACTGTAATTTAAGGGATTTGGTATATTAGATTTATGAAGTCAAAATAGAGAAAACACTATAAAGTACAATAATCAAAATGATTCCATATTTCCAATAATTTTATAAATTATTAGTTTGAGTGTAGATTGAAGTATAAATTGGCAGCTCTTATCAAAATTTAATTATGCATACCTTTTGCCCAAAAGTTCTATTTCCAAGTACACTTTAAGAGATATGCTAATATGTAAGCATATATCCACAAGGATGCTTATTGCAGTATTTATTAAGCAAGGCAATAAAGGGAAGAAAAAGGAGACTCATGCAGTATCCATCAATAGGTGTCACTGTGGGACAACACAAAAATTGAAATTAGGCGTTAAGGTTTCATTCTGTAATAATCAATATTTTTGTTAGAACTCGGTTGAGGCCGGGTGCGGTGGCTCACGCCTGTAATCCCAGCACTTTGACAGGCCAAGGCAGGTGGATCACGAGGCCAGGAGTTCGAGACCAGCCTGGCCAACATGGTGAAACCCCGTCTCTACTAAAAATACAAAAATTAGCCGGGTGTGGTGGTGGGCACCTGTAACCCCAGCTATTCGAGAGGCTAAGGCAGGAGAATCGCTTGAATCCAGGAGGCAAAAGTTGCAGTGAGCCGAGATCGTGACACTGCACTCCAGCCTAGGTGACAAGAGCAAGACTCCATCTCAAAAAAAAAAAAAAAGAAGAAGAATTCGGTTGATAAAATATATGAATTAACTCTTTTGTGTATGCTTGTATCATTCTCTTACCAAAAAGACTTTGTGCAGACATGCCTATCTTAACCAGACCCATTTATGTATAACCTTGAACTGTGAAGGCCAGGATCTGTAGATAAAAGGATATATAAAATTAAGTTATTCCAAGTATTTAAATAGAACTCTGTTTTCTGTTGGCCACAGTGATCTATTTTACATGTAGGAATTTCTGCCACACAATATAAAATTGTTCAGGTATATATACTACCTTGCCTCAAAAAAATCCAAATTGACACAGATATATAATTTAAACCGTGATTTCAAAACTCAGACTATCACATGGTAAATATGAGTAGATGCTGAGGAAGAACAGGTGCTATATTTTTATAGCATCCATATGTTTTTTAGCCAACAGATACAACAGATATCTAAATCTAGAAACTTTTTTCTCCATGACTTCCCCAGGGTAAATAAGTATACAAGGAGTAATGGCAGATGAAAATGTCCTCCTCTAATTTTCTTTTTACTTTCCTAGTAGCATTTTGTCTTGACTACTAAAAGAATATATCTTCTAAATTTTTTTTTCTTTTTTAGTTTTTAATGACTGCCTTCCACAAGGAGCTGCCTCAAATACTGAAAGCTTGGTTTTTCCTCCAACTCTGAGCTTTGTTGATTCCTAGGGCCAGTGATTCCTGAAACGAACCTATTGCAGAGAGGGGCCTATTAAGTTTGATACTTAATCCTAGCATTAAAGTTACATAGGAAATATAGTTAGAGTTATATAAGGAATAATTCCCTATAACTTTTCTCTATCTCCCAAGAAAATAAAACAAGCCATATATAGTAAGTGTTCTCATTTCTCTACGTTAGCTTCACCTGCATCTGTAGTTGAAACAGTCTGGGCCTTTGAAACTTACAATCATTATAAAGATTTACATAATAAATAAGCCAGAGACAACTTTTTTTTACTCTCAGTCTTTAACTTAAAAGGTTGTTATTTAGCTTCACAAGGATATTATAATATAGATATTGATCAATTTTCAAAACGTTTTGATGGTACTAATTCAAGTACATTGTACTTGAAATTTGATTCACAAATTTCTGAGCATTGCCCATAGTATAAACCTGGCTGGGTATATATATTGAAGTTTCTTGATTTAAACGTATGAAAATTGTGTCAGTTTTTAAGCTTAATGAAGGTATGGCTCATGAGTATAATATATCTTCAAATGAGATTAACACACAAATTGACTTTTCTATGGTCATTGACCTTGATTAGTTATGCTTCTCTGGCTTTTGGTCAGCTGTGGAAATTATATAAGGGTTGCAGTTTAGGTCTTCATAGTTTTTGTATTCATAACTTCAGTAATATTGATGGCCTATGTTTTTTAGACTCAAAGAAGGATTTTAATAATTGATAATTTATTAATTTTAATAATATAATAATATTCATCCAATACATTAGTTAGCGGCTAAATATCTTAACCAACTGGCTTTACTCTACTTTTCCCTCCCTGGAAAAAAAAATGCAGAAGTGCCCCCCTACCGCTGCAGAATTGAAGCTGCTCCTTTAACTTTGCAAATTCAGTGTGAAATTTCACCTCAGGACTTGGTGAAAAGAGGTTTAATCTCTGTCTTTAGATTTATAGACTAATGCTCACTCAGCCATTTTTACCTTGCTTCTCCCTATGTTCATTAATCGTTGATTATTCTCAACAAACCACAAAAACACTGACACATTATAATTTGGTGCCTAAGCCAGAATAGTGGGGACTGCCTTCCATCTTCTTTTTGTTTTTTTGTTTTTGTAGCTTGTGGGCTTTTTAAAATTTTTATTGTTATTTGAAGTTCTAGGGTACATGTGCAGGACATGTCCATACCAAATTGGGTCAGCCAGAAGCTATGTATTAGGAGATGATCAAATCTGTAATGTTATCATTGCTGCCTATATATTTGCAATAATTTTTTATGGTTTTACCTATTCTAATCAATGGTTTCAGTAATTTATTAATTCCATTAATAATTGGGGCTCCAGATAAAGTATTCCCAGAAATACAGAATAGGTTTCTGACTTCTGCCCCTATCATTCCTCCTCTTGCAATAGTCTAAGCTGCTGCTAAACAGGGTGACCAGTCTACCCACCTGTTTGGGGCTTTGCCACAGTCTGAGCTGTCAAAGTGTCTGTCAAAATCTTAGGTTTATATGTATTTTGGAGTTGAGGTCAATTACTCACATATGTGGTCTGATGAGGTGTGACATAACACTCTTGCAGGGAGGGGGAATTACATTTTCCTATCACATCAAAATATACGTTACTCAAGTAGCAAACTATGGAAGTGGAATCATTTTAAAGCTTTAAAACAGCACTTTTAGCTGGAAATTTAGCCCAGGCAGGAGCTTCTGTAGATCAAACCATTTTCTCATTACACTTAGCAAATATTTCATCAATGTTAGATGCTACTAATTTTAACAGTTATTAATATTCAACCACAAACTATATCCAACATCAAAAATTGATATTTATTTGATCTGTATTAATTACAGCTGTGCTCTTGCTACTTTCTCTTCTAGTTTTAGCGCTGGCATTACTACACCTGTGCTATTCACAAACATAACCTTAATACTACTATGTTTGATCCCACAAAAAGAGGACACTTAATTTTATATCAATGTTTTTTTCTAATTTTTTCTCTTACAGAAGTTTATATTCTTATTTTATTCAGATTTAGAAGAGTTTCACATGTTGTAACATATTCAGGAAAAAAGAATTATTCAGTTACATAGGAATAGTCTAAAACATAATATCTATTGGTTCCCTAAGATTCACTGTATACACCTGATATGGCTTATACACGATTGAAAAGGCAAGCCATAGGCTGGGAGAAAATAATTGCACATCAAATATTTAATAATAAGTTTGTATCTAGAATACATAAAGAACTCTCATAACTCAATTTTAAAGAGTAAACAATAGGCAAAAAGATTTGAACAGACACTTCCCCAGGGAAGATAGTCACATGGAAAATAATCACCTGAAATTAACACCATTAGTCATTAGAGAAATGCAAATTAAAACCACAATCAAATACCAATACACAATGATTAGAATAGCTAAAATAAAAAGACTTTACAATACCACATATTGGCAAGGAGGAAGAATAACTAAAAATTTCTTATTGTTTAAATGCAAAATGGTACCATCATTTGGAAAACAATTTGGTGGTTTCTTACAAAGTTAAACATAAATGTACCACATAACTTAGAGACCCCAATCCTACATATTACCAAAATGAAATGTTTACACAAAAACCTGTACAAGATTGTTTATAGCGGCCTTATATGTAACTACCCAAACCAGAAGAACCCAAATGTCTCTCAACTAGTTAATGGATTAACAAGTTGCAGAACATCCAAACAATGAAACACTACTCCACAATAAAAAAGAAGAACTACCTATACATGCTACAACAAGGATGAATCTCAAATGCACTGTGCTAAGTGAATGAAGCAAGACACAAAAGTTTCCATACTGTATGAATTCACTGAATGACATTCTGGAAAAGACAAAACTATAGGAATAGAAAGCATAGGGTTTGGCAAAGGAGAAGTTAATCACAAAAGGACGGAGGGAAATTTTTTGTTGTAATTTAACTGTTCTGTATATTAATTATGGCAGTGGTTACATGACTATATCCCTTTGTCAACACTTGCAGAACTAATACACTAAAAGGATATATTTTGCTGTATTATACTTTAATATAAAGTACATAAAAAGATAAAGCAATAAACTTTTCAGAAGAAAACAGAGAACATCTTCATGACATTGGAGTAAGTGGTTTTCTTAAATAGTATACAATTACCAGAGGAAATAAAGACAAGTTCCAACAATATTAACATTAAGAATTTCTTTTACTCATTTATTTATTTATTTTGAGATGGAGTCTAGGCTGGAGTGCAAAGGCACAATCTTGGCTCACTGCAACCTCTGCTTCCTGGGTTCAAGTGATTCTCCTGCCTCAGCCTCCCGAGTAGCTGGGATTACAAGTGTCTGCCACCATGCCCAGCTAATTTTAGTATTTTTAGTAGAGACAGGGTTTCACCATATTGGCAAGGCTGGTTTTAAACTCCTGACCTCAGGTGATCCACCCGCCTTGGCCTCCAGAAGTGCTGGGATTACAGGCATGAGCCACCATGCCTGGTCTACATTAAGAATTTCTGTTCATTAAAAAGCACTACTAAAAAAGCTTTAAAGGTATCTCTCGTAAGGGGAGAAGTTTTGCAATTCAGATGTCTATGAAGGGCTTATATGCAGAATATATAAATGATTCCTACAGGTAATAAAAAAAGATAAACAACTTAGAAAAAATTGGGCAAGATACTTGAACAGATATGTCACAAAAAGTGATTTTCCAATAACCAAAGAGCATTTGAAAATTGCTCAATTTCATTAATCATCAAAGAAAACTCAAATGTTATATAACTACATCCCACTATAATGGCTAAAATGAAAAATACCTGAAAATTCCAAGTGTCAGTGAGGATGTGGAGCAAATAGATTTCTCAGGCTTGAGGGAGTATAACTAATACTGAGAGGTGAAACCAGCTGGACATCCTGGGTGAGTAGGGATTTGGAGAACTTTTCTGTCTTACAAGAGGATTGTAAAATGCACCAATCAGCACTCTGTAGCTAGGATTGTAAAACGCACCAATCGGCGCTCTGTAGCTAGGATTGTAAAACGCACCAATCAGCGCTCTGTAGCTAGCTAGAGGTTTGTAAAATGAACCAATCAGCAGGACATGGGTGGGGACAAATAAGGAAATAAAAGCTGGCCACCACCCGCCAGCAGTGGCAACCTGCTTGGGTCCCCTTCCGATGCTGTGGAAACTTCGTTCTTTCGCTCTTCACAATAAATCTTGCTGCTGCTCACTCTTTGGGTCCATGCCACCTTTAAGAGATGTAACATTTACCGTGAAGGTCTGTGGCTTCATTCTTGAGGTCAGCGAGACCACGAACCCACCAGAAGGAACCAATTCCATACACAAGACATCAAAAGACATGTACAAAATAGCCATAACAGTTTTATTTATAATAGCGCCAAACTAGAAAACACCAGCAGTAAAGTGAATAAATGAAATGTGGTCTATTCACACAATGGAGTGCAATATAGTAATGAGAATGAAAAAACTACAACCACAGCCAACAATATTATACATGGATCTCACAAACAATATATAAAATAAAAAATCCAACAGAGAGGATTATATCCTTTATAATTCTATTTATATGGATTTCCAAAGTACACTGGAAACGGTATTGTTAGATGTTTACCTACTGGTTATGTGATGGAGGATGGTAACTGAAAGAATGTACAAATGGGATTGGGGGTGTCAGCAATGTTTTTTCTTGACCTGGATGACAATTACATGAGTGTGTTCAATCTATGAAAGGTGTAGAAAAGAACAATGTAATTGTATGGTTTTTCGTATGCACTCAAACTTCAAAAACAACTTCAAAGTGTACTAAAAATTCTACTGAAGAAACTAGAAAAATAGGTTTAAGTAACCTAGAATGTGAGAAATATTTCAGTGTCTGAATGGATCCCACCTCCCCTTCAATTTTACTTTCAAGGCATTTCCCTTTCCGAAGTTGAGCAGCAGCTAAAATTCTTTCATGCCCTTGGTAGAAAATGTAAGGCTTCAGGCTCTGTGGAATCCTCACAGAGATAATTGATGCAACATTGTCATTTCTCTGGGTTAATGAGAGTTTATTATTTTCAGAAGGCTCTGGGGCAAGGATGAAGCATAGTGAATTGTAAAGTAACTGTGACTCACAGGGAGAGGGAGAACCCTGCTCCCTGTGAGCATGGCTTGTTCCTTCTGCTTCAACCCATCTGAAGAGGATTGTCGCAGATTGGATTTTTCAGAAGCAGATGCTAAAACAAAGTGGCATTTATTCCTAAAAAATAAATGTTTTTAGGAATTAACACCTTGGAAAGAAAGCAGAGTCGGGGAATGATGAGACAACAAAATGTGATACGAGAAGAATTTGAACTGTGATCCAGGCACAACAGAGACCAAGCTGAGTATCTGGACCGAACTGAGGGTCAGGCTGCTATTTCTCATGGCCCAATAACAAGATGATAATGTACTGGGGAGGAAGAGAGTTTTTATCTCTGTAACCAATTATAAGGAAAAGGCCCAGAAATTTTCGCCAGACCAACTCAAAATTACAAAGTTTTCCAGAGTTCATAGACCTTCTAAGCTATATGTCTACATGTAAATGTGCATTCATCTAAAGACATAAGTGATTAACTTCTTTTAATCTATAACTAAGGTCTGAGTCCTGATGACCTTCCTCTGGAGCCTCAGTAAATTTGCTTAATCTAAATGAGTCTAGATGCTGGGGTGATTACCCTTATCTTGTCTCCTGCTAAATCACAAAGGTTTGGGGAGTTCCTTCAGACTTCCAATAGACATGTTTAATCATGCTTTAAGGTTCGGGAAAGGCCTAGGCAAAACTCTTGCTGGGCTTTTGTTACATTCCAACCTGTGTATAAGAGCACTGGCTTTTAATAGTTAACCACTCTGAAACAGTTGTTATGGAGGCCTGCATTAGTGAGACCTGGCCTGCCACAAAGCCATCTTGGTAGGGAGGGCTGCAGGTGCTGACTGAGTATTTCAATAATAAATTTTTCTTTTTTTTTTCTTCTTTTGAGACGGAGTCTCCCTCTGTCACCCAGGCTGGAGTGCAATGGCATGATCTCGGCTCACTGCAACCTCCGCCTCCCAGGTTCAAGCGATTCTCCTGCCTCAGCCTCCTAAGTGGCTGGGAGTACAGGCGCACACCACCAGACCTGGCTAATCTTTTGGTATTTTAGTAGAGACAGTGTTTTGCCATGTTGGCCAGGCTGGTCTCGAACTCCTGACCTCAGGTGATCCATCCACCTCAGCCTCCCAGAGTGCTGGGATTACAGGCATGCCTAGCCATAAATTGTTCTGATGATGTATTTCTGGTTTATGGAAAGGAAAAAAAAATTACAGGAGCCACAGAGATCACAGTAAGTATGATGGCGGGGGGAAAGAGCTACTCTTCGCACCATCAGAAGTATAATTCAAGGCAATAACTGTCTCATTTTCTGCCCTCAGAGCTGTGTTTGCTACTTAAAATATCTGTGAACCAATGAAAATTTCAAATGAGCAGCAGGATGTAAAGCAAATGAGAAATTTAAGCTGTGCTCCCAGAAGGCAATTATTATTAAATATATGTACCACAGCATTATCATCATCATACACATGAAATCAATTATCACCCTAAGCAACCACAATTTCAGTTACCTTATTTTCCTTAGGAAGTCTACCATCACTTACCAGATTTTTACCTAAATGAATTATTATTCATGTCAAAGAACAATAGTTTATTATACCAACATTTGTAGCTATCATAGCTTTACTTAGTTTATATTTTTATGTCTGACTGATTTACTCTACACCACTTAAAATATTGCCAACAACCAACAACATAAAAACAAAATGCCAGGTGAAGAATACAAACAAAATAGCCTTTCTATCTCCACTTAGGATATTATCAATCTTTTCTTTCCCCCTTGCACGAATATTTTTAGCATTGGATCAGGAATTTAGGTTAGCCAGAACAACAACCCTCAAAGTCTTAAGCAAGTATATCATACTTAATTCCTGAAAAATAAGGACTGTAAAACTTTATCCCACATTAATTGAATGAAAATTAAACACTTTTATTAAGCTAAAACCTCATTAGACTAGTAGGCTCCAGCCCCATGGTACCACTCTGCATTTAAACAATAAGAAATTTTTAGTTATTCCTCCTCCTTGCCAGTATGTGGTATTGTAAAGTCTTTTTATTTTAGCTATTCTAATCATTGTGTATTGGTATTTGGTTGTGGTTTTAATTTGCATTTCTCTAATGACTAGTGATGTTAATTTCAGGTGCCTATTTTCTATCTGAGTATCTTCCCTGGGGAAGTATCTGTTCAAATCTTTTTGCCTATTGTTTACTCTTTAAAATTGAGTTATGAGAGTTCTTTATGTATTCTAGATACAAACTTATTAACTATATGATGTGCAATTATTTTCTTCCAGACTATGGCTAGCCTTCCAATCTTTTAATGGTCTTTTGAAGAAGTAAAGTTTTTAATTTTCATAATATCTACCTTATTAGTTTGTCCTTTGGTGTTGGTCTTATGTCCAAGAACTCTTTGCTTACCCAAGGTGACAAAGATTTTTCTTTTAAATTTTCTTCTTCCTAGTGTTGGTGATGAGAAATTGGAAGTCAATATAATTGTATTTCCTTTGAGTATTATGTGTTTTTCCACTCTGAAGTTTAGATGAAGATTTATGTTTTAGCTAAATCCTGAAAATTTCTCATTTATTGTTGTTATAATTATTATTGATTGTACTCTACTCCATTTAATATTTCTATAACTTGGATGCATATTGAAATTTCTGTATATGTATCCTCCGTATCTCTTTTATATTCTTTGTCATTATTCCCCTTTTACTGTATTTTGGGAGAATTACTTATTTAGGTCTCTCGGGTCAAAATTTTTCTGGCATTATCCATTCTGTTCTTCACCTACTATCTTAAGGATTTTCTTTCTATTTTCATAGGGCAAACTTTTATTTTTATAATCTATGGCTTTTAAAATTAATAAAATATCGTTTAGTCTCTCTTTGAATATATTACTTATACTTCTTTTCTATATCTTCTCTGTTTTTTAAAACATGTTTCCTTGAGTGTAAAGTATTTCATTTGTTGTACTTACTGTTTTCATGGTCTTGCAAACCAAAAATGAAGATTTCTTCCTTCTCAGGGGAATCAAGGAAGAAGCCTCTCACTCAATTATGAGCCCCCAAAGCTGAAATTCTATTTAAGCCATTCCCTGAATTTTCTACATGAGAAAACAAATTATTTTCATGTGCCATATCACTACCAAAAATAAATATTAAATACAGTTCCATTATGTACATGGTGTGTTAGTGCTCTTCAACATTTAATAATCTACTACTACTGTACATAATCATATGAATGCATATATGTAATTGTACGTGGAAGAATATACCCCATGCATGTCAAGTGCAAGTGCCTGGGCCAGGCAATTTCCAAAGCACCTCTTCAGGTAGTCAGTTTCCATCCTGGGCCCAAGTTCAATTTCCAGGTTTTTTTTGTTATGGTTTGGTTTTTGGGTTTTTTATGTTGCAGCTGTTTGTTTTGAGACAGGGTCTCACCATCCTGGCTGGAGTGTAGTGGCGCGATTTTGTGTTGTTGTTGTTTTTAGATGGAGTCTAGCTCTGTCGCCCGGGCTGGAGTGCAGTGGCGCGATCTCTGCTCACTGCAACCTCCGCCCCCCAGGTTCAAGCGATTCTCCTGCCTCAGCCTCCCGAGTAGCTGGGACTACAGGCGTGAGCCACCGCACCCAGCCCCCAAGTTCCAGCTTTGATTCTGCCTCTTACTAGCTGTGTGATCTTCAACAAGTCACTCAGTCTCTGCAAACCTCGGTTTCCTCATCTGTCAGTCCCGCTTCCTCTTTGCTGCGCGCGCTCTCGTTGCCTGGCAACGGGAGGCGACGCCCGGATTGAGAGAGAGTAGGTGGGTGCATTGGGTGAGCGCCCACGACAGAGGCCGTTTTGACCGTTGGGCCTTGTCAGTTCCTTAGGACTCGCCTGGGTCTCCAGTCAGTGGCCGGAGGCGACTCCCGGATTGAGCCTAAGTGCGTGCGTTGGGTGCGCGCCCACCACAGAGGTGGTTTTGACGGTTGGGCCGTGTGAGTTGCTAGGACTCACCTGGGTCTCCAGTCAGTGCCGGGCTGCCGCCCCTGCCGCCGCCGCCGCCGCCCCTGCCGCCGCCGCCGCCGCCGCCGCCCCTGCCGCCGCCGCCCCTGCCGCCGCCGCCGCCGCCGCTCCTCTAGCGCTCCTCTGTGGAGAGCGCCGCGGGCACCTGCAAGACGGGGGGCGCCCCTTCCACAAACCCGAGTAGGAAAACCAACCTAAGGGCTCCAGGTGGAGCGTTGCCAGATACAATACAGTAACGCATGCGCAGTCAACTTTGAATTTCAGATAAACGAGTTACTTTTGAGTACAAATATAGTATCATACAAAGTTATTCGTTGGTTATCTGAAATTCAGGGTTACCTGGGAGTGCTGTGTTTATTTGCTGAGTCTGGCACCCCGGCCCGGGCCGCCTCCCTGTCCACTCTGGCTGGGTCTCCCAGGCATGGGCAAGGGACCTCCTTCTACCTCCTGTGGCAACTTCTTCAGGCTGGAGGCAGCTGTCTCTGTGGAAAGGGGCTTTCGTATG
This sequence comes from Homo sapiens, assembly GCF_000001405.40. Lineage (NCBI taxonomy): Eukaryota > Metazoa > Chordata > Mammalia > Primates > Hominidae > Homo > Homo sapiens. The sequence goes on from NC_000012.12 coordinate 7,629,187, forward strand.
TTGAGCCAAGATGCCTATTGGTGTATGTGAAAAATAACACTACTAGGCCGGGCACGGTGGCTCACGCCTGTAATCCCAGAACTTTGGGAGGCCGAGGCGGGCAGATCACAAGGTCAAGAGATCGAGACCATCTTGGCCAATATGATGAAACTCCGTCTCTACTAAAAATACAAAAATTAGCTGGGCGTAGTGGCGCGCTCCTATAGTCCCAGCTACTTGGGAGACTGAGGCAGAAGAATCGCTTGAACCCGGGGGGCGGAGGTGGCAATGAACCGAGATCGTGCCACTGCACTCCAGCCTGGCGACAGAGCGAGATTCCTCTCAAAAAAAAAAAAAAAAAGAAGAAGAAGAAGAAGAAAAAGAACCCTACTTAAAACAGGAAAGTTGGGTTATTCTCGTCGTTCATGGACAGGAAACAAGTGCTCAGGGAGATGACAAGCCTTGCACACTTCCCACTGATATGCTCAGAATTCCCACACAGAACCTTGACTTGGCCCAACCCTTAGGCCGGAAGTTTTCCCGTTAGAGATAATGGTCCCCTTCTCATATTCATCTTTCCGGAGCATCAGGAGGAGGCTGTTCCCGTTTTTATGTTATTTCACTTCAAGTGACGTTGAGATGTCTATGCAGTATTTTTGTCTTTGGAGTATATCATACTGAAGAAATACAGTGAAGATACTGTGTTCCAAAGTCAGATGTAATAATGCTTTCCTCTATGTGGTTGAGACAGCAATGCCAACTCAATAGGGAATTAGGCTTATTTGTGCCATTTAGTTTTCAGTTTTAATGACTGTATTTACATATACATGCATGCACCTTTCTCTGCTGCTTTGTATTCCTTTTCCCAGTACAAAAGATGGCATACTGTGTGCAATTTCTGCACCTTGCTTTCTTCACTTCACTCTGTGTCCTTGAGTTCACACCCTACTTTACAGAGCTTCCGCATTCTCTTGTATATCTGCACAATAATCCATTGTGTTGCTCTGCCTCATTAGTCCTGAATTTGATGAATATTCAAATGGAGCTCCAGTTTTATTATTGTAAATAACGGTGCAAATAACCATGTGCATCTGCCATTTCATATTTTTGCAAGCATATCTTTGAGATAGGATCCAAGAAGTGAGATTGGTGGTCAAAGGATAAACACGTGATTTTGTAGATTTTGCCAAATTCTCCTCCATAGGGGTTATATCATTTTGTTCTTTCACGGCTACCATATGACACAAGAGCAGTACTGGAGCCTATGAACCTCAGGATGTCAATGTTTCTGAAATTTTATGCAAATATTAGGTATATTTGTCCAGGGATAGGTCTAGATGCATTGGCATTCTGTCCTCTATAACTGCCGTGCTCATTCCTGTATCAGAGCCCTTCCTCATACCTGGAAGGCTCTTCTCTTCTTTGCCTTGTTTTCTGTTATTTCAGTAAATTTAAACTGAGCTCAAATGTCACCCCTCAGAAAAGCTTTAATTCACTTCCCTGACTTGTTCAGATCTCCTTTTGTGGGTTAATTTTAAACTCAGGGGTTCATGTGCATGTTTGTTACGTGGGTATACAGCTAATGAGGGGATTGAACATTGTAATCAATCGGCAATTTTTCAACCTCTACCCTCCCCACTTGAGGGTCCCCAGTGTCTTTATTTCTGTCTTTATGCCCATGTGTACCCATTGTCAAGCTCCCACTTTTAAGAAAGAACATGTGATGTTTGATTTATTGTTTCTGGGTTTGTTCACTTAGGATAATGGCCTCCAGTTCCATCCATGTTGCTGCAAAAGACATGATTTCATTCTTTTTTTCTTTTTTTTTTCTTTTTTTAGACGGAGTCTCACTTTGTCACCCAGGCTGGAGTGCAGTGGCCCAATCTCAGCTCACTGCAACCTCTGCCTCCCGGGTTCAAGCGATTCTTCTGCCTCAGCCTCCCGAGTAGCTGGGACTACAGGCGCGTAATAACCAGCTAATTTTTGTATTTTTAGTAGAGATGGGGTTTCGCCATGTTGGCCAGGCTGGTCTCAAACTCCTGACCTCAGGTGATCCACCCGCCTCAGCCTCCCAAAGTGCTGGGATTACAGGCATGAGCCACCATGCCCGGCCGGATTTCATTCTTTTCTATAGCTGCATAGTATTCCATGGTGTATATATACCACAATATCTTTATCCAAACAGCCATTAATGGACACTTAGGTTGGTTCCATGACTTCGCTATTGTAAATACTGCTGCAATAAACATATATGTGCTGGTGTCTTTTTTATATAATGATTTCCCTTCCTTTGGGTAGATACCCAGTAGTGGGGTTGCTGGGTTGAATGGTAGTTCTATGTTTAGTTCTTTGAGATATCTCTATGCTATTTTCCATAGAGATTGAACTAATTTACATTCCCACCAATGGTGTATACGTATTCCCTATTCTCCACATCCATGCCAACATCTGTTGTTTTTTGACCTTTTAATAATGGCCATTCTGACTCGTGTAAGATCATATCTCAGTGTGTTTTTAATTTGCATTTCTTTGATGATTAGTGATGTTGAGCATTTTTTTTTCCAATGTGTTTGTTGGCTGCTATTTATTCTTTCGAGGAATATCTGTTCGTGTCCTTTGCCCAGTTTTTAATGGGGTTGTTTGTTTTTCACTTATTGAGTTCCTTGTCAATTCTGGGTATAAATCCTTTATTGGAGGAATAATTTGCAAATATTTTCTCTCATTCTGTAGGTTATTTCTTTTGCTATGCAGAAGCATTTTAGTTTAATTCAGTCTCGTGTGCCTGTTTTTGTTTTTGTTATATTCGTTTTTGGAGCCTTTTTCATAAAATATTTGCCTAGGTTGATGTCCAGAAGACTTTTTCCTAGGTTTTCTTCTAGATTTTTTATGGTTTTAGGTATTTAATTTAGGTCTTTAATCCATCTTGAGTTAATTTTTAATATGGTGAGGGATAGAGATCCAGTTTCATTCTTCTGCATATGGCAATCCAATTTTCCAGCACCATTTATTAAATAGAGTGTCCTTTCCGCATTATTTGTTTTTATCAACTTTGTTGGTTGTAGGTATTGGCTTTATTTCTGGGTTCTCTTATTCTGTTCCATTGATCTAATTGTCTATTTCTGTACCAGTACCATGCTGCTTTAGTTACTATAGACTTGTGATATAATTTAAAGTCAGGTAATGTAATGCCTCTGGATTTGTTCTTTTTGCTTAGGACTGCTTTGGCTATTCAGGCTTTTTTCGTTCCATATGAACTTTAGAATTGTTTTTTCTAAGTTCGTGAGGAATGAAGTTGGTAATTTGATGGGAAATGCATTGACTGTAGATTGCTTTGGGCAATATGGTCATTTTAAGTATATGGATTCCTCCAACCCATGACTATGGAATGTTTTTTTGTTTGTGTCATCTACAATTTCTTTCACCAGTGTTTTGTAGTTCCCCTTGTAGAGATGTTTCACCTCCTTGGATAAATGTATTCCTTGGCACATGATTTTTTCATGGCTATTGTAAATGGGATTGAGTTTGATTTGGTTCTCAGATTGAACATTATTGATGTATACAAATGCTACTGATTTTTATATGCTGATTTTGTATCCTGAAACTTTACTGAAGTCGTTATCAGGTCTATGAGTCTTTTGGAGGAGTCTTTATGGTTTTCTAGGTATATGATCCTATCATCAGTGAATGGAGATAATTTGATTTCCTCTTTTCCAATTTGGATCCCTTTTATTTCTTTCTCTTTCCTGATTGCTCTGGTTAGGAGTCCAGCACTATGTTGAATAGGAGTGGTGAGAGTGGACATCCTTTTCTTGTTCCAGTTTTTAGGGGAAATGTTTTCAACTTTCCCCCATTCAGTATGATGATGTTTGTGGGTTTGTCATATATAGCTCTTATTATTTTGAGGTACATTCCTTTGACGTTTCATTGGTCGAGGGTTTTTATTATGAAAAGATGTTGAATTTTATCAAATGCTTTTTCAGCATCAGTTGAAATGATTGTTTTTTGCTCTGCATTTTGTTGATATGGTGCCTCATATTAATTGACTAGCATATGTTGAACCATCCTTGCATCCCTGGAATAAAGCCCACTTAACTGTGATGAATAATCTTTTTGATGTGCTTTTGGATTCAGTTTGCTGATATTTTGTTGAGGACTTTGGCATCTATGTTCATCAGAACAGCCCTCATTCAACTCTTCAGCTACGTAACTTCTACTAGTGACCTAATTCTTTGAGATGTCATTCCCTGCAGGAGGGCATCCTTGCTCTTCCAAGTCTAAGTTAAGAGGCATTATTTGGTTTTCTTACCTCGTCTTAGGCCTTAACAACACTGCCTTTTATTTGCTTTTAATATCTACTCATATGTAAATGTAACCTCTTCATAATAGGAAATATGTCTAATTTGCTTCCTAATTTATACCCCAGGCTGGCACATTGTAAGTGTGGAATAACTATTTGGGGAATAAATTCTTACATGGAAACATAACTGTTGCCCCTGTGTGATATATGTACTTTCAATATACTGGCATATTATCTACAGAAATATTAGAAGCTAAAGAAAATTAGAAGCTAAGAGAAAATTCTTAAAATCCCATATTCCCATTTAGGATATTGATTGTGATCTTATAAGCCAAGTTAGACTTAGATGACATGGAAAAGGACATATGTAGGACCTAATCGCCTTTTTTCTTTTGTAGCTTGAAAATGACAGCCTTGGTTTATTTTTATTTTTTACTGATCCATAATAGTTGTGCATATTTATAGAGCACATGTAATATTCTGATACGGGCATGTAGTATATAATCATCTAATCAAAGTAATTGCGATATCCATTAGCTCAAACATCATGTCATTTTCAGGGACATGGCTGGAGCTAGAGACCATTATTCTTAGCAAACTAATGCAGGAACAGAAAACCAAATACCATGTGTTCTCACTTATAAGTGGGAGCTAATGATGAAAACACATGTATACATAGAAAGGAACAACACACACTGAGGCCTGTTGGAGGGTGAAGGGTAGGAGGAGAGAGAGGATCAGGAAAAATAACAATGGGTACTAGGCTTAATATCTGGGTGATGAAATGATCTGTACAGCAAACCCCCATGACACAAGTTTACCCATGTAACAAACATGCACATGTACCCCTGAACTAAAAAGTTAAAAAAATTTGCTGAGCACGGTGGCACACGCCTGTAATCCCAGCACTTTGGGAGGCCAAGGCGGGTGGATCACGAGGTCAGGAGATCGAGACCATCCTGGCTAACATGGTGAAACCCCATCTCTACTAAAAATACAAAAAATTAGCTGGGCGTGGTGGCGGGCGCTTGTAGTCCCAGCTACTTGGGAGGCTGAGGCAGGAGAATGGCGTGAACACGGGGGGTGGAGTTTGCAATGAGGGGAGATCGCGCCACTGCACTCTAGCCTGGGCGAGAGAGCGAGACTCCATTTCCAAAAAAAAAAAGGTTAAAAATTTTTAAAAAAAGAAAGTCTATAGGGCCCAGACTTACCCAACATCTTTATACTTTATTGCACTGTGGCCCTATTAGACTTTCCTGTGAGTTGGATCCTGTCCAACTTCCCAAACAGATGCTGATACTTTGTGGGTTGTGTAGTTACTGATAATTCGTCATCATCTTCTCATAACTGAAAGCTCATGGAGAAATTTTGCCATCTAGTTTTGCTATAAATGGGTTTTGTTCATTGCTCCTTGGTTTTGCTGCCCTAGATGGAGATTTTTAAAGTGCACTGTACTAAAACCACCTACCTAGAATCTTCCCCATCTTCATTCTTAAAACACTTTTCTCTCCACTTGGCTTCTGGGATAAAAGTTTTCTGATTTATCTTTTATCTTATTGGCTACTGCTACTCAGCCAACTTTGCTGTTTCTTCGTCTTTGTCTTGATCTCCAGATGTTGGTAAATCCTGTGGATTGGTCTTCAATTTTCTTATGTCCACAATTCATATTCACATGTCTAAGTAAGGTCAACCATTCCTGTGACTTTAAGACAATGCATATGTAAAGCCCATTTTTTTAATCCCCAGATTTTACCTTTTCTATCAAATTCAGACATGAATAACTGTCCACTTGTATGTCTAATAAACATTTTAAAAGTTAACATAATTAAATGGAACTCTTGACTTCACTTTCAAACCACTCCTAGCCCTGTGTTCCTCATTTCAGTTAAGTGACAGTATCATTCATCTGGTTGTTCTTGCTAAAAATGTAAAAGTCATGAGTTTTCCCTTTGTAGCATACATTTATTCCATCAACAAATCCTGTCAACTAAACCTTTAATATATATCCCAAATCTTACTACTTCTCACCACTTGTATCTTTATTTCAGTAGAGATAATAGTCATATTTCCTAGTATGGATGAAAATAGTCAAACTCTATAAAATATGTGAAGAGATTTATTCTGAGCCAAATATGAGTGACCATGGCCCATGACACAGCCCTCAGGAGGTCCTGAGAACATGTGCCCAGGATGGATGGGGTACAGCTTGCTTTTATATGTTTTAGGAAGGCATGACACATCAAATACATTTAAGAAATACATTGGTTTGGTTCAGAAAGGCAGGACAACTCAAAGCAGGGGCTTCCAGGCTATAGGTAAATTTAAACATTTTCTGTATGACAGTTGGTTGAGTTTATCTGAAGAGCTGGGATCAATAGAAAGGAAATGTCCAGGCCGGGTGTGGTGGCTCACACCTGTAATCCCAGCACTTTGGGAGGCCAAGGCAGGTGGATCACCCAAGGTCAGGAGTTCGAGACCAGCCTGGCCAACATGGTGAAACCCTGTCTCTACTAAAAATACAAAAATTAGCTGGGCATGGTGGTGGGTGCCTGTAACCCCAGCTACTTGGGAGGCTGAGGCACAAGAATCTTTTGAACCCAGGAGGCGAAAGTTGCAGTGAGCCGAGATTGCGTCATTGCACTCCTGCCTGGGTGACAGAGTGAGACTCTGTCTCAAAAAAAAGAAAGGTATGTTCAAGTTAAGATAAAGAATTGTGGAGACCAAGTTTTATTGTGCAGAGGAAGCTCTCTGATAGCAGACTTCAGAGACAGCAGGTTGTAAAATGTTTCCTATCAGACCTAAAAGGGTACCTGGCTCTTAGTTGATTATCTCCTGGATCCAGAAAGGAAGAAAGGAAAACAAAGGGGAAAGGGGATTCTCTATAGAATGTGGATTTTTCCCACAAGGGACTTTGCAGGGCAATTTCAAGGTATGGCAAGAAAATATATTTTGGGGTAAAACATTTTTATTTTCTTTCTAGTTATGCCAGAGTCAGATTGGAAAGTAAGTCGTAATATACAGGATTAAATAAAACCCATCTGATGAGAATTTATGGTTTGTGGGTCATGACTCCCCATACCCCTTAATAAGGAATTTAGGCCAGATAAAAAATCAGAGCTTAGTCTTTACTAGATATCTGCTGTATTTCTAACTGGACTTCCTTACTTCACTTTTGCCCCACTATATCTGTTTTCCATACAGCAGGCAACCAGTTCTTGTTAATACATAATAAATCCTGCACTACCACAAATTTCTAAAATCCAGTTTACTCAAAAGAAAATCCAAATTTCTTTCCATGACCTATACTTCCCTACATAATCTTACCTTTGCTTGTCTCCCTGGCCCTATTTCCTACATTTTCTCACCTCATTTATTCCACTCTAACCACATTTTTTATTCCTTAAAAAATGCCAAATTTGTTTTGTTCCAATTTCAAATGCCTGCACCTTCTTCCATCTGCTTGAAATAAACTTTCTCCAGATTTTCACATGACCTGCTCATTTACTTTATTACCAGTATCCGCCCAGGTGCAGTGGCTCATGCCTGTAATCCTAGCACTTCGGGAGGCCGAGGTGGGCAGATCACAAGGTCAGGCGTGCGGGACCAGCCTGGCCAATATGGTGAAACCCCGTCTCTACTAAAAATACAAAAATTAGCCAGGCATGATGGCACGTGCCTATAATCCCAGCTACTCAGTAGGCTGAGGCAGGAGAATCGCTTGAACCCCAGAGGCAGAGGTTGCAGTGAGCCAAGATCAAGTCACTGCACTCCACTCCGGATGACAAAGAAAGACTCCATCTCAAAAAAAAAAGAAAATTACCAGTATCCTTGGCAAGTCCATCTAAAATAGGATTCACTGCTTCCAACACTCTCTAGCCTTTTACTTTGCTTTACTTTGACTTTACTTTCATTTTACTTTGCTTTACTACAACAATATCTATCATGAAGGTTGATATCAAATGATAATTTAGCTGATACAATTTTTGTTGAGCCTCCAACTGTGAATGAGAAAATAAAGCCTAAAGTTCATAGTACAGCTAATGACCATTAGATATTTTCTCTGTGAAAGTTTGCTAATCAGCTGAATAATTTTTCTCCTATAGGAATAGCAATAATTATAGTGGCTCATATAAAATATGCTCATGTATTAACATCCATCTCTACTGTAAATATATAATGAGCTTTGTGTTAGTCTGCTTGCATTACTATAAAAGAATACCTGAGGCTGGGTAATCTATAAAGAAAAGGGGTTAAGTTGACTCATAGTTCTACAGGCTGTGCATGAAGCATAGTGCCAGCATCTGCTTCTGATGAGGGCTTCAGGAAGCTTACAATCATGGTGGAAGGCAAAGGGGCGACAGTGTGCCACATGGTGAGAGTAGGAGCAAGCGAGATGCCAGACTCTTAAACAACAAGCTCTTGTGTGAACGAACAGTGAGAACTCATTACTTCAGGAGGGATCTACCCACATGACCCAAACACCTCCAAATAATACAGGAATTATTAAGAAATAACTTTTAGGCCGCTAGAAAGGGTAAAGGTTCTCAGTGGAAATTTTCCTGTAATAAGAAGCAACCCCCAAACCATTTCTTTTCTAACAGAAAGGCAGCTTGAAAAACCAGGCCGGCAAGCTTTGATATGCAAATGCTGGCGATTAGAAACTGGGTCCACCCAACATGGCCAACAGGAAGAGTGCCACCCTCTCCTCCTCATCACTACATGTGCCAAGTGTCATGATTGCCTCCAGATAACATGGATATCATGGTGACCTGCATTTGCATATTAAAGGAGTAAGGTAGGAGTGCCAGGTTTTTCACGGGCTATGTGAATGACACGCCTGGTCAAACCAATCTCCTGGGCCCTATGCAAATTAGACACCTCCTCCTCCAGCCTCCTGCTATAACAAACTACTCTGCCACACACGGGGTTTCTCTCTGGGAGCCCCCCTCCCTCTGTCCCTGTACTGGGAAGCTTCTTCCTTCTTTCTTGCTTATTAAACTCTCCACTCCTTAAAACCACTCTACATGTGTCCATGTCGCTTTATCTAAAACGATGTTAGACCAAGGACCCTGCTGTTCTTCCATTCATCAGAGCAGTTATCATTTTGGTTGCATTGACCGGGAATTCATTCATCGGAGTGGTGACTATAGAGCGAGCCCCAACCTCAAATCTCTCCTTCAATTTCAAGGCTCTCTTCTTACTATCCTGTTGCAAAATTTTCCTTCTTTCTCTATCCACGGTCTCTTACTCTCTCTCTGTGAAAAGTGCAGGGAGTTTTACAGTTCAGTGAAACAGGTCTGCTAGGAAAGATGGCAAACGCAGCAGGCAGTAACTCAACAAGCCCGCTCTCTGTGGCTGCGCTGGTGAGCATATAGTATTTCTAAGCCAACAGCGCCACCTAGTGGAAGTAGAAATCCTCTTCAGGGGCCACATTTTTTACGGTAACACTGAACTTCCTTTTGCACCACCAGAAATCAGGCTCTAACCTACTTCTGTGAACCGGAAAGTTCTGCCTTCAGCAATTAGAAGTAATATGTCCTCGACCGGGCATGGTGGCTTACGCCTGTAATCCCAACACTTTGGGAGGCCAAAGCGGGTGGATCACGAGGTCAGGAGTTCGAGACCAGCCTGGCCAATATGGTGAAACCCCGTCTCTACTAAAAACACAAAAATTAGCTGGGCGTGGTGGTGCACACCTGCGGTCCCAGCTGCTCAGGAGGCTGAGGCTATTGAATTGCTTAAAACGGGGAAGCAGAGGTTGCAGTGAGCTGAGATTACGTCACTGCACTCCAGCCTGGGTGACAGTGAGACTCTGTCTCAAAAAGAAGTAATATGTCTGCTGCCACATTTTAGTCTTGATATTGTCCCATAAGCAGGAAAATGGCCATTCTGTTCCTACGCTCTTTTAAGACATCTAATCTGTTTCCTGTTAAAATGGTATAATTAGTAGGGAGATTTTAAGTTCAGAAGTTAACCAGAACCATTTTTCTGAGGGTAAATGGTTTGGCATGGGCCATAATAGCAGGCAGTCTAGCACATTGCCTCTGTTAAAGGAGCCTTGACCAAAAACAACACAGTCTCTCCAAAGATCAATTTTTCAGGGAGCCAGGTAGATCACATAGGCTTAGGAAGTCAAAGGGAATCACACAAGGCAGATAAGCTAAGGTTGCGTGGGTAAAGTGTGGTTAATCCCATTGAGAGGTGACAGCGTGCTAGCAGTCCTCACAGCTCTCGCTCGCTCTCGGCGCCTCCTCTGCCTGGGCTCCCACTTTGGCGGCACTTGAGGAGCCCTTCAGCCCACCGCTGCACTGTGGGAGCCCCTTTCTGGGCTGGCGAAGGCCGCAGCCCGCTCCCTCAGCTTGCAGGGAGGTGTGGAGGGAGACGCGCGAGCGGGAACCGGGGCTGCGCGCGGCGCTTGCGGGCCAGCTGGAGTTCCGGGGGGGCGTGGGCTTGGCGGCCCCGCACTCGGAGCAGCCGGCCGGCCCTGCCGGCCCGGGGCAGTGAGGGGCTTAGCACCCGGGCCAGCGGCTGCGGAGGGTGTACTGGGTCCCCCAGCAGTGCCAGCCCACCGGCGCTGCGCTCGATTTCTCACCGGGCCTTAGCTGCCTTCCCGCGGGGCAGGCCTTGGGACTGCAGCCCGCCATGCCTGAGCCTTCCCCCGCCTCCGTGGGTTCCTGTGCAGCCGGAGCCTCCCCGACGAGCGCCGCCCCCTGCTCCACGGCGCCCAGTCCCATCGACCGCCCAAGGGCTGAGGAGTGCAAGCGCATGGCGTGGGACTGCAGCGCCGGTGCGGGATCCACTGGGTGAAGCCAGCTGGGCTCCTGAGTCTGGTGAGGACGTGGAGAATTTATGTTTAGCTCAGGGATTGCAAATACACCAATGGACACTCTGTATCTAGCTCAAGGTTTGTAAACACACCAATCAGCACCCTGTGTCTAGCTCAGGGTTGTGAGCGCGCCAATCGACACTCTGTATCTAGCTGCTCTGGTGGGGCCTTGGAGAACCTTTGTGTGGATACTCTGTATCTAACTAATCTGATGGGGAGGAGGAGAACCTTTGTACCTAGCTCAGGGATTGTAAACGCACCAATCAGCGCCCTGTCAAAACAGACCACTCGCCTCTACCAATCAGCAGGATGTGGTTGGGGGGGGGCCAGATAAGAGAATAAAAGCAGGCTGCCCGAGTTGGTAGTAGTAACCCGCTCGGGTGTCTCTCTGCCTTGGTGGGGCTTTGTTCTTTCGCTCTTGGGGTCCATACTACTTTTGTGAATTACAGCACTCACCACGAAAGCTTGCGAGACCACGAGCCTACCGGGAGGAACGAACAACTCCCGACGCGCTGCCTTAAGAGCTGTAACAGTGACCGCAAAGGTCTGCAGCTTTACTCCTGAGCCCGCCAGACCATGAACCCACCAGAAAGAAAAAACTGAACACACCTGCACATCAAAAGGAACAAACTCCAGACGCGCCACCTTAAGAGCTGTAACACTCACCGTGAGGGTCTGCGGCTTCATTTTTGAAGTCAGTGAGACCAAGAACCCACCCATTCCGGACACACCATCACTTAGTTCATCCGCTCCCATGGCTTGGGGGACCATGCTTACAATCGTGGGTGGCACATTTAACAGGGTCCCAGGAACCAGGGAAGGAAAACAGGACACTCCACTGTGTTATTCTCCGTCGGGGGTCATAGGGAATCAAAGTAGATTAAAAGGACACTTTTATTGCTTTTCTTTCTAGATGGGTAACAGATTATCTTCAGTTTGTGCCCCTCTGGCGTGCACTCTGAAACACTGAAACTTTCTTAGCCTCAGGACATTAAAGAGAAGAGCAACTCATTTTATTTTGCACAAGGGCATGGTATTTTTACTGAAACTTTGCAAGCAGTGTAAGATCAACCCAGCTCTTTTAGGAATCATATCAGGCACGCTCACTGAAAATAATTCCCCAAAATTAGAAAAGCAACTTCCAGAGGAGCCATCTGAAGATCCCCCTTCTTTGGGGGCCCCTTCAAGTTCCCTTCTCGTTACAGCCCCTTAGGCCTGTAATAAAGGGAGACTTAGCCAATTTTCTCACAACCCTGATAGGTATATAAAAGCTTTCCAGGCTGGGCGCAGTGGCTCACGCCTGTAATCCCAACACTTTGGGAGGCTGAGGCGGGCAGATCACGAGGTCAAGAGATTGAGACCATCCTGGTCAACATGGTGAAACCCCGTCTCTACTAAAAATACAAAAATTAGTTGGGCGTTGTGGCATGTGCCTGTAATCTCAGCTACTTGGGAGGCTGAGGCAGGAGAATCGCTTGCACCCAGGATGTGGAGGTTGCAGTGAGCCAAGATCACGGCACTGAACTCCAGCCTAGCAATAGAGTGAGACTCCGTCTCAAAAAAAAAGCTTTCCAAAATTTAACTCAGGTATTTCACCTCAGATGGAAGGATGTTATGTTGCTCCTAAGTCAGACCCTCACTGCAGCTGAAAAGCAGGCAGCTCTGATTTCAGAGATTAGCAACATATCTCCTATAATACACCAAAAGGGAAGAAAGCAGATAAGGAAAGAGAAGAAATAGCAGAAATGCCATTCCCAATTGGGAGGAAAGCAGTTTCCCTTGACAACCCTAATTGGGACCCCAATAACTCAGGAGATGAAAAGGAAGCTCTTTTTTAAGTGTGCATTAGAGGGCCTACGGAAAACCAGGGCCAAACCTCTCAATTACTCTAAACTGTCCATGATAAACAGCCAGATGAGAATCTTGTAGCCTTTATGGAAAGGCTGAGAGAGGCACTAACAGAACACCCCTCCTTATCCCCTGATTCAGTCGAGGGACAGCTCATCCTAAAGGACAAGTTTATTAGACAGGCAGCTGCCAATATTAAAAGGAAACTACACAAGCAAGCTATAGGACCAGATAGCACCTTAGAGAACTTCCTGAAAGTGGCCACTTTGGTCTTTTGTAATAGGAACCAGGAGGAGGCCCAAAAGAAAGAGACAATGGTCAGAAGGACAGAGACTCTAGCAGCAGCTTTGCAGGCTTGCAAAGTCCAGGATCCCGGAGGTGCATCTGCTAGTTGCTATCAGTGTGGCAGGCCAGAGCATGTTAAGAAAGAATGCCCATACAGCAAGACAAAGCCACCTCAACCCTCTCCAGCCTGTGGCAGAGACAACAGGAGATGGAACTGCCCCCAGAGGTGGAGGTCACTGGGTTCAGAACCAGTCTTACTGATGATCCAGCAGAACTGGATCCCGGGGCTCAAACTCCAGCTCCAGCGGCTCAAACTGCCATTACAGCACAGGAGCTCTGAGTGATTCTGGAAATTAAAAGAAGGAAAGTAGACCTCTTTCTAAACACTCAGCCAGTCTCTCTTTTTTCTCCTCTCTAATCCAGGCCTCCCCTCTTCCCATAGCACAACCAGAAGGGGCATCTCAGGAAAAACTCTACTCCAGTATTTTTCTCAACCTTAGTTGACACGTGCTTCCAAGCCATTATCATGACAGCTCGCTAATCAGAAAAGCCTCCAAGTTAACCCTAGGAAATAATTTAACTGTTTACACCCCACATAATGTGGCAGGATTACTGTCCTCTAGGGGGAGCTCTTAGCCAACAAACCGCCAGTAAAGCAAGAAGTACATAAGGCAGGATAAGCAGTAGTCACTCTAAATAACGTCTCTCCCCAGGCACAAGCGCTCAATTAGCTGAGCTAACAGCTTTTACAAGCACACTTGGATTAAGCAAGGGAAAGGTAGCTAACATTTATACTAACTCCAAGTATGCTTTCTTGGTTCTCCATGCTCATGCTGCCATTTGAAAGAAAAGACATTTTCGGCCAGGCGGTGGCTCACGCCTGTAATCCCAACACTTTGGGAGGCCAGACGGGCGGATCACGAGGTCAGGGGATCAAGACCATCCTGGCTAACATGGTGAAACCCCGTCTCTACTAAAAATACAAAAAATTAGCCAGGCGTGGTGGCAGGCGCCTGTAGTCCCACCTACCTGGGAGGCTGAGACACGAGAATGGCGTGAACCTGGGAGGTGGAGGTTGCAGTGAGCCGAGATCGCGCCACTGCAGTCCAGCCTGGGCGACGGAGCGAGACTTCGTCTCAAAAAGAAAGAAAGAAAGAAAAGACATTTTCTTACCATTAATAGATCCCCTATAAAAATATCACCAGGAAATTAGCAGGTTATCTTCAGTTTTTCTTCCACAAGAAATAGCAGGAATGCATTGTAAGGAACATCAAAAGGGAACAAATGAGGTAGCCAAAGGAAATAGGTTAGCTGATCAGGCAGTTAAGTCAGAGGCAAGGAAGCCTCAAGCCGTTAAGGCACTTAAGCCCCTTCTAATCTAGGAAGGCTCCATAAGAAAAATTAAACCTCAGTATTTCCCTGCAGAAATAAAATAGGCCACTTCTCGAGGACGTAGTTCCCAGCCCTCAGAAAGGCTACAGTCAGAGGATGGCAAACTCCATTTGCCAGCCTCCAGCCAATGTCCTTAAAATCCTTCACCAAGCTTTTCACTTGGGAAAGGATAAAACTTATCAGTGTGCTCAGAGATTGTTTTCAGGCAGGAAACCTCTAAATTGGTTAAGCATGTAACCTCTCTAGCTCACTTCCAACAAGAATTAACGCAACTAACAGAAGTCCAACCCCAGGAAACAGAACCACCTTTATTTAACCCAGGAAATTTGGTGTTAGTGAAAACCCTCATCTCTGTCTCCTTCCCTAAGCCAAGCTGGGAAAGGCCCTACACTGTTCTTCTTTCAACACCATTGGCAGTAAAAGTTACAGGAATCAACTCCTGACTTCCACATTCAAGTCAAAGCCTGAACAGCTGAGGGATCAACCTCTGACAGCCCAGAGGCACGTCCTGAATATCAATGTGGAGAAATAGAAGATCTTAAACTGAAAATCATAAAAGATAAGTAACTGAGTGAGGGCTACTCCTACCTCATCGGGTACTTTTTATTATTTCTGCCTTTCCTCTCAAAATCTGCCACCAAATATTAAAATTCCTTTTAAGGCATATTTGCAGCGAGATTTAATTATACATGGGATTGCATTTGTAACTTTGTAGATCCCCAAAGGGAAATGTTATATCTAGGCAAGTAAAGACTTAAACGAAAATTATTTACTATGCCACTCTTGTGGGAAATGTTATAGTTACACCACTATTTGCGATGGAACTATACACCGTGGCACCCACAATGCGGAATTTTGGTTGTAAAATTCTAATTGTTATAATATTTTGCCTGATTATCTTCCTTATCTTAGGATTAATAATTGCAGGAAAGATTTAGTCAAGGTTATTTTGCTTATAGCAGGAGTGATAGTTATGGATAAGAAGCAAGCATAAGGCCGGGCGCGATGGCTCATGCCTGTAATCTCAGCACTTTGGGAGGCCGAGGCAGGTGGATCACCTGAGGTCGGGAGTTCGAGACCAGCCTGACCAACATGAAGAAACCCCATCTCTACTAAAAAATACAAAATTAGACAGGTGTGGTGGCGCATGCCTGTAATCCCAGCTACTCGGGAGGCTGAGGCAGGAGAATTGCTTGAACCTGGGAGGAGGAGGTTGTGGTGAGCTGAGATCGTGCCATTGCGCTCCAGCTTGGACAACAAGAGCGAAACTCCATATCAAAAAAAGAAAAAAAGCAAGCATGAAAGTATAAAAGTTTTACTATCATTAAGTTTGATATGACTTTTTACTGAAAGTTGGTAATAGGATGCATTCTAAACTATTAAAAGAAGTTTATAAAGAAAGATTTTATATAAGGAAGGATTGTGTATGGTAAATTCTTGTCCTAAAAGGAAATGACTGGTTGTTTACAGGAAGGATGTTTAGGACAAGTCAGAGAGTTTGAGTATGTTGTAAGAGGGTCTGTGAAAGTCACAAAAGAATTTACTAATTAAAGGAAAGGAATTGCCAAGATTAATGCTAAAGTTATTTTAGCCACCCAATATCATATTTCTCCCAATCATATTGCAACTCACAAAAATGGCCTATGCCAAAAATTATTCTCTAATGGGAAGTCAAGGGGAAAATGTATGCTTTTCTCAAGGAAAATGTATGCTTTTCTCAAGGAAAATGTTACTTTTATATAAAGTCTCTGGTAATGTACAACGGCATCTAGTGGACGAAAACCGGTATTGCAACCCTTTGGTGTAACTAACAGATTTCAAACTCAGTTATGGTCTACAGAATTCCCTCTAATGGTGGTCATCTTAATACTCATACTCTAACCCTATATTTTAAATCTTCTTGTAAAATTTATCTCTTTTCACCTAGAAGCAATCAAACTCCAAACAACGCTGCGAGCAGAGCCACCCATGGACACACCATTCTTCCTAGAACACTTAGATCAACCTCAGGAGGAGGACCAACTGCTGTCCCTCACGTGACGAGCCTTTTCAACAGGAAGTAGCCAGAAAGAATTGTCATCCAACACCCCTTAACAGCAGTTAGGTTTACTTCTCTTGAGGCAGGGAATAATACAGGAGTTATTAGGAAATAATTTTTAGGCCACTAGAAAGGGTAAAAGTTCTCAGTGGAAATTTTCCTGTCATGAGAAGCAACCCCCAAACCATTTCTTTTCTAACAGGCAGCTTGAAAAACCAGGCCGGCAAGTTTGATATGCAAATGCCAGTGATTAGAAACTAGGTCCACCCAACATGGCCAACATGGCAATTCCCACCCTCTTCTCATTGTCACCACATGTGCCAAGTGTCATAGCCACCTCCAGATAACTCACACATGCTCAGGACATCTTGGTGGCCTGCATTTGGATGTTAAAGGGCTAAGGTGGGAGTGCCAGGGTTTTTTGTGGTCTACGTGAATGACACACCTGGTCAAACCAATCCCTTGGGCCCTATGCAAATCAGACACCTCCTCCTCCAGCTTCCTAATATAACCAACTACTTCCGTACCACACACGAGGTTTCTCCCTTGGAGCCTCACTCCCTCTGTCTCTGTACAGGAGAGCTTCTTCCTTCTTTCCTGCCTATTAAACTCTCTACTCCTTAAAACCACTCAAGGTGTTTCCGTGTTGTTTTATCTAAATCAGCAGGAGACCAAAGACCCTGGTGTTCCTTCATTCATCAGAGCCATATCGCCATTAGGATCCACCTCCAACATTGGGAATCACATTTCACCATGACATTTGGAGGGAACAAATATCCAAACCGTATCAGGCTTATACAGTGAATCTTAAGAAACCAATAGATATCATGGTTTAGACTATTCCTATTAACCGAATATGTTACATGTGAAACTCTTCTACATCTGAGTAAAATAACAACATAAACTTCTGCAAGAGAAAGAATCAGAATACAACATTGATATAAAATTGAGTCTCCTTGTGGGATAAAACAGCAGTATTAAGGTTATGTTTTTGAATAGCACAGGTATAGTAATATCAATGCTAAAACTGGAAGAGAAAGTAGCAAAAGCACAGCTGTAATTAATGCAGATCAAATAAATGATGATTTTTGACATTGAGATATAATTTGTGGTTGTATATTAATAATTGTTGTGATAAGATTAGTAGCACCTAACATTGATGAAATACCTGCTAAGTGTAATGAGAAAATGGTTTGATCTACAGAGGCTCCTCCCTGGGCTAAATTTCCTGCTAAAAGTGCTGTTTTAAAGCTTTAAAATGATTCTACTTCCATAGTTTGCTACTTGAGTGATACATGTATTGCTGTGATAAGAACATAGATTGTAATTCCCCTTCCCTGCAAGAGTAGTATGTCACACCTCATCAGACCACACATGTGAGTAATTGACCTCAACTACTAGACTCCAAAATACATATAAACCCAAGATTTTGACTGACACTTTGACAGCTCAGACTGTGACCTTAGTTAGTTACACAGAAGGCATTTTTATGGTGGACCTTGCCCCCGATCTGTGCTTGCAGCTTGATCTTTCAAGCTGTTTCTTTGTTAGAAAGGAATTCTACCAAGGACATGTCCTAGCTATCTGCCTAACTGGTACTTTTCACTCTCCTCTCATTCGTAAATTTATTATTTATTTATTTATTTATGGGGTTTTTTTTGAGATGGAGTTTCACTCTTGTCCCACAGGCTGGAGTGCAATGGTGCAATCTCGGCTCACTGCAACCTCCGCCTCCCAGGTTCAAGCGATTCTCCTGCCTCAGCTTCCTGAGTAGCTGGGATTACGGGCGTGCACCACCACGCCCAGCTAATTTTTGTATTTTTAGTAGAGACCGCGTTTCACCATGTTGGCCAGGCTGGTCTCGAACTCCTGACCTCAAGTGATCTGCCCTCCTCGACCTCCCAAAGTGCTAGGATTACAGGCATGAGTCACCGCGCCCAGCCTCATTAGTAGATTTAATATTATTATAAAGGAGTTATAAATTAGAATTGCTGTTACTCAGCTTATATGAGTAATTGATGAGTAGGCTAAGAGTTTTTTGTAATTGTGTCTGATTTAGCCCTTCTCATCCTCCTACTAAAAATGATAATATAGCGGTGGTTAATATTATGTTTAGGTTTGAGAAAGAAAATGAACATTTTATCTGAGGAATGTGAGCTCCTTTAAATTATCAAGCCCAGAGGAATATTTAAAATGTGACAGCAGGCTGGACGCAGTGGCTCACGCCTGTAATCCCAGCACTTTGGGAGGCCAAGGCGGGCGGACCATGAGGTCAGGAGATCGAGACCAGCCTGGCTAACACGGTGAAACACCGTCTGTACTAAAAATACAAAAAATTAGCCGGGCGTGGTGGCGGGCGCCTGTAGTCCCAGCTACTCGGGAGACTGAGGCAGGAGAATGGCCTGAACCTGGGAGGCGGAGCTTGCAGTGAGCCGGACATTGTGCCACTGCACTCCAGCGTGGGCGACAGAGTGAGACTCTGTCTCAAAAAAAAAAAAAAAAAAAAAAAAAAACTTAAAAAAAAAATGTGACAGCAATCACATCTCACTCTCTGCTTGAGCTAATTACCTCTTAAAGCCCCTTGCAACATGGGCTCTAGACTGACACTAAGCAGCCACAAAATGCCCTGTGCTGGACACCATGTATAGCCAATCACTAACCAATATTATTTCTGTAAACCAATGAGAATTCCTATCAAACAACTTCCGCAGGCAAGTCATGCAATGTCTCTGCAGGTCTCCGAAGCTCTCATGGAGATGGTAGCTCCTCTCTGCATCTGGTCATCCAGTCCTCTATAAATCACCTGTGAATCTCATGATATTCTAATTAAGAAACAAATAATAATAGATGTTACTACTTTGTCTTTTGTTTCCCTCTATCTGTGTCTTCAGAAATTGATTCCATGTAATTATTTGTCTGAAAACAGAGAAAGCCCCTACAGGGAAAATCCAAGATGGCTTCCAGTGATTTTCATGTCCTGAGTTTCAAATCCTTGTGTATGAGTCCCCTCTTACTCTGAGTCATGGCTGGCCTGTGTAACAAATAGAATACTGCAAAAGAAATAGGGTGTGATTCCAAGATGAAGTCATCAAAGTCGTGGAAATTTCCACCTTGGTCTCTCTTCGATCACTCGCTCTGGGCCAGGTATGGTGGCTCACACCGGTAATCCCAGCACTTTGGTAGGCCGAGGCTGGTGGATCACTTGAGTCCAGGACTTTGAGACCAGCCTGGGCAACACAGCAAAACTCCATCTCTACAGGAAATTTTTCAAAAGGTAAATTAATCTGTAGGAAGCCAACTGCCATGTCCTGAGGTTATTTAAGCAACCCTGTGGAGAGGCCTGTGTGGCAAGAAACTGAAACCTTCTACCAGCCACTAGCACAAACTTGCCAGCCATCTGAGCCTGCCACCTGGGAAGCACATTCTCCAGCCTCAGTCAAGCCCTCAAATGATTGCAGCGCTGGCTGCCATCTTGACTACAACCTCGTGGGGGACCTGAGACAGGAACACACAGATAAGCTGCTTCTAAATTCCTTACCCACAGAAACTGCCAGAGGTAATACATATTTATTGTTGGTTTAAGCTACAGAGTTTTGGGGTACCTTGTGAACATTTCTAGATTCTAAATGGCATTCACTCTTTAGTGGGTCATCATTGCTTGTTCTTGAATCAGTACACACACGGAATCATCCTATTCATCTCCAAGCCACAGAAGGATGTATCAGCCCTGTAGCTAAAAGGATGTGTGGCGGAATCGTTTGGTAATGGCAGTTTTGAAGATGAAGTCTGAAAAATGTAAGATGATTTTGCCATCTTCTTGAAATCTTTAAACAGGGTGGAAGACTCTGGAATAAAAAAGGATTATATTTAATCCTTAGGATGAATATTTTAATTAATAATATTATCACCACAAACATTTAAAAATGTCAGTTGGAAGACGATTTAACTATTTCTTCTTTTTTTTTTTTCCCAGACAGGGTCTGGTTCTGGACTCACTGCATTCACCCAGGCTGGAGCGCAGTGGTGCAATCACAGCTCACTGCAGCCTCAACCTCCTAGGCTCAAACAATTCTCCCACCTCAGCCTCCCAAGTAGCTGGGACTACAGGCACGCACCACCACACCCAGCTAATTTTTTTGTGTTTTTGTTGAGATGTGGTTTCGCCATGTTGCCCAGGCTGGTCTCCAACTTCTGGGCTCAAGCCATCCACTCCCCTCTGCCTCCCAAAGTGCTAGGATTACAAGCATGAGCCACTGCACCCAGCCTGAACCACTTTCAAGAGAATCCAATGGAACACGTACATTCTCTTCAATAAGATTACACACACTAATAAGAGAAAGGAGAATATCTGAAATACAGTAGAGCCAATATGTGTTGTAGTAACAAGAACAATAATAATGATAAAGCCAGACATGATGACACACGCCTGTAGTTCTAGCTACCCAGAAGGCTGAGGTCAGAGGATTGCTTGAGGCTAGGAATTCGGAGTTTGAGGCTGTGGGTTGCTGTGATGGTGCCTGTGAATAGCCGCTACACCCCAGCCTAGGCAACACAGCGAGACCCTGTGGCTTAAAAGATAATGATAATAAAATAAGAATAAAAATGATAAAATGTAATTAATATGGGGACCACCCATATCTTAGATCGGTTTACCCAAATTCCCTTCTCCACTTACCTCCCACAAACACACTTCTTGTTCTTAGGCTTAGATGTTGTTTGTTTGCTTGTTTGTTTACTTTGTTTGATACATAATTTTCTTTTTTATAGAGAGGGGGTCTCATTATGTTGGCCAGGCTGGTCTCAGACTCCTGGTCTCAAGCAATCCTCCCATCTTGGCCTTCCAAAGTGCTTGGATTACAGGCATGAGCCACTGTACCCAGCTGTGTTTTAGAAACAGGATCTTGTTATACCACGCAGGCTGGAGCATATTGGCGTGATCATAGCTCACTGCAGCTTGCAACGCCTAGACTCAAGCTTCCTGCGTAGCTGGGACTACAAGTGTGCACCACCATACCTGGCTCTGAGATTTTCTTAAGAGGAGCTAGCTAGTTAAATAACTAAATCTCAATATAAATGTCAAAAAGAAGATATGAGTCAAATTTTCTCAGGAAAGACCTTTGAAGAAGGATGCTTCTTTTTGCATCAACATTTGTGTCCCTAAAGTGACTTACTAGAATTATGCAGTGCAGCTCCAGTGCGTACAACATCATCCACAGAGGTGGGTATTGTGGCCAGTGAGCTTCATCCCCAGGTGGGTAGTTGACAAAATTCCTCCAGCAGTGATAATACTCTAAGGAAACACAAATCTTGGCTCATTCAACAAGCACAATGGTAAATTACTTAAGAAGATCCCCAACCTAGCTTCCCGTATAGAAAGCCTGTAGTCTCTAGTCTAGTTGCTGCTGGACATTAGACCCCCTAAAAAGAATAAAGCAGTTCATTTAAAGATGGCTGAGAGGCAAGACTAGAGAAAAGAGTTGTTGGCTGGGTGCGGTGGCTCACGCCTGTAATCCCAGCACTTTGGGAGGCCGAGGGGGGTGGATCACAGGTCAGGAGATCGAGACCATCCTGCCTAACACAGTGAAACCCCGTCTCTACTAAAAATACAAAAAATTAGCCGGGCGTGGTGGTGGGCGCCTGTAGTCCCAGCTACTGGGGAGGCTGAGGCAGGAGAATGGCGTGAACCCCAGGTGGAGCTTGCAGTGAGTCGAGATTGCACCACTGCACTCCAGCCTGGGCGAAAGAGCAAGACTCCGTCTCAAAAAAAAAAAAAAAAAAGAGTTGTTGTTTGTTTTTGTTTTTGTTTTTTGATACAGGGTTTCGCTCTGTCACCTAGGCCAGTGTGCAGTGGTCCAATCATAGCTCACTGCAGCCTTGAACTTCTGGGCTCAGGAGATCTTCCTACCTCAGCCTTTAAAGGTGTATGCTGCCATGCCTGTCTGATTTTTTTATTTTATTTTTTATTTTATTTTATTTTATTTTATCTTGAGACGGAGTCTCGCTCTGTCGCCCAGGCTGGAGTGCAGTGGCGCGATCTCGGCTCACTGCAAGCTCCGCCTCCCGGGTTCACGCCATTCTCCTGCCTCAGCCTCCCGAGTAGCTGGGACTACAGGCGCCCGCCACCACGCCTGGCTAATTTTTTTGTATTTTTTAGTAGAGACGGGGTTTCACCGTGTTAGCCAGGATGGTCTCCATCTCCTGATCTCATGATCCGCCCACCTCGGCCTCCCAAAGTGCTGGGATTACAGGCGTGAGCCACCGCACCTGGCCGGATTTTTAAATTTTTTTTAGAGATGGGGTCTCACTATGTTGCCCAGGCTGATCTTGAACCCCTGGCTTCAAGTGATCCTCCTGCCTTGGCCTCCCAAAGTTCTGGGATTATAGGCATGAGCCACCATGCGTAGCCAGGAGTTGTATTTTTGTAACTTTCCTTGTCATGAATTTCAGACCTAGTCCTTTATGACATTATTTTGGACTTTTACTTCTGAGACTTCCAGCCTGGGCTAACCAATCTTCTGGCCTAAAAACAGCTACTATCACCACAGTCTGTTGTAAACAATGAAGTTTCTTTGTTTACTGTTTTTACCTGATGCTCTCATAATCTGAATAGTTACTCCACTGTTAACAAGGTCCCTGAGACCTTGCCGATTTTGTTGATCCATGTGCCAAAAAAGCCGAGCTACGTAGATCACTAGAGTCACACCAGGGTGCCGACTCAGAAACTCTCTAATAGCCTGGGAGCATTCCCAGCAGGGACTCCAGGACAAGAACCAGGTGATGGAGCAGCTCATGGATGGGTGAAAATCTCTTTCTGACGTAAATTTTTTTATAAAATTAACTTCCACGTGATTGGTGGTGTTTTTGCCTGAGCTTCGCCAGATCTTCCGGCTCATGCCCCACTTGATTTCGTAGAGCAGACAGGCCTCTTTACGAAGTTCTCTGGGGTCATAGAAGACGTCAAACTCCCAGGGTTCGATTCTTCTCCTGAAATACAAAAAGCAGCCCACACTGTCATGCCACATTTAGAGAGATCTTAGAAATCTTTTCCTGCTCCCCTCTTCTTTTTTTATTTTATTTTATTTTATTTTATTTTTTTAAGATGGAGTCTCACACTGTTGCCCAGACTGGAGTGCAGTGGTGCAATCTCAGCTCACCACAACCTCCACCTCCCAGGTTCAAGCGATTTTTCTGCCTCAACTTCCCAAGTAGCTGGGATTACAGGCTCCCGCCACCATGTCCAGCTAATTTTTTTGTATTTTTAGTAGAGACGGGGTTTCACCATGTTGGCCAGGCTGGTCTCAAACTCCTGACCTTGTGATTCGCCCACCTCAGCCTCCCAAAGTGCTGGGATTACAGGCGTGAGCCACCACGCCCAGCCTCTGCTCCCCTCTTCTATCAGGCTGATCTGAGACATAACATCTCAGGAAACTTCTTTTTCTAGTATATGTCTCAAAGTTATCTGAAGAGGTCTGTTTGAATTATCAGATTTTTTTTTCTCACAAACATAGTGCACAGGTTTCTTCCCCCAGTCACATTATTTGGTGACCACTCTCTAATACCATTATGTTTTAGTCTTGAATTCAGGTGTAAGCGTGTCTTTGTTTCTCTTTTAAATTTTCCTTCATTATATTCTAACCCTTTTTTTTTTTTTTTTTTTTTAAGACATGGTCTCTCTAAGCTGGCCAGCCTGATCTCCCCTTCCTGGACTCAAGCTACTCTCCTGCCTCAGCCTCCTGAGTAGCTGAGACCACAGGTGTGCCCCACCATGCCTAGCTATATTCTAACTTTTCTATTTTACACCTAGAGGTGCTATGTTCCAATCCTTATCTTTTCTATTCCTCAATGGACTCTAACCAGATTTTCTCAAGTGTTGACGCCTCAAATTGCCAACAAGATTGTATTGTCAAGAACAGACAAAAGAGCAATTTAGCCTCAAGATTCTTCCACATTAGGATTCTATATACTAACTCCTATAAGAAAGAAATTCTACTTGCTCTCAGTGGTGTCTTTAGATTTAACACTCTCTATGTCTGAAAGCTGTAACTCAAGGGAAACTCAGAATTGAACTGCAGACTCTTCTTTGCAATATGGTTAAGTCACAAGCTTATTACATCCTAATAGTTCCCACTCATCCCTAAAGTATCACATTCATTTACTACATAGATCAATCCTTCCACCTATCAAGAGATAATATATTCCTTAACATGACTTCCCTGTCCTATGTCTGAAAAATGGGCAGACATTATAAAACGAAGATGAAGTTAAAGTGACAAATGAGTTTCCCAGGTATTTCACTAATGGCTATAAAAGCATGCGATTTAAAAAAAGAAGAGAAATTGTAAGACAATAACAGATAAGCAAGCTAGAAAATCATTTATTTAAAGAGATCAAAAGACATAAGAGCAAAGATATAAAAAACAATAACCATAGAAAATGAAACTGGAAAAGGCAAAAATGAAAGAAAGAATGGAAAATGGCAAAAGAGAAAAGGAACAATAAAGAAAGCTATATCCACAGTTCCTTTTTTTTTTTTTTTTTGAGACAGGGTCTCAGTCTGTTACCCCGGCTGCAGTGCAGTGGTGCAATCATAGCTCACTGCAGCCTTGACCTCCTGGGCTCAAGCGATCCTCCTACTCCTGCCTCAGCCTCCTGAGTAGCTGGGATTATAGGCGCATGTGCCACCATGCACAGCTCTTAAATACCCATTGATTCTTGATCAAATTAAATGGGCACTGTGATAGTGTTATTCTTACCTCAGAGTGGGGTCACCGGTTGAAGGACCTGTTGACCAAGATATGATTATGTCAAACAACACTCAAATATCAAATGAGTTGCTAAGAAAAAGTGCTCTATTATTCCAAACCTCCAAATCATCTCAGAAAATGGAATTTGAAGATTCTCTCATGGATTAATTGTATTGGACCAGCTCATTGTACCCAAGAAAAGCAAGATTTTTAAGGACTCTGCCAAAATCTCTTTTCCCAGATGCCCAATCCCAAACAAGGTAGTCTGCCTTAAGGCTTCAACAAAAATGATTAAGCACAATGGGAAAGTCACTTCTTAAAGCCTCTTAGAGGCCGGGTGCGGTGGCTCACGCCTGTAATTCTAGCACTTTGGGAGACCGAGGCAGGTGGTTCACCTGAGGTCAGGAGTTTGAGACCAGCCTGGCCAACATGGTGAAACCCTGTCTCTACCAAAAATACAAAAATTAGCCAGGTGTGATTGCGGGCACCTATAATCCCAGCTACTCGGGTGGCTGAGGCAGGAGAATCACTTGAACCTGGGGAGAGGAGGTTGCAGTGAGCCAAGATCGCACCATTGCACTCCAGCCTGGGCAAAAGAGCAAAACTCTGTCTCAAAAATAAAAATTAAAAATAGGCCCGGTGTGGTGGCTCACGCCTGTAATCCCAGCACTTTGGGAGGCTGAGGCGGGCAGATCATCTGAGGTCGGGAGTTCCAGACTAGCCTGACCAACATGGAGAAACCGCATCTCTACTAAAAATACAAAAAAAAATTGGCTGGGCGTGGTGGCGCATGCCTGTAATCCCAGCTACTTGGGAGGCTGAGGCAGGAGAATTGCTTGAACCCAGGAGGTGGAGGTTGCAGTGAGCCGAGATCACGCCACTGCACTCTAGCCTGAGTGACAGAGCAAGACTCCTTAAAAAAAAAAAAAGAAAGAAAGAAATGGAAATACAGGAAATGTTATGACACGATGGGTAGAGAAGCCTAATGTAGACATGGGCATGGACAGCTTTGAGGGGCCTCACAGGGAGTGGTGCAGACCATGGTGGTGGAGTAGTTTGGAAAATAGAAAAGGAGGTGGCATTGGTGGGGCTTTGATTTTATATATATAGAGAGAGAGTGCAGTGGCTTATACCTATAATCCCAGCTTTTTGAGATGCCAAGGCAGAAGGATCTCTTGAAGCCAGAAATTTGAGACCAGCCTGGGCAACACAGTGAGACCCCATTCCTACAAAATGTAAAATTAGCAGGGTGTGTTAGCACACACCTGTGGCTACTTGAGTGGCTGAGGAGGGAGGATCACTAGAGCCCAGGAGTTCCAGGTTACTGTGAGCTATGATTATGTCACTGTACATAGCCTGGGTGATACAGTGAGACCCTGTCTCTTAAAAAATTAAAATTTTATTTCATTTGTTATTTTTTTTGTGGAGGCGTGTTCTCTCTGTGTTGCCCAGGTTGGTCTCAAACTCCTGAGCTCAAGAGATCCTCCTGCTTCAGCCTCCCAAAGTGCTGGGATTACAGGCATGATTCACCATGCCTAGGCCAAATTTTTTTTTTTTAAAGAAAGAAATAAGGAAATAAATGGAAGATGTGTATTTGAGAATTTATATACCGCAGGCCTGCTGCTCCCCTGCATGACCCTGGTCAGATTACTCCATGGTTATGAAATCATGCCTCACCTGGCCTACAAACTAATCAGTGTCACTCCGTGGAAGAAAGTCTGGGCTGGAAAGGACAGAGGTTCAGTTTCCTGGGGTGCAGTGTGAGTGGCCCCGGCTTTGGAGTGATCTAAGCAGTACTTTGTTTAGATGGCTCTCCTGGCCCTTATCATCAGAGGAATATGGACCCCGCACTCTAGAGGAGGAAGTAAAACCAGGCAAAACCACGTCCTCCATTCAGACTCTCAAAGGTGGTTACAAACTTAAAATGGTCCATGAATCTCAGTCTAGTCTAAAGAAGCAACACAGTGTTGCAATCAAGAGCCAAGGCTCTAGGGTCAGAGAAAAATGGGTTATAATCCCAGTTTAGCCAATTACTTGCTCTAACACATTTGGCAAGTTTCCTAACCTCTCTAGACCTCAGTTTCCCCATTTGTCAAATGTAGACCCTAAGATTGCCTATTCCACAAGGTTGTCGGAAGACTCACGTAACACAATGAATGGAAAACATTTGCAAGGTGCCTGACGCAGCAGATGCTTCATAAACGTTAAGCACTGTTATTACGGCAGCCTTTCAGAGGGTTAGAAAGATGCCTGTTTTATGTTTATTTCAATGGCATGAACATCATTGACATTAAATGTCAACTTGGGAATTTTGAGGAGGTGAGAGCCTCCTGTGTAAGAATACTTCTCTTTCTTATCTCTACTATTCGGTTTGCCATGCATATGCTTATGGATTTTTAGTTTGGGTTGCAAAAATACCCACTTGGTGTCCTAGTGTGTTGTATATACGTGTGTGTGTGTGTGTGTGTGTGTGTGTGTGTGTGTGTAAATAGCTATTTAACAGAGGAAAAAGGGAACTAATAATACTGGTAACATAAACATCTCAATTACATATTTGGCATCCCAGCCAGAATCATTTGAACCAACTGCATTTCGTACTAAGTTACTACCCTTGAATTGAGCCTCATGTGTATGTTTCCTCGCCATGACTGCCAAATTGTTAGCTGAATGTCTAGTTGCATAACATAGAACCTAAGTTGAGCCAGTCCTTGGAATATGTCTCCAAAGTCAGAACACTTTTGAAGTGACTCTGAGGCTTTTTGCACCTTTAAGGCTGGAGAGAGGTGGATTGCACACTTTCTGACGTTTTATTTTTCATATAGAGGGCTAGCCATATACTGTGAAGTATGCTTTCTACGGTAGGCCCAGGCCATTCCCATGAAAAGAAAGTGAGCAAGGGCTGTGGAAAACTGAAGATAAGCCTGCATCTAGAGCTACTAAATTCCTTAAAATAAAAACAATCAATAACAACAAAACAAAATTAAAAAACAAACCAGGCTGTAGGCAGTGACTCACACCTGTAATCCCAGCACTTTGGGAGGCCAAGGCAAGATGGTCGCTTAAGCCTAAGATATCAAGGCCAGCCTGGGTAAAATGGGGAAATTTCCGTCTCTACAAAAAGATACAGAAGTTTAACCAGCTGTAGTGGTGCATGCCTGTAGTCCCAGCTACTAGGAAAGCTGAGGTGGGATAATCACTTGAGCCCAGGAGGTTGAGGCTGCAGTGAGCCATGAGCATGCCACTGCACTCCAGCAGGGGCAAGAGAGACAGACCCTGTCTCAAAAAAAGATAATAATAATTAAACTAAAATTATAAATAAATAACAAAAAAAATACCCAAAACTATTTCCTGGAAAAGAATTGAAGTCTATGACAAAAATGCATGGACTGATCAAAAGTCCCTAATTTCTTCCAATTTCCGAAATAGAATCACCTGGAAATTGATTTGTTCTGTTTTGTTTTGTTTTGTTTTGTTTTGTTTTGTTTTGAGACAGAACCTCACTCCACCACCCAGGCTGGAGTCCAGTGGTGCAATCTTGGCTCACTGTAAACTTTGCCTCCAGGGTTCAAGTGATTCTCGTGCCTGAGCCTCCCAAGTAGCTGGGATTACAGGCATGTGTCACCACACCCGGCTAACTTTTGTATTTTTAGTAGAGACGGGGTTTCACCATCTTGGCCAGGCTGGTCTCAAACTCCTGGCCTCATGTGATCTGCCCCTCTCAGCATCTCAAAGTGCTGGGATTACAGGCGTGAGCCACCGTGCCCGGCCAAAATTGGGTTTTTATTTCAGGTTTGATAGATGATTAAATAGGTGTTGGAGTCCTTGGTTACAGGTACATTATTTTTCAGACTCAGGCTGCGTTTTGAGAAAGGCGATACAGGAATTGGAGACTAAAGATTTTGATTTATGGCTTGATTACCCAACAGAGGTGTCACAGTGCCAGATGGTCTCAGAGTCAGTGGCATGAAGGAAAAAGGAAGTCTGTGAGACCTCACTGTAAGAGGCTCATGACAATAAAATTGAGTCTGAGAACTCTTCTCAAGCTAATATTTTTAAATAATAATCACTTGGCACATATTGATTGAAAATTTAGGCCAGGCGCGGTGGCTGACTTTGGGAGGCTGAGGCAGGTGGATCACCTTAGGTCAGGAGTTTGAGACCAGCCTGACCAACATGGCGAAACCCCGTCTCTACTAAAAATACAAAAATTAGCCGGGTGTGGTGGCACATGCCTGTAATCCCAGCTACTTGGGAGGCCGAGGCACAAGAATCACTTGAATCTGTGAGGCAGAGGTTGCGGTGAGCCCAGATCATGCCGTTGCACTCCAGCCTGGGCAACGAGAGCAAAACTCCATGTCAAAAGAAAAAAAAAAAAAGCACTTCCACCAAAAAAAGAAAATTTAAAAATATATTTATAGGCCGGGCGCGGTGGCTCATGCCTGTAATCCCAGCACTTTGGGAGGCTGAGGCAGGCAGATCACCTGAGGTCAGGTGTTCGAGACCAGCCTGACCAACATGGAGAAACCCTGTCTCTACTAAAAATACAAAATTAGCTGGGTGTGGTGGCGCATGCCTGTAATCCCAGCTACTCAGGAAGCTGAGGCAGGAGAATTGCTTGAACCCAGGAGGTGGAGGTTGTAGTGAGCCGAGATCGCGCCATTGCACTCCAGCCTGGGCAACAAGAGTGAAACTCCCTCTCAAAAAAAAAAAAAAAAAAAAAAAAAAAAATATATATATATATATATATATATATATGTTTATATTTGAAATTTAAAAATCACACACACACACACACACACAAAAGGAACTACCGGCAACCTGGAGTACTTGTGACCAACTCACCATTTAATTTGCACCAGGGAGATACAAATTAAAACCACAATGAGATATTCCTACACACCTATCAGAATGGCTATATGTGTGTGTATAGGTGTGCGTGCACAGACACGCATGCAAAACACCAAATGCTGGTAAGGATGCAGAGAAACTGAATCTGTCATACTTTGCTGGTGGGAATGTAAACTGGTACAGCCATACTGGAAAACAGTTTGCAAATTTATTTTAAAAAAGAAAAACTAAAAATGCAACTACTGGCCAGGCACAGCGGCTCATGCCTGTAATCCCAGCACTTTGGGAGGCCGAGGTGGGCGGATCATGAGGTCAGGAGATCGAGACCATCCTGGCTAACACGGTGAAAACCCAACTCTACTAAAAATACAAAAAACTGGCCAGGCGTGGTGGCGGGCGCCTGTAGTCCCAGCTACTCGGGAGGCTGAGGCAGGAGAATGGCGTGAACCTGGAAGGCAGAGCTTGCAGTGAGCCGAGATCAAGCCACTGCACTCCAGCCTGGGCGACAGAGCGAGACTACGTCTCAAAAAAATAAATAAATAAAATAAAATAAAGTTTCAATTTAAAGAAAGGGTATTTGGGCCGGGTGCGGTGGCTCACGCCTGTAATCCCAACACTTGGGAGGCTGAGGCGGGTGGTTCACAAGGTCAAGGGTTCAAGACTAGCCTGGGCAACATGGTGAAACCCCGTCTCTACTAAAAATACAAAAATTAGCCAGGTGTGGTGGCAGGCACCTGTAATCCCTGCTATTCTGGAGGCTGAGACAGGAGAATTGCTTGAACCCGGGAGGCAGAGGTTGCAGTGAGCAGAGATCATGCCACTGCCCTCCAGCTTGGGTGACAGAGCAAGACTCTGTCTCAAAAAAAGAAAGGAAGGAAGGAAGGAAGGAAGGGAAGGAAGGAAGGAAGGAAGGAAGGAAGGAAGGAAGGAAGGAAAGAAAGAAAGAAAGAAAGAAAGAAAGAAAGAAAGAGAGGGTATTTGGGCCAGGGACAGTGGCTCACACCTGTAATCCCAGCACTTTGGGAGGCCTAGGTGGGTGGATCACCTGAGGGTCAGGAGTTCGAGACCAGCCTAACATGGTGAAACCCCGTCTCTAATAAATACAAAAAATTAGCCAGGCATGGTGGCCCATGCTTGTAATCCCAGCTACTCAGGAGGCCGAGGCACAAGAATCGCTTGAACCCGGGAGGCGGAGCTTGCAGTGAGCCAAGAATGTGCCACTGCACTCCACCCTTGGTGACAGAATGAGATTCCATCTAAAAAAAAAAAAAAAAAGGGTATTTGATGGAAAACTATACAGCTATACAAAAGAATGAAATCATAAATCATGTCCTTTGCAGCAACATAGATGCAGCTGGAGACCATTATCCTAAGCAAATTAACACAGAAACAGAAAACCAAATATTGCATGTTCTCACTTATAAGTGGGAGCTAAACCTTGGGTACACATGGACATAAAGACAGGAACAGCCAGGCATGGTGGCTCACACCTCTAATCCCAGCACTTTGGGAGGCGGAGGCGGGTGGATCACAAGGTCAGGAGATCGAGACCATCCTGGCTAACATGGTGAAATCCCGTCTGTACTAAAAATACAAAAAAAAAAAAAAAAAAATTAGCCTGGTGTGGTGGCAGGCACCTATAGTTCCAGCTACTCGGGAGGCTGCAGCAGGAGAATGGCGTGAACCCGGGAGGCGGAGCTTGCAGTGAGCCAAATTTGCGCCACTGCACTCCAGCCTGGGTGATAGAGCGAGACTCCGTCTCAAAAAAAAAAAAAAAAAAAAGACGGGAACAATAGACACTGGAAAAGTCCAAAAGGACTGAGGGAGGGAGAGGGGAAAGAGCTGAAAAACTTCCCATTGGGTACTATGTTCACTATCTCGGTAGCAGAGTCAATACAAGCCCAA
Source organism: Homo sapiens (assembly GCF_000001405.40). Taxonomy (NCBI): domain Eukaryota; kingdom Metazoa; phylum Chordata; class Mammalia; order Primates; family Hominidae; genus Homo; species Homo sapiens. The sequence goes on from NC_000012.12 coordinate 7,661,349, forward strand.
ACCTCAGCATCACACAATATATACCCTTGTAACAAATCTGCACGTGTACCCCATGAATCTGAAATAAAAATTATAATTAAAAAATAAGAAAGAGTATTTGGTAGTGTGGAGAGAAGCCAGGATATCTTTGATGACAGATGATAGATAGATAGATAGATAGATAGATAGATAGATAGATATCTCTTTATAATTGTAATTATACATATTTTAAACCACAACTCGAGAGGAAGGAGAAAAGATAACTGAATGAGTAATAAGTGTAAAAAGATACTTGTAAAGAACATATGGAAAGATCCTATTGAACCAGCAAAAAAGGACCAGGCTCCAACTGGAGCCAAGTGGTTCCTGAAGACATTTACAGGGCAGTCCTGCTACATAAGGGACCTCAAGTGGACACAGATTCTCCCTTTGAATCGTGCTAACCTGGAAGGGGAAAGAGAAAAAAGCAACAATTGCTGCTCTTAGGTATAGAACCTAATAGTAGGTCCAGCACTAGAATTGAGAGATGGGAAGTAACAATTGATGTGGAAATGAGCAGTCATCTAAATTCCCAATGCACAGGGCTTCAGGGAGTGGGGATTATCTTGATCTCTCCCTTAGTCAAAAGAGTCCCTGGCTGGGTGCCATAGCTCATGCCTATAATCCCAACACTTCAGGAGGCTGAGGCGGGAGGATTGCTTGAGGCTAGGAAATTGAGACTACCGTAAGCAACACAGCAAGACCCCGTCTCTAAAAACAAAACAAAACAAAACCAAACCTTTTTTAAATTAGCCGGGCATGGTGGTGTGCACCAGTAGTCCCCACTGCTCAGAAGGCTGAAGTGGGAGGATCACTTGAGCCCAGGAGTTCGAGGCTACAGTGAGCCATGATCGCCATTGCACTCCAGCCTGGGCGACAGAGCAAGACGTTGTCTTTAAAAAATAAAAAAAATTTAAAAATTTAAAAAAAGACGGCCGGGTACGGTGGATCATGCCTGTAATCCCAGCACTTTTGGGAGGCCAAGGCGGGTGGATCACCTGAGTTCAGGAGTTTGAAACCAGCCTGGCCAATATGGCAAAACCCTGTCTCTACTAAAAATACAAAAATTAGCCGGGCATGTTGGCACGTGCCTGTAATCCCAGCTATTCGGGAGGCTGAGGCAGGAGAATCACTTGAACCTGGGAGGTGGAGGTTACAGTAAGCCAAGATCACACCATTGCACTCTAGCCTGGGCGACAGAGCGAGAGAGACTCCATCTCAAAAAAAAAGGAAGAAGAAAAGTACTGGAAGGAGACAAAAGGTGGTGGGGGCACCATATCGACCATATCAGAGATGGCAGTCAGAGAAGACATCTATAAAGAGGGACATTAAAGCTGAGACCTGAATGTAAATTTAGAGAGCAAGACATGTGGACGTCGGGGAAGGGGAGAGCTTTCCAAGCACAGGGAACACCAGGTGCAAACGACCTGAAGTGTGGACCTTGACTTGTTCAAGGAAGAGCAAGCAAGTCAGCTTGGCTGGGTCGGAGTGATCAAGACCTGCAATGGAGGGAGATGAGCAATGGAGGGGGTAAGCCACAGGGCCTTACCAGCTCTGGATAGTATGCTAAGTGTAAGAAGCCATTAGAGAGTATGGGGATGATTCAAGGGAGAGTACTGAATTTTAGAGACCTGCGCCTCTCAGGACTCAGAGGCTTGGGGATGTTCCTGGCAATAAAATGGGCGCTGACAAGGCCTGAACCTCTAAGGGTGATTTGGGGAGATGCAGGCAAGAAATTCATCCCACGCTCCTGGCCAAACCTTAACTCGCAGGTGCTATTTTTGAACAGAGAAGAGTCACAGGCTCTGGAAGACACTTCCTTTAAAACAGAGCATGCTTTACCCTAGGCTGTGTGTGTACCTGTTTGTGTGTGTTACTTTTTATGCATTTGCACTGGATGGTAGAGGAGTTGTAGAAAGGACTTGGGCATGGCATGGTTTTTTTGCAGAGAGTGGTTCTAGCTGGGGAGAAGAACTAAAATGAGAAATTAGCCAGATATCTAGGAAATAGGACGAAGTCAGGAAACACTATTCCAAGTGTGACCTGAAGAACAAATCTCTTACTTTTAAAGGAGGAATGGGGGATTTGAGCATTGGGAGGAAGGAGGAAGGGGGTGGCTGGCACGTTGGAATGAGCTCTTCTCAGATCTTAGTGCAAATTGGGGCCCTTGAACCAGTAATCTACTCCGAGGGAGCCTTACATAAACAGAGGCCACATCATAGGAAAAAGGCATTTGATGATGGGAAGACACTTTCTCTGAAAGAGCTGAAGCAGCAGTGAGAAGTTCAGAAAGGGACGGTGAGACATATGCTGTGTCTACACTGATCAATATTATTCCTGGGATGCAAAGACAAGGATACCAGCCACATGACTGGGGACAGTTTGAGGTATAGAACACACCACCTTCATAAGAAAAGTCCAGGGAAGGTATTAGCTACTACAATCAAATAATGTGTTTGGTCTTTCCCCCAGTATGCCACTTAAAAAAGAATTTTTTTTTTTTTCCCGAGATGGAGTTTTGCTCTTGTTGCCCAGGCTGGAGTGCAATGGCGCGATCTCGGCTCACTGCAACCTCCGCCTCCCTGGTTCAAGTGATTCTCCTGCCTTGGCCTCCCAAGTAGCGGGATTACAGGCATGTGCTACCGTGCCCAGCTAATTTTGTATTTTTAATAGAGACGTTGTTTCTCCATGTTGGTCAGGCTGGTCTCAAACTCCCTACCTCAGGTGATCCGCCTGCCTTGACCTCCCAAAGTGCTGGGATTACAGGTGTGAGCCATCACACCTGACCTTAAAAAAGAATTCTAACAGATGAAGAACATAAAGGAGAAAATAAATTGTTACTTCAACTCCAAACTGATATCTATATTACCTTCTGCCCCATCACACTCACACTATTGCAATAGTCTTCTAACTGGTCTCCTTGCTTCCAGTCCAAAACCCATCACATGTCAAGTAAATGTGTCTAAAGCACTATTTTAGTCATATCTCTGTGCTATTCATAAATTCTCCAAAGATATTCCCTCTACCATAAAGAAAAACTTTCATTCCTTGAGCCTGGCATTCGAAGTCCTCTATAGTATAATAACACTTCAAATTTGCTTTCTGGTCTTACTGCAAATTGTTTACATAAATTTTTTGTAGCCTAACCAGTTTATTCATTATATTCCAGACACAAGTCTCTATAAAAGCTTTTAAATTCTGTTCATCAATAGGATTCAATCAACCTGGAATCTCCTCTTCTTTGTCGATCCAAAGTCTGCCCTTCTGGCCTGGCATGGTGGCTTACACCTGTAATCCCAGTACTTTGGGAGGCCGAGGCTAGTGGATCACTTGAGCCCAGGAGTTCAAGACCAGCCTGAGCAATAAAGCAAGACCTCATCTCTACAAAAAAATTAGCAGGGCTGGTGGCCCATGCCTGTTGTCCCAGCTACCCAGGAAGGTGAGGCGGGAGGATCTCTTGAGCCCAGGAGGTCAAGACAGCAGTGAGCAGTGATCACACCACTGTACTCCAGCCTAGGCAACAGGGCGAGTCTTAAAAAAAAAAAAAAAAAAATTTGGTTAGGCATGGTGGCTCATGCCTGTATTCCTAGTACTTTGAGAGACCAAGGGTGGAGAATTGCTTGAGCCCAGGAGTTCCAGACCAGCCTGGGCGAAGTAGTGAACCCACCCGCTAGTCTCTAAAAACAAAATAAGATAAAAATTTTTTTAGGTCTACACTTCTCTTAGAATCCAGCTCAAATCCTAGCTCAGCTGAAATTACTTCCTTCAGCCTGAAGTGTTCTTCCTCTCCCATGCATTTTTCTAACACTGACTGTGCACAAATTTATCAATTAGTTATAGTCAATTCATTTGTCAATTAGCACATTGTTCTCATGCTATCACGTCTGTTGTTACCTTAAACTGTTATTTAAACAGTTGTACTTTTACTTAACTTTTTTTTTATTTTTGTGAGACAGAGTCTTGCTCTGTTGCCCAGGCTGGAGTGCAGTGGCGTGATCTCAGGTCACTGCAACCTCCGCCTCCTGTGTTCAAGTGATCCTCCTGCCTCAGCCTCCCGAGTAGCTGGGACTACAGGCATGCGCCACCATGCCTGGCTAATTTTTGTATTTTTAGTACAGATAGGGTTTCACCATGTTGGCCAGGCTGGTCTCAAACCCTGGGCCTCAAGTGATCCACCCTCCTTGGACTCCCAAAGTGCTGGGATTACAGGTGTGAGCCACAGCGCCTGGCTACTTAATTTTTTATCATGGTGAAACAAACACTGATTTGGTTAAAGTCACTTGGAGATGTAAATATTTACTAATAATAAACCATCTTATTTAAGACTAATATATTAATCAATAATAGGGAAGTTTGAAAACACCCACAGATGCAAGAATCAGCAGGACACACACACACACACACACACACACACACACACACACACACACACACACACACCATTCTTGCATTGTTCAAGAATACTTGCCAAGCCCCCGGATCCATTTTACCTTTCTCAGAAGTCATGGTGCTCTGTCTCTGGACTTCCTCCTCTGGAGTCATAAGTTGTGCTGATTGTTCCTGGACTTTGTTGCTTCAGGTGTGCCCACTGCCACCTGCTTGGGCAGAGGATGACTCATTCCCGCATCTCAGGCAGTTATGGGAATCTGAGCTGTCTGTACAAACAGGGGGCCGACTGAGAGGGACATTATCGTGGGGATTTGCATCTTTAGTGATGAGAAAGCCTATGATGCAAATGACATGAATTTTGTAGGGTGGATCACTGGGTACCAAATTCCAAAGTTCTTCAATGACATCTGAATTTGGTAAACTTTCTCTTTCTTTAAATAAAGATTAAGGCAAGGTGGATCCATCATTCTTTTTTGTTTTGTTTTGTTTTATTTATTTATTTTTCATTATCTCCTACTCTGCATCAAGGATGCATCATTCTTTTTTTTTTTCTTTGAGACGGAGTTTTGCTCTTGTCGCCCAGGCTGGAGTGCAATGGCACAATCTTGGCTCACTGCAACCTCTGCCTCCCAGGTTCAAGCGATTCCCCTGCCTCAGCCTCCCGAGTAGCTGGGATTACAGGCGCCCAACACCACGCCCGGCTAATTTTTTGTATTTTTAGTAGAGACGGGGTTTCACCATGTTGGTCAGGCTGTTTTTGAACTCTTGACCTCAGGTGATCCACCCGCCTCGTCCTCCCAAAGTGCTGGGATTACAGGCATGAGCCACCGTGCCTAGCCTAGGATGCATCATTCTTTAATGGAGAGATGAGAGGAAAAATAAAGTTAAGAGAGACTTAATCTGTAACTATAGCTTGAAAATTTTTATGTTATCTGGTGAGCACACTGTGGCCTTGGCTTTCAGCTGTTATTCACCTATTTCCAACTTCCTCTCATTTTGCTCTCTGTCCTACATCCGTGTTGGAGAGGGGAGGGGAGCTATTAGATACAAAATGAGAAGGACCTTGGCCTCTGAGTCAGCTAATTTGTGTACAGGTCTTTGGTGCTCTCTTCATCCTTGAATCTAAGATTAAGTGTGTGGCCAAGTCCACTTCTGCCCTTTTTTTTTTTTTTTGAGACAGAGTTTCGCTCTTGTCACCCAGGCTGAAGTGCAATGGCGCGATCTCGGCTCACTGCAACCTCTGCCTCCCAGGTTCAAGTGATTCTCCTGCCTCAGCCTCCCAAGTAGCAGGGATTACAGGCACCCACCACCACACCAGGCTAATTTTTATATTTTTAGTAGAGACAGGGTTTCTCCATGTTGGCCAGGCTGGTCTCAAACTCCTGACCTCAGGTGATCCACCCGCCTCAGCTTCCCAAAATGCTAGGATTACAGGCGTGAGCCACCTCTCCCAGCCACTTCTGCTTTTTTATCCCCCTTGAAAAAGTAAATGCCATACTTCCCTATGCCATTGCTCTCTGTTGCCTGAACCCTGGGTCAAGTTCAAGCCAAAAATTCCTCTGAGTCTCAGCACTTACTCCTAGAATTGAGGTCACTTTTTCAAGGCCTAAGTCTCCCTCTAGTGTCTCAAATCTAGAACTCCTGAACTTTGAATCTCAAGGCCCCATGAACCTGAAACCCGAATCCTACATACAAGACTTTACTTAGTTATGAAAGTCAACCTGGAGCCTCCATGAGATAAAGCAGGTGTTTCGACAGGGGCAGACCAGTGTTTTGAAGAAGGGGCAGAAATCCCACATCATCAATAAAGGCCCTTCAGAGACCAAGTTTTTCTAAGTTAGGTAAGAGTAGAATCATTGTAGAATAAAAGTAGGTTAGGCCAGGCGCAGTGGCTCGCGCCTGTAATCCCAGCACTATGAGAGGCAGAGATGGGAGGATCACCTGAGGTCAGGAGTTCAAGACCACCCTGGCCAACATGGCAAAACCCAGTCTCCTAAAAATATAAAAGTCAGCTGGGTGTGGTGGCAGGTGACTGTAATCCCAGCTTCTCGGAAGGCTGAGGCATGAGAATTGCTCGAACCCAGGAGGGAAGTTTGCAGTTAGCCGAGATCTCACCATTGCACTGCAGCCTGGGCAACAGAGTGAGACTACGTCTAAAAAAAAAAAGAAAAAAAAAAAAAGGTAAGATAATAGCCATCAACGATATCCATGTCCTGATCCCTGGAATCTGTTAAACATATGAACTTAAGTGCCAAAAGGGTCTTTGTCGTTAATTAAAAATCTTGAGATGAGAAGACAATCCTGGATTATGCAGGTGGGCACAGTCTAATCACAGGGTCCTTATAAGAGGGAGGTAGAAGAGTCAGAGTCAGGATGCGAAATGGAGATATGAGGATGAGAGCAGAATTCTGCTTGCTGGCTCAAAGGGAGCCACGATTCAAGGAATGAGGAAAGCCTGTAGAAGCTGGAAAAGGCAAGGAATGGATTCTCCCCCAGAGCCTCCAGAAGAAATGCTACCCTGATGACACCTTGATGTCAGCTTAGTGAGACCTGTTTTGTACTTCAGACCTCCAGAACTATAAAACAATGTGTGTCGTTTTATACCATTAAGTCTGTGGCAATTTCATGAAGCGGCAATAGGAAACTGATATGGTAGGACATGCTCCCAGGAAGTAAACATGCAGCAGCCAAGAGGGTGCAAAACTTGGGTTTGTTTTCTACTAGAATGCCTATTGAGCGCTTCGTCCATGTTCTGTTTTGTTTAAGAAAACTTGGAACTATGACATATGACAGACTATCATGTGGTTAATTATTTGTAAGTGAGGTCAAAGATAATCAAGGATGAAATGTAGCTATTCAGTTTAAGTCTGTCCTGCACCTGAAAATTTATGAATTTTGAAAAATGTATACATACACTTATGTAACTACTCCAGTCAAGATATTTAAAATTCCCATCACCCCAAAAGTTCTTTTGTTTTTTTGTTTTTTTTTAAGACAGGGTCTTCCTCTATCGCCCAGGCTGGAGTGCAGTGGCTTGACCTTGGCTCACTGTAGCCTCAGCCCCCCGGGTTCAAGCCATTCTCATGTCTCAGCCTTGCAAGAAGTAGCTGGGATTACAGAGATGCACTACCATGCCCAGCTAATTTTTGTACTTTTAGTAGAGATGAGGTTTCACCGTGTTGGCCAGGCTGGTCTCGAACTCCTGACCTCAAGTGATCCACCCACCTTGGCCTCCCAAAGTGCTGGGATTACAGGTGTGAGCCACCATGCCTGGCCAGCACCCCCCAATTCTGTGTGTTAGCAGCTATCCTCCTACTCCTAGTCCCAGGCAAATACTGCTCTTTCTGTCTCTATAGTTTAGTTTTGACTATTATAGAACTTCATACAAATGGAATCATGCATTGTGCACACTTTTGTGTGTTCTTTTGCTCAGCTTTTCCTTTTTTTTTTTTTGAGACAGGGTCTCACTATACAACTTTTTGTATTTTTAGTAGAGACGGGGTTTCACCATGTTGGCCAGGCTGTTCTTCAGCTTTTCTGTAAAATCGGTCTACATGATTAGGTGTATTGGTGGTTAATTTTCATTGCTGAATAGTATTCCATTGCATAGGTATGCTACGATTTGTATATTCTTCTGTCGATGTGATGTACTTTGGGTTATTTCCAATTTTAGGCTTTCATGAATAAAGCTGCTGTGAACATTTGTATACAATTCTTTGTGTAAACATGTCTCTTTTTCTTCCTCTTGGGTAAATACCCAAGAGTGAAATTGCTGGATCAAATAGGTAAATGCACATTTAACTCTTTTTTAAAAAATTGATTTTATTTTTTATAGGGACAGGGTCTCACTATATTGCCCAAGTTGGTCTTGAACTCCTGGGTTTGAGAAATCCTCCTGCCTTGGCCTCCCCAAAGTTCTGGGATTACAGGTGTGAGCCACTACACCCAGCTACATTTAACTGAAGAAAATGCCAAATTGTTGTTACCAGTTTACATTTTCATCAGGTGTATAAGAGAGCCCCAATTGTTATACAACCTCATCAGTACTTAGTAATGTCAGCCCTGTTAGTTACAATCATACTTGTGAGTGTGTGGTAGTATCTCATTGTGATTTTAATTTGCATTAAAATTAAATGCAATGAACATCTTTTCATGTACTTATTAGTTATTTATATATCTTTTTTCTGAAACTTGTTCAAATTTTTTGTCTTCCCTCCCTACCTCGCCCACCTCCCACCCACCCTGGAGACAAAATTTTGCTCTTGTTGCCCAGGTTGGAGTACAATGGCCCCATCTTGGCTCACTGCAACCTCCTCCTCCCGGGTTCAGGTGATTCTCTTGTCACAGTCTCCCGAGTAGCTGGGATTACAGGCGTGTGCCACCATGCCTGGCTGATTTTTGCATTTTTAGTAGAGATGGGGTTTCATCATGTTGGTCAGGCTGGTCTCAAACTCCTGACCTCAGGTGATCCACCTGCCCCAGCCTCCCAAAGTGCTGGGATTACCAGGTGTGAGCCACCACACCTGGCCTTGTCCATTTTTTAATTGGGTTCTTTGTCTCATTACTGAGTTGTAAGAGTTTTTTACGTATTGTGGATACAAGCTTTGTCATATCTGTATACAAATGCTCCTCAGTTTACAATGAAGTCATGTCTCCATAATCCCATCATAATTGCAAAATATTGTTAAGTTGAAAATTCATTTAATACACCTAACCTGGCCGGGTGCAGTGGCTCATACCTGCAATCCCAGCACTTTGGGAGGCCAAGGCGGGTGGATCGCCTGAGGTCAGGAGTTCGAGACCAGTCTGACCAACATGGAGAAACCCCACCTCTACTAAAAATACAAAATTAGCCGGGTGTGGTGGCACATGCCTGTAATCCCAGCTACTCCAGAGGCTGAGGCAGGAGAATCACTTGAACCTGGGAGGCAGAGGTTGTGGTGAGCCGAGATCGTGCCATTGCACTCCAGCCTGGGCAAGAAGAGCAAAACTCTGTCTCAAAAAAAAAAAAAAAAAAAAATACACCTAACCTACCAAACATCATAGCCTAGCCTACCTTAAACATGCTGAGAACACTTATATTAGCCTACACTTAGGCAAAATCATCCAACACAAGACTATTTTTAAATGAAGTGCTTAACATTTCATTCAATTTATTGAATACTGCACTTAACAGGAAAAATCGAATGGCTGTATGGGTACTTGAAATACAATTTCTACTGAATGCATATCACCTGTACACCATTGTAAAACTGAAAAATTCTAAGTCATGCCATCATTAAACTGGGGACTGTCTGTATATATTTCCCTTAGTCTCTGGTTTGCTTTTTATTTTCCTTAATGGTGTCTTTTGAAGAGCAGAAGTTTAATGAAGTTTTAGTAAAGTTCAGTTTATATCGATTGGATTACTTTTTATGGTTAGTGCTTTTTGTCTATGAAATCATTGTCTACTCAAAAGGCACAAAGCTATTCTCCTATATTTTCTTCTGGTACTTATATATTTTTAGTTTTAGCTTTTACAATAAACCTATGATACATTTCGAGTTATTTTTGTATATGGTGTGATGTCAGGGTCAGGATTCTTTTTTTTTTTTTTTTTTTTTTGAGATGGAGTCTTGCTCTTTCACCCAGGCTGGAGTGCATTGTCGAAATCTCGGCTCACTGCAACCTCTGCCTCTTGGGTTCAAGCAATTCTCCTGCCTCAGCCTCCCAAGGAGCTGGGAATACAGGTGTGCAGCATCATGCCCAGATAATTTTTTTTTGTACTTTTAGTAGAGATGGGATTTCACCACGTTGGTCAGGGTGGTCTCAAACTCCTGACCTCAAGTGATCCACCCTCCATGGCCTCCAAAAGTGCTGAGATTACAGGCATGAGCCACTGCACCTGGCCAGTATTCTTTTTTTTTTTTTTTTTTTTTTTTTTTTTGAGACGGAGTCTCGCTGTCGCCCAGGCTGGAGTGCAGTGGCGCAATCTCGGCTCACTGCAGGCTCCGCCTCCCGGGGTTCACGCCATTCTCCTGCCTCAGCCTCCCGAGTAGCTAGGACTACAGGCGCCCGCCACCTCGCCCGGCTAATTTTTTGTATTTTTAGTAGAGACGGGGTTTCACCGTGTTAGCCAGGATGGTCTCGATCTCCTGACCTCGTGATCCGCCCGCCTCGGCCTCCCAAAGTGCTGGGATTACAGGCGTGAGCCACCGCGCCCGGCACCTGGCCAGTATTCTTTTCTGTACATATGAATATCTGCATTATTTTTCCCTCATATGGATATTTAGTTTTATAGCATCATTTGTTTTAAAAAATATATACTTTTCTGACCAAGCACCATGGCTCACGCTTGTAATCCTAACACTTTGGGAAACCGAGGCGGACAGACTACTTAAGGTCAGGAGTTCAAGACCAACCTGGCCAACGTGGTAAAACTGTCTCTATTAAAAATACAAAAATTAGCCGGGCGTGGTGGTGCATGCCTGTAATCCCAACTACTCGGGAGGCTGAGACAGGAAAAGTCCTTGAACCCGGAAGGCAGAGGTTACAGTGAGCCAAGATCTCGCCAAAGTACTCCAGGCTGGGTGACAGAGTGAGACTCCATCTCAAAAAAGAAAGAAAGAAACACATATATGTGTATGTGTGTGTGTGTGTGTGTGTGTGTATACACTTTTCCCATTGGATTATCTTGGCACCTTTATTTAAAAACCAATTGGCAGGCTGGACACTGTGGCTCACACCTGTAATCCTAGCACTTTGGAAGGCAGAAGCGGGTGGATCACCTGAGGTCAGGAGTTCGAGACCAGCCTGGCCAACATGATGAAACCTCTTCTCTACTAAAAATACAAAAATTAGGCTGGGCACTGTAGCTCACGCCTGTAATCCCAGCATGTTGGGAGGCCGAGGCGGGCAGATCATCTGAGGTCGGGAGTATGAGACCAGCCTGACCAACATGGTGAAACCCTGTCTCTACTAAAAATGCAAAAATTAGCCGGGCATGTTGGTGCATGCCCGTAATCCCAGCAACTTGGGAGGCTGAGGTGGGAGAATTGCTTGAACCTGGGAGGTGGAGGTTGTGGTGAGCCGAGATCGAGCCTTTGCACTCTAGCCTGGGCAACAAGAGTGAAACTCCGTCTCAAAAAAATAAAATACAAAAATTAACCAGGCGTGGTGGCAGGTGCCTGTAATTCCAGCTACTCGGGAGGCTGAAGCAGAGAATCTCTTCAATCTGGGGGGCGGGGGTTGCAGTGAGCCAAGATCTAGCCACTTCACTCCAGCCTGGGTGAAAGAGCAAAACTCAGTCTCAAAAAATAAAAAATACAAAAAATACAAAATCAATTGGCAGCTAGGCGCAATGGCTTAGGCCTGCAATCCCAGCACTTTGGGAGGCCGAGGTAGGTGGATCACTTGAGGTCCAGAGTTCGAGACCAGCATGGCCAACACGGTGAAACTACATTTCTACTAAAAATACAAAAATTAGCTGGGTGTGGTGGTGCGCACCTGTAATCCCAGCTATTCAGGAGGCTAAGGCAGGAGAATCGCTTGAATCCAGAGGGTGGAGGTTGCAGTAAGCCAAGATCGTTCCACTACACTCCAGCCTGGGTGACAGAGTGCAACTCCATCTCAAAAAACAAACAAACAAACAAAAAAAAACTGGGTGCGGTGGCTCATGCCTGTAATCCCAGCACTTTGGGAGGCCAAGGCAGGTGGATCACTTGAGGTCAGAAGTTTGAGACCAGCCTGGCCAACATAGTGAAACCCTGTCTCTACTAAAAATACAAAAATAGCCTAGCGTGTTGGCCTGTGCCTGTAGTCTCAGCTACTCGGGAGACTGAGGCGGGAAAATCGCTTGAACCCAGGAAGCAAAGGTTGCAGCAAGCCAAGATCGTGCCACTGCACTCCAGCCTGGGTAACAGAGTGCGACTCCATCTCAAAACAAACAAACAAACAAACAAACAAACAAACAAAAACTAATTGGCCATATATGTGCATGAATTCATTTTGGAATCCTCTCATTCCATTGATCTATATGTCCATTATTATGTTTACACCACATTGTTATGATTATCATAAATTTATAGTAAGTTTTATTTTTTATTTTTTTTCGTTTTGAGACGGAGTCTCGCTCTGTCGCCCAGGCTGGAGTGCAGTGGCGTGATCTCGGCTCACTGCAAGCTCTACCTCCCGGGTTCAGGCCATTCTCCTTCCTCAGCCTCCCGAGTAGCTGGGACTACAGGCACCTGCAACCAAGCCCGCCTTAGTTTTTGTATTTTTAGTAGAGACGGGGTTTCACTGTGTTAGCCAGGACGGTCTCAATCTCGTGACCTCGTGATCCGCCCGCCTCGGCCTCCCAAAGTGCTGGGATTACAGGCGTGAGCCTCCGCGCCCGGCCAGTAAGTTTTTTTTTTTTAAGATGGAGTTTCTTGTCACCCAGGCTGGAGTGCAACGGCGTGATCTCGGCTCCCTGCAACCTCAGCCCCCCCAGGTTCAAGTGATTCTCCTGCCTCAGCCTGCCGAGTAGCTGTGATTACAGGCGCCCACCACCACGCCTGGCTAATTTTTTGTATTTTTAGTAGAGACAGGGTTTCACCATGTTGGTCAGGCTATTCTTGATCTCCTGACCTCAGATGATCCACCCACCTCAGCCTCCCAAAGTGCTGGAATTACAGGTGTGAGCCACCCGCACCCGGCCACTCTTATTTCACTTAACATAGTATCCTCAAGATTCATCCACGTTGTAGCATGTGACAGGATTTGTTTCTTTTTAAAGCCTGAATAATATTCATTATACGTGTATATCACATTTTGTTTTTTCATTCGTCAATGACATTTGTATTGCTTCTACCTTTTGGCTATTGTGAATTGTGGCGCTATGAACATAGGTGTGCAAAGATCTCTCTGAGATCCCTCTAAGTTTTTTGTTTTCTTTTTTATTTGTTTTTTTTTTTTTAAGTGAGATAAGGTCTCTGTTGCCCAGGCTAGAGTGCAGTGAAACAATCACAGCTCACTGCATCCTGAACTCTTGGGCTCAAGCAACCTGTCTGCCTCAGCCTCTCAAGTAGCTGTGAATACAGGTACTTGCCACCATGCTCAGCTAATTTTTTTATTTTTTATAGAGACTAGGTCTCACTATGTTGCCCTGGCAGGTCTCAAATTCCTGGGCTCAAGCAATCCTCCCTCTTCAGCCTCCCAAAATGCTGGAATTACGGGTATGAGAAACTGCACTCGGCTTCCTCAGGGTAGTTCAAGCTACTAGGAACTGAAACAGGAGGATTGCTTGAACCCAGGAGGTCAAGGCTGAAGTGAGTTATGATCACACCACCGGTACTTTAGCCAAGGCAACAGAGTGATTCCTGTTTTATGTTTATTTCAATGGCAAGAACATCATTGACATTAAATGTCAACTCGGGAATTTTGAGGAGGTGAGAGCCTCCTGTGTAGGAATACTTCTCTTTCTTATCTCTACTATTTGGTTTGCCATGCATATGCTTATGGATTTTTAGTTTGGGTTGCAAAAAATACCCACTTGGTGTCCTAGTGTATTGTATATATGTGTGTGTTTGTGTGTGTGTGTAAATAGCTATTTAACAGAGGAAAAAGGGAAACAATAATACTTGTAACATAAACATCTGAATTATGTATTTGGCATCTCAGCCAGAATCATTTGAACCAACTGCATTTTGTACTAAGTCACTGGGATTACAGGTGTAAGCCACTGCGCCCGACCTAAATTTTCAATCAATATGTGCCAAGTGATTATTATTTAAAAATATTAGCTTGAGAAGAGTTCTCAGACTCAATTTTATTGTCATGAGCCTCTTACAGTGAGGTCTCACAGACTTCCTTTTTCCTTCATGCCACTGACTCTGAGACCATCTGGCACTATGACACCTCCGTTGGGTAATCAAGCCATAAACCAAAATCTTTAGTCTCCAGTTCCTGTACTGCCTTTCTCAAAATGCAGCCTGAGTCTGAAAAATAATGCCGTAACCAAGGACTCCAACAGCTATTTAATCATCTATCAAACCTGAAATAAAAACCCAATTTTGGCCGGGCACAGTGGCTCACGCCTGTAATCCCAGCACTTTGAGATGCTGAGGCAGGCAGATCACATGAGGCCAGGAGTTTGAGACCAGCCTGGCCAAGATGGTGAAACCCCGTCTCTACTAAAAATACAAAAATTGCCAGGCGTAATCCCAGCTGCTTGGGAGGCTGAGGCAGGAGAATCGCTTGAACCCGGGAGGTGGAGGTTGCAGTGAGCTGAGATTGCGCCACTGCACTCCAGCCTGGGCAACAGAGTGAGACTCTGTCTCAAAAAAAAAAAAAAAAAATTAGCCCGGTGTGGTGACACACACCTGTAATCCAACTACTTGGGATGCTCAGGCACAAGAATTGCTTGAACCCTGCAGGCAAAGGTTGCAGTGAGCAGAGATCGCACCACTGGACTCTAGCCTAAGTGATGGAGGAGAGTCTGTCTCAAAACAAAACAAATCAGTTTCCAGGAGAAATTTCAGAAATTGGAAGAAATTAGAGACTTTTGATCAGTCTGTGCATTTTTGTCATAGACTTCAATTCTCTTCCAGGAAATGCTTTTGAGTGTGTATGGGGTTTTTTTGTTTGTTTGTTTGTTTTTTTAATTAAACAATTAATTGCAGTAAGGCAAACAAAAGTGAAATAAGTGGCCGGGCGCGGTGGCTCACGCCTATAATCCCAGCACTTTGGGAGGCCGAGGCGGGCGGATCACGAGGTCAGGAGATCGAGACCATCCTGGCTAACACGGTGAAACCCGGTCTCTACTAAAAATACAAAAAATTAGCTGGGCGTGGTGGCGGGCGCCTGTGGTCCCAGCTACTCGGGAGGATGAGGCAGGAGAATGGCGTGAACCCAGGAGGCAGAGCTTGTAGTGAGCCGAGACCGCACCACTGCACTCCAGCCTGGGTGACAGAGCAAGACTCCATCTCAAAAAAAAAAAAAAAAAGTGAAATAAATGTTCTAAGGAAAATCAGGGGGTTGTCTTCCCTAAGGCAAAAAATAATTCAGTACCACAGGGAAGTAACATGACTAGAATTGGGGTTTTTTTAATTTATGTTTTATTTTTTGAGACAAGGTCTTACTCTGTCACCAGGCTGGAGTGCAGTGGTGCAATGAAAGCTCATCATAAGCTCAAACTCCTAGGCTCAAGTGATTTTTCTCTCCTCCTCCGCCTCCCAAGTAGTTGGGACTATAGGTGCTCAACACTGTACAAGCTTATTTTATTTTTTTAATTGTTTTAGTAAAGGCGAGGTCTCGTTATGTTGCCCAGGCTGATCTGAACTCCTGGGCTCAAGCAGTCCTCCTGCCTGGGCCTCCCAAAGTGCTGGGCGTGCACCACAGCACCTGGTCCAGAATCGGGTTTTCAAAGAACCACCACAGCTGCAGTGTAGGGAATAGGTTAAAGGGCAATTGTCGTAACAAACCTGCCATAGATACATGGAAATAGAAAAAGCTGGAGTGGGAAATAGGTTACTTAAAAGGAATTGAATACTGCAAAAGAGTTCGTGTGTACTCACACACACAAAATCATAAACAGAGACAAAAGTAAAAATACCTGACTCAAGAGGAGTGTGCCTTTCATCGTCCCATAGTTTATCCATGCAGCCACTGAAATTATATGCAAAACATTTTGTGTTTATGTGCATTATTTTCTGGGGGAGTGTCTACATGTTTTATCAGGTTCTTAATGGGTCCTTCAATCCCCCAGACGTAAGGGTTTTCATAGATTTGCTTTTCCCCATTTAAGTCAGCAGAGGGCAGAAAAACAATAGAATTAGTAGAGCCAACCACAACACAGAAATTGCTCAAACTCCTCCAGTCCCTCTCAGTTTCTGCCATCTGTTTCCTGCCTTTGCTCTAGATAAAATTCCCTGACATCTCCCTCTGTCAAAATACTACTATCTCTGAATAACCATATCAAGATAAGCAGACCTTCTTCTTCTTCTTTTTTTTCTTTTTTTTTGAGACGGAGTCTTGCTGTCACCCAGGCTGGAGTGCAATGGCGCCATCTCGGCTCACTGCAACCTCTACCTCCCGAGTTCAAGCGATTCTCCTGCCTCAGCCTCCCCAGTAGCTGAGACTACAGGCGCCCGCCAACACGCCTGGCTAATTTTTGTATGTTTAGTAGAGGCAGGGTTTCAGCGTGTTGGTCAGGCTAGTCTTGAAATCCTGGCCTCAGGTAACCCATCCCCCTTGGCCTCCCAAAGTGCTGGGATTAGAAGCGTGAGCCACTGCGTCCTACCTCTTCTTTTATTTAGTTGGACTCAGTCTTTAATTTGCATTTTTCTTTTTTTAAATCATCTTTCCGGAAGAATTTAATTTTCTCATTTCTGTTTACACCTGCGGTAGTTATCATATTCTCTTTCACAACTGATATTGTTTTAATTACTATTGTTCCAGGAGACCTTGAACAATTACCCCATGAGGAGCCTAAAGCTCCCATATCACTTACCATATAATTATTGTATATTATTTACTTTTTGAAAGATGAAAATAGGGCCGGGCCCGGTGGCTCACAGCTGTAATCCCAGCACTTTGGGACTCCGAGGCTGGTGGATCACTTCAGGTCAGGAGTTCGAGACCAGCCTGGCCAGCAAGGCGAAACCCTGTCTTTACTAAAAATACAATAATTAGCCGGGTGTGGTGTCACGCCTGTAATTCCAGCTACTCGGGAGGCTGAGGTTCGAGAATCGCTTGAACTCGTGAGGCAGAGGTTGCAGTGAGCCCAGATCAAGCCACTGCACTCCAGCCTGGGCAACAGAGTGAGACTCTGTCTCAAAAAAAATGGAGGAGGAGGAGGAAATAGTTTGTGGCTAAAACAATTCTCAAGTAAGTTTCACTATCTCAGAAAGATAAATTTTACATTATCGCAACAGGGTAATAATGATTGCAGTGATAAATTTTTGATCAGAAAGAATTGCCCCTACTCTTGTTATTTAATGCTTTTTGTTATTAAAAGAGAGAAGAAAGAATCTATCTGTCCATCAAACCCACTTGAAT
This sequence comes from Homo sapiens, assembly GCF_000001405.40. Taxonomy (NCBI): domain Eukaryota; kingdom Metazoa; phylum Chordata; class Mammalia; order Primates; family Hominidae; genus Homo; species Homo sapiens. The sequence continues at coordinate 7,678,773 of NC_000012.12, forward strand.
ATATATGTATATATGTATGCATGTGTGTTTGTATATATGTGTGTCTGTGTGATATACTTTTTTTTTTTTTTTTTTTAGACAGAGTCTTGCTCTGTTTTCTAGGCTAGAGTGCAGTGGCGCAATCACAGCTCACTGCAGCCTTCGACTCCCAGGCTCAAGTGATCCTCCCATCTCAGATGCGGCTGTAGTCCCAGTCTAGGACTACAGGGCGTGCCACCACACCCGACTAATTTTTTTTTTTTTCGGTAGAGATGGGATGTCCCTGTGTTGCCCAGGCTAGTCTCAAACTCCTGGGCGCAAGAGATCCTTCCGCCTCAGCCTTTCAAAGTGCTGAGATTACAGACTCATGCCTGTAATGTAAAGGAAAAATACAAAAATTAGCTGGGCATGGTGGCACGTGCCTGTAATCTCAGCTACTCAGGAGGCTGACGCAGGAGGATTGCTTGAACCCAGGAGGCAGAGGTTGCAGTGAGCTGAGATGGTGCCACTGCACCCCAGCCTGGGCGTGCACAGCCACTGTGCCCGGACCTAAAGGAATGCATTTATGTTTGCATGTATTGAAGAAAACCTAGAGCTAAACAGTAGCTGATGTGGTAAAAATAGATTTTATTCAGGGCGATTGCAATAGGGGAAAAGGGGCCTAGTTTAGAGTGGGCTTAATTCCAAATACAACAAGGAAAAATGGGTATGAAAGTATGAAGTGCCAAAGACCAGTAATTTTCCAATCTCTGACGGAAAACTTTCATCTCTGATGGAAAATTACTACGAAAAAAACATCAGGAGTAAGGGGGGATTCTGGCTAAATCAACCTAACAGAATTCTTTCTTTTTTTTTTTTTTCAGACTAGAATTCTTGCTGAAGACAAGCCAAGGTGATCAGACATCACCTGGGGGCAATGCAGGATGAGGAATTTGGTCACTTAATGACAGTGATCCTATATCAAGTTTGGGAATTCTTGCCAGAACTGAACACAGAAGCCCAAGGTCAAGCTGAGTAGAAAAGCAAGCTCAGAAGAGCCCCACCAAAGTTTGGTCCAGGAGAAAATCTCGGCATATGCAATCACTGACAGTGCTTTCTGACCTACGAAGAGTGGGAAAAAACAACAGAACATACCCCTTTCCTGTTGAAACAGGTGCCTGTTTTCAGTCAAAACTCTCGTCAAAAGTCAACAGATTCAAATATTTAAAGACACATGCTCCAAATATTCCACTCAAAAACAAAGCACAGAAACCACTGCGATAAAAGTTAAAGTGCTCAATATCATTTTGAGGAGAGAATAAAATGTTGAGAAAACAATCCTGCAACCACCCCTGGTGTACTGATGTTTATGCTCCATTGCTTTTTTGTTTTATGTAATTTTAATTTTTTCATTTATTATTATTATTATTATTATTATTATTATTATTATTATTATTATTATTATTTTGAGACAGGGCGTCATTCTATCACCCAAGTTGGATGGAGTGCAGAGGTGCAATCTCGGCTTACTGCAACCTCCACCTCCCAGGCTCAAGCAATGCTCCCGCCTTACCACAGGCCCACTTGTTCACACCCAGCAAATTTTTTTTTTTTTTTTTCAGAAATGGGGTTTTACCATGCTGCCCAGACTGGTCTCGAACTCCTGACCTCAAGTGAACTGCCCGCCTCGGCCTCCCAAATTGCTGGGATTATAGGCGTGAACCTATATGAGTCCCTTCATTTCATAAAAATGAATCCCTTTATTTTTAATTTTTTAGAGATTTTAATTTCTTGCTATGTTGCCCAGGATGGAGTGGAGCTCCTGGCATCAAGTGATCCTCCCCCTCAGCCTCCTGAGTAGCTGATAGCATGCCACTGAGCCTGGCTTGTTTTATTTTATTTACTTATTTATTTTTAGGCTAGTCGAGTGAAGCAGTGGGAGTGGATAAGGAGAAAAGATTGTTTTATTTTAAAAGAAACAAAAATTGCCGGGCATGGTGGTTCACACTTGTAATCCCAGCACTTTGGGGGGCTGAGGTGGGTGGATCACTAGGTCAGGAGTCTGAACCAGCCTGACCAATATGGTGAAAACCCATGTCTAATAAAAATACAAAAATTAGCTGGGCATGGTGGCACATGCCTGTAATCTCAGCTACTCAGGAGGCTGATGCAGGAGGATTGCTTGAACCCAGGAGGCAGAGGTTGCAGTGAGCTGAGATGGTGCCACTGCACCCCAGCCTGAGCGACAGAGAGAGACTCTGTCTCAAAAAAAAAAAAAAAAGAAAAAAGTCCGGGTGTGGTGGTTCACACCTGTAATCCCAGCATTTTGGGAGGCTGAGATGGGCGGATCACCTGAGGTCAGGAGTTCGAGACCAGCCTGATCAACATGGAGAAAACCTGTCTCTAGTAAAAACACAAAAAAATTAGCCAGGCGTGGTGGTGCATGCCTGTAATCCCAGCTACTTGGGAGACTGAGGCAGGAGAATCGCTTGAACCCAGGAAGCGGAGGTTGCGGTGAGTTGAGATCATGCCATTGCACTCCAGCCTGGGCAACAAGAGCGAAATGCCTTCTCACAATAAATAAATAAATAAATAAATAAATAAATAAGGAAAACAAAAATTAGGCCCAGTCTGAATTTAGGAAGTATAGTTTTACGATAAACTACTACTCAAAGGCCGAATCTCTATCTTATTTTTCTTTCTCCCTTCAAGGTGATGGGGTTCAGGACATACTATCCCAAAATACAGCACCTTGGTATCTGAGGAAACAGAAGCCCGAAAGTTCTTGCACTTTCTCCTGCCCTTCCTCTTAAAGCAGGCCATGAAAGAACTCTCTGCCCTTCCTCTGCATAAAAACTTCATTCTAGATGTATCCTCTCTATACCCAAAGAAAAGGAACATCTTTATCCTTAAAGACACAGAGGCACTAAGAAGAATCAGAACGAACAGGCTTGCTAAGTACTCCTCCAGTTCCTTTGTTTGTTTGTTTGTTTTAAGAGGTGGGGGTCTCACCATGTTGCCCAAGCTGGTCAAGCTGGTCTTGAACTCCTGGGTTAAAGTGATCCTCAGGCCTTGGCCCCCCAAGCAGCAAGGACTACAGGCTCACACCACAGTGCCGAGCCATTCCCAGTATATTACCATTAAATCAGACCTCCTTTGTCCAATCATACTTCTGCACAACTGTCTACCCTTTATCAAACTTAGCACAAGTTTCCCTGTTTGAGTCTTCATTTCTGAAGGTTCTCCTTTCACTAAAACTTAACGTTAAATAAATTTGATTGCTTTTCTCTTGTTAATCCTTCTTTTCTTTCTTTCTTTTTTTTTTTTTTTGAGACGTAGTCTCGCTCTGTCGCCAGGCTGGAGTGCAGTGGCGCAATCTCTGCTCACTGCAACCTCCGCTTCCTGGGTTCAAGCGATTCTCCTGCCTCAGCCTCCTGAGTAGCTGGGACTACAGGTACATGACACCATGCCTGGCTAATTTTTGTATTTTTAGTAGCGACGGGGTTTCACCATATTGGCCAGGATGGTCTCTATCTCCTGACCTCGTGATCTGCCCGCCTCGGCCTCCCAGAGTGCTGAGATTACAGGTGTGAGCCACCGTGCCCCACCAATCCTTCTTTTCTTATGTTATGTGTGCATCAGCCATGAATTGAACAATGGGTAAAGAAAGAAATCTCTTTTCCCTCACAAAGGCATTCAGTAAATGTGAAACTGAATAGAAATAAATTAAATTGATGGTAAAAATTCCTGCCATTAAATAAGATCATGAGTCTTAAAATGTTCTAAAATAGCTGTGCTGTACACATATGCTTAATTTACTTAAATTTTAGAATAAAGAGTCCTATCTTGCCCCAACCTGCCCAAATCACAGCCTATAACTTGGCTTACAGGGCACATACTCTGCCTATTGTAGACTGGTCTGACGAACATGAAGATTCTAGTAGAGAAATAGAATAATGTGGATCCCAAACCCATGAAGGCAGTTATGCATGCATTTCTTTAGTTTTAGGCATGATAATGACCTCAGGAGATAATCTGATTCATTCAGGAACAGAACAAACCAGCCAACCTCAGAACAACTGGAAAAAGGCAGTAGCCACTATTCTTTTTTTTTTTTTTTTTTTTTTTTGAGACGGAGTTTCACTCTCATTGCCCAGGCTGCAGTGCAATGGCGCGATCTCGGCTCTCCGCAACCTCTGCCTCCCTGAGGCAGAGGTAGGCGGATTGCTTGAGCCCAGGAGTTCAAGACCAGCCTGAGCAACATAGTGAAATGCCATCTTTACCAAAACAAAACAAAAAACAAAAAACATATATATATATATATATATATAAACACAAAAATTAGCTGGGTGTGGTGTTGCACACCTGTGGTCCCAGCTACTCAGGAGGCTGAGATGGGAGGATTGTTTGAGACTGGGAGGTTGAGGCTGCAGGCTCAAGCAAGATGAGGTGAGCCATAATCACACCACTGCACTCCAGCCTGGGCTACAGAGCAAAACTCTTGACTCGAAAAAAGAAAAAAAAAACTTTAATGTGAGCATTTTCAAATATGCACAATATATTAATTAAAAATAATACATACAGTTTGTGAATAATTAAATATGCCTACATTGGGATATATGCTAAATTTTTTCACACGTACATATTCAAATAATTTATACTCAAGTAATTTGTAGTGCTAGAAAGGCCAGGTGTGGTGTTACACACCTGTAATCCCAGCACTTTTGGAGGCCGAGATGGGCGGATCATGAGGTCAGGAGTTCAAGACCAGCCTGACCAACATAGTGAAACCCTGTCTCTACTAAAAATACAAAAATTAGCCAAGTGTGGTGGCACATGTCTGTAGTCCCAGCTACTCAGGAGGCTGAGGCGGGAGAATTGCTTGAACCCAGGAGGTGGAGGTTGCAGTGAGCTGGGACCCCACCATTGCACTCCAGCCTGGATGACAGAGTGAGACTCTGTCTCAAAAAAAAAAAAAAAAAAGTGCTAGATTTTAACCTCTACAATGAAAGTGACCATTTATTCTTATTTCCGAGGACCTAGTACACTAATTGGCATATAATAGACACACAATAAATATCAGTTGAATGAAATAAAAGTGAAACTGTGCAGATAATTTACTTCAGAAATAATCTGTGCTATGATTTGTAATGTTTGGCCAACATGATTTAGGATTACACCAATCAATATAAGCCCAAGGAAGCAGGTTTGACATATGATACAAATAAGAAAGCTAGGCTGGGCACGGTGGCTCACACCTGTAATTCCAGCGCTTTAGGAGGCTTTAGGAAGCGGGTTTGACATATGATACAAATAAGAAAGCTAGGCTAGGCACAGTGGCTTACGCCTGTAATTCCAGGGCTATATGAGGTCTGGCAGGAGGATCGCTTTAGCTCATGAGTTCGAGACCAGCCTGGGTAACATGGTGAAACCCCATGTCTACAAAAAATACAAAAAATTAGCCGGATGTGGTGGCAGGTGCCTGTAGTCCCAGCTGAGGTGAGAGAATCTCTTGAGACCGGAACGTGGAGGTTGCAGTGAGCCAAGATCACACCACTGCACTCCAGCCTGGCGGACAGAGCAGGATTCTGTCTCAAAAAAAAAAAAAAAAAAAGCTAGAGTTCTATCAAGCATATTGTAGACTAATTAGAATATTAATAGGAGAGATAAGATGTAAAATGACTAGAAAATGTCTTCAGTGTCTGGACCTGGAGGTTAATAAATCTTGCCATTGGGATAATTTACCTAATTCCTTTCCTCTGATTTCCCAATACACATTCAGATGATAAACTGATTTTCAAGTGTACTTTGTTTTTTCTTTTCTTTTTCATTCTTTTTTTTCCCCCTCCAACCCTAGCAGAAAGTTTTACTTTTTGTTTTCTGTTTTGTTTTTAATCAACAAGAGTGCTGGCTGGCCCTCTTCCCTTGGCATCTTTTTGTAAACTCATAGATTAAGTATACAGCTGGGTGCGGTGGCTCACACCTGTAATCCCAGCAATTTGGGAGGCCCAGGTGGGCGGATCACGAGGTCAGGGGTTCGAGACCAGCCTGGCCAACATAGTGAAACCCCATCTCTACTAAAAATACAAAAAATTAGCCGGGCATGGTGGCGGTGCCGGTAATCCCAGCTACTCAGGAGGCTGAGGCAGGAGAATGGCTTGAACCTGGGAGGCAGAGGTTGCAGTGAGCCGAGATCGCGCCATCGCACTCCAGCCTGGGCGACAGAGCGAGACCAGTCTCACAAAAAAAAAAAAAGAAAAAAAGAATCCTAGACCCACAGACAGAGGTCAGGGTTGAGACCACCGCATCCTCACCAAAGCACTGCTACCTTCACCAAAACATCCACCCATCTTTCTTCTGTTACATTCTTTTTTTTTTTTTGAGACGGAGTCTTACTCTGTCGCCCAGGCTGGAGTGCAGTGGCGCGATCTCGGCTCACTCCGAGTTCCACCTCCCAGGTTCACGCCATTCTCCTCCATCCTCCTGCCTCAGCCTCCCAAGTAGCTGGGACTACAGGCGCCCGCCACCACGCCTGGCTAATTTTTTGTATTTTTAGTAGAGATGGGGTTTCACCGTGTTAGCCAGGATGGTCTTGATCTCCTGACCTCGTGATCCGCCCACCTCGGCCTCCCAAAGTGCTGGGATTACAGGTGTGAGCCACCGTGCCCGGACTTTTTTTTTTTGTTTGTTTTATTTTAATTTCAGCGGTACAAGTGCAGGTTTGTTACATAGTTGAATTCCGATCTTGGGGATTTGTTATACAGATTATTTTGTCATCCAGGTACTAAGCCTAGTACTCAATAGTTATCTTTTCTGCTCCTCTCCCTCCTCCCACCTCCACCCTCAAGTAGGCCCCAGCGCCTGTTGTTCCTTTATGTCCATACATTAATTTCTTAGCTCTTTCTTCAACAAACGTAATCTAAAAGTGCCTTGTTATCATATTCATGCAGGTTATTACTGCGTTATCCAGGTTAGTGATTATTCCACTAATTTGTTCTAAATGATTGGTCCAGAGTCAATCTCCTACTCTCAGTCATAACAGTACCTTTCATTCAAATGATGCATTTGGCGAGGCGAGTGCTTTTTAAAGACCAGTTTCAGTTATGTTCAGGGACATACATTCAGAGTGGCCACAGGCTCCCTATGCTTTTCTCCATTCTCCTTACAAATTGCCCAAACTGCTGCCCTAATGAAGCTCTAGCTATGCAAAGAGATTTTGTGTCCCTTCTACGGGAATGATTGTTGCAATCCGTTTGAATGTCCTGAGTATCCAATAACGAGATAGCAAATCAATAAATCATGGAACATGCATATAATAGATTGCTATTCAGCTAGGAAAAAAATTAATTATATCACCGGCCGGGCGCAGTGGTTCGCGCCTGTAATCCCAGCACTTTGGGAGGCCAAGGCGGGCGGATCACCTGAGGTCAGGAGTTCAACACCAGCCTGACCAACATGGTGAAACCCCTTCTCTACTAAAAATACAAAAATTAGCCAGGTGTGGTGGCAGGTGCCTGTAGTTCCAGCTACTCGTAAGGCTGAGGCAGGAGAATTGCTCGAACCCGGGAGGCAGAGGTTGTAGTGAACCGAGACCACACCATTGCACTCCAACCCGGGTGACAAAGTAAGACTCCTTCTCAAAAATAATAATAAAATTGATTATATCTACACCTATCAACCTCTATGAATCACAGAAATAATAAATTGTGAGCTGGATTGAGTAGCAGGTGCCTGTAGCTCTAGCTACTCAGGTGGCTAAACAAGGAGGATCACTTGAGTTCAGGAGTTCAAGGCCAGCCTGGACAACACAGAAAGACCCATCTCAAAAACCATTTTTTTTTTCTTTTTGTTTGAGATGGGGTCTCACTCCGCCACCCAGAATGGAGTGCAGTGGCACAATCATGGCTCACTGCAGCCTCAACCTCCCAGGCTCAAGTGATCCTCCCACCTCAGCCTCCCAAGTAGCTGGGACTATAGGCACACCACACCACACCTGGCTAATTTTTGTACTTTTTGTAGAGACAGGGTTTTGCCATGTTCCCCAGGCTGGTCTCAAACTCCTGGGCTCAAGCGATCTGCCCGTCTTGGCCTCACAAAGTGCTGGGATTACAGGCATGAGCCACCATGCTCAGCTTCTGACCTAATTTTTTAAAAAATATCTTTGGAAGCCAGGTGCAGTGGCTCACACCTGTAATCCCAGCACTTTGGGAGGCTGAGACAGGCAGATCACTTGAGCCCAGGAGTTCCAGATCAGCCTGGGCAACATGGCAAAACCCCATCTCTACTAAAAACACAAAAATGAGTTGGGCTTGGTGGCACGTCCCTGTGGTCCCACCTACTTGGGAGGCTAAGGTGGGAGGATCACTTGAGCCCGAGGAAGTAGAGGCTCCAGTGAGCCATGATGGTGCCCCTACACTCCAGCCTGGGCAATGCAGTGAGGCCCCATTTCTAAAATAGATAGATAGATATTCCAATATGATTTGTATAATGTTTACATATTTGTGAAATAATGTTTTATACTGTTTATGGATAAAAATATATGTAGTAGGTCAGGGGTGGTGGCTCACACCTGTAATCCCAACACTTTGGGAGGCCGAGGCTGGTGGATCACCTCCTGAGATTGGGAGTTTGAGATCAGCCTGACCAACATGGAGAAACCCCATCTCTACTAAAAATACAAAATTTGCCGGGCACCGTGGTGCATGCCTGTAATCCCAGCTACTAGGGAGGCTGAGGCAGGAGAATCGCTTGAACCCAGGAGGCAGAGGTTGTGGTGAGCTGATGTGGCACCATAGCACTCCAGCCTGGGCAGCATGGAACATGTACATAATAGATTGCTATTCAGAGCCAAACTCCGTCTCAAATATATATATATATATGTAGTAAAATTTTAAAGAAATAAACAGAAAAGATATGCAACAAATTCAGGTTTGTGGTTTCTTTGGAAGGATGAGAAAAAAGATTGAGGGGGTTATGCAGGGGTCTTCACATATATTTATAATATAGTAAAATTATAATCTACATTTTATTATTTTGTAAATTGTTTGTTTATTACTCTGTTGCCTAGGCTGGAGGGTGGTAGCGCAATCACAGCTCACTGCAGCCTTAATCTCCTGGGTTCAAGCAATGCTCTCACCTCAGCCTCCTAAGTAGCTAGGACTGTAGACAAGTGCCACCACACCCAGCTAATTTCTTAATTTTTTGTAGATATGGGATCTCACTATATTGCCCAGGCTGGTCTCAAACTCCTGGCCTCAAGTGATCCTCTCACTTCGGCCTCCCAAAGTGCTGGGATTACAGGCATCAGCCACCAAGCCCAGACTAGAGTTTTTCTATATATATGCAAATTTTGCATTTCACCCCAAAATTTATCCATATTTGTTTTAATATTGATTTTATGTTAATTATACACGAGTCAGCTTATGCTTTTGACTCTGCAATTCCATGTCTGAAAATTTTCTAAGGGGGTGGGGACTAAAAAATGGACAATGATATGTGAACACAGAGTTACAACCCTATTCCATCATGAAAACTGCAAACTTCATAATGTCTAGTGATAAACGTTCTCTGAAGTAAATTATGGTATATCTAAACAAGCACATACAGTTGCAGCCATTAAATTAACTAACTAGGGCTAGGCGCAGTGGCTTACACCTGCACTCCCAGCACTTTGGGAGGCCAAGGCTGGTGGATCACCTGAGGTCAGAAGTTCAAGACCAGCCTGGCCAACATGGTGAAATCCCGTCTCTACTAAAAATACAAAAATTAGCCCGGCGCCGGGCGAGGTGGCTCATGCCTGTAATCCCAGCACTTTGGGAGGCCAAAGTGGGCGGATCACCTGAGGTCAGGAGTTCAAGACCAGCCTGACCAACATGGAGAAACCTCATCTCTATTAAAAATACAAAATTAGCTGGGTGTGGTGGCACATGCCTGTAATCCCAGCTACTTGGGAGGCTGAGGCAGGAGAATTGCTTGAACCCAGGAGGCAGAGGTTGCTGTGAGCAGAGACAATGCCATTGCACTCCAGCCTGGGCGACAAGAGCAAAACTCTATCTCAAACAAACAAAAAAATTAGCCAGGTATGGTGGCCTATGCCTATAATGCCAGCTACTCGGGAGGCTGAGGCAAGAGAATGGCGTGAACCCGGGAGGTGGAGCTTGCAGTGAGCCGAGATCGCGCCACCGCACTCCAGCCTGGACGACAGAGCAAGACTCCGTCTCAAAAAGAAAAAAAAAAAAAAGATTATATGTACAATGTGATCTGCACTATAGGAATCATATGGAACATCAATAAAAGACCAGAACGGGGCTGGTCTAACTAGGGCCCGGTGCAGTGGCTTACACCTGCAATCCCAGCACTTCTGGAAGCCGAGGCTTCCTTTAAAAAAATTAATTTTTTTTTTTTTTGAGACGGAGTCTTGCTCTGTTGCCAGGCTGGAGTGCAATGGCACGATCTCAGCTCACTACAACCGGTCTCCTGGGTTCAAGCGATTCCCGTGCCTCAGCCTCCCAAGTAGCTAGGACTACAGGCATGCACCACCATGCCCGGCTAATTTTTTGTATTTTAGTAGAGTCGGGGTTTCGCCATGTTGGTCAATCTGGTCTCGATCTTCTGACCTCATAATCCACCCACCTCAGCCTCTCAAAGTGCTGGGATTACAGGCGTGAGCCACCACACCCGGCCTCAAATATTTTTAATGTAATGCTGTTAGCATATCAGATTTGCCAGGGAGAGCCAGGGAGAGCTGCTGACCTTAGGAAAATTTGTTAGCTTCTCTAAACCTCAGCTTCTTTGTCTGTAAAGCATAAATAACAATACTTCCCTCAAAGACAGTGAAATGTTTGTAAAGTAACACGTAGGATAATGCCTGCCCATAATCGGCCATCAGTAAATGCCAGTGTCCATACTGTCATATGCATAATGAGTATGTTAGAACAGAAATTAACTATGATTATTAGGGCTCCAGGATGTGTGTGTGTGCACACGCATGCAAGTATGGGCATTGTTAATTATGGTGGGTTTTTCAGGAAGACAAATTATAAACACAGGTATATTGACATTTCGATCTAAGTGGTCATAAACCAGATAGGTAGTTTTATTAAAAGATTTACCCTAAGAACACTCCTTCTATTCCCATTTCTGACATCCTACCCACACCCACATTCATCGACTACCATGTCTTCATAATGTCGTAGAATGACATTGTCATTATTGTCCTGGTAGAGCATGGAAATGGGAGACAGCTTGGTGGGGATACACACAGCCTGGGGGATCTCTGGGTCAACGGCATGCATCAGGGCTTGCATGAAAGCATAATTGGAGCTGTTGAGAGAGATGGTCAGTGAGAAGGGACACTCTCCATGGCAGTAATTTGCCATGAACCCCTTGGGGGCAATGATCCACTTGTGCCAACCCAGGTCCCGGAAGTTAATGAATAGCTGGTGACGGTGGCAGAGGTTCTTACAAGAAAGCTTGGGGACAGGGATGGCTGCTCTCCTTTTCCGAGAAGGGTGGCACTGATCAGGGTTGAGAGTCACCACCAGCAGGGAAGCATGAAGGGAGCATCTTAGTCTGGCACAGGTGTCTTCAGGCTGAAAATTCACCCCTGAGTCTCTATCTTCTTTGACCAGTATCTCCAGGAATAACCCGAAATTTTTCCGGGGGTTGTCATTCCAATCCTTAGCTACATCCAGCAGGTTGAAGTGAACAGCACCTTGTGGCCATGGGACTGACCGCAACACAAACATTTTACCTGGCTTAGGGGTGGTCTGGCCCCACACATGAGGCTCCTGAACCAGGAACAGAGCCAGTTCCAGCTCTGGTCCCAGGTTATAGTAAGAATTGGGCCCCAAGTCCAGGCCCAGCTGGGCCAATGTCAACTGTTCCCTTTCTTTGATGGCAGACAGGTTAAAGTAGAGGAGCTTCTGCAGGCAGGAGGAAGCTTGGGAAATTTTCTTTGGGTAAAGAAAGAAACCTAGATGGGAAAAGAGACATGTCAGAGTCATAATGATGTATTTACTTCATATCCACCTATATAATAGAAATGCCAGACACCCACATATACAATATAAGGGCAGGGAAAGACACAAGCCCTGTCATTTGGGAGGGTTTGTTTCTCTATTCCTGAAAGCCAGAGGGTCCCCAGGTGCGGCGGCTCACGCCTGTAATCCCAGCACTTTGGGAGGCCGAGGCGGGCGGATCACGAGGTCAGGAGATCGAGACTATCCTGGCTAACATGGTGAAACCCCGTCTCTACTAAAAATACAAAAATTAGCCAGGCGTGGTGGCGGGCGCCTGTAGTCCCAGCTACTCAGGAGGCTGAGGCAGGAGAATGGCGTGAACCCGGGAGGCGGAGCTTGCAGTGAGCCGAGATCGCGCCATTGCACTCCAGCCTGGGTGACAGAGCAAGACTCCGTCTCAAAAAAAAAAAAAAAGAAAGCCAGAGGTTCTTATCTTCACATCCACAGGTTCCCAGAGATTCCTGGATGAAATGTAGAGGGTGCACGAACTTAGATGGGAAAAATAATTACATCATTATTTCCACTAAACTCTAAATGAAATTTAGCATTTCCTTCATTATGAATATAGGTAACAAATCCCAGTAATATCATCAGGGCCTATGACATTGTTATCAATAAAATCATAGGTGTGTTCATACGTTTAGTTGTTGCAAATAACTTAAAATATTTATGGAGTCCAGGCAAGGTGGCTCATGCCTGTAATCCCAGCACGTTGGGAGGCTGAGATGGGAGATTTGCTTGAGGCCAGGAGTTTGAGACCATCCTGGGCAACATAGTGAAACCCCATCTCTACAAAATAAATAAATAAATAAAAGAAAAGAAAAAGAAAAAAAAAAACAAAACACTTATGCTAACACTATGCCGAAATTTATGGTAGTTATAGGTATAGTCACCTCCCTAAATCTTGTTATGTATTACATGAATAAAGCATTATATATATTACTATATATACATTTGTCTTTAAAATATTTTAAAAGCCAGGCGTGGTGGCTCATGCCTGTAATCCCAGCACTTTGGGAGGCCGAGGCGGGCGGATCACGAGATGAGGAGATCGAGACCATCCTGGCTAACACGGTAAAACCCCATCTCTACTAAAAATACAAAAAATTAGCCGGGCAAGGTGGAGGGTGCCTGTAGTTCCAGCTACTCAGGAGGTTGAGGCAGGAGAATGGTGTGAACCCGGGAGGCGGAGCTTGCAGTGAGCCAAGATCACGCCACTGCACTCCAGCCTGGGCGACAGAGCAAGACTCTGCCTCAAAAAATAAAAAATAAATAAAAAATAAAAAAAGTTTTAAAAAAATTTTAAAATGTATTTCAATATTTAATTGGTTTCTTTTGAAATCCTAAATATTTTACTTTAGGCACTTAAACCATTATTCTGAGAAAGAGTCAATAGACTGGGCCGGGACATGGTGGCTCACACCAGTGATCCCAGCACTTTGGGAGGCCAAGGCGGGCAGATAACCTGAGGTCAGGAGACCAGACTGACCAACATGGAGAAAACCTGTCTCTGCTAAAAATACAAAAAAATTAGCCGGGCAGGGTGGCACATGCCTGTAATCCCAGCTACTCGGGAGGCTGAGGCAGGAGCATCACTTGAATTTGGGAGGCAGAGGTTGTGGTGAGCCGATATCACACCATTGTACTCCAGCCTGGGCAACAAGAGCAAAACTCCGTCTCAGTTAAAAAAAAAAAAAAAATAGCAACCTAGACAGTCAGGTGTTGTTGGCCAAAGTCCAATCATTCAGATTGGCTTTAATTTTTTTTTTTTTTTTCTGAGACGGAGTCCTGCTCTGTTGCCCAGGCTGGAGTGCACTGGCTTGATCTCAGCTCACTGCAACCTCCGTCTCTCGGGTTCAAGCAATTCTCCTGAATCAGCCTCTGGAGTAGCTGGGATTACAGGTGCACACCACGTCTGGCTAATTGTATTTTTAGTAGAGACGGGGTTTCACCATGTTGGCCAGGCTGGTCTCAAACTCCTGACCTCAGGTGATCCGCCCACCTCGGCCTCCCAAAGTGTTGGGATTACAGGCAAAAGCCACCACACCCAGCCAATTTTTTTTTTAAGTTTTTGTAGAGATAGGGTCTCTCTATGTTGCCTAGGCTTATCGAGAACTCCTGAGCTCAAAGGATCCTCCCACGTCTCAAAGTGCTGGGATTACAGTCACGAGCCACTGTGCCCAGCCTCTCCTCATATTGAAGTACAATGTGATTCTTCGATTTTTGTCCATGGATGCCCCTCTTCTGAAGTTACAAATGTGCTCTCCCTGTTTTCTAAGCTAACTTTCCTGCCTGAATTTTCAAATTTTACCTATTCCTCTAGGAAAAGGCCCAATACAGTCTACTTTTACTATTTGCATCTTCAATTTCTCCCTTTTCACAAATAACTCATTTGGCCTCTAATGCCATCATTTTGTTTGGTAGAATGACTTCACGCTTGAGTAGGTATTTTCTCTCTTTTTCTTTCCCCGAGATGGAGTCTTGCTCTGTCACCCAGGCTGGAGTGCAGTGGTGCGATCTTGGCTCACAGCAACCTCTGCCTCCCGGGTGTTCAATCGATTTTCCTGCCTCAGCCTCCAGAGTAGCTGGAATTACAGGCGCCCGCCACCACACCTGGCTAATTTTTTTTTTTTTTTTTTTTGGTATTTTTAGTAGAGACGGGGGTCAGGGGAGTGGGGGGAGGGCCTTACCATGTTGGCTAGGCTGGTCTCGAACTCCTGGCCTCGTGATCTGCCTGCCTCGGCCTCCCAAAGTGCTGGGATTACAGGTGTGAGCCACCACGCCCAGCCTTAAGTAGGTATTTTCTGAGGTCATTCAGCTTAGGGAGAAATTACAACTCAAACCGAAACACTCTTAAGCACCCCACCACCACACCTCTTCATTCTCAAGCATCATTCAAAACCTAACAAAATTTGGCTGGGCATGGTGGCTCATGCCTATAATCCCAGCACTTTGGGAGGTCAAGGCAGGCCATTGCCTGAGCTCAGAAGTTAGAGACCAGCCTCATGGTGAGACCTCATCTCTATAAAAAAGTACAAAAATCAGCCTGGCGTGGTTGCGTGCACCTGTAGCCTGTAGTTCCAACTACTCTACTCGGCAGGCTGAGGTGGGAAGATCGCTTGAGCCCAGGAGGTGGAGGCTGCAGTGAGCCGAGATTGTGCCACTGCAGTCCAGCCTGGGTGACACAGCAAGACCTGTCTCAAGGGGAAAAAACAAAAAGAGGAAGAACAAGAGGAAGAAGAAGAAAAGCCTGAAGTACTTGACCAGGCAAATTCTGAGGGAGTACTTCAGGCAGCCTGGATACAGCACGTGTGAGGATGAGACAAGAGTGCATGCTCTAGAAGGAATAGACTACTATGAGCTTGGAGTTGAGTGTGCAAGGAGAGGGTGTAAAAGGTGAGACTGGGGAAGTAAGCAGCAGGGTCAGAACAGGCAGGGCATGGTGGGTCAACTCTTGCAGAATTTTGCAGACGAGAATTTTACGTGGAGGAGCAGTACGACTCAATACGCATTTTTAAAAGGTAATTCTGGGCTGGGTGCGGTGGCTCAGGCCTGTAATCCCAGCAGTTTGGGAGGCTGAGGCAGGCGGATCACCTGAAGTCAGGAGTTCAAGACCAGCCTGGCCAACATATAGTGAAACCCTGTCTCTACTAAAAAATTAAAAAATTAAAAAATTAGCTGGGCTTGGTGACACACGCCTGTAATCCCAGCTACTTGGGAAGCTGAGGCAGAAGAATCACTTGAACCCAGGAAGCGGAGGTTGCAGTGAGCTGAGAAAGTGCCACTCTACTCCAGCCTGGGGGACAGAGCGAGACTCTCAAAAAAAAAAAAAAAAAAAAAAGGCAAACTTTATCTTGTATTCTCAAGGCCATACACAGTTCCTGGCTCACCATAGGTATCCAATAAGTGCTTCTTGGACAAATAAATATTCAAATCTTCTCTCCAGTTGCTGTAAAACTAACCAAGGCTCTAAATTCTGCATCTGAAACACCCGGGAGGTTGTATAGACATGCAGATTCTCAACACCCATTTCAGACTTTGAATAAGAATTGGGTGGGGAGAACTAGGGGCAGGAATGGGGTTGGAGGATCTACTGTTAATGGAAGACCTAAGTTATTTGGTGGGTGGTCAGTTTGGGAAAGTACTGGATCCCACTCACTGAGATCCTTTTAAAAGGATATGACAGTTGTATATATTATTGCTCTCTATTCACAAATCTAGAATAACCTTTGCCACCCAACAAGAGTAGCCAGGAGGTACAAATAAGGGAAGCAGGACTCCTGGGCAAACCAACCTCAAAATTTTCATACCCTGCTTGCCACATGGAAGACGGCAGGATGTGTATATATGGGCTGCAGGGTGGGAGACTGAGCTCTGATTCCTCCCTCACCTCTTTCATCTCAACTGAAGCACAAAGCAGTTGATTCAGAAAACAAAAACCTATTTCAAATCCTGACTTTGTTCTCACACACTAGCTGTATGATCTTGAATAGATTACAGGTTACCTACTGTCTGAGCCTAATTTCCTTACTGTTAGGAACTTGATAAGAATATCTAACTTCCTCTCAGGATCGTGGCTGGAATTAAATGAGACAAAATATGAAAAATACCAGCACAAGGCCATCAGTAATTGTCATTTCCTATTGTCCTTTCCTTTCTTCACACCACCCAGTTCCAGATGTTTTTCTGGATAACACTCTATTTCCTTACCTTGGTCTGGGAGAAAGCGAAGTACATTCCCGCGGACGCCCAGCTCCTTTACGTAGCATAAGTCTCGGGAGACCCCAGTGGTCGCTGCTGCCTCGCGATCCTGGAAAATTTTCTTCAAGATATAAGGCACAGGTTGGAACTTCTGGGGTGAAGGCGCCTTATCTAAGCCCAGAAATTGGAGAAAGACATATTCTTGAAATTGGACTGCCTGGCCCAAAGCCAGAATTAACAGGAAGCTGAAAGCCAAATCTGGCAAGAAACGAAGCATGGCCTCTGGAGTGGCTGTCAGACCGGGGAGAGCTCCACTGCCAGACTGCCCAACAATTCAGAGGCTGCTAATTTATCTGATGTAAGATAATCAAGTGTGAATTGCTCTCTTCCCAGCTCCTCAAAGGCCATTGGATGTGAAGAGGGAATTTTTTTTTCTCTTCTCTTGCTCTACTCTTCCAGGAAAAAGTTCACAGAACAAAGATTACCAATGCATGGACATAAATTCTACAACAATGTGAGGTTGTCAGCAGTAGACAGAGTGAAAAGGAGACATGCATTTATTCATTTAACAAACAGTTACTAAGCATCTATTATGTGCACGGTGCTGAGATAGGTGCTAGGAATAGAGCAGTGAATAATTCATAGACTTGTAATTAATCATCTACATAGACCAAGCTTGTCCAACCTGCGGCCGGAGGGTCACATGAGGCTCACGATGGCTTTGAATGCAGCCCCACACAGATTCATAAACTTCCGTAAAACATTATGAAACTTTCTTGTGATTTTTTTAAGCTCATCAGCTATCATTAGTGTTAGTATATTTTACGTGTGGCCCAAAACAATTCTTCTTCTTCCAATGTGACCCAGGGAAGCCAAAAGATTGGACACCCCTGGATTAGACAAATACTCAAGTAGATTTCATTATTTTATTTTTATTTTTATTTTTATTTATGTATTTATTTATTTTTGAGACAGGGTCTCGCTCTGTTGCCCAGGCTGGAGTGCAGTGGCCTGATCTTGGCTCACTGCAAGCCTCGACCCCCTGAGCTCAAGAGATCATCCCACCTCAGCCTCTGGAGTAGTTGAGACTACAGGCATAGGGCACCACTTCCAGCTAATTGTTTTATTTTTTACAGAGATGGGGCCTTGCCATGTTGTCCAGACTGGTCTTGAACTCCTGGTCTCAAGCAGTCTTCCCACCTCGGCCTCCCAAAGTGCTGGGATTGTAGGCATGAGCCACTACACCCAGCCGCCAGCCTTGTTTCTCACCACCCACCATCCTTAGTGTGGATGCTCTAATTACATTGACCTATTTGTAGCTCTGTGAGCTCATTTCATCTCAGAGCCTTTACACAGACCAAGTTCAAAGGTCACCTCTACTTCCACAGTTTCGACTCACCAAAATAGATTGAGATACTTCTTTCTCCCACTGAGCCATACTTGGGCATCCATTACAGTTTTTTTGTTTTTTTGTTTTTTTTGAGACGGAGTTTCGCTCTTGTTGCCCTGGCTGCAGTGCAATGGCACGATCTCAGCTCACCACAACCTCTGCCTCCCAGGTTCAAGCAATTCTCCTGCCTCAGCCTCCCTAGTAGCTGGGATTACAGGCATGCGCTACCATGCCCGGCTACTTTTGTATTTTTAGTAGAGACGGGGTTTCTCCATGTCGGTCAGGCTGGTCTCAAACTCCTGACCTCAGGTAATCCACCCACCTCGGCCTCCCAAAGTGTTGGGATTATAGGTGTGAGCCACTGCACCCGGCCCTCCATTACAGTTTCTGCAGTGCATTTTACTGTGTTTGCCTCCTTCCTTTTCAGACAACTCACACCTTGAGGATCAGAACTGTGTCTCTTTGCCTAAGTATCTTCAGTGTGTCTTTTTCCCCAAAGTATCTCCACTGGTGAAGAAAGTGTCCGGCAGGTAGCAGACATTTGATAAGTATCTGTGCAAAAAATAAATTAAGGAATTAATTGGTTGCTATTTCTAGAGGTCTCACTCTTTTATATAGTGAGGTCTTCCCCATTTCTTTTTTTTCTTTTTTTTTTTTAGAGACTAGGTTTGGGGAGTGTCTCACTGTGTTGCCCAGGCTGGCCTTGAATTACTGGATCAAGGGAATCTTCTGCCTCAGCCTCCAAGTAACTAGAACTACAGGCAGGTGCCACTGCTCGCAGGTCCCACTTCTCTTATCTCCTGTTTCTATCTTATTTAACACTTTTAAATTAATCTACAATCTTAACCTTTTTTCAACAATAAGAGTAGGTTGTATTTGGGTTTTCTTTATTTGACTTTCCTGACTTAAGGTCAGAAATCAGACTAACTGGTTCAAATTCTGGTTCCACTACTGATTAGTTATGTGACCATGAGCAAGCCACTCAAGTGTAAAATGGGAATAAAATATTCTTCGTTGCTGGGCGCGGTGGCTCATGCCTGTAATCCTAGCACTTTGGGAGGCCGAGGCGGGCGGATCACGAGGTCAGGAGATCGAGACCATCCTGGCTAACATGGTGAAACCCCGTCTCTACTAAAAATACAAAAGAATTAGCCGGGCATGGTAGCGGGTGCCTGTAGTCCCAGCTACTCGGGAGGCTGAGGCAGGAGAATGGCGTGAACCCAGGAGGCGGAGCTTGCAGTGAGCAGAGATCGCGCCACTGCACTCCAGCCTGGGATAGAGCAAGACTCCGTCTCAAAACAAACAAACAAACAAACAAAAACATTCTTTGTTAAGGTGCTGAGGGCAACTCGTAAAATAATGTACAGATGACATTCAGGACAATGTCTGCCGAATGGAAAGCACTCAATAAAAGTTAGCTATTATTATTATCGTCATTATTATTAATTAAAGAGGAGGTCGATCAGGTGCAGTGGCTTGTGCCTGTAGTCCCAGCCGCTTAGAAGCCTGAGGTGGGAAGATCCCTCGAGCTCAGGAGTGCGACGCCAACCTGGGTACTATAGCAAGACCCAGTTCCTAAAGGAAAAAAAAAAGGTTCAGCAGAGCACAAGCTAAGAGAAAAAGAAAAAAAAAAAAAAAAAAAAAAAAAAGGCAGGGAGAGAGGTAGTTTGATCATGGAGGGAAAAAGAAGTAATAGAGAATGTGCAGTTGCCTAGCAGGAAAAGCACCAAATCGGCCAGGGGATCTGAGTTAAGCACAGCATTTCCAATTACGATGTAATCGTAGGCTGGGCGCGGTGGCTCACTCCTGTAATCCCAGCACTTTGGGAGGCCAAGGTGGGCAGATCACCTGAGATCAGGAGTTTGAGACCAGCCTGACCAACATGCTGAAACCCCGTCTCTACTAAAAATACAAAATTAGCCTGGAGTGGTGGCGTTTGCCTGTAATCCCAGCTACTCAGGAGGCTGAGGCAGGATAATCGCTTGAACCCAGGAGGCGGAGATTGCAGTGAGCTGAGATCGCACCATTGAACTCCAGCCTGGGCAACAAGAATGAAACTCCATCTCAAAAATAAATAAATAAATAAATAAATAAACAATGTAATCTTAGGCAATTCACTCAGTCTTTTATGATATATACTCAGGCATGGAAATTTTTCAAAGTGAAGAATTGGAATGGTCTGATATGTCATACAGGGCTAACCTATTTGGGACTCACTTTGCTTACCTAAGAAATCATAGGATTGAATTTTATTGTTTTTAAAGATTCTATAAGCAGACCAGGTGCAGTGGCTCACGCATGTAATCCCAGCACTTTGGGAGGCCGACATGGGTGGATCACCTGAGGTCAGGAGTTCAAGACCACCCTGACCAACATGGTGAAACCCCATCTTTACTAAAAATACAAAACTTAGTGGGGCATGGTGGCAGACGCTTGTAATCCCAGCTACTCGGAAGACTGAGGCAGGAGAATTGCTTGAACCCAGGAGGCAGAGTTTGCATTGAGCCAAGATCACGCCACCATGCCACTGCACTCCAGCCTGGGCAACAGAGCAAGACGCTGTCTCAAAAAAAAAAAAAAAAAAAAAAAAAAAGATTCTATAAGCAAAGCCACTGTAATTCTGGACTTTGAGCCCAAATCAGAAAATAAAAATCAGCCAAGCACAGTGGCCAGGTGGATCATTTGAGGTCAGGAGTTCGAGACCAGCCTGGCCAACATGGTGAAACCCCATCTCTACTAAAAATACAAAAATCAGCTGGGCCTGGTGGTACATGCCTGTAATCCCAGCTACTCAGGGGGCTGAGGCAGGAGAATTACTTGAACCCGGGAGGTGGGGGTTGCAGTGAGCTGAGACTGTGCCACTGTTCTCCAGTCTGGGTGACAGAGCGAGACTTGTCTTAAAAAAAAAAAAAAAAAAGAAAAAGAAAAGAAAATCAAGGCAATATAGCTAGGTAGTATAGAATTGGTTCTGGAGTCATGGACTTAAGACTAAAATCCTAACTCAATCGCTTACTGGCTGTGGGTCCTGGAAAAATTGTTTCTCTGGTCTTTAGTTTTCTAATCCATAAAATGCGAAAAGGAGGGAGGGTGGGAGGAGGGAGAGAATCAGGAAAAATAATGAATGGATACTAGGTTTAACACCTGGATTAAACAATCTGTACAATGGGTCCCCGTGACACTCATTTACCTATGTAACAAACCTGCACATCCTGCACATGTACCCCTGAATTTAAAATAAAAGTTGGCCGGGCACGGTGGCTCACGCCTGTAATCCCAGCACTTTGGGAGGCTGAGGCGGGCGGATCACGAGGTCAGGAGATCGAGACCATCCTGGCTAACACGGTGAAACCCCGTCTCTACTAAAAATACAAAAAAATTAGCCTGGCGTGGTGGAGGGTGCCTGTAGTCCCAGCTACTCCGGAGGCTGAGGCAGGAGAATGGCCTGAACCTGGGAGGCGGAGCTTGCAGTGAGCCAAGATCACGCCACTGCACTCCAGCCTGGGCGACAGAGCAAGACTCCGTCTCAAAAAAATTAAAAATTAAAAAATTAAAAATAAATAAAAGTTAAGGACTGAGCGCAGTTGCTCATGCCTGGAATCTCAGCACTTTGGGAGGCCAAGGCGAGCAGATCACTTGAGGTCAGGAGTTCGAGACCAGCCTGACCAACATGGTGAAACCCTGGGTCTACTAAAAATATGAAAACAATTAGCTGGGCATGGGGGCGCGCACCTGTAATCCCAGCTACTCGGGAGACTGAGGCAGTAGAATCGCTTGAACCCGGGAGGTGGAAGTTGCAATGAGCCAGGATTGTGCCACTGCACTTCAGCCCGGGCGACAAACAGAGACTCTGTCCTCAATAATAAATAAATAAATAAAAGTTAAAATGATACAATAAAATAAAATGAGAAAAATATCAGTCCAGCAGAATTATTGTTATCATAAACATAAAAAATTTTCAACTTCACTAGTGAAAAAAAGAAATGCAAATTAAAACAATGAAATGTCTTTGTCTATCCAATTAGCAAGATGAAAAAAGACAACGGCTTGTGTGGATGAGGAAACAAGGAAATTAACGCTATTATACACAGGTCTAGGTATACATTAACATAACTTATCTGGAAGAAAAATTTGTAATATATACTAAATGTTTAAAAACTATTCCTGGCCAGGCGTGGTGGCTCACGCCTGCAATCCTATCACTATGGGAGACCAAGGAGGGTGGATCACATGAGGCCAGGAGTTCAAGAGACGTCTGGCCAATATGACAAAACCCCACCTCTATTTAAAAATTAAAATTAAAAATAAAAATTAAAAAAAATTTGAAAACCCAGCTGGGCATGGTGATTCATGCCTGTAATCCCAGTGCTTTGGTGGAGCAGAGGCAGGAGGATCCCTTGAGCCCAGGAGCTATGATTGCTCCGCTATGTGATTGCTCCGCTATGTAATTGCTCCACTCAGCCGGGCGCGGTGGCTCACGCCTGTAATCCCAGCTCTCAGGGAGGCACAGGCGGGAGGACAGCTTGAACCCAGGAGTTCAAGACCTGCCTGGGCAATATAGCGAGACCCCGTTCTCCACAAAAAGGAAGAAAAAAAAAAAGAAAAAAAAATTAAGTGTAATTGCTCCACTCTAGCCCAAGTAACAGAGCAAGAGCTTGTCTTGAAAACAAACAAACAAAAAACACTCAGGAGGAGAACGTCAAATATAATGAAGCTTCTTCTTCAACCCTTATACTCTACCACCCTCCCATTGATAAATGAGCTCCTTTTCCTAATAGAAATGTCTCGTTGTTGTTGTTTGAAACTTTTTTTCTCAACTGAATTGTGGACACCTCTTCCATCTGTTCTAAACATGATATGATCATTAGTAGGGATATAAGAAAGTTGAGGCCAGGCACGGTGGCTCATGCCTGTAATCCTAGCACTTTGGGAGGCCGAGGCAGGTGGATCACTTGAGGTCAGGAGTTAAAGACCAGCTTGGTCAACATGATGAAACCCCATCTCTACTAAAAATACAAAAATTAGCAGGGCATGGTGGCACACACCTGTAATCCCAGCTACTTGGGAGGCTGAGGCATGAAAATCCCTTGAACCCAGGAGGCGGAGTTGGAAGTGATCCGAGATCACAACACTGCACTCCAACCTGGGCAATAGAGTGAGACTCGGTCTCAAAAAAAAAAAAAAAAAAAGTTGAGAAGAATCTTCAGAAATTAAGGAAAACTCCTTGAGATGTCCTGTACTAATTACACGCCATGCCCTGGTGACCATTTCTACCTTTCTTACTAGTTTTCAAAGAAAGGAAATGAGTACAGGCAATGAGACATTATCGAAATAGGTTGAATAGAATTTGCCGAGGGTACATACAAAGCCAACATACCAAAACTAACTTTTGAAAAGAATCTCACGTCCAGGCACGGTGGCTCACCCCTGTAATCCTACCACTTTGGGAAGCCGAGGTGGGAAGATCACAAGGTCAAGAGATCCAGATCATCCTGACCAACATGGTAAAATCCCGACTCTACTAAAAATGAAAAAAATAAAATAAAATAAAATAAAATAAATCAGCCGGGCATGGTGGCAGGCACCTGTAATCTCAGCTACTCGGGAGGCTGAGGCAGGAGAATTGCTTGAACCCTGGAGGTGGAGGCTGCAGTGAGCAGAGATTGTGCCACTGCACTCCAGCCTGGGTGACAGTGCGAGACTCCATCTCAAAAAAAAAAAAAAAAGATTTACATTTTATATTATCTTCTTTTTTTTTTGAGATGGAGTCTTGCTCTGTTGCCCAGGCTGGAGTGCAGTAGTGCGGTCTTGGCTCACCACAACCTCCACCTCCCGGGTGTTCAATCGATTCTCCTACCTCAGCCTCAGCCTCCCAAGTAGCTGGGATTACAAGTGCCCGCCACCACACCCGGCTAATTTTTTGTATTTTTAGTAGAGATGGGGATTCACCATGTTGGCCAAGCTGGTCTTGAACTCCTGACCTCGTGATCTGCCCTCCTTGGCCTCCTCACTGGAATTACAGGCACGAGCCACCGAGCCCGGCCATATTATCTTCTTATTAAATTATGTCTAATTATCAATTCAGGGTACATAAAGGGCCAGGCATGGTGGCTCACGCCTATAATCCCAACACCTGATTTTTTTTTTCTTTCTCTTCTCTTCTCTTTTCTTTTCTTATTTTTGAGATGGAGTCTTGCTCTGTTGCCCAGGCTGGAGTGCAGTGGTGCAACTTTGGCTCACTGCAACCTCCGCCTCCTGGGTTCAAGTGATTCTTGTGCCTCAGCCTACACCACCAGGCCTGGCTAATTTTTGTATTTTTAGTACAGACAGGGTTTCACTATGTTGGCCAGGTTGGTCTTGAAACCCTGACCTCAAGTGATCTGCCTGCCTCGGCCTCCCAAAGTGCTGAGATTCCAGGCATGAGCCACCGCGCCTGGCTCCATACTGTACACTTTGATTTTGGGGGTTTATTTTTATTTTTATTTTTATTTTTATTTTTTTGAGAGAGTCTTACTGTGTCACCCAGGCTGGAGTACAGTGGTGTGATCTCGGCTCACTGCAGCCTTCGCCTCCCACGTTCAAGTGATTCTCCTGCCTCGGCCTCCCAAGTAGCTGGGATTACAGGTGTGTGCCACCACACCCGGCTAATTTTTGTATTTTTAGTAGAGATGGGATTTCACCATGTTGGTCAGGCTAGTCTCGAACTCCTGACCTTGTGATCCACCTGCCTTGGCCTCCCAAAGTGCTAGGATTACAGGCATGAGCCACCACACCCAGCCATACTGTACACTTTGAAAGTGTAGCAGGACGAGTCTCAGACAAAACTCCTCAGACACCAGATTAAAGAAGGAAGAGGTTGTTTTATTCGGCCGGGAGCATCGGCAGACTCGTGTCTTAAGAGCTGAGCTCCCCGAAAAAGAAATTCCTAGCCCTTTTAAGGGCTTACAACTCTAAGGGGTCTACGTGAAAAAGTTATAATAGATCAAGTAAGCATGAGAAACGTGACTGGGGGCTACATACATCAGCTTACAGAACAAAAAGTTTTACAGTGCTTTCTCATACAATGTCTGGAATTTACAGATAACACCAGTAGTTTTGGTCAGGGGTTAATAATATTATTATTATTTTAGCCACCAGGGCCAGGTGGTGGCGCCAAGGTCGTCTAGCTATTTATCTTACTTCTGTTTCTTTCCAACTTTTTGCTTTCTCCCTTTTCTCCTGTCTTATAAACTAGGGAAAAGGGGAGGTTGGGGAGAAACTGAGAAGGCCAACAGGAGAAGTGGTGGCCTCATACCATAAAAGGAGTCACCATGTGCAGTTCACACCTAAGAAGTGGGTAGTTGGGTGTGCCCCCCCACCCCTGTCTTGAGCATACATTGTTTGGAATTCTTCTGCAATTCTAAAGAGAGTTGGAACTCTTGTCCAAAACTTAAAAAAATTAGCCGACTGTTGGGGTTCATGCCCGTAATCCCAGCTATTCAGGAGTCTGAGGTGGGAGGATAGCATGAGCCCAAGAGTTCAAGGCTGCAGTGAGGTATGATGACGCCACAGCACTCCAGCCTAGGAGGCAGAGCGAGACTCTTTGTCAAACAAACAAACAAAAAATAGCCCAGAGAGAGAGTTGTCTCTTCCTGTCCAATTATTAATTTGTCCTATCATTTATTTATATCAGAGTGACCTCATGAATATTTATTTTAAACTTTGGGTGATAATCCAATACTACTTATTTATTTTGTGGCTCAAGCTGTTCCAGGTCTTTTAGTTGGCTCCTGTGCTCCTACCAACAGGTGTGTTGTTTTTGGTTCTTTTTTCTTTTGAGACAGTCTTGCTCAGTCACCCAAGCTGGAGTGCAGTGGTATGAACAAAGCTCCCTACAGCCTTGATTTCCTGGGCTAGAGTGATCCTTCTGCCTCAGCCTTCTGACTAGCTGGGACTACGGGCGTGTGCCACCACTCCCAGCTGATTTTTGTGTTATTAGTAGAGACGGGGTTTCACCATATTGGCCAGGCTGGTCTCGAACTCCTGACCTTGTGATCTGCCCGTCTCAGCCTCCCAAAGTGCTGGGATTACAGGCATGAGCCACTGCTCCCGGCCATGTTGTTTTATCTAATTCAAGGAGAGACAAGAGCCCTGGTGTTCCTTCATTCACCTGAACAGTATCAAAGTGATCCACCTGCCTTGGCCTCCCAAGGTGCTGGGATTACAGGTGTGAGCCATCACGCCTGGTCTGACAATGCTCTTATCTTACATATTTTCTTCCCAGTCCTAGAATTAGCCATTTCTCCAAGGAGCTCTCGTTCTTTTTATTGGAGAATGTTACTAGAAAGTAAGATCTCGCCGGGTGCGGTGGCTCACGCCTGTAATCCCAACGTTTTGGAAGGCCGAGGCGGTGGATCACCGGAGGTCAGGATTTCGAGGCCAGCCTGGCCCACATGGCGAAACCCCGTCTCTACTAAAAACACAAAAATTAGCCGGGCGTGGTGACACGTGCCTGTAATCCCAGCTACTTGGGAGTCTGAGGCACAAGAATCGCTTGAATCCGGGAGGCAGAGGTTGCAGTGAGCCAAGATAGCGCCACTGGACTCCAGCCTGGGCGACAGAGCGAGACTCTGTCTCAAAAAAGAAAAAGAAACAATGAAACACAAAGTTATTCTTAGGCAACACCCCACCAGCATTACTCCCTGTACATTCTGTGGAGCTCTATAAATACACAAAACAAGTCTTTCCTGAAATCTCATCCTTAAGCAAATCTGGGAATGCTAACAGTATTTACTACCCTCTTCTGAGAGGCCCGAGTGACCTTTAGTCAGGGTTCCAGATAGCCTCACTCAAACAGCGCATTTTGGGAAATCTACCACCCATCTTCCCCTCTTTCTATCAGAGCCACCATTTCTTCCAGCAAACTCTTTAGAGGGCTGTCATCGTATTGTCATCATTAAGTATTTTCCACTAAGCTATTAAATAATTGGCCCTGGGAGTATTAATTTCTCACTGTGGAATTCCAAAAACTAAGGAGGATTCCTGGAGAGGAAGGCAACTGAGGGCTGCGGGAGGTGAGGAGGAGGCGTGGACGCCAGGAGTTGTTTTGCTCACACGCCCCGCGGCGTCCCGCCTAGGTGAGCTCCGGACCCTCCCGCCCCACCCCAGCGGGGCTGCTCGACTCCGTCGTGCCCCCTTGGGCTTCCACTGCAGGAATGCAAGGCGGGTAACCTTCAAAGCCAGGTGGAAACGTCCGGTTTGAACCGCACATATGCTAGGGTGGAGAGTGAGAACGAATGCAAAGAGAGGCTAGCGTTGGGGTGGGGCTGCCGGGGCAAAGGGACAGGCCCGGGGGAGGCCCGGGCCGCCACGGTTAGAAAGCATGGAAAGAGCTTAAGTAAAATAGCTGCGTGTCGGCAGGGCGCGGTGGCTCACGCCTGTAATCTCAGCACTTTGGGAGGCCGAGGCGGGCGGATGACCTGAGGTCGGGAGTTCCAGACCAGCCTGACCAACATGGAGCAATCCCTGTCTCTACTAAAAATACAAAATGAGCCGGGCGTGGTGGCGCGTGCCTGTAATCCCAGCTACTGAGAAGGCTGAGGCAGGAGAGTTGCTTGAACCCGGGAGACGGAGGTTGAAGTGAGCCGAGATGGCGCCACTGCACTCCAGCCTGGGCAACAAGATCGAAACTTCATCTCAAAAAACAAAAAAAAAAAAAAGAAAAAAAAAGAAAGAAAAGAAAAATAGCGGGCCGGGCACGGTGGCTCACGCTTATAATCCCAGCACTTTGGGAGGCCGAGGCGGGAGGATTACCTGAGGTCGGGAGTTTGAGACCAGCCTGACCAACATGGAGAAACCCCGTCTCAACTAAAAATACAAAATTATCCGGGTGTGGTGGCGCATGCCTGTAATCCCAGCTACTCAGGAGGCTGAGGCAGGAGAATCGCTTCAACCTGGGAGGCGGAGGTTGCGGTGAGCCGAGATCGTGTCATTGCACTCCAGCCTGGGCAACAATAGCGAAACTCCGTCTCAAAAAAAAAAAAAAAGAAAGAAAAATAGCTGCATGTTGGTAGGGTTTTCCAAAATAGCAGCCCTCATCTTCCCCTTACCAGGCTTTCCCTCTCTGGAATACCATACACACACATACACGCACACACACACATATACATGTGTGTATGTATATATATATGAATTTGTTTCAAAATGGGAGGTCAAAAAAATATATATTTTTGTGACAGGGTCTCTGTGGCCCAGGCTGGAGTGCAATGGTGCAATCATAGCTCACTGCAGCCTTCAACTCCTGGGCTCAAGCCATCCTCCTGCCTCAGTGACCCGTATTGGGTACCCATATCGGGGACCACAGGCCTGTGCCATCAGCCCCAGCTAATTTTTACATTTTTTGGGGGAGACCTTGCCTCGCTTTGTTGTTCAGGCTGGCCTCAAACTCCTGGGCTCGAGAGATCCTCCCACTTCAGCCTCCCAAAGTGCTGGGATTACAGGCCTGAGCCGCCATGGTCGGTCCACTTAAAATACGTTTAAATAAATTTGTTATGCTTACCTCTTGTTAATCTGTCTTCTGTTATAGAAGTGTCAGGTATGAGGCTGGGCACGGTGGCTCACGCCTGTTATCCCAGCACGTTGGGAGGCTGAGGCGGGTGGATCACCTGAGGTCAGGAGTTCGAGACCAGCCTGGCTAACATGGTGAAACCCTGTCTCTACTAAAAAAAATTAGCTGGACATGGTGGCTCATGTCTGTAATCCTAGCTACTCGGGAGGCTGAGGCAAGAGACTCGCTTGAACCTGGGAGGCGGAATTTCTGCTCCCACTTCAGCCTTCAGAGTAGCTGGGACTGTAGGCACGAGCCACCATGCCCAGCTAATGTTTGTATTTTTTGTAGAGACAGGGGTCTCACTATGCTGCCAAGGCTGGTCTTGAACTCCCGGGCTCAAGTGATCTTCCGGCCTCCGCCTCCCAAAGTGCTGGAATTATAGGATTGAACCACCAGGCCCAGCCCTGTTTCCTCTATACACATAACAGATTTTCATAACTGAACTTACGAACTTTTTAAAATTATAACTCTTTACCATGTATCATTAAACACTTAAATAATTTTCATTACTCATCCAGACTCAATGCAATGTTCTTGTGGATTTCCCTATGTTCATTCTTGCTCCCCTTTCCCCTTCTCTTATGTGTTTTACAGCTGATAATTGTTTTCTCCCCCATTTTTTTCTTTTTCTTACTCCCCTCTTTCCTTCCCCACCTTTTTTTTTTTTTTTTTTTTTTTTTTTTTTGATACAGAGTATTGCTCTGTTGCCCAGGCTGAAGTGCAGTGGCCCATCCAGGCTCATTGCAACCTCGCCCTCCCTGGTTCAAGGGATTCTCCCACATCGGCCTCCCAAGGAGCTGGGATTACAGGCACATGCCACCATGCCCCGCTGATTTTTGTATTTTTAGTAGAGATGGGGTTTTGCCACGTTGGCCAGGCTGGTCTCAAACTCCTGGCCTCTCTGTTGGCCTTCCAAAGTGCTAGGATTACAGGCATAAGCCACTGTGCCTGGCCCCTTTACCCCTTTTTCCCCCACTTTTTTAAATTCAAAAAGTTGTATGTGCATATACTATAAAGTAGCACATAGTTCTAAGTTTCTTAAAACAGACACATGTCCCAACTGCCGTCCTCTGTTGCATTTTTCATTTTCTTTTTCCTATAAGCACCCACTTTAAACTTTGGTATGGATGGCTTTTGGGGGGCATTTGTGTATTTCTTTTCTTTTTTTTGTTTTTGTTTTTGAGACAGAGCCTCTCACTGTGTCACCCAGGCTGGAATGCAGTGGCGCAATCTGGGCTCACCGCAACCTCTGCTTCCCGGGTTCAAGCAATTTTCTCACCTCAGCCTCCCCAGTAGCTGGGCCTACAGGCATGTGCCACCACACCCGGCTAATTTTTGTATTTTTAGCAGAGGTGGGGTTTCACCATGTTCGCCAGGCTAGTCTCAAACTCCTGGTCTCAAGTGATCTGCTCCCAAAGTGCTGGGATCCCAGGCGGGAGCCACCACGCCCGGCCTTTGTGTATTTCTGTAGAGCAAGTTTTTTTGTTGTTTTGTTTTGTTTTTGAGATGGAGTTTCACTCTTGTTGCCCAGGCTGGAGTGCAATAGCATGATCTCGGCTTACTGCAACCTCTACCTTCTGGGTTCAAGCAATTCTTCTGCCTTAGCCTCCAAAATAGCTGGGACTACAGGCATGCACCACCACGCCTGGCTGATTTTTGTACTTTTAGTAGACACGGGGGTTTCACCATGTTGGCCAGGCTGGTCTCGAACTCCTGACCTCAGGTGATCCACCCACTTTGGCCTCCCAAAGTGCTGGGAGTCCAGGCATAAGCCACCGTGCCTGGTCTATAGAGCAAGTTTGTAATGATATGTCTTGATTTTTTCCATTTAGGCATCCTTGCTTGACTTCTAACGTGCAGATGTGGCTTTTTTCCTCTTCCTTCTCATGTATTAACATATTTCAAATTTGGTTCCTCATCCTTCTAATTTGCTTCTTTTCTTTTTTATTTGTCTTTTTTTTTTTTTTTTGAGACTGAGTCTTGCTCTGTCACCCAGGTTGGAGTGCAGTGGCACGATCTTGGCTCACCGCAACCTCCACCTCCTAGATTCAAGTGATTCTCCTGCCCCAACCTCTTGGGTAGCTGTGATTACAGGTGGTTGCCACCATGCCCGGCTAATTGTTGTATTTATTTTGTTCTGAGATGGAGTCTTGCTCTGTTGCCCAGTCTGGAGTGCAGTGGCATGATCTCGGCTCACTGCAACCTGCACCTCCTGGGTTCAAGC